>NC_000013.11:103127979-103752979 GCF_000001405.40 Homo sapiens | reverse complement strand
TTATTATTATTTAATTTTCCAATCTAACAACTTAATTTTTGGCATTGTTGCCTTTAAATCAGTTCCTTTATACAGATCATGAAATTTTTTAAGTTGAGCTCTTCTATCATAGATCTAAAAGAAGTTCAACACCAGAAATTATTTAAACAATGATATATCCAAATGGCTTACAGAAATCACCTACACATTGTTAAAGAGATGAGTTTATATAAGAATTTTTCCCCAGGGCATGCATAAATAGTTTATTGAACTCAACATAAAGCAAGCGGATGGCATTTTAAAGAGCACAGTTACATAGGTATATAAAAATCTGACGACTTAATAGACACAGTCTTTGAAAATAAAATACTGATAATGGGAACATAAATTTTTGTCTCTTTCAAACAAATAGATTCTAGAGGACAAATATTAAAAGTAAATTAGACTTCCTTAGAGGAATAAAACATAGCTTTAAACAAGAATTTCAAAATATGATCTGCAAAAAGGGAGCAGGATTCAAAGATTTTATTATAAATTAATTCCAGATAGTGTTTTGTAGGTCTGTCTTTTCTTGAAACTTTGTGAAACATGCCTATTTAAAGCTCTGATGTTTGTTTTTACATTACAATCTGAATCTTAAAATACTTTATTTTTACTTCAATGGTGTATTTCTTAATGTCCTAGACAGTAAACTTATGCGTGTCTTGGTTTAAGTTCCATCAAGCAAATGCAGATGCATGAGGTAAAGTGCAAGAAAATGATCAATGGTGACTCTGTAAAAGGGTTCTTTCAAATTGATTACTCATTTCAATTGTGATTTAGTTGCTTTTAACAAGAAAGGCATCTACTTATTCTCCATTGAAGTGGTACCACATTTGTTGCCTTAAACATATACAGGGACATTGATTGCGTCCTCGCCAACATTCCACTTACAAATACTATCATTTCTGATACTCGCTTATATTATTAAATAAAGGATATTTTTTCTGTCAAGTCTTCCATTTGTTAGATTTTGATATGTATTATTTTAAGTTATGTGTTTCTTTTATTGAAGAAAGTTGGAAGTCACAGGGCATTGCAACTAGTGACAATTATTTTAGTAATTTTATTCTCTCTACCTAAATGCCTTCTCCCATACACATTAGTAATTCCAATGGCTTTCTTTCTCCCCTCTTTCAGGGCTTCTGTTCAAATGTCATTTTATCATTGGTGTTTTTTCTGACCTCTCACTTATAACAGCAAACTTACACATAGGATGTTGTGTTCTGACAAGATGTCCCTCTTCTGTGGTTTTCTTGATCAGAAATCATGACTACCAAGTAGATTCTAAACTCCATTGAGCCAAATGTCTTGCATCAAATGCTTTTGTCTTAAAGCTCTGTTCTAAATTAGTTGTAGCTGTGTTCATCACTTCTCCAAACCTTGCCCCATTTCAGAGATAAGCCATAGGTGGGTGAGAGATGAGAGCTGCTAATCCTCAGGAGCCCCCTGAGTTTCTCTTTACCATGGATGATTGTAGCCCCAAGTACACGTGCTTTATATGTTTATTGGGATTGATCAAATTGACATTCTAGTCTCCCTTCTACTTGATAGAAACAGACATCTGCTGGGCCAACATGCGGTTATGTGAACACCTTCTCTTACCTATTTCTGCCCTTCCAATGCTTACAGTGTAAAAAGAAAAAGTAAAGTAAGTTTACACATATTTATATGTGTCTATGAATGGCTATAGACAACTATATTACCAGGACAGATACCAAGTATAAAGTCTCCACATAGGGAATAATTCTATGGTATTTTTTCCTTTATCTATATTGATTCTCTCCCTGCTTTTATGTCTTTCTTTTATGAAGATTTTATGTAAATTTGAAAAGAAAATACATTTATCAACAGTAACATTTGAAAAAGGAGAGACAGTTCTCTCTGCCAGAAGTGTCAGGGAAGTATGCTGCATGAGATGAATTTCGAACATCACTTTGAAAGAAGTCAGTATTAGAAGGAGAATTCTAATGCTAATCTTCTAACTCTTCCATATTTCATCTGGAGCTTGCCAAGTAGACAATTATATGCATTGGCCCATGTGTCTGGAATGTGACTCAGACAGACATAAACTTGCCTTTGAGGATCAGTGAAGAAGACTATCAACTCTAATATGTCAGCTCTTTTATTTTGTGATTGGTCTCATATTTACTGATGATTTTATCTTCTGTAGACAAACAAGAATGTTTTCTAAAAGAAACAACTCGCTATCTCCGGTAGTGTTTTATATACAAAAGAAACTCAATCAATAATTTTCAGCTTTCCACTACAGTACCTGTGCAATCACCTGTAAACCTCTAAAAAGTTAAAAATTCTAGATACCTATATCTGTGCATGTTTGTATGTTTGCATATCTGTCAAATGTTACTCAAACATATCTCACAATATTATTTGGGTTGCTAATGATCTTGTTTGAGTTATGTCTGCAAGCATGAGGGCCATCAAATTATAATAAACTGAGCTTTTTGAGGCTTACCTATGTCAAAGTATACTAATAAGTTATCTCTGTATTTACCCCAAAAAATGCACCTTATAACAGTATGCAAGCAAAAAGAATAAGTTTAACAATATGGCAATTAGTTTAGAAAAGAATGCAACTGTGACCCAGCCAGAATGTCTTTAAATGATAAGAGGTTTGGACTTCTGAGAGTGAATGGGGCCTCTCCAGATGTTGAGAAGATCTGATTTTCACTATCCTGTAGGTCCTCACTCCACACACACCACCTTGTCCATTAGGCCTCTGGGAATAGCAAAGAGACATCAGGAAGCCCTGTCTCCTTAACACATATTTTTAAATGTTGGATTTATACTTCAGAGTCCAATTTGTTTGCTTGGTAGAAAAGGAGATTAAAATAGTCTAAAAATAGGTCCAGTTGCCCATTTGCTTCAATTTTCAAAACTGGACTACCTAAGCTCACTCTCAAAGCTAGTGCTAAAATGATAGCAATGACCTTCTCATCATGTGAAAGAATGAGTTAAATGAGATATTATATGTTAAGACCTTTATTCAGCCCTTAAATATCACTAATAAATATTTTTCTTGTCGTTATTATTGTTAAAACTAATTTAACAAAATATTATAGTGAAATTGTTTTTTCTATATTTCGAATATTGGTAGGGAAGGGTATATAAATGTATTTCTTTAATATTTGTTAGTGATATATTTGTGGTAAGTTTTCCAATATTCTCCACAATATTATTAATAGAAGCATACAATTTTTCTAAAATCTTAATGTCTTTTAGGATTTAAGTAGCCTATATGAAAAATGAATATGTCCCATTACCCCACATAAACATTAATATACTCTGAGTGAGAAATTTAAACCAATTCAAATTATCGAGAATTATCTTTTACAAGACACTTATAGGCATGGTGACAAGTTCAAAAATGGAAACGAGTACTACCATTGAAAGTGCTCTTGTTTTAGCAATAAAGATGTCCAATAAAAAGCAAAAAGAACACGTTCTGCTATGTTAAGGTGAGGCTAACAGCTTGCTCCTCAATAGCTTTTACAGGTATTTACTAAAATCATGGGGCTGGAACTTGCTATAAAATGGTATCAATTCAATGTTAGGTAGGGTGATATTCTCACCTCTTTTCCTCTCTACAGAGTTCGCTATCATTCATTCTAATCTTGCTTTCTCTCCCTCTTTCCTGATCTCTGCCAAGGTTTAGATTTTAAATTACACTCTGCGGTTATGCTTCAGTAGATTTAAAATTACTAAGTTCATATGTTATGATTTCACATGGTCAGTTCTCAATGGGAGATTAGTTTATCCTCCATTACCTTCAAAGCGAACTTTGACTAAAGTATTTCAATATAAAATCCAATGTAAAGCTACAGTTTTTTCCATTATTTTAAAAAGCTGAACACTCTTATCTTTCTTTTTTAGCCACTGTTAGTTTAAATGACCTCAATACTACAGTCATAAAGACACTGCCAACAAAAGAAAAATAATTTTACTTTATATATTTTTTCTTACTAAAATCGGATTTGTTTGAACCACTTTGAAATGGGTTTAATGGTATTACCTTCAATTTCCACTTGATTTTTGAGGTTATTGTACAAAGTAAATTTATCTGATTCAAATTGCTTAAAACTTTTTGAACTGGAGCTAGCTTAACCTCAAAAGTTAATATACCCTAAAATGTTCTAAAACTTTTTTCTACTTTAATAGCATAACTATAAAGCATGTTCTTACAGAAGTGAATTTGTAATCTGTCTTTACAATTTACAGAGAAAAATTTGCTATAATCTCTACTGAAAATCATTGATTTTGTTTTGTAATATCTATCTGAATGCAAAATTTGCTCTGAGGTGAACAAAGAAATTTGTAGAACTCTCTACCCCAAATCAACAGAATATACATTCTTTTCAGCACCACACCACACCTATTCCAAAATTGACCACATACTTGGAAGTAAAGCACTCCTCAGCAAATGTAAAACAACAGAAATTATAACAAACTGTCTCTCAGACCATAGTGCCATCAAACTAGAATTCAGGATTAAGAAACTCACTCAAAACCACTCAATTACATGGAAACTGAACAACCTGCTCCTGAATGACTACTGGGTACATAATGAAATGAAGGCAGAAATAAAGATGTTCTTTGAAACCAACGAGAACAAAGACACAACATACCAGAATCTCTGGGACACATTCAAAGGAGTGTGTAGAGGGAAATTTATAGCACTGAAAGCCCACAAGAGAAAGCAGGAAAGATCTAAAATTGACACCCTAACATCACAATTAAAAGAACTAGAGAAGCAAGAGCAAACACATTCAAAAGCTAGCAGAAGGCAAGAAATAACTAAGATCAGAGCAGAACTGAAGGAAATAGAGACACAAAAAACCCTTCAAAAAATCAATGAATCCAGGAGCTGGTTTTTTGAAGAGATCAACAAAATTGATAGACCGCTAGCAAGACTAATAAAGAAGAAAAGACAGAAGAATCAAATAGACGCAATAAAAAAATGATAAAGGGGATATCACCACCGATCCCACAGAAATACAAACTACCATCAGAGAATACTATAAACACCTCTATGCAAATAAACTAGAAAATCTAGAAGAAATGGATAAATTCCTTGACATATACACCCTCCCAAGACTAAACCAGGAAGAAGTTGAATCTCTGAATAGAATAATAACAGGCTCTGAAATTGAGGCAATAATTAATAGCATACCAACCAAAAAAAAGTCCAGGACCAGACGGATTCACAGCCGAATTCTACCAGAGGTACAAGGAGTAGCTGGTACCATTCCTTCTGAAACTATTCCAATCAATAGAAAAAGAGGGAATCCTCCCTAACTCATTTTATGAGGCCAGCATCATCCTGATACCAAAGCCTGGCAGAGACACTACAAAGAAAGAGAACTTTAGACCAATATCCCCAATGAACATCGATGCAAAAATCCTCATTAAAACACTGGCAAACCGAATCCAGCAGCACATCAAAAAGCTTATCCACCATGATCAAGTGGGCTTCATCCCTGGGATGCAAGGCTGGTTCAACATATGAAAATCAATAAATGTAATCCAGCATATAAACAGAACCAAAGACAAAAACCATATGATTATCTCAATAGATGCAAAAAAGGCCTTTGACAAAATTCAACAGCCCTTCGTGCTAAAAACTCTCAATAAATTAGCTATTGATGGGACATATCTCAAAATATTAAGAGCTGTCTATGACAAACCCACAGCCAATATCATACTGAAGGGGCAAAAATTGGAAGCATTCCCTTTGAAAACTGGCACAAGACAGGGAGGCCCTCTCTCACCACTCCTATTCAACATAGTGTTGGAAGTTCTGGCCAGGGCAATCAGGCAGGAGAAGGAAATAAAGGGTATTCAATTAGGAAAAGAGGAAGTCAAATTGTCCCTGTTTGCAGATGACATGATTGTATATCTAGAAAACCCCATCGTCTCAGCCCAAAATCTCCTTAAGCTGATAGGCAACTTCAACAAAGTCTCAGGATACAAAATCAATGTGCAAAAATCACAAGCATTCTTATACACCAATAACAGACAAACGGAGAGCCAAATCATGAGTGAACTCCCATTCACAATTGCTTCAAAGAGAATAAAATACCTAGGAATCCAACTTACGAGGGACGTGAAGGACCTCTTCAAGGAGAACTACAAACCACTGCTCAAGGAAATAAAAGAGGATACAAACAAATGGAAGAACATTCCATGCTCATGGGTAGGAAGAATCAATATCATGAAAATGGCCATACTGCCCAACGTAATTTATAGATTCAATGCCACCGCCATCAAGCTACCAATGACTTTCTTCACAGAATTGGAAAAAACTACTTTAAAGCTCATATGGAACCAAAAAAGAGCCCGCATTGCCAAGTCAATCCTAAGCCAAAAGAACAAAGCTGGCAGCATCATGCTACCTGACTTCAAACTATACTACAAGGCTACAGTAACCAAAACAGCATGGTACTGGTACCAAAACAGAGATATAGACCAATGGAACAGAACAGATCCCTCAGAAATAATGCCGCATCTGATCTTTGACAAACCTGACAAAAAGAAGAAATGGGGAAAGGATTCCCTATTTAATAAATGGTGCTGGGAAAACTGGCTAGCCATATGCAGAAAGCTGAAATTGGATCCCTTCCTTACACCTTATACAAAAATTAATTCAAGATGGATTAAAGACTTAAATGTTAGACCTAAAACCATGGATTACATCTGTAGCCAAATCCATTCAATATCTTCTAAATTATACTCCTAAGTGGTGTCTTTAGTATCGACTTACTGATATACTTATGACAACTAAGTAATAGCAAGATACTTGTTTTACCTTGCAAGATTTACTTACAGTTGTATGTCTTACAATGGCAATTATAACAAAAAGGTGGACTCGATGGGATAATATCCAGGAAGAGTTTGCTCTTCAGTCATTGCTATGGTTTGAAAATGTCTCTCAAACTTAATCCCCTATGTGACAGTGTTGAGAGGTGAGGCCTACAGAGATGATTAGGTCATCAGGCAAAGCCCCAGTGATGGATTAATGTCCTTACCGTGAATGAGTTAGTTATCAGCAGTGGGCTTGTTATAAAAGCTAGCTGGATTCCCTCTTCCCTTTGCAAACATGATCTCCTGCCCTTCCGCCTTCCACTGTGGAATGATGAAGCAAGGAGCCCTTCACATGATGTGGGAACCCCCACCTTGGACTTCCCAGCCTCTAAAACTATAGGAAAAAAAAGAAATAAATGTATATTCTTTAAAAATTACCCTGTCTCTGGTGTTCTGTTATAGGAACACACGGCAGCCAACTCAGATAATTTTTAATATGAATGTCACATATTTTATTTTATTGAAACTATTTTCAGAATGTCTTCCTTAGATAAAAGTTAAAATAATCTAATGACAAGGCTCTTCAGTGATAGTTAGTCTGGTATCAGTGAATTTGCAAGTTGATATTCAAATCAAAGTGAAAAGTGCTGATGACTGTCACTGCTGCTGCTGTTACTGTATGTGTTGAAACTTGAGGGATGCAAGGTGAATATTTGTAGAAACAGGCAAATGTGACTCAATTTTTTGATCCCATTCTGTCCTCCTGTATACAGGACATTTTAGGCATCAATTGTTTCTGCCATTGTTGTAGTTGCGTGAAAAAATGCAATTTTTTTCATACTCTGTGTATAATTGTAAGAAATGACACATAGTAGTAGGTATTTGGTAATACCTCATATAAACTTCCTGCCTTCAATTTATTGTGGATCCTTCAGAAAATTAGGTTAACAATCTAGATTTGAGAAGGATGCAGATAAAAGCAAAGGTGGTACACAGACACACAATACCAGGACTTCTTGTTAATCTGTCTGTGTTGGTTAAATTAAGCTTGAAAATGCTATAAGCCTTGGAAATTGAGCTGCTCACTGGTTTGAAATCATTGCATATAAAATACTATAGAGGGTAATTTTAAAGAAGCATTTGCTTTGAAAAGAGAAGGAAAACCCTGGCTATGTAAAGTCAGAGTAGCAGGACAAAAATTTTATAATAATTAGAGAAAATTGATGGAGGTAAAATGAATTGTTGCAAACTCAAGGTATAACCATCAGGATGGGAGACTACACAGAGAAAAGGAGTAGCCAATAAATAAATCCTCACTTCAGTGTGTTAGGCCAGAGAGATGTTGGCTAAGTTAGAAACACTAGTGTTTATAGAAAAACTTTTGAATATCCTCATTTCTCATATCTTCTACTTGCTTTTCCTCCAGTTGTATGCAAGAATTGGAGAACTACACCGGAGTTCAGGAAGCTAAGATTATGGATTTTTTTGAGAAATCTGTCATCACACAGAAGAATAAGGAGAATTGTTATTTTAAAAGACTAAATCTAAAAATATAGAATGTAGGAATAAAATGGCCAGAGAATGAAAACATAAAGCTCATAGACAGTAACATTTGATGCTTTCAGTTGTGAATATGTATTTGAATAATAAGAAATTATGCATCTGTCACTCATCTAAATCGAATAATTCTTTCACTCAGACACTTTATTTTAAAAAAATCCTTTAAGAAAGACAATTATGTTCAAAATAATAGTTTGTTGTACATTGTTACGCAAACAGACAAGGTAGAGAAAGGCATGGAGTAGCGTGAAAAAGTTGCCAGAAGCAGATTCACAACCTAAAATAAAAGTTTCTGGAAATATATATTGAAGAAACTATTATTTAAATATAAATCTGTATTTTTTAATGAAAGGGGTTGGACAACACATGACATTTTCAATGTAATTTCTTTTTACATAGTATTGTAGATATTTTTATATTTAAATGATTAAGTCATAATTTTGATGGCTCTGTAGTGTGTCATTGTACCCCATAATGAATTTAATGTCACTTTTTTTTTTTTTTTTGAGACAGAGTCTCACTCTGTTGCCCAAGCTGGAGTGCAGTGGCAAAATCTCAGCTCACTGCAACCTCTACCTTCCAGGTTCAAACGATTCTCCTGCCTCAGTCTCCGGCGTAGTTGGGACTACAGGTGCCCACCACCACACCTGGCTAATTTGTGTATTTTTAGTAGAAACGGTGTTTCACTATATTGGCTAGGCTGGTCTCGAACGGCTGACATAAATTGTCCCCTTAATAATTACCTAGTGACTATCTTTGACTCTCATAAGAATTTTGGACTGAAAGATTATTTGGTTGGATATTAGGATAGCCATTCAGGCCCTCATTTGATGCCTATTTGCACAGAATATCTTCTTTCATTTTCCACCTATTTTTGTCTTTGGATCTAAAGTGAATTTCTCGTTCACAGCATATAGATGGATCATGAATTTTAAGTTCATTCTGCCAATCTCTGCCTTTTGATTGCAGTTTAATCCACTTACATTTAAAGTAATTACAATTAAGATAGGACCTAATTCTACTATTCTTCTCTTTGTTTTCTGTATATCTCATACCTTTTCTCACTCCTCATATCCTCCATTACTGTTATGTATTACATTAAATTGACTTTTATAATTTACCGTTGTAATTCCTCTTTCAATTGTTTTTGTGTATGTTTTTAATATTTTCAATTATTACCATGATTAAAATTAACATCTTAAATTTATAATTATCTAATTTGAATTGATACCAACTGAACTTCAATAGCATACAAAATTTAGTCTCCAATTTTTGTTCAATACTGCCTCCCACCCCCACATTCTTATGGTCACTAATATATCTTCAAACATTTTGTGATTTTTAATATAGATTTATAATTATTTTAAGCATTTTTAAAAATAATGTAGCAAATTAAAGTGGAGCATAAACTAAATATATATTAATGCTGGTTTTTATATTTGCATATGTATTTTTCCACACCAGACTTCTTTTTTTCTTTATAATGCTTTGGGAAACTGTCTAGTAGCCCTTCATTTCATCCTGAAAAACTGCCTTTAACATTTCTTTCAAGGAAGATCTACTGGCAATAATCTCCCTCAGCTTTGTATGTCTAAAAATGTCTTCACTTCTCTTTCCTATTTGAAGAATAAGTTAGTTGGATATAAAATTTTCTGTTAACATTATTTTTCCTTTTATCACTTTAAAAATGTCATTCCACTGTTTTCTAGCCTCCTGCTTTCGGATGACAAGCTGGCTACTAATCTAATGCAGGATTGCTTTTACATTATTTGTCTCTTCTCTATTGGCGCTTTAAAGCATCTTTCCATTTTTGTCTTTCAAAAATTTAATTATAATATGTCTCAGAGTAAGTCTTTTTGTGTTTTTCCTTTTCAGAGTTTGTTGATATTTTTGGATTACAGATTCATGCTTGTTTTCACATTGTTGAAATTTTCAACTATTTATATTCTAATATTGGTCTGCCCTTTGCTTTTTTCACTCTTCTAGGACTCCTATTATATGTATTTAGTACACTTAATGTTCACAGGTCTCTTAAACTTTGCTTTTTTTTCTTGAATCTTCCTTTTTGCTCCTCAGTCTCAGTAATTCCAACTGAACTTTCTTCTTCTAATTCACTTATTCTTTCCTCTGCATGCTCAAATCTGGTATTGAAATCCTGGGGTACATTCTTCATTTCCATTATTGTACTATTTAGTTCCAAAATATCTGGTTCATTTTTCTGTATCTTTATTCATGTGCACTATTTGTTCATACCTCATTCTCCTAGTTCATTTAGCTATTTGTCCACAATTCCTTTTTGAGCTTTATAAGAAGATTTCAGAGTTGATTTAGTAAGTCCAAAATCTGTGCTTCTTCAGGGCAGGGTTTGTTAATTTCTTCTGTGAGTAGGACACCGTGCAATGTTTCCTGCCTTGCTCCATAATATTTTGTTGAAAATTGAACATTATGAATTTTATATTGTGGCCATTTTCTTCAGGATTCATTTTTGCTGTTTGCTGTGGGTTGTCACTATTTAGTGACTTTTAAAATTTATTTCTGTTAAGTCTATATTTTTGGTATTATGTGGTCTCTGTAGTCTCTATTTCTTGAGATTTTGTTCAGTTGATATTTAGAAAGAGGTTTCTTTTTTTAAAAAAAAAAAGTGGGGAGCTAAAGAAGGAAACAAGGGAAAGGAGAAAAAAAGAGAGAGAAATGAGAAATAAAAACAAAAAGAAACTTCTATTCATTGCCTCTTGGCTTTTTTTCTGGGTCATTCCTTCAACACTTATCGAGGCCCCTTAAAACTCTAACTCAGCCTTCGTTTTCTATCTATGCTAAGCCTAGAGATCAGATAGAGGTGAAAGCTTTAGGTTCTCTCAGATCTTTTTGAGCCTACATTGTTCCCTGGGCATGTGTGTGGCTTTCTAAATTTCCCAGTGTATTTGGGCTGCTTTTGAATATCCTCATTTCTCATATCTTCTACTTGCTTTTCCTCTCAGGCCTTTAGTGCTTTATCATTACCTCAGCTAAAACGTTTGACCTCAGGTAGCAGTGGGTTGTTCCTTTACCTTAAAATATGTTTAAAGAATACTGTTTTTATGCCCTGAGTTCCAAATGAGGCAAAACAAAGACAGGCTGCTTGTGCCAGCCATTCAGGCAACACTCAGAATGATCAGACAGTGGAAGCACAATTTTTTCAGAGGAAGATCTGCTTTGCTCCCTGCTGACTCGGGGATTAAGGTCCGACACTGCAAATGTGGGATCCTGTCTTCAAAATTAATATGGAACTGGATGTGATGTGGTGAGGCAAAGGCATGGAAAATGTCATGATTTTCAATCAATTTTTGAGTTGTCTTTATTTGGATTCAGTGGTTTCCATGGTTGTTGAAAACTTTAGACTGTTTTCCAGAGTTCTGACCACTGAATTCTGACAGTTTTTGCTTCATTTTTAAAGTTCTTAAAGAGGGATGGGTTTTTGGAGCTACCTACTACACCATTTTCACTGCCATCACTCTTGTTATCCATTATTGGTTACAAAAATAATGTGTAAGTATAGATACATATATATAAAATATGTATTGGTATATTATATATGGCAGTAATGGATATAATCTATATTATATAGTACTAATACGTATACTATAAAATATACACACATCTACATATTAAGTATATTTAATATATACATATATAAAATATATTAGTATATGATATATAGTAGTAATATATAATTATATAGCAGTAATAAATATACTACATAATATATATACCTACATCGATATATTAAGTATATTTAATGTATATATGTTATTGTGTATAGTCAACATTATATATTTGACAAAATTTTATACAGTACATAATAAAATAATTTGAGATTTTGGAGACATACTTTCAATTGTGGATCTACAATTGCCATGACATTTATGGTAAAGTGACTTCCTATTGAAAGCAGATTTTTAGTCCATTCGTTCTTTAAAATGACAGTTATTTACTTTACCTCTACATTCTGCATGGCAAACATGATGTATGTCAGAGCACTTGCGTGATCAAATTTCAGTTTGTCACTGCAGGTTTATACCAGCCATTTTCAGCACCACTTACCCTGGGTTCCCAGCGAACAGTGTGCTTTTGCATGGCACCATTTTAAAAGTCCATTAATTATATTACCAAATATGGAAAACAGTTTCTTCCACAGATTGGCAAAACAGGGAAGTGTTACAGTTGCCTTTGAATTGTATGAGTCATGAAAATATGAAAACTAAGTAATTCATTCTGAATAAGCTAGTCTTACTAGTAATGACCATTCATTTATAAAAAGTGGTGTGAAAAGCCTATGCAATTCATTTAAATCCTAAGTAAACTTAAAATAAAACTCCAGTTTATGTGAAACATTTTGAAATAAACTACAAAGTAATTTTCTACTTGAATCATCTCAGTGGTTTACTTTTCCATCTTATTGTTTTAAATTTTTACTGTATATATAAGCAGAGCAGTACCTAGCATGAAGAAATTACACAAGGAAAGCATATCTTGTAAAGTCATCTTTAAATCATGTCTTATTCAGAATTATGTTCCAAGAAACTAACACTGCAAAAATAAATATTAAATTCAGTTCCTTTAATATTACAACAAATTATGATAGTCTATTTAAATTCCATTATGAGAGCATTTTCAAAATGTGTCATAAATAATTGACCATTGTAAGAAGCAGCCAGTTGAAATTTTGCTCTATCAACAAAAGCATGTAGTATTTATATTAGTAGTATGATATCCACACATTTAATTATGAATAGGGCATATATGTAAGCCTTGGTCCATTGTACATATCAACAAATGAATCAATGAATTAAAAATATTTAAACAGAAAAAGAAAACACATAGTCCTTATCAAATTACTTCATACTCATAAATAAAATGTTTCCTTTATCCTTTCTTTTTTCAAAATGTTGATTTTATAACACTATAAATTTTAAATTATTTAACATTGAATAATATATTAGATATTGCAAATCTCAAGTAGAATTAGACACATTTTATCTCAATTATATATACAGATGAAATTCAGTTGAGAAGTTAAACTCTCCAAAATAAAATATTGAGTATATAAGAACATAGATTTTCTGTTACATGACTATTCTATTGTATTCAGATAGAAGAAACAAAATATTGATGGAATAGCTATTCCATGCTAGTGTTATAACTGTGTTCAATGACTTCCTTTAATTTAAAATACAGAAATTGTAAGGCATCATTTCCCTCATGTTGTTATTTTGTATGCCAACATTTATTGAGAGAATTTTCTGTGTCATCTAGTTAGTGATGAATATCTAAATATCTTCTATTTTATTAAGATGGACATCACACTCTTAAAGGAAAAAACCCCTGGTCTTTCCATTTTAACAAGATAGATGCCATGTATGAGCAAGTGGCATATTAATAAAATTTTAATGTCAGGAATTAAAGAAGCAAATGAGAATATAATAGATCAAAGTCCAATTTAACTAAGGAACAGTGAGTTGATAAATGGCTAGTTTACACTAGGTTCTCTAGATTTAATATATGTCACAAAATGTAATGTTATCAAAACTTACTAGTACTAAAGTTAAGGAAAACAAATAATGAGATACTATTGAAATATGTAAAAGTACTACTTTTTAGCTAACATACATTGAAGTATATAAAACAGAAGAGAGATGAAAAATGTCTCCCATAGTTTTGTATATCAGGAGGAAGAATTCATCACTGAAAGCAGAATAAAATTTTACATTTCATTGTCTAAAATTTTGTCTATAAAACTCTTTTTGCTTTTGATTATATTATGCTTTTGTACTTACTAGGAGTTCGTTCATTCACTCATTGCATAATATGCACATTTAGTACTTGCTTTGGAAAGAACCATAGATGACTAGATGGTGTCTAATTTAACCAATGACAAAAATAAAAATAAAAAATACATAAATATTCATAGTAAAGACCAAAAATGAGATAGAATCTTTGAGCTCAAAGTTTTAAGAATCTTCAACACTTGCATCTCACATACTTTTCCCAGAACTTAAAGTATAATAACAAAAATTTCTCTTTTTCTCTTACCAACCTGTCAAAATTAGCCAAGCCCCATTCACACCGTAACTTCAAATGCAGTCCCTCAGATCATTTGGTTTATGATCCTCTTAGCACCTACCATTATCTTAGATAATCTTATGTATTTATTCATTTACTTCTGCATTTTCCCTCTGGTCGCATTTGGAATATAAACTCTGTATAGTAGATAATCTTATTTTTCTCCCTTCTGTGTGTTTAACTCCAATAAAACTTCCCAAAGCAGCCAGGCACGTTGGCTCATGCCTATAATCCCAGCACTTTAGGAGGCTGAGGTAGGAGGATTGCTTGAGCCCAGGAATTTGAGACCAGCCTGGAGGAAACAGTGAAACCTCATCTCACGACATAGATACATGATAGATAGATAGATAGATAGATAGATAGATAGATAGATAGATAGATATGATATATATCTACATATATACATATATGATTATAGATATTTATTAAATAAGTAAATATGTATTTAATATTGAAAATTAGGAAGTTGTTTTATATATGCATGATATCACATATATATGACAGCAGATCTGCTGTATCTGCAGGCATCTGCTGTCTTTTATATATATATATATAAAACAACTATCATATATATAACGTATATGTTATACATATATGCTATCATATATATACAACAACTTCCTAATTTTCAACATTAAATGCGTATTTACTTATTTAATAAATCTAATGAAAATATAAGATATGCTCACATGCTATCACAATACAAGAGCTTATGTATTAGGTGCTACAAAGAAACGAGAAAGTGACAGCATCTTGCAATTTCAGAGCAAGGTTTGAAACATTTTAGCTTTACTAATACTATTCATGAATCCAGGGAGAGTTTAAATGCAGATGGCTTTGACCTACAGCAGAGCAGAAGACAGTCTGCAGAAGCAAAGAAATGAAATAGGTTTGAGTATACTGCTTTAAAAAGTGGGGAAGTATTTCAGGGTAGCTTTTGTGAAGAAAGCAATATTAAGATAATAAAGATATGCCTACTAGGAGAGCTAAACAAACGTGAGGGTTTAGCTGACGCTGTATAGCGAGAGTTGCTGGTAAGCACGCTTTTGTTCATTTATTCAAAATGCATTGAACATCTCCTTTATTATGAACTGTCCTGTCCAATTGCTTCTTTCTTTTCCAGAGTTTTAAATCTATACCCAAATGGTCCTCATTATTTGCTAGACAGACACTCAAAAACTAAGAATATTAGACTTTATATTTGAACATAAATATGTAACAGGTGCTATATCATATCTTTGGAAAGGGTTCTGAAGCAATGAATCATTACTAAATAACTTTATATAGTGTATTTTTATAAGCATATCAAATTTTAGTGAGTTTATTCTTTAAAATGCTTTAGAGACTCTAAAGTAGAAACCCTTGTTAGAATAATTTAGCTTTACAGTTGTTTCTTTGAACATAAATGTATCTATCTGAAGGTTCCCATAAAACAAATTCATCAGTATTCTATCTTGTGATGTATATTTACCATTTTATGCACGAGATAAAGGAAGGCTTGCTCAGTCTGTCTTCGTTTCTTTCTCTCTGTGTGTCTTGGCGAGAGTCACATGCTGTAATAAATGAGTGGGGGGAAGTTGTACGTATCACTGGATTTGCATGCTACAAATAAGAGAAATGGGAAGACTTTTTTGCAGGAGAAATAGACAAAAGCATAAACATAATTTGGAAAGAAGAAATGACAAGACAGGAAGGCACAGGAGTACACTCTTTCGAAATGACTGAAAAAGGAAACGGTGGAAGGTGGCAATGTTTTTTCTGATGGGCTTAGATAATACTCAGGTATGAATATAGGTAGAGTTGGATTTCCTCTCTGAACCCAGATATACTGATGCCATGCCTTCTTTTCCTGGGACACGATTTACTAGCAAGTGAATGTTTTACAGTATTTTCCGTTACTAATTACACTGAGCTTGTTTTTGCAGCCCCGGGGATTCTCTGAAAGTAATGCAGCAGCTGTCTTATACAACGTGGACCTTATTACCTCTGAGCACTTCCCGTTACTCCTTCCCTTGTTCATATACCTTTCCGGAACACTGGCCTCCTTCTGTACCTAGCATATAAGAGGCGGCTTTCTATGGCCTCCTCCTCCCGCTGTCTTGAATACTCCCCTGCCAGATAGCCACAAGACTTACTTTCCTATCTGCGGCTTCCTGAAAAACAAACAAATGAGGGAGTGGAAGTTTAAACAGAGGAAAATCCTAAACAATGGTATTTTGCCAGGGTTGCCGCTAGGCCTTGCCTAGAGGTGTTCAGAAGGGGTCCAAGAACTGTCCGCCTAAGTCATTCACTGGAGGCTTCTGTCTCTGAGTGGATGAAGGCTTCTGCTGTGATGGAGAAGGCCCTGGCACAGAAAGTCTGACTCACAGCTAGTGCTGCAGGTGAGATGCCATTAGCCAAGGTGGAATACCATCCTTGCAGACAAGTATCTGCTACAAAAATCAGAAAGGGGCTGAGGGATGCCAGAGGACTCTCTTCTCCTCCTGCAACCCTTCAGTTACTTGCTCACATCTGACCGCCCTGGATAAAATCCCCATAATCTCTGTATTCCCAGCTTCTTGCCCTGTGCCACCTCCCCCTGCTCTGTTTATCTTCCATAGTACTTATCACCATTTGCTACCTGTCAGCAGCATACCACATTAGGGAGGCGGGGTGAGCCTTCCTGGGTACAGGCAATGAAGGATGCAACTATAGAAAAATTAAAGACACAATAAACTTGCTAAAATCTTCAACTTTTCATTTTCACCATGCAATTCCAATTCTAAACAAAGTCAATGACAAAACCTACATTTTCTCTGGGAGATTGACCACCTCCCCACCGCCTAGCCTCCTTGAGACTCTTATTTATTCAGTTAAATACTGTCTCACTCACTAAAATGTGCTTT
This sequence comes from Homo sapiens, assembly GCF_000001405.40. Lineage (NCBI taxonomy): Eukaryota > Metazoa > Chordata > Mammalia > Primates > Hominidae > Homo > Homo sapiens. Next base: position 103,735,595 of record NC_000013.11, on the reverse strand, counting down.
CTATGAACAGATCATTTTTGCCTATTTTTCCAGTGATGTAACTTTAGGGCTTGAAAGGCACCTGATGTATACACATTTGTTGGCTGAGTGCATGAATATTCTGCCTCCCCTCCCCAGTCCCTGCCATCATCAGAGTTAGGCCTTGTGCTTCAGGACTGGGGCTCTCCCTTCCCTTCTGCTGGAGAGGAGCAAGTGGATGGGAGATTGGAAGTGTTTTATTGTATTTCAAATTTTAAAAAGAAAAAAAAAGAAAGAGAAATTCTAGAGTTGCTAGGAAGAATTCCTAAAAAGAGAAAAACTCCTTGTCGGAAAGTCTAGGCCCAACTAATAATCTAGCCACATTTGTTAGCAACGAAGAAGGGATAAAATAAGCTGCAGTGCACCAGATGGATAGGGGAGCAAAGGGATCCAGGTTCTTCAGAGAAGCAAAGAACTGAGCCCTCCTCAAAGTCACCCTTTGGACGGAGGTGTCCTGAGGACTCTCTCCTAATGCCCTCATCCTGGAGAGGTTTTATGAAGTTCTTCTATGGCTGGCATGACTCAGCAAGAAAGAGTCCAGTGGAGCCCAGCTTTGAATGCACTTGTGAGTCTTCACCAGACCCAGTGCCTGCTGTTACCTTCAGAAACCAGAAACCAGAAAACAGGTTCCTCCTTCTGTCTAGAATGTGTTAAGCCTAATACTCTTCGAGGATAAAATGAAGTTCAAGACCCACACAGGAAACTGATATTGAACCTCAAGCCAGCTTCAAAGACAAACAGAATTAAACATTCAATTTTATGTTTAAAATAAAGGTGACAATTCTTGCTTGCCAAAATACTAGTACAGTTAGTAAAATTTACATTCTCATCCCTTCTTTTTGTCCTCCTACATTCTCTCCTGTCCCCCTCTTTTCTTCCTTCCTTCTATCCTTTCTCTCTCTTTTGCTTTCTCAAGAAATATTTTCAGAATACCTTCAATTTACTCTTTTCTCATTATTTTATTTATCCATTCATCTCACAGGCTGTGGAGAAAGAAAAAAGAAAACATAAATCACCTGACCACGTCCATGCAATGATTAAATGTTAGAAGTTGAACTCAAACCCAGGTTGCCTGCATTCAATTTCTCCAGTCTTTCTCCTGCAGTACTTTACTTCTGCTTTGTTCTTCCATCCCTTGAATCCTGTTAGTACACAGAATATTCTTATACTACTTATAAAAAGGTCTTTCTCCGGGGGAAAGCCATTTCAAAAAATGCTGTGGCCTGGGGAAGGACTCTAGATCCCAGCCCCCATCTGTGCCATCCACCTGGAACTCTGCAGAGAGTGACTGCCCACCTGAGCTCTATCTCTGCTCTCTTCTAGTGCCTCTCCCTTTCCTTCTTCTTCAAAGGTCCATTGTGCTTATTCAAGGTGCAAGGTTCTCTAACCAAGGAAGACATTTATACAGGTATTATTTTTAGCTAAATCGCCAAAGCAAACTCTAGGACTTCAAAAATCCTACTGATAAAGACAAACCAGTGCATCATCATTGCACGGGGATGTAGATAATCCTAAAAGGCCTCCGTTTTATGGAATGTGTGTAAGTGATTGGGCAGAATCCAGTGGTGCTTGGGTTTACCCGGGTAAACAGTGTGATCATGCTGAGCTTGTCTTTACCGTCTTTCTCCTCCCAACTCTGGAGAAAAGTGACGCATTTGAATATTATGTGTATATAGAAAGTCACTTTGGTGAAGGAGAAGAAATAATAGGAAAGAGACAGTGCCAAGAGATATTCAGAGGCACTAGGAGCTGCCCATGGCTGCCATTTTATCATTCACCTCTGCTGTAGAGGAGCGACTCCAAATGATAGTGTATTACAGGAAAAAAAAATCATTAAATTGCATTATTCAAAGAAATATATACTTACAGTACAGTTATAACCTTTTCTGAAATTATACTAGATTCAATTAAAACTTGATTGATCAGGTCTTAACATTTCTATTAAATAACCGAAGATTGTAAGAGGAAACGTTTTGGCCTAAATTTAGCTTATTAACCATCCCTCTAATCCACCCTCCCCCTACCCACAAGCCCTGCATTACCCTTCCCAGCCTCTGGAAACCTTCGTTCTACTTTCTATGTCCATGAGTTCAGTTGTTTTGATTTTATATTCCACAAATAAGTGAGGACATGCAATGTTTGTCTCACTGTGCCTGGCTTATTTCACTTAACATAATGATCTCCAGTTCCATCCATGTTGTTGCAGATGACTGGATCCCATATTTTTTGATGGCCGAATATTACTCCATTGTGTATACGTGCACATTTTCTTTATAATAAATTGAAGAGTGTAACTGGATTGTTTGTAACTCAAAGGAAAAATGCTTGAGGGGACAGATATCCCATTCTCTATTATGTACTTATTTCACATTGCATGCCTGTATCAAAATATCTCTTGTACCCCATAAATATATACACTTACTATGTACCCACAAAAATTAAATAATAATAGTAAATAAAATAACATAAATAAATAAATTTAGCCTAACTCTTCCTTGCGTTGGTGGCCCAATCAAACTAACTGATTTTAAAACACAGTAAATAAACCACATATCCCTGGTGAGATAGTTTCAAAAACAATGAATGCAAAGAAATTATAAGATCTTTCATTATTAATATTTTATCTTGAAATTATGAGATTATATATACATAAGTAAATAGATGAATATAAATAAGTTGATATATATATGATAGAGCAAACTAAAATTGTATTGTTAAGATTTTCAGTAGAGGCCGGGTGCGGTGGCTCACGCCTGTAATCCCAGCACTTTGGGAGGCCAAGGCAGGTGGATCATGAGGTCAGGAGATGGAGACCATCCTGGCTAACACAGTGAAACCCCATCTCCACTAAAAATACAAAAACAAAATTAGCCAGGCATGGTGGCAGGTGGCTGTAGTCCCTGCTACTCAAGAGGCTGAGGCAGGAGAGTGGCATGAACCTGGGAGGTGGAGCTTGCAGTGAGCTGAGATCATGCCACTGCACTCCAGCCTGGGCGACAGAGCGAGACCCCAGTCTCAAAAAAAAAAAAAAAAAAAAGATTTTCAGTAGAAGAAAAAGATAAAATAATAAACTCACAAAACTCAAGTAAAAATTCAACATTTTAAGTTTGAATTAGAAATATCTAAAAATATTATGTATATTAAAAATAAAATTACTAGCTCTGCCCACTGGAAAAGGCCAGTAGCAATAGCAATCCTAGTCAGCTATCAAAAAACCACATTGGCACTTTGGGAAGCCAAGTCAGGCGGACCACTTGAGGTCAGGAGTTTGAGACCAGCCTGGCCAATTTGGGGAAACCCTGTCTCTACTAAAAATATACACACAAAAAAGTAGCTGGGCATGGTGGCTCATGCCTGTGATCCCAGCTACTCGGGAGCCTGAGGCATGTGAATCACTTGAACCTGGGAGGCGGAGGTTGCAGTGAGCCAAGATTGCGCCACTGAACTCCAGCCTGGGTGACATAGTGAAATGGTATCGCAAACAAACAAAATAAAACAAACAAAAAACCCACATTGATAAACATATGTGATCAACCTACTACATTTGGCTTCAGCCAACTAAGCTAATTTTCAATCTCAAAGTTAACTTTTAATTTTAAAATCTAAAAATGATGAATTCACTTTATAAGTGTTATGTTCCGAGCTTAATGTATTCTGCATATCCTATTATGATTTTCAACCATCTTCAAAACCTTCCATGTTTTATACAAATATTGACAGTTAATTTCATTGAGGTTAATATGTACGTTTCTTGGGTTAAAAAAGTGCCAATGACATTTGTTGCTCCTTTGGATTTCACCTATTAACTCACATTTGCCCCTATTTCATCAATTAAATACAGTGCCACTGTCTAGTAGTAGACATTATCTCCACAATCAATATTTCTACATGTATAGGACTTACCTTTGGCTTTTTAAAAGAACATACACAAGCTAATGAGTGAAAAAAAGCACTTTGTCTGCGATCTAAATAATGAATTTAATATTGGGACAAGTCTAATGCCAATTTGCTTTTTAAATAAGCATTGTCATGCTAGGAAGTTAATTAAAGGTTTTCTTCTGCTTTGCAATAAGAAGAAAAACAAAACAAAACTTCTGTAAAGCAGGAAGAGATAAAGGATTGATTATTTTGTCTGTTAACAGTGTTTCCTAGTTCTCAATTTGTTTAATAACTTATTAAGACACATTGTATTTCCAGCCTTCCATGTTTCTCTAAGTGAAACTGCAGATAGCTTGAAAAAAGTTTGCTGTGAGTATCGAGGTGAAAGACTATGTATAAAAACAATGTTAGCTCAGAAAATATGCAACACTGAAATCATGCAGCTATCAGATTGTCAGTATTATTTTATAGCGAGAATTGGCCACTGAACTTGAGACAGGCTGCCTGGATACCCAACCCCCAGCTTTTACTAGCTGTGTGACCCTGGACAAGTAAGTTAACCCCTCTGAGTTTTTGTTTCTTCATTTCTGAAGTGAAACCTACCTGATGGGAATGTTGAAGATGAAATGGATTGACAAAGGTTGATAGAACACATTTAGAGGGGTGTCTTCCATATGGAAAATATTAGATAGGTCAGTATCTTCATGTTGTCTGTGCCTTTCTTTACTTACCATGCCTTCTTTTGCTTTGCCATTGTTTGTATTTTCAGCGTTATTGAAATGCCAAACTTACTCATTTTTTAATTAGAATCCCCTTCTAACAAAGGGTGCAAATCACATGTCTAAAAGCTTATGTTTGACTTTTAAGTCTTATTCCAGAAGAGTGCCCATATTTAACAATTCAATTTGTTATTAGATTCACTTGACTTTTGGAGACTGGCAAATATTCCTAGAATCAATCGCTCAAACAGTCTCTTCTACTGCCGCCTTACACATACATCAAGCATTGCTGCAAATGTTGATGGCACTTTCAGCGACCACATTCCTGACCTGTTCACAGCCACTCTTGCACAGCTCTTTATCAATCATCAGAGATGGCCTGCAGGGCAACTGGGGCGCGGAGCCACCTTTCTCAGGGCCAGTGTGGCATCTTGCCACTCGTTCTTGCTGACCTGTTTCTGAATATATCTTTGACCTTTAAAAATATTGCAGACAACTGCTTCTTCTTTTACAGGTATAATAGCATCTGAAAGTTATGCTCTTGAGTTCAACTTTAAGGTCCCCTTTTCACTTTTAAGGACAGTTGATATTTTAATAGATTGCTTTTACTGTATCACTTTGTTTTAAACCTGCTCATCCACCTCAACCCATTCTTGTTTCCACTGCAATTTTTCTTAATTTTTTTCCAGTTTTTATTATGAATTAAAGCATTTTTTATGGTTAAATAAATCTAGGATAGGTTTGAGAATTAACATTCATTTACTATCAACTTCATATATTTGAAACCATAAATTTTATGCACATTATATTGTACCTAATGGGCAATAGTACTTTTTTTTTATTTTATGTACTTGATTCTATACATATTTATTCACCTCTCTGTACTTAATGTATTACTGCCAATACATACCTAAGCTTTTAAACTGTATGAATCAATATATGCTCTTTGAATGTGATTTCATATTTGAATATTATTTTGATAACTGCTTTAACTCCAATCCTGTAAAATAACAATATTTTCTTATTTTCTTTAGAATAGCTTGAACAATAAATCAGTGGAGAGAAATTGCAGTTGGCATGAAAAACTTGGCAATTAGACAGTTCTTTAAAAGTGTGTTACCATTCTTCCAGGAAATAACTAATGATGTTCAGAAAAAAAGCATTCAAGTAGCAAACAGCATGAGACACACTGAGACTTAGAAATTGTTAATTGTGAGTATCATGTCTCTCTGTCTTGTGTAGGGAAAGATGACTCAATTGTTCCAGACTATGAGACAAGCCAATTATGCACCTGGTATTTTCCTCTCTGGGTCTGAGGAAGTTTGTTTGACTTTTGGTTCTGGACCATTAGGTGGTTGGACTTCATCTTCTTTTCAGGCACAGAATCTGAACCACTGGGCTACAGCCTGCACCCAACGGCTGAATGCCTGAGTTTTTTTTGTCTGTTGCCCAGGCTTTACCGAAGTTCCACTTGGAACTTACCATTCCAATTTTTTTTTCAGATTTCCTTGAAGTGTAGGTTTCCTAGGGCTATCTTAGCAAAATACAACAAACTGAGTAGCTTAAAACAACAAAAATATATTCCCTTATGATCTTAGAGACCCAGAAATCCAAAATAAAGGTGTTGGCAGCACCATGCTCCCTCAGAGGCTTCTCAGGAGAATCTTCTTGCTTGGTAGAGTTACTGGTAGCCCTCAGTGTTCCTTGGCTGGTGGCAGCATAATTCTGATCTCTGCCTCTGACTTTTCATGGCTCTCTTCCTTCTGTTCCTCTCCCTTCTCTCTTACAAAACCAGATATATTGGATTAGAGCCCACCTTAATAACCTCATCTTATCTTAACAATATCTGCAAAGATTCTATTTCCAAATAAGGTCACCTCCCATGTATTGAAGGTTAAGAGTTCAGCATGTTATTTTAGCGGAAACAATTCAACTTAAAATACAAGACTTCTTCTGATTATTTTATATCTAGCAGGATTTGAGCCTTTGATAAATTAAGAATAAGATGACTGTATTGGATTACCACTAACTTAATTTAGACTATAATGTCCTTTATATTACTTTGTTATATTTATGATGATGGGTGCATTCATTGAGTAAGAAAATATTTATTGATCACTTACAGGCAAGCTAAGCTGAGCAGTGAACCCTATACATGTGATTTAGACACAGAGCTTCTTTTAAAGGAAATTACATTTTAGAGACAGAAATAAAACACACATAAAATACCACCAACTTAAAATAAAACATACCTGGGTGCAATGGTTCATTCCTGCAATCCCAGCACTTTGGGAGCTTAAGGCAGGCAGTTCACTTGAGCTCAGGAGTTTGAGACCAGCCTGGGCAACATAGAGAAACCCCATCTCTACACAAAATACAGAAATTAGCCGGGTGTGCTGGCATGTGCCTGTGGTCCCAGCTACTTGAGGGGCTGAAGTGGGAGAATCGTTTGAGCCCGGGAGGCAGGGGTTGCAGTGAGCTGAGATCGCGCCAATGCACTCTAGCCTGGGCAACAGAGGGAGACCCAGTCTCTAAATAAATAAATAAATAAATAATAAATACCCTAAGAGATTCAGGGTAAGATTCTAAGAGGAAGGAGAGCATTGCCAACTAATAGGCATGGTCAAGAGAGGGTCTTTTCTCTTCCCCATCTAATTCTGAGCTTTGTGAAAAGCTTCTTCACACTCCTTAAATACATCAGCCTGTAAGTCCTCAATCTGACCATAACTTAAAGCAGCGCTACCCAAGGTGCGGCCCAAGGACCAGCACTATTCTGTGAACTGTTTAGGTCTACGGTAAGATACACACAGAAACTGAGAGTCCGTATTTTGAAACTTGTAAAGAAATTTCAATAAATTTGAGTATGTTGAATGTCATAATAATAAAGAAATGTTGGTTTGGGTTTTTTTATGTACTTTTTTCACTTTTTCTAGTCGTTATTTTTATTGTGTGTTATAGAGGTATACCATGATATACTGAAAAATTTTAATTAATTATTTGCCTCATTTGAAATGCTCTGAAGCAAGGACTTTCTTCTGGAGAAGGCCCACATTTAAAAACACAACCCTTAAGGGCCCTTAAGGGCCTCAGGCCAAATCTTTTTTTCACCCTCCCATCCCACAAGGCTGTAACTGACAACAGCTTTGGTGACTAGCAATAAATTTAATTATTTTTCTTCATATCCAGACTTGCTCAGAGTGTCTAGGAAGGCATCCCAGGTATAAAAATAATTACTTTTTTAAACAGAGAAAATGTTTGACCTCATTATGTGCAGGTCTTGAAGTCATATTCCTATATTCAAAGCAGAATGGCAGAGTTAAAAAAAAAAAACACTAAACTAATTGTTGAAGGACTGGTTCCACTTTCAAATCTCTCATGTCCTAGTTGAATGACCTTGAACACTTCTGCACTCAATCTTTAAAATTTGCTACCCATCTACCACACAGAGGTGTGTATAAAGACAAGTCTTTATAAAGAGATTTTTTCATATGCCAAATCTTTGAGGTTTTGATGACAGTTTTCTGTGGTATCCAAAATTTCTTTAGACATGCAAAGAATTAATATTTTATGGCAGGCATATTGCTGATTCTTCAGGAATATGCCAATGAGAAAAATGTTCCTTAAGTTAAATCTTAGACAAAAGCAAACACATGAACTTTTCTTGAGCCTTTCTATAATGACTTTTGGGCTAAGATATAATGAGGAATCTTATTAAGGTAATAATTTTCACTTTGTAAATAGCCTGAATTTAAGATAGACCTAGATATATTTTTCTACCACTCTTCAAAGATGGGCTGTTAAAAGCATCCTAATAACCTGATATTTCTGGACCTCTTAATTTTGTTAAAACTGAAAATATATTGAATGTAGTTAAAAATTTTCCCAGAAAGGTTTTCAGAGTAAACACAGTACAGCTTGTTGAGGTCACACTATTATCTAACCAACGTGCTTCAGAAACTACTGGGAAAGCCAAGCTCCAATGGGATACCAGAGTCCAATCATGATTCCTCTTACACTAGGAGCTCTATAGTAAATATTGACTATGGTAGAATCTTGCATCTGTGAATTTGTGTTTTGGTGAAAATTTGTGTTTTGGAAATGGTAGATAGCTGAGAAAAAAATCCTTAGTTTTTTATATAGCTCTCTAAAAACTGGGATGGTATAATAGGTCAGTTTAAGACCAAGAACTTAAACTAGCATAGTTCCTGTCCTGTGTTAAACCATACTAGGACTAAGCATACTTATACCAAGATCAAGTAAAAATAACTTGTATTATTGTTCCAGGAATTACTTGTTCCTGGAAAATAAGAATATGAACCAACTAAACCACTTGTCTATTAAACCAAGTTTGCTAATTAGGGCTTACTTCAAGATTCTCACTTCTTTGCTGTGCCTGCAAAACCAAAGGTATTTTATTATATAAAATTTTCCCAATTCCAACTAGCTCCACACCTTGAAATATCTACCCTTAAATCACATATCCCAGGCTCTAAAGCATCTATATACTTCAATAGTATCACTACTTAGAGACTCCAATGAGACTCTGTCAAGGTTGTTTTTTTTCCCTACTGCTACAGTCTAACAAACTTGATTTGCTTAATCAATAGGTTTTTATGCTGGTCATTTGGGGAAAAGATAGAAACAAAAGTGTATCAAAAGAGTTTAATTATTTAAAATTTTAGGTCAACCTATGTGATAGCATTTTTCCACAAACAATTCCCATTTTCTTATTATTCCCTATGAACCAATATTGTTAGAGATATTGTTTCAACTCTTTCCTTTTTACTTATTAGCTCTCTCCCACATTGTATGAAAATTGAAAGCCTCTTCCTTAGATAACATCCAATATAAATGTATTCAATCTAGTCATTATCACCCCCTAAGTGTTTTGGTACCCTTCTCCTCTTATAAAACATAAAGGATAAAGGAATATACATTATATCAATATCTGCATGTGGACACTACCTAGACATAGAGAAGTTGAGTTCAGGCATGAGTCTCCCATAGAAAATGAAGTCTGTTAAAACTGTTGTTGGAGGCACCAACTAGGAGCAGCTGTAGCTTGAGATAACCAAGTAGGAAGACCATAGCCTGGAGACCTCTAACCAGGATATAAGAAGCACAGTTTCTACAAGCAATGGGACTGACGAAGTAAGGAGCCAGTGAACGGCTCTTCTGGACAATATTTGGTACATTTGTGGCCTTAGAATAATTACTAGGATTCAGAGGTCAGAAGCCAGTAGTCCCAAAGAGCGATGGTTTTACAAATGTGTCAAATTCAAGCATGTTTTCCTAAAGAGAATTTGCCATGAATCCAGTCTCCAAGGAAAGTTTTATTATTCACAGAAGACAATTTAAGGCCAAACTGATTTCCCAACATAGCAACAAAAGTTTATAGTCAAGGAGGTAGCTCTGTGTTAAATCTAAGAAACAACTACAACTTCAGTCTTACAGCACACATTCACACAATTTAAAGGATCCATATTAGTTAACTTGTCATTGTTTCTCATTGTTTTAGGGGTAACATTATAGGTTGTTTGAGCATAGACATTACCTTTTAAGTAATTAATTATTAACATTACAGATCTAAGTCTTATAGCACAGGAAAAACTGGATGGATGAGACAACATTGAACAAAAGTCAAAGATTAAGAATCCTCTTAATTTTACAATTATTCTTTTGCCAGACACTGAAAAAGAAAAGGCATACTCTTTATCTGCATGCCTTTTCACCTTGTGGGGCTTATGTCTGGGAAAAAAAAAGAGAAAAGGAAAATATTTACACAAAATTAATTCTGAAAGTTATTAAAAGACAAATCAGCAGATATTAAAACCACTAAAATTCTTATAAATTCAGATTTTTAATATTTGAATTAGACACATTTTTAATGGAGGTATATAAATGTTCATAGTTTCATTTCTCTTAGATGGATTTTCCAAATATGTCCGGACACTTTGTTACTTGAGTTATGGTTGAATAACTTCATTGCTTTAGAGATTAAAGACTAACTGAAATAAAGGAGCCAGACAAATTATATATTTTTAAGAAATCTGATTAATTAATTAAAAACATCATCTAGGCCGGGCGTGGTGGCTCACGCCTGTAATCCCAGCACTTTGGGAGGCTGAGGTGGGCAGATCACGAGGTCAGAGATTGAGACCATCCTGGCTAACACAGTGAAACCCCGTCTCTGCTAAAAATACAAAAACAAAATTAGCCGGGCATGGTGGTGGGCGCCCCTAGTCCCAGCTACTCGGGAGGCTGAGGCAGGAGAATGGCGTGAACCTGGGAGGCAGAGCTTGCAGTGAGCCCAGATCACGCCACTGCACTCCAGCCTGGGCGACACAGCGAGACTCCTCCATCTCAAAAAATAAATAAATAAAATAAAATAAAATAAATAAAACATAACCTAATATATTTTCACTTAGGATAATTCTTTAAAATTTTCTATTAAAAGAAATACACATTTTTACCAAGATGTTTATTATCATTAACTTGTCAAATATAGTTTTTTCAATGTTAATGCATAGTTTATTCTGCATTCCTTAATGCTCATTATAGACCAAACACAGTGCTTCCCACTAAGAACACATAGACCCAAAGTCTTCGTCTTTGCCATTATGGAGTTCTAGGTGTTCTAGATGCAAACTGTGAAATTCCCTATTGAAAGTTGTCATGATTAATTTTATGTGTCAACTTGCCTGAACCAAAAGGTGTCCAGATATTTGGTCAAACATTATTACTGGTGTGTTTATGAGGATGTTTCTGGATGAGATAACATTTCAATCAGCAGAGTGAGTAAAGCAACTTGCTCTTTTTCGTGTGGGCGGTCCTCATTCAGTTAGACGTTTGAATAGAACAAAAAGCTGACTATCTCCCATATAAGAGGAAATTCTTCTTGACCAACTGCTCTTGAACTAGATTGGCTTTTTTCCAGTATTTGGGTTCAAACTGAAACACTGACTCTTCTTGGATCTCAAGCCCACTGGCCTTTGAAATGTAACAGCATCAACAGCTTTCCTCGGTCTCCAGTTTGCTGGCTTACTCTGAATATCTTGGGATTTACCAGCCTCCGTAATCACTTTAGCTATTTCTTTATATTAAATCTCCCTAGAAAGATAGGTAGATAAATGGATATATAGATAGATAGACAGACATCTTATTGGTTCTGTTTATCTCGTGAACCCTCACTAATACAGAGGTTTACACAGAACATTATGAGATGTGTAGAAAAGTTCATATAATTAATCATGGGGTAATCATAAATGACTTCTCAATGGAGTGAAAATGTAATAAAAATCTTAATTTAAGTAATTTGAAGATATATCAGAATTGTAGCCTTCATCAAAGAAATAATACAGTTCACTTTATTTAGTATCCTTTTTTTTTTTTTTTGAGACGGATTCTCGCCCTGTCGCCCAGGCTGGAGTGCAGTGGCGCGATCTCAGCTCACTGCAAGCTCCGCCTCCGGGGTTCACGCCATTCTCCTGCCTCAGCCTCCCGATAATTTTTTTCTTTTTTTCTTTTTTTTTTTTTTTTGTAGTAGAGACGGGGTTTCACCGTGTTAGCCAGGAAGGTCTCAATCTCCTGACTTCGTGATCCGCCCACCTCAGCCTCCCAAAGTGCTGGGATCACAGGCGTGAGCCACCGCGCCCGGCCTATTTAGTATCTTTTAATGTATTTTAGCAGCAGAAAGTTCTTTCAAATACCATTTTATATATTTTTTAAAAACTTCAATGAATAAAATAGATGTATCTCTAGCTGATCTAATTGATGTAGAAATGCCTATTAGATACTGTATTAGGCAGTTCTTTTGTGGCTATAAAGGAATACCTGACACTTGGTAATTTATAAAGAAAAGAGGCTTAATTGGCTCATGTTTCTACAGGCTGTACAGGAAGCATGGTGCTGGCATCTTCTCAGCTTCTGGGGTGACCCCAGGAACCCCTTTCACTCACGGCATAAGTTGAAGTGGGAGCCGGCAATTACATGGTAGAGTGAGAACAAAGAGGAGGAGAAGTCCCACACACTTTTAAGTGACCAGATCTCCAGAAAACACACTCACTATGGTGAGGACAGTACTAAGTCATGAGGGGTGTGTCCCCATGATTCAAACACCTCTCACCAGGCCCCACCTGTAACATTGGGTATTTGGAGATTTGGGTGCGGACAAATAAACATCCAAACTGAATTAGGCACCTACTCATCTACCAATTCCACTGAATTTTCTTTATAGACCTCTTAAGTCTCATACAGCAGTTCACAGGATTAAAATTACAGCTCAGTTTAATCAGAGAGTGCCAGGGATCACACAATTATATTTGATTAAACATCATTATACAATTTCAACTACCTTACTTTACAACAAATTCCAACTCCTGTGATTTACAAGATAACATTTTTCACAAGGAACAAGTATTTTCAAGTATGACTATTAGACTTGTGTTTGTTGCTATGTCTACTCCATCTGTGACAGAACAATTAGATAAAGTAATTAATCATGTCTTATTTTTCTCTAGATTGATGAGAAAAGAATAAAATGTATTTGCCCATAACACAAGAGATAAGAAGGGATTTATGTCTAGAGGCCTGGGATATTTTTTGTCTTGTAAGAGATTCAAGAGATGCTAGTTTTAAAAACCTAGGATTATGGAAGCAAGAGGCACAGTTGTGTATTAGGTAGAGGGTTTGAAGAGTTGAAAGAGAGAGGAATGTGCAGAATGTAAAAAAGATGACATAAAATCAATGGAAAACATGTATTATTCAACAAATTGGAAAAGTGGATAGTCATCTGAAGGAAAAATAATAATTTGATATTTTATTTTATATCTTTTGTTAAAATACATTTGGATGGATAAATAACTGAACCTTGAAACAATTGGAAAATTGTAAGAAAACATGAGAGGTGGATTTAGTTTTGTAGGTTTATAGTGGGCATGGCATTTCTAAGTAACAAACAAAGTACAGAAGACAAAATAAAGCATTGAGAAATTTTAATACACATACATTTTAAGATTCTTGTTTTTGTTTGTTTGAGACAGAGTCTCACTCTGTTGGCCAGGCTGGAGTGCAGTGGCACGATCTCGGCTCACTGCAACCTCTGCTTCCTGGGCTCAAGCAATTCTCCTGCCTCAGCCTCCCAAGTAGCTGGGATTACAGGTGTGTGCCATCATGCCTGGTTAATATTCTTTATATAAAATTTTTACACAAAGACTCATTATATTGGCAAAATGTTTGCAATTCACACTACAGAAAATAGAAAAATTTTCTTAATCCATAAATACTCTTGTAAATTAAAAGGAAAAAATTCACCACCAAAAAAAAGCAAAGTGCATTTTATAGAGTAGAAAATACAAAATGTTTTTAAAAGTATACATTGCTGGTGAGAATATGCCATTTTAAAACTGCTATGAAAAGCAATTTGTCAAAAACTACCAATATATAAGTGGACATACTTTGTGACTCTGCAATTCTCTTTCCCAGGAATTTATCCCACATATTTGTAAAATATTGTATACCTAAGGACATTCATTACAGCCATCGTGTGCTATAGTAAAACTGCATATGTGCTTAAAATATTGAGCAAATTAAATAAATTATGCTGTGTCCATACAATGAAATTCTTTACAATTTTATATAGAATATAACATTTCCAGATGTAATGTTAAATTGAAAATTAAATGATCTATTATGTCTCTTTGTATGAAAAAAAGTACATACATGGTGCTTGGAGTGCACAGGAAACATCTGGAAAGACACCCAAGAATGGCTGCATCTAGAGATGCTAGTTGGGCAGCAGGAAGGGAGACAAATTTTTATAGTATTTCTTTTTGTACTTGTAAAACATTTATGTAGTCCATGTATAACCTCTTAGATAATAAATAAATTAAACATTCAAAGTCACCAAATATTTTGAAACAACACCGAAATATTAATATTGTATGGGTCAAAGAATAATAGAATAATAAAAACTATAAAATTCTTCGAATCAAATGTTAATAAAACAATATATTTTTATTTATTTATTTATTTAAAGTTTATGGGGTACAAGAGTAGTTTTGTTACATGTATATATTGTCTAGTGGAGAAATCTGGGCTTTTAGTATTCCCATCACCCAAATAGCGAACGCTGTATCCAATAGGTGTTAATAATTTCTCATCCTTCACCCCCTCACCCACCCTATCACTGTTTGGAGCCTCCAATGTTTATGAATCCACTCTGAATGTCCGTGGGTACACATTGTTTAGCAGCCATTTATAAGTGAGAACATGAAGTATTTGACTTTCTGAATTATTCACTTAAGATAATGACCTCCAGTCCCACCCATGTTAGCAGAGCAACTTTATATAAAATGTGGTTACGTTCAGCTAAAACTGGAAATAAATGAAAATTATAGCCTTAAATTGTATTATAAAACAAGAGACATAAAGGTAATTAAGCTATATTTAGCTTGAAGAGGAAGAGAAAAATATAGTAAACTCAAATAAAATGAGTGAGAACATGAAATTAAAAAATAAATATAAGTAAAACAAATTATCAAAAAAAAAACCCCAAATCATCAGCAAAACAAAAAGCGGTTACAAATTCAAAAAGCCTAGTAATACAATGAAGGGAAAATATGGTAAGAACACACACGAAAAGGATTTTATCTTCTGAGAAAAAAAGTGAGTAAAATTACATGATCTTTTATCCCTGTGCCTTCTAATTTTTAAAAAGAAAAAATAACAATCTTAAGCCAACACCTCTTGAAAATGAAAACCGTAGGAAGATTACCTAACTTATTTCACAAGTCTTGCAACATTAAACAGAGCAAAAGTTCTGCCTAAAAATATTAGCCACATTTAATTCAGAGGTATATTTTTAAAAAACATATCCTGGTCAGGAGCGGTGGCTCATGCCTGTAATCCCAGCACTTTGGGAGGCTGAGGCGTGTGGATCACCTGAGGTCAGGGAGTTTGAGACTAGTTTGGCCAACATGTGCAACCCCATCTCTACTAAAACTACAAAAAAATTACCTGGGCGTGGTGGCAGATGCCTGTAATCCATGCCTGTAATCCCAGCTACTCGGGAGGCTGAGGCAGAAGAATCGCCTGAATCTGGGAGGTGGAGGTTACAGTGAGCCAAGATTGCACCATTGCACTCCAGCCTGGGTGACAGAGTGAGACATCGTCTCAAAAAAACAAAAACAAAAACAAAAAAACACCCTAACCGGGTAGTGATAACCTGGATGTACTAGATGGACAAGGTTATTTCAGTCTAGAAAACTGAA
This sequence comes from Homo sapiens, assembly GCF_000001405.40. Classification (NCBI taxonomy): domain Eukaryota; kingdom Metazoa; phylum Chordata; class Mammalia; order Primates; family Hominidae; genus Homo; species Homo sapiens. The sequence continues at coordinate 103,719,709 of NC_000013.11, read as the reverse complement.
TAATATGATATATGCTCTCAATACCTTTAAAAGGTGACCATCTTAATATATGCAAATATGTTTTATAAAATTTAAATATTCACTATAAAGCATTTGACTAGAACTGGACACGATAGTCATTAACCTGACAATGGTGTTGGCCAAAAAAAAAAAAAAAAAAAAAATTAAAAAGTAATTTCTGTTGCATTCTTTGACAGTCAGGAAAAAAAAAAAGAATGTCTAAAAATAATACCACCATTCAACATTACACCAGACAACTTAGCCAACTGAAAAATACATTAAAAAGAATACAAAAAGTTTGAGATAAAATGAGAAAAATCACCATTAAATGATATGGTTGTCTACATTAAAAACTCAAGAGAGTTAGTTAATTAAAACTTGTTAGGTTTAATAGACCAACTATATTTTAAAATGGTGGAAACTTTCAGCAACAATAATCAAATTAAAAATATGGTAGAAAAATAATTCCATTCAAAAAGAAAAAAAAACAGAAACAATAAAAGTACTGGGAAAGTAAACCTCTTCAAATGTATAATAAAATACCATTGGTAAAAATTCACAAACTTTTACTAAAGGGCATTGATAAGAAAGATGCAAATATAGATACACTCTGAAATATGTGACAATTTCTTGAGAAAATATACAAATCCTCAAATACATATATAAAATGCAAATTTTTCACAAATAATGGTGGCAGAGAAGTTCATTTGATATTTCTGGTGGTCTGATTATAGCTACAATCTAAATGTTTATAATTTGGTTTTATGTTAAACGTCCAAAGTCGGTGAAATTTTCCTCTCTTCTTCCATCAAAAGAAGGCATTATCATAGTGTGTGCCAGGAAGATCAACAAAACCAACACCAAGCAAGTTTGCACCGAAGGCCACTACCACTTATTCTCATCCTTACTGGCCCCCAAAAGTCACGAGCCCTATGCAAGAACTTCCATTTCCTAAATGTAGTTCTGCTTCTTGATACCAGAGCCTCCTCAAGAACAAGAAAGGGCACATTGCTGATGCAGAATAAAGCCAACTAAAAAATATTGTAGTGTAGGAAAAGTCAAAGTGGGACTCACTGTGTGTGTAAGTTCTTGGATGTACTGTTGGTGAAAAGGCGACCCATGCCACTGGGCACTGATGAGCATCTGCAAACTATAAGAACAGCTTTTGTTGCCCTTGTCACCTCAAAGCTTTTTGGGGGAAACTAGGGCTATAAGTAAATAGTTGATTTAGCACAATAAATAACTCAAATTCTGCCTCTCAAATGTATTCTATTCCTCGGAATGTAGAGCATAGCTCATAACATGGGAGCATATTCAGGAGTTTTGTTAGGGGCTGCCATGACAAAATTCCATAGACTGGGTGGTTTAAACAATGGACATTTATTTCTTGCAGTGTGGGGGCTGGAAATCAGGGTGCCAGGTTTTGGTTAGGTCTCTCTTCCTAGCTAATAGACAGCCCCTCTTGCTTCCCCCTCAGGTAACTTTTTTTTCAGTGCATGTGCACTGAGAAGACGGTGAGCTCTGTGCTGGCTCTTACTATCAACACACTAATCCCATCATGAGGTGCTCATCCTCATGACCTCATCTAGCCCCAATTACCTTCCAAAGTCCCATCTCCAACTGCAATCACACTGGCAGTTTACAGCTTCAGCATATGAATTTGGGGGTAACACAAACATTCAGTTGATAGCATGGAGCATGTTGCTTTAAACATCAAATTGGCAGATCCCTGTGCACAAAAGCTAATCAATCTATTGGACCCTTCAATTAAAATTTCTGTTCTAGGGATTTCTCAAAAGCACACAACTTTACTACAATAAACGTGTCTCAAAACTTAGACTCATTTAGATCCTTCAAACATTGTTTATTAAAGACAAAAACCACTAACCTTCTTCATGATCAATAGCAGGCAATTCCCAGTCATCACTGCTCATATTATTGTATGTTCTTCTTTAGCTAAAGCATGACACAATAGTAAGTTTTATACTTTATTCCAGAACTATCCTGGTGTTTTTATTTCTATGGCCTTACTGTTTAGAAAACACAAATGTTTAAAGAAAATTCACAAATAAATAAAACTGCATACCAAGTAAAGGATTTTTTAGGTCAATATATTACGCTTCTGAGACATATCTAGGTAACCTTCTAATGTAGATCCATTCCATAACATCATGACCAGAAGTTGTCCAAAAGCTGCCATTTGTTCATGCCATCTCCTATCTCAATTTAAAGACAAAAATTAAATGAGTATGATACATTTCAATAGGTAAGAAGTCTCTACCTCCTTTACAAAGGTATTCTTCTTCCTTTTTTATGAGCAGCCAAAAGGTTGAGAACTCCCTATTCATTCAGTCTTATTTACTTAGCCTGACACGGTTTGGCTCTGTGTCCCAAACCAAATCTCATCTTGAATAGTAATAATCCCCACATGCCAAGGGTGGGACCAAGTGGAGATAATTGAATCATGGGGACAGTTTCCCCATACTGTTCTCGTGATAGTGATTTCTCACAAGATCTGAGAGCCCTGTGCTCAGCACTCATTCTCTCTCCTGTCGCCATGTGAAGAGGTGCCTTCTGCCATAATTGTAAGTTAACTGAGGTCTTCCCAGCCGTGCAGAATCTTGAGTCAATTGAACTTATTTTCTTTCAGGGTATTTATTCATAACAGCATGAGAACAGACTAATATATGGCCTTTCTGTGCTGTGCTGGATGTTTGTGTTGACAGCTTCAACAGAGAGGCTTGTTTTACAGTAATTCTCCAACAGTCATATTTTCTCCAGGCTGAGTCATCTCCACTCTTTATTTATTCCCTGGCTGCATTTGAAATTTGAATTTTGTCATTCTGCTTTCCAAAGGCAACAGATTGGGAGAACTCCAGAGTGTTAGATAATGGAACACAGGCTGCTAATCTTTGATAAAAGACTATAACCCTAGAGAACATGGTGCCAGACTTTTTTTATTCTTTCATTTTCAATCTAAGGAAGAATGGCTGAACACACTTAACTGATCAAAGCATATAAACATACTTTTGGAATCATATTGATTGAGTGATAAATACCATAATTTAACCTTTATTTTGGAACATGTGGCAATGAAGTCCATTTCCTTCTTTCCTATAATTTTATTCACTCTGATAGTCACACGATCTCCACGCTGCCATCTATCCTTTTCTGTTGACAGGAAGAATAGTGATTATTCAGGTGGGTATGTGATTAAGGTGGCGTGACATTGAAAACTGAATGTTCACACTAGCAGTTAGCCCTCCACCTTCCTTCAAAATTCAGTGTTTGCATCCAAGTGTTATGAACATATAGTCCAATTTTAAAAGAGAAAAGAAATGGAAACACCCCAAAGTCATGATTCCACATAAAACCGAGATTCTAAAATCACTAATCTGAATATCACAGAGAAGTTACTTAGCCCAAAGACTATCTGTTGAATCCTGGTTTATAGACCTGAATTATATATAATCTTGAAGAGCTTTCTTCCAGTGGACACAGAAATAAAACAGACTAGGGAAAATCTTAGGCTAAGGCCATTTTTGCACTGTTTCTGGTCTTACCCCATTTCCACTCTGCTCTTTGCAAAGCACCTCAAAATCTGAAATAAATTCCCGTTCCATATTATATACCAACTACACGAACTTGAAGAAAATAGCACACAAAGAAAGCAATTCGGTATCTATTATGTTCCATGTATATAACTTATCTCCTCCAAAAAAGGACCAAATTCTTTCTTCTGTTGCCTGTCTGTGGATTAGAGAACTCTATTTTGTCCTTTGACCTCTGTCAGAGCATTTCTTCCCTTGAGGCCGAGAACACAATGGCTATGATGTGGCATTTTAGCAACATATAAAGCAGGGATTCTCAAGGGTGGCTTCTGGCCCTGCAGAAAGTAGCAGATTCAATCTTTGGATTTAATTCATTTAGTCTCCCACTGTAAAGTGAGGGTAGAGGATAGGTGAGCTGTGAGACTTCTGCTGTGCTTGTGTTGATCACATTACACAGGCACAGAGGCTGCTATCCTGTGGTTAGGGTGTGATATGTGATAAACACATCTTTTCATCCAACAGCTTTTAAAGCTTAAACCCAATTAACTTCTCCATATAGGAGAAACGTCATTCCAGAAGAGTTCTGCCTGCTCCTTAGGGAAGCGCTCTCCTAATAACCTGTGTCACTCCAATGGATCAATAGTCTAAATAGTAAGTGAGTCAGGTCCCATGGCCTTTTCTCGACTGATCAAAGCTATGCATAATTCTGATGGCTGTCTGGAGAACGCGATGTTGTGTAATAAAACAGAAGCAAAGAGACTAGGCTGAGTATGATGCAGTAAACCAGGTGAGGTTCTTTGGTTGGATGGTGATGCTTTGGAGTAAGGTAATAACAGGGGAAATGCAAGAAGTAAGCGAATTTCTGCTACATTGTGAAGGTGACATTGATCGCATTGGCTAGTCAGTGACACATTATTAATATGTCATTCCCCTTCCTCACCAAATCAGTCCTTTTGTCACAGAGAAATTGGAAGCACTACAAAAAGTAAAAGTTCACCCAAAAGTACCATAGCATTACCCTCACATCCCCACAATGTGGAAACAATGTTAATGTTAAGAAAAGGAAGCCTGATGGATGCTACATGTGATGTGAGTCTGGCTTGAGCATCGCAGTGAATTGTGACATCATTTGCTGAAACACACACGACTGGGGAAGGAAAAGTTTGTACAACTGTTGGGAAAAATCAGTTGTTCTTTGTACAAGTGAACTCAGAGGCTTCTACGTGACGTCCAAGTGAAGTCATTGAGTAGGCAGTCAGACATGTGGACTCAGGGCAGAGACACAGGGTGGAAATGTAACACTAGGCATCACTAGAAAAGAGACTGAACCGAGCGAGGGTCCTGGGACAGAGCTATGCTCATGTAGGGAAACTGTGCCCACAAGCAATATGCAACACTATAAACTCCCTCTCATCACCAGGTCAGTCCTTATTCTCACAGAGAAATTGGAAGCACTAAAGTCAATCAATCAATCAATCATAGCCCACTTTCATGCCCCCTTAGATCACTTGGAGCAATTTGAGTGCTAACATACATACAAAAATCAAACGCACCAGGTGGCTTCTTATTTCAGCTGATGTTTAGTGTGGGGAGGAGCAGTCAAGTGAATGAATGGCATTCCAGGTATTTCTTCAACATCTGAGGCCTGGACCATTTTCCCATTGAAATTATTTCAGCACCTCCAAAAATAGCTTTCACTAGCCCCATTTTTGTATAGCTTTTGGTAACACTCAAAATACCCAAGAGTACCATAACATCACCCTCACATCCCCACAATGTGGAAACAACCAAAATACCCATTAAATGTGACAAACAGCAGTTTATAATCTAAATTCCAATTACTCTATTGTAAAATTTTGTTACAAAACAAGACATGTATGCCTAAAATTAAAGATACATTGTAAATTCTAGAACTGAATTTTCATGATCAGCTGCAGAGAATTATTGTTACTTAGCAGGAGGTAGGGGGAAGATGTGAGGAGAGTAAAAGGAATAGATTTCCAGATTTCTGAGTCCTGAGGGAATTATTTCATCTGTGCCAAGTTTTTCATTGACAACTTGTGTAGATAAAACCAATTGCTTGAGATGTTGCTACAAGAATAAACTAAAAATGTAATGATTAGTAAAGTTAATTTCAGAGCAAGGAATACCTATGCTCAGATCTCAGTTTTGTCAAATATTTGAAGTTTATCCTCAGACAGATAACCCAGCTTCTCTCTTTTTCAACGTGCTCACCTTGGAAATAGTTATGATAATACTGCCTAATTCATATTCCTACACAGGACCTGCCCATGGACTAAAGCTGTTCAAGCCCCACCCATGAGTGCATATTCACTCTCATCTGTCCCCAAAATGCTGTAGTCCCATCATTTCTCTAAGACATAACTAGAATTTATTTTTTCTTTCCCCTTCAAATTTACATTTTTCTCACTTGGTGTGGAATACAATGTGCAATTCCAAAACTCAGTAAAGATTCAAATGTCTAACCAGCACAAATAAAGGGAAATACTGCACTTCATTTGTATTTTACACAAATATTGTTCTCTATGTAATTGTTTTCATCTATAAACTATAGCTTACTTATCATTTATTATGTGTCAGGCTCTTCTAACTGCTTTGTGAACTTCATTTTGTTTAGTTTTCACAGTGACACCATGAAGTTGGTAGTATTTTCATCCCCATTTTATCAATAAGAAAACTGAGGGAGAATTGAAAGTGTGTGTGAGTGTGTGGGGAGAAAGGAGAGAGAGTAAGTGATTGCTCAAGATAGCACAGCTAGAGAGTGGTAGAGCTGGAATTTGAACTTAGACACTCTGGATGCAGGATTTGTGTCTTCTTAATCACCCTGCTATGTTGCCTCTAGTTGAAGACAAAAGACATCGTACAGTTACTTAAAATGCTTGGTGAAAAAATAAAATGGCGTGAGCTAGTCTTCTCCTGTTCACTTTTGTGAAATGATACAACATCCCTCACAACACAATTTATCCTATTAGTGATTTCAGGGTGTCATGATGTGAAGAAGCTTGCCTAATTTTCAAAGCTAGCATTTCACAAAATAGCTACAGTTTAATTTTTAGTATGAATATTTATTAAGCTCACATACCTACTAGTGTTCTCAGAAACTGAGTTTAGGAAATGCTGATCCAAGTTCCCAACTCTCTTGTTTTGCAGAAATATTCTAAAAGGGAACAACTAAATCTTATTATCATTAAGAAATATATTTATGAAAAAATAGGAAGGGTGATTTTTAGGGGGTCCATTTCATTTGTAAAAGGGAACTTAAATATTCCTGAACAGTGGAGGTTATAAAACCAGTCCTACATATTAAGTTGAATTTGGTTAACTAGGTATTGGCAGGTTTCTGATCATATTTATGGGGTTGGGAATTTGGAAGGTATGGTGTCTGATATGGTTTGGCTGTATGTTCCCTCCCAAGTCTCATGTTGAATTGTAATCCTCAATGTTAGAGAAGGGGCCTTGAGGGAAACTTTTGGGAAGGCATAATTGTGTTCTGAAATGTGACAAGGACATGAGATTTGGGAGGAGGGCAGCAATGGAATGATAGAGGTTGGCTCTGTGTCCTCACCCAAATCTCATGTCTAATTGTAAACCTTAATGTTGAAGGAGGGACCTGGTGGGAGGTGATTGGATCATGGGGATAGATTTCGCCCTTGCTGTTGCTGTGATAGTGAGTGAGTTCTCATGAGGTCTGGTTATTTGAAAGTGTGCAGCATTTCACACTCCTCTTCCTCTCTCTCTGTTGCTCTGGCCATGTGAAGACTGTGCCTGCTTCCCCTTTGCCTTCCGCCATGATTGTAAGTTTCCTGAGGCCTCCCCAGAAGCAGAAGCCTGTGCAGTCTGTAGAACCATGAGCCAATTAAACTCAGATACGTCTTTATAACAGTGTGAGAATGGACTAATACAGTGTCTGATGAGACAAGATGACTATCTTTAAACACCTTGTGTCATCTATGTTTATTTTATACATTTTGTCTGTTCTCCTGTTCCTTTTCAGGATGAATCTTGCAGTAAATCTCTCTCTCTCTCTCTCTCTCTCCCTCCCTCCCTCTCTCTCTCTCTCTCTCTCTCCCTCCCTCTCTCTATCTCTCTCTCTCTCACCCTCCCTCTCTCTCTCTCTATCTCTCTCTCTCTCTCACACACACACACACACAAATTAATGTTTACCTCTGACTCTCCTCCACAAACCACTACCTTGGTATCACAAAGTGTGCATGTGAGTCCAAGCTCTATCACAGAACCAACCCTACAAACTGTCCACTAGCCCGGCCCTTCCCAATTTGAGTCCTGGCTTTCTCTGCATCCCTCTCTCAGTGTGGCTGAGTTCTTGTCTGCCTCAAGTTTAAATCCTCTTTAGACACAATAGAGTTATGACAAAAAGATAGTTTCTCTTTTTTTTTTTTTTGAATTTTTTTTTGAATTATGAGGCAGAATTTCTCTCTCGTCACTCAGGCTGGAGTACAATGGCATGATCTTGGCTCACTGCAACCCCTGCCTCCTGGATTCAAGGGATTTTCCTGCCTCAGCCTCCTGAGTACCTGAGATTACACATGAATGCCACCATGCCTGGCTAATTTTTGCATTTTTTAGTAGACACAAGGTTTCACCGTCATGGCCAGGCTAGTCTCGAACTCCTGACCTCAGGTGATCCCCCAACTCTTCCTCCCAAAGTGCTGAGTTTACAGGCATGAGCCACCATGCCTGGCCGACAGTTTATCTTTTAAAATGAGATGCTATTCTGCTATATAAGAAGTTAACATTCTGTTCAAATGAAAGAGAACCTTTAACACCAGTGCTTACCAAACCGGGAGATTTAAAACATTTAAAATAAAAATATTACTAATATTAAACATTTATTGTTTAATCTGTGAGGCACCAGATTGGGCATTTTATAGATAGCATCTCATTTAATTCTCACAACTTTCTGAAATAGACATATATATTTTTATCACTGCTTAAGAAGTGAGGAAAGTAAGGATTCATGAAGTTAACTAGAAGGAACAGTAAGTAGTAAAAACAAGGTTTGAAGTCAGGCAGTTTAAATCCAAAGACCGTGTTCTTAAACCAAATCCCTGAACAGTTATGTATTTACTGTACAAGTTTGCCTTTCTACCAATTACCTTTATGCCTACAAAGCCTTTTAAACAAACGCAGGTGTATTAGTTCATTTTCACACTGTTATAAGAAAATACCCAAGACTGGGTAATTTATAAAGGAAAGAGGTGTAATTGACTCACAGTTCCACATGGCTGGGGAGACCTCAGGAAACTTACAATCATGATGGAAGGCGAAGGGGAAGCAAGCATCTTCTTCACAAGGCAGCAGGAGAGAGAAAAATGAAGGAGGAACTTCCCAACACTTATAAAACCACCAGATCTCTGAGAATTCACTCACTATCTTGAGAACAGCATGAGGGAAGCTGCCCCCCATGATCCAATCACCTCCTTCCTTTGACAGGTGGGGATTACAGGTCCCTCCCTCCGCAGGTGAAGATTACAATACAAGATAAGATTTACGTGGAGGCACAGAACCAAACAATATCAACAGAATTATATATATGATATTCACTCATTAATAAATTCAAAATACATCTATTCATCTTAAATTAATTTTAATCAGAGGAAAGAAAGCACTTTTAAAAAACACCAAATAGGAAAACCATTATTCTTATTCTAGCTAGCAGAATATAATTTCCCTCAAGCACTTATCAGTTTTATTTGTGTCTATATTGAGTATATGCCCATAATTATGCTTTGCTTTGAGGTCACTTTAAACACTATAAGGATAAAAGATTAAAGAAGTGAATTGTTTTTCACCTCAGCTTATTTAAATTTGTTTTATGTTTCTTTATGGGTAGGGACATTGCATTTCACACACTCACATACCTGTTGGCACTTGGGAAAAGAACACATTTCTGAGTCTGAGGGCCTTCATGTATTGTAAGTGTATATATCTGGTTTTTTATAGTGATTGTGTCATAAGCATTTGCTGATGCATATAGAGTGTGAGCATGGGATGTGTGCGCTCTCACACATGAATTCATCCAGTCATGGAGTGCCTCTGGTATACTAGCCACATCGTTTTGTTTAGTAATTGCAATAACTCCATGGGCTAAGAATGATTATCTTCATGTTATATATGAGAAGAAAAAGGCCCAGAAAGCAACTTCCAAAGAACCTAAATTATAAATAACAGAGCCAGTCAATGCTTGTTTTTCCACATAATGTGCCCTCCACTAGAGCCCAGTAACAGAGATCTCTCTGTGTAGCATTTTTTTTCTTAACTTCAGGATTCTGTACCATTCAGACAGAATTGAGGTTCCATGTCCTAGGCCTGTCTCCAATAGAAATTCCATATGTTCCTTTACGTTTGCTAAAAGATTATTGGCTAAAGGAGAACACAGCAAACTCCATGATACAATTCTAATTACATATTTCATTGAAATAATGGTTTTTGTGGAACACCATCAACTCTGTCTAGCTAGACAGAGTCTGGGGATAAATTGCTGCGTGAATTGAAACTGAGGAGACACCCTGGAGCACAGAGCTGATAGATCCTATTGTTAGTGGTACATTCTAACTACTAGGGCAAATCTCTCAACTAGAGGTCTGTGAGAGAGCGTCTCAGATTTATAGACTATAAAATAAAATATAAAGTTGCTGCTTAAATGCAGAAAGGCATTTTGGGGGGATCAAATCCAAAGCTATATTCCATGTTTAAGGAGTTCCATGACCAAAAAGATATCCACCCACTGATGGAAAAGAAGCACATTACCCACCCTTCTGCCTCAACACAACATCTGTGCTAGTCCTGAGCACTGCGAGTGGCATGTGTATATCAGATTCAAGGGCACACAGTTAGTATTGAACCAAAGGGCCAAGGGAAAGGAACTTTCTTATCAGATTGAGAACCTTTCTTATGATCTTATGAGTTTTCTTGCTATCTCTTTTTTAGTTTTCTTCCTGTGTAGCTGGCGTGGAGAGAGAGCCTTGTGTAGGCTACCATTTGAGGGAAGGCTTCTGCTATAGAAAATCCTAGGAAGGCATCCTAGAAATGTTCCACCTTACACAATATGGAAATGTTCCTGTACCTTTGTGAGGGATTGTTCCTGGATTCATCTTTCTCTCTCTTTCTTGGATTTGGACATAAGACAATAATTGCTATTATTAGAATGTAAAACGAAGAAAAAGGGGGCAAGTTAAGGGCAAATAAATTCCTGGTTTTCTGTATTGTTACAGCCCCATGTGCTAAGGTCAGATGCCCAATAGAGAGATTTGGAAACAAGCCCCCCATGTTTAACGGGTATGTGAATTTAATTGAAAGTACCTCTCCTGCGCACCTCCCTTTGAACCTGTGGCAGCATTAACACCTGGAAATGAATTCAGCCTCTCAGGGTTCTAGTGGCTCTTCCACCTTTCCATCACAGAGACAAGAAGAACCAGGATGGCTATTAAATTGCTTCTTTGTAGAGAAGGCTGAGTAGCTGGGTGTGTTGTGTAACAGGGGTTGAGTTTCTGCTCAGCATCTGGGAAGAAGGTTTGGTCTGCATTAAAGACAGGCAGGGTCATTCAGGAAGTAAAGAACTCATGTGAGGAAAAGACTGTTGTAAGACACAGCCACTATCTGCCATCTATCTAGAGGTTAATTAAGTGAAGCCTCAGAAGCCTCTGGGAAAAGCCAACGGGGAATTAATTTTATGTCCTTTGGACACAGTTGACACAATTGACTTTCAGGAGGCCGTAGCATGGATGGCTAACTGTTAGAACTGCTGTGATTGGCATTCACTTTCCAACCTGGTGGCATTGGCTGGTGGGCCTTGAGGCAGCAAAGTGGCAAAGTTAAACAAAGATTAGTAGCACTAATGGGAGATGAATCAAGGCCAGAGGCTTCAATGTCAGTTCCATAGAAAAACAAAATCTGCAACAAGATTAATTAAAATAGTGCAATCTGCTACCCGTGTTAAAAGACACAACTGCAGGTGAGTGGTCTTCTGGGCTAGATATAGGAACTCCACTGTGGGCTCTCGGGACCAACTTGTTGAAGCATACTCCTAGGGCAATTGTGACTTTCCTGTTGTCACAAGACAAAAACCAGCCCAGATTTGCATCAAGGACACTGTAAGGGGGACAAAAGGATTGGCTGAGCTGAAGATAGAAGCCTAACAATGTAGTAATTATGATGAATAAGTACAGCGCGGTTACTATAATTAATAATAACAACATATTGTATACTTGAAACTTGCGAAGGAAGTAGATCTTAAGTATTCTCACCACAAAATTTAAAAAGTAACTATGTGAGATGATTGATATGTTAATTTGCTTGATTGTGGTAATTATTTCATAATGTATACATATATCAAAATACATTGTGCAACTTGAATATATATAATTTTTATTTGCTAATTATACCTCAATAAAGCTAGAAAGAAAACCTCAGAGCCATTGATTTTCTCAGTGGCTTGAATCACTTGGGAAAAAATGGCTTAGACAGGCAAATACAAAATGAGTACTTGTCTACATAACAGAGGAAGGCCAGGCAGGTGGATTCCATGCACGAAAACTATTTAAAACAACAGTGTGTTTGACATTTTTAAATATTGCAGAAATAACATATGTGGGTCATTTTTCATTCAATGGAAATAATTTGAGATAAGAAATAGAAGAAATTGGCCTGGCACGGTGGCTCATGCCTGTAATCCCAGCACTTTGGGAGGTCGAGGCGGGAGGATCACGAGATCAGGAGTTCGAGACTAGCCTGGCCAACATAGTGAAAATCAATCCTACTAAAAATACAAAAATTAGCCAGGCATGGTGGTGGCTGCCTGTAATCTCAGCTACTCAGGAGGATGGGGCAGGAGAAACACTTGAACCCGGGAGGCGGAGGTTGCAGTGAGCCAAGATCGCACCATTGCACTCTGGCCCAGGTGACAGTGAGAGACTCCATCTCAAAAAAAAAAAAAACAGAAATAGAAGAAATTTGATTTTATACCCTTAAGGTAAGTGAATAGATATATATACATATTTAAATTATACTTTAAGTTTTAGGGTACATGCGCAAAACGTGCAGGTTTGTTACATATGTATACGTGTGCCATGTTGGTGTGCTGCACCCAGTAACTCGTCGTTTACATTAGGTATATCTCCTAATGCTATCCCTCCCCCCTCCCTCCACCCCACAACAGGCCCTAGTGTGTGATGTTCCCCTTCCTGTGTCCATGTGTTCTCATTGTTCAATTCCCACCTATGAGTGAGAACATGCAGTGTTTGGTTTTTTGTCCTTGCAATAGTTTACTGAGAACGATGGTTTCCAGCTTCATCCATGTCCCTACAAAGGACATGAACTCATCATTTTTTATGGCTGCATAGTATTCCATGGTGTATATGTGCCACATTTTCTTAATCCAGTCTATCATTGTTGGACATTTGGGTTGGTTCCAAGTCTTTGCTATTGTGAATAGTGCCGCAGGAACTCAAACAAATTTACAAGAAAAGGTAAGTGAATATTTGATGCACGATTGCTCAGGTTCATATTTTATATGCAGTTGGAAGTTGCAGAAGGGTTTTCTCAAGCCTGTGGTTTGGAGTTTGAAGACAGCAGAGGGCGTGTGTCTGTAAGCACTCAAAACCACAGAGCTGAAGAGCCATCATTAACTGTCTGAAAAGAAATGGCAGAAATAACGCAAAGCAGAGATGTCAGAAGTCCTAAGGTCAGTTCCAGGTGTGCCTCTTTAATATGTTTGGCTTGGACCAAGTTGTTGAAGTTTTCAAGCCTAAGCTTTTCTAACTCTAAGTGAGGATGATAATAGTTGTTTCTATTTCATAGAGGTGTTGTGAAGAGTACTGGAGGTAATATATGCAAAATGCTCAACACAGTGCCTGGCACAAAATTAGTGCTCATTATAAATCAGCTGCTGTGGTATAGGTTGCTAGTTCCCTAATACACATGCTACTCTTCCTTTGTTCTAACAAAATCACAGTTTTGTTGGGAGTGCATTATGCCTACTATAATCTGTTTTCCAGGCCGTTTCGCAGGTAGAGGCGACCATGTAAAATAGATATCATTAATGAGATGCCAGGTAACTTATAGCCTCAAGGAATGCTCAAAAAGAGCAGAGGCAGTTTTTACTGGCAGCATTCATTTTGCTTTTACCTTTCTCCCTGGCTGGAATCATAGCTATGTTGCATGAGTGTTAGAAGCCACTTTGTGACCGTGAGGCAACCTAGAAGATAAAAGGCATGTATTAAAAATGATGAAATACAAATATTGAAAGGGCCAGGTATGGTGGTTCACACCTGACATCTCAACAATTTGGAAGGATGAGGTGGAAGATCACTTGAGCTCAGGAGTTTGAGACCAGCCTGGGAAACATAGCAAGACCCCATCTCAAAAAAATAAAAATAAAAAAATACTGAAAGATCTTAGGTCCCTGCTGATGGTGCACAGCTGCCATGACAACTCTCAATTGACCACCCATGATGACTAATTTTATGTGTGAACTTGGCTAGGTCATGGTACCCAGATATTTGGTCAAACATGTTTCTGTGAAGAAATTCTTATAGATGAGATTAACATTGAAACCCGTAGGCTTTGAATAAAAACAGATTACCCCCCATAATGTGGAGGGCCTTATCCAATCAGTTGAAGGCTTTTATAATTAAGACCAATTTTCCCTGAAGATGAGGAAATTCTGTCAGCAGACCGCCGACTGCCTCTGGACTTTAGATTTCAACTCAAACTGCAACTCTTCCCTGGACTTCCAGCCTGCCAGCCTCCCTGAAGATTTGTATCTTGCTGAGTCACCATCACCATATTGGCCAATTCCAGTTAAATCTCTCTCTAGATAATTATATAAAGATATAAAAGCAGATACATATATAGATGTGTGTAAATATGTATATATACCATATATAATCTTTTTGGTTCTGTTTCTCTAGAGAATTCTGACTGGTAAGCCACCATAAAATGTTTCGTTTCTCATTTAGTAAAATAAAACCCAATCTATTTACACCTCATTTCCATGTTTTTAGGCTTCTGCTGCTCACTGCCGAGCACACTCCTTACCTGTACATTAACTATTAAGAATTGGTCCAATGTTATGATCATCATCATGTGTCAAAAAGGCACAATTTGTTCCATCCTTAAATCCTATTGGTGATAAATTGTCTCCAGACTTCAAACATCATAGAAGAAAGCAGTAGAAACAATAAAAAAAAAAAATAAAAAGATGGAGCCTCACTGAACTTTCTTTTGATTATGCTGTTATTCTCAAGTCATGGTTTTAAGACACCAGGGTAACACTTGTGTGTCAAAAAGTGTCAGGCAATGAGGAAGACAGATGGGTTCTCACTTTAAGAAACCCAGTACCCTCTCTACATGTGCAGGCTGCATGAACAACCCTGAAATGAAACTAAGATGTTCATGAAGTTCTTTGAACTTGTTGTTTACCTGATATGGCTTAAGAGTAATGCTGCTGAGCACACTGAATATTCTGGTAATCTAATTAGTGTAATACCAAAGGGTATTATTCAAATATTTTAAGCTTCAGGCTTGGTTTTTAAGTGTAATTTTACACATTTGGTCTGTAGAGATGATGTTAAAATGATAGCCCTGCTCTTGAGCATCTCTGACCCTGTCATCTCCTTCTCAAGTCCTAAAGAATTCTTGTGGGACCCCTAGGGCTCTGTAGAGTCAAGATCGAAAAAGAAAAAAGCCTGACCCACAGTTTCCACTGAGGATATGTGTCCTTGTTCAGTATCGGAGCTTAGCAAAGACTAGAGTCAGGCTTATTTATCTTGATCCCGATTCAGTTTCATCTGTCTCATTCTATGTATTTATGACCATCTCTATATTCCATACACAAGTTGTACTGCAGGTGTCTTTTTCCCTTTTTTGTTTGGCAAATATTCACTCATTCGTGGTTTTACTAATAGCAAAAATGTTTTGCACATGAAATGATTCTCATCATACAAATAATTTCAAACAATATTGTTTACAAAGAATGCTCATTGCTATGTAGAAACAATTTAGCATATCAGAAATCTGGGAATCTATTGTGAGCTACGTTCGTGCAAGGACAAGTAGACCAGACATTCGAAAATCATAGGTAGCAGTGACCTATTTTGATCCTAACAGATAATTCTACCCTTTGTTTTTGAAAGATAATGTGAAGGGTGACTCATTGGAAACCTTGTAATTTATTTATGTATTTAATCATGTGTTGAAGAATGCTTTAAGGGTTTGGATTTATGTTTGAATATTTTAATGACCATATCAAAATACTTAGTCTGTTACCATTCAGCACGGCAAAGGTGCTCTCCTTGAGGGGAACAGGATCATTCATGTCATAACGTTACTTTGAGATAACATATGGAACAAACATATGAGAATATTAAAATGTTACTCATGTAGTTTCATCCGTCCAGACAGATTTATTATACAAAATACTCTACACAATTAATTTTAAGTCATATTGCTAAATATTGGTAGAATTTTCTAAAACACAGGGAAATATTACCTGGTAAATTTAATTAAGAAGTTATGAGGAGATTCAGTTTGAACATGGAGGCAAAAATTTAGTTTTCTATTATCTCATCTCAGAGGTCAAAAAAAAAAAACACTCATCAAAAAGAAAAAAATCCATTTTCAGTGAAATAAGGAGACAGCTGGGAAGCCAGACACCAAAACAGATGGAATAGCTACCAGGGAAAACACAGATGAAGCTAGCATACAGGAAAAAGTGAAGCTAACTGACCAGTAGAGAAGAGTCAGATACAATGGATCCCCAGCAAAGACAAAGGAAGCACAACTCTCTAAAGGTGAGAAGTACATGCTTACTTAAAAAAACACTAGGTTACTGTTTAGATGGCCGGTCCTAAGAAACAAGGGAGGCAGAAGCAGTGAGGACTGATATAAGAAAGAAGGAAAGAAAGAAAGAAAGAAAGAAAGAAAGAAAGAAAGAAAGAAAGAAAGAAAGAAAGAAAGAAAGAAAGAAAGAAAGAAAGAAGGAAAGAGAAAGAAAGAAACAGAGAGAGAGAGAGAAAGAAAGAAAAAGAAAGCTGCCATTTATATAGAATGTATACTTTCTCTAAAATAGTAAAAGAGAATCTTTGTATTCTGGGTTTCCTAATGAGCTGTTTATCTTGTTTAAGTAGGAAGAAGGAATGCATGATCAAACTCAGACAAAAAATAAGTGGATCTATGAAAACAAACAAACAATAACAATCAAAACTCCAATTAGCTTGGAACATGTCCAGACAACTCCCAAAAAAAGATCGCTTGCAAATAGTTGCTGCAGGGAAAGAGCATTTATCTCCTTCTATGATGTATAATGAAAGAGGAATAGCACAGACTTTGCAAGTACACTACATGAGAAGAAACGAATGGAATGAAAAATAACAGATTAAATGTTCTCAATACAAAGTCTTGCCATAGAGAAGATGAGAATGGTAATCAAAAATATGGTCAGAAATAATGTTTTCAGTTGGAAAAACAGCAAAAAGAAGAAACACGGAGAGATAGCAAGATAACTAGAGGAATTGAAAGTGATGCCAACAAAACACATTTTTTAAAGAAAGAAAAAATTAATCACAGAAATAAAGTGAAAACTTGAGGGGAAAGGAAAAGACACCACTTCTGTAAAAGCTGTCAGGAACACAGGAGACAAAAGTGAGAAATCTTCAAGTATCTAGAACTAGAAATACCATTTGACCCACCAATCCCATTACTGGGTATATACCCAAAGGATTATAAATCATTATACTATAAAGACACATGTACATGTATATTTATTGCGGCACTGTTCACAATGGCAAAGATTTGGAACCAACCCAAATGCCCATCAATGATAGACTGGATAAAGAAAATGTGGCACATATACACCATGGAATACTACGCATAAAGAAGGATGATTTTATGTCCTTTGCAGGGACATGGATGAAGCTGGAAACCGTCATTCTCAGCAAACTATCACAAGAACAGAAAAGCAAACACCGCATGTTCTCACTCATAAATGGGAGTTGAACAATAAGAACACATGGACACAGGGAGGGGAACATCACACACCAGGGCCTGTTGCGGGGTGGGGAGCTAGGAGAGGGATAGCATTAGGAGAAATACCTAATGTAGATGACAGGTTGATGGGTCCAGCAAACCACCATGGCATGTGTATACCTATATAACAAACCTGCATGTTCTGCACATGTACCCCAGAACTTGAAGTATAATAATAAAAAAAAGAAAGCAAAGCAAAGCAGAGGTAAAGAAAAAGATAAATTAAAAAAAAAAAAAAAAACGTACTACATCTCATACTGCTCACTGGAATGAATCCCTAATGGATGGATGGCTATATATAAAAAGGAAAACATAAAATATTCAATCAAAGTATGGATTAGTTTATAAGAAGGACATGAAAAGTTTATAAGAAGGACATGAAATTATGTTAATAAAAATTAACCTCCTGCATGGTAAAACCATTGTAAGTGGCACATCACTTGGATATAATATTTGCCACTTATAGGGAGCCAAAGGGCTAGCTAAAAGATGACGAGTATGATCCCACTATGCACAGCAAAGGAAATATTGAATGTTTGAAAATATGTTAGACTAAAACCACAATATCTTAAATATAAATTAAAAGTATATTGATATAACATTTTTCCTACCAATGGTCAAAAGATCTAAATTTGTGGCAGTACATATTTGGTAAAAATATCTATAAGTGGCAAATATTATATCCAGTGTTTGTGCTACAAAAATTAGACTATATAACAATTTAAAAAATGACTTTTTTAAATAATAATATGGAAGTATCACCAAGGGATATTAAGTAGGAAGCCATAAACGCACAGCAGTGTATATGGTTTGGAAAAAAGTGTGTGTGTGGTATGAGGAGTGGTGAAAAGAAAAAAGAAAAAGAGTTGGTGAATGAATGGATGGCTGGATGCAAGGGCAGACAGGTGGCTAAACGGAAGGACGATAGAATCACATGCTTGTATATGCATCAAATATCTGGAAATATATACAAAGAACTTGTAATGCTAATTATTTACTGCAGGTGAATCACGTGGCTGGCACAGGGTTTAGAGGGATACTAATCATACCTCGATATGTGCAATACTTACATGTTTGAACTGTGAACAATGTGAATGTAATACCAAATCAAAACCTAAATAATTTTTTAAAAAATATTGTAAGCAGTTAGTAGGAAAGTAACGTATAGGAAATTCCTGGATGATTTCAAGACAAAGAACTTTTACCTTGCTTGCAAATTTTAGCAGCTCCTTCTTTTGTCCAAGTTGATATGTGAACTCTTGAGATGCATGGAGTTCGGTGTTAAACTTTCAAGAATTTATTCGGACTTAGCCGCCAATGCCTAGGCAAGGCCAACTCTCTCTGTCCTGATGTTCTCTCTCCAGTGCTGATGCTCCATTCCAATTTCCTATGCATCTGGTTGTTTCTTCAGTTGTTCTATTCCAAGGAGTCTCAGGCCACATAGAATCTCCACTTAATTTATTTTCTTACATTTTTCCTGTATCTCTTTTCTTGTTTTTTGCTCCAGAGTCACATCCAAAGGACCGAATCATAAGACCAGTCATGTGTTCCTTTGCATTTAAGAAAGTTGAACCTGAAAAGATTAAACACTTTGTCCCAGGTCCACACAGTGTAAAAATGGAAGTGCAAAGTGCATGTCTTTTTTTTTTTTTTTTTTGAGACAGAGTTTTGCTCTTGTTGCCCAGGCTAGAGTGCAATGGAGCGATCTCAGCAGAACCTCCGCCTTCCGGGTTCAAGCAATTCTCCTGACTCAGCCTCCCAAGTAGCTGGGAATGCAGGGGCCCACCACCATGCCTGGCTAATTTCTGTATTTTTAGTAGAGGCGGGTTTTCACCATGTTGTCCAGGCTGGTCTCAAACTCCTGACCTCAGGTGATCCACCTGCCTCGGCCTCCCAAAGTGCCAGGAATACAGGCATGAGCCACCACGCCCAGCTGCAAACTGCTTGTCTTGAATCTCACCTTCAATATCCTTTATTTTACCTCCTATGTTCTTTTAAATATGCGTTAGTTTTCATCTTGGAGGAATTGTCATTGTAAACAAATCTTTCATTTCATTGACATAAATAGCAATAAAATCAACTTCAAAATATAAACAAAACACGCTTCTTTTCTTCTCATTTAGGAGACATACCTTCTATGTTATGAATTAAACATTATTTTAAAGTTTTAACAGTTTCAAATATTATATCTGGGTGGGGGAAAATAAAAAAATATATATCTTTTGCTCATATTTTACTCAGATTTTTTATACCTCAGTCAGCAGTTTGATAAAAACCACATGCTTACTTTGGTTTTAATGCCTTAAAAAAAAATCTAGTTATTCCCCAAGGATGTCACAGTTTGCTCACTCCCAAATCTGACATCATAATCCTTTACTCCCACAATTTGAATTAATAAGTATATAACTTACATACCCATCTTGAATGTATTTATTATTTATAATCTACCACATATCCTGACTGTGTAATTATAGTCTCCTCCCTGATTTTTGCAGGGGATAAGTTATCTTTCCTTTATTCTATCCACAAGCAATTTCACCTCTGCATATATTTTCAATCAGTCAGGATTTCACCTTCTGTCTATAGCCTACCTAGAGCCTGATGAAGGACTAAGCAAGAAATCATCTGCATCTGTCTTAAGTCAGTTTGCTGCTTTAACAAAATCCCATGAAATGGATGAATTATAAACAACGAACATTTATTTCTCACAGTTCTGGAGACTGAGAAGTCAAAGACCAGAGTACTGGCAGATTCAACGTCTGGTGAGAGCACACTTCCTGGTTTATAGATGAGTCTCTCTTGCTGAGTCCACACATCTACACATGGTGGAAGCAGTGAACCAACTCTCTGAGGTCTCTTTTATAAGGGTACTAATTCCCTTACAATATTCATTCACGAGGGCTCTGTCCACTTCTCAAAAGGCCTCACTTCCTAATATCATCACCTTAGGGGGAAGGATTTTAACATAGGAATTTTGGGAGGACATGAAAATTCAGATTCTAGAACCATCTGATGCTTTAATGTTTCTCTTGTTATCACTTTCTTTTCCCTTTGCTTTCAATCAGAAATTCATCGAATGAGTCATGCAATTACAATTTCTTTATCTTTTTTTTCTTTTGAGACGGAGTCTTGCTCTGTCGCCAGGCTGGAGTGCAATGGCGCAATCTCAGCTCACTGCAACCTCTGCTTCCTGGGTTCAAGCGACTCTCCTGCCTCAGCCTCCCAAGTAGCTGGGACTACAGGCATGCGCCACCCCCCCAGCCCCCCAAGCTAACTTTGTATTTTTAGTAGAGACTGGGTTTCACCATGTTGGCCAGTATAGTTTTAATCTCGACCTCGTGATCCGCCCGCCTCGGCTTCCCAACGTGCTGGGATTACAGGCGCGAGCCACCTCGCCCAGCCGCAGTAACAATTTCTTAAATCTCCCTTTCCCCTTCTTTTCTCAGATCTAATATTGACCAACGTCATGCATCAGAAAAAGAATCCCTTGGAGTATGTGAACATACAGTTTTATTCTTTACTCAATCCAGTTCCTCCTCCTTCATGCTCAATTCCATGTCTTAAAAACTTAAGTTTGGAATAGAAATTTATCTATTTTCTGTGTATAGATGATCTACAGCTGTAATAATGTTTATATTGTATGTCTTCTGTAATCTTTTTAAATAGAAGCAATGTTATTCATTTGTGACAAGTTTCATTTTTATTAAAGCCAGTATAAAAAAATCATTTCCAGTCCACTACAAAAGATACATGCTACATATTGTGGGTGATTGAAAACATTAATATGTCATATCTCTAGTTGTAAAAGCTCACAATCTAGTTGTAGAATATCCAGATATAAAAATAGCTCCATGACAAAGCAATTGCTCTTCAGAGATGTACTATAATTACAAACAACGCCCAAGGGATGACACAGCTCATTGCATTCAGGGGAATATAAGACGGTTAGACACAGTGTGGAATTTCAATTGTCTCATAATTTTTGCAGAATTTTATCTGAAGGCAAAAGAGGGTTGAAGAACAGAAAGTATACGACAAGCCCATTCCAACCTCGAATGCTAACTTCAAGGTCGGAGAAATCATGACAAACCAGTATGACAAGAAAATAAAGCAGGGTAAATAAATGTCTGCAGCGAGATATTAGTCTCAAGCATAAAGACTTGGAATTTGGAGCTTAACAAAAAATGTAAGATATTTTAGTTCATGCAATGGATGAAGAATACAAGATTGTAAAAGCGCATTGTTGGATAAGGTCACAAACATGAACAGGGTCAAATTCAATATTTGAATTTATATCATCCACATCCCAGACAAGGGGTCTTTCTACATGATCACCTGCAGGCCAAAGGCACATGCCCATGAATATCAAGAGGAGTCATTTTGCCCTTGCTCTGTAATATTCTTTGAAGTCAGTGGAGATGTAAAAGAAGCTGTGGAAACCACATGAAATTTCCTTCACAGAGTTTTAAAGATTCCACTTTTTATGTGACACATTTTGATAAAATCAAGAAAAGAGACTTGATGCGAAGTGTGGTAGAAGCTGAGAATGTCATTCCAAGCTTGTAGAATGGCCGAGCATGCCATTGCATGAGGGAGTCTCAGCAGCAGAGGAGCAGGTCAGAGCAGGCCAGAGACAGAGTCCAAAGGAAGAGTGAAGGGCTCCAATTCCTAATGGAAGCATCATCCACTGTGAATCATTAAATCTAATGAGAGATTTAAGCAACTTCCAAGCCATGATGACCTCCTAGAGTCAGACATTTGTTATTATTATTAGCGTTGTTGTTGTTACTTATCTATAGTTATCATCACTACAGAGGGACCTTGACTATATCCACTTATTATTTCTGAATGCCCTTAAGCCCCAAAATTGCATGTTTTCAAAAAGGGTTCAGAATTCATGTGTGGTTGTATGTTTATTTTGAGGTATGATAGCAAATAAAGATTTTACATGGATTTTTAGCTACGTACATAGTCATTGAAGTTTTAAAATAACTTCACAAGAAAGCATGTCTTCAGCTGTGTTTCTATACTCCTTCAAGGCATTATGAAATAGCGTTGAAGATCAATCAATTTTAGAACCTTGTTCCCTGGGCTGAAATTCTAGCTCTGCCATAACTTGTGTGACTTCTGACCCTTAATTTTCTCACTTGAAAAATGGGGATAATTATATTAGCCCCCATCATACAGCTGTTGTAAGGATTGCCTATTAATATATAAAGCACCTATAATGCTGCCTATTACATACTAATTTTTCTAGTGTTACCTATTATTATTGTCAATGGTAAGATAATCTGCAGTCTTTTTATAGTAGTTGAGTAAATTAGAGCTATAGTGTATAATTCCTATGATTTTGTACCATTGTAAATAATTCAAACAGAAAAGCATAAAGATGATTATTTCAGCTGGGCATGGTGGCTCATGCCTAAAATCCCAACATTTTAGGAGGCCGAGGTGGGAGGATCACTTGAGCCCAGGAGTTTGCAACCAGCCTGGGCAACATAGGGAGACCCTCATCTTTACAAAAAATGTAAAAAAAAAAAAAATTATTTATTTATTTTGAGATGGAGTCTCGCTGTCACCCAGGCTGGAGTGCAGTGGTGCGATTTTGGTTCACTGCAACTTCTGCCTCCCGGGTTCAAGTGATTCTCCTGCCTCAGCCTCCTGAGTTGCTGGGACTACAGGAACATGCTGCCACACCCAGATAATTTTTGTATTTTTAGTAGAGATGGGGTTTTGCCATGTTGGCCAGGCTGGTCTTGAACTCCTGACCTCAGGTGATCTGCCTGCCTCAGCCTCCCAAAGTGCTGGGATTAAAGGTGTGAGCCACTGTGCATGGCCAAAAAATTTTTTTCAAAATAGCCAGGCATGGTGATGTGCACCTGTAGTCCCAGTTACTCAGGAGGCTGAGGCAGGAGGATTGCTCGGACCTGGGAGGTCCGAGGCTGCAGTAAACTATGATGGCCCCACTGACTCCAGCATGCGTCATAGAGTGAGACCCCATCTCAACCATAAAAAGATAATTAATTCATAAAATTTTCAATGCAAGCATTGAATTGAAATTCTGCACATTTTACAACTTCATTTTGTTTGGACACATATGAGTAACACAAAAGCATTCATACATGATTTCTTTTGTCAAGTAAATTTGCAAAAAAATAAAATATCGAACTTAGTAAGAAATTTTACTTGCATATGGAAAAAAGTTAAAGCTAAACTTCTCAATATCACAGTGAATAGCATAGTTCCCTCCATGGTTCTAGAAGAGAGAATGAACATGAATACATTAATTAAACTCTAGAGTAAGCAATTGCACATTTACTTTCATTGACCAATATGTAGTAGTTTTTTATTTGATTCACTCTGAGACTAACTACCATTTATATTGCAAATTTCTGCACATAAAGAATTAGATATTTACACACATAAAGAGATAGAAATTTACATCTCTTTTTAGCTTGAAGTATCCCAAATTAAGTAAGCCCCTAGCTATCCTCTTTTTCTTGACATGTATATTTTTAACCCTCTCTCCAATTCTACCACTCATCAGCTGCTCTGCCTGCGTTGCGGCCAACTACTCAAGCAGGCCCATCATTCAGCCATGGAACAGGCTGTACCCTGTAGCTTAGGCACCTCTCCACAGGTAACTGCAAAAACTTGCAAAGGAAGAGAAAACCATTTTAGTGAAATTTTTCAGAGCCACTATAATTTCAAAGGATTTTTTTTTCTTTTTTGTCACATGCCTCACTCCCAACAAACACATTTCTTTGAAGAAATACCAATATTTTGGCCCCCAGTCTCTATCTGCTAGACTTCTTCTTCCTACCTGGAAATAACATAGAAACTCTATCACTTAGATAAAGATGTGCTTGGTGTATCCACAATTAAACTCTGCTTTCGCTGTGTCTCCTGATATAAGGGTTTGTATGGGAGCCTCTACCCTCTCCTCCCATGGTAAGACCATAGGTTACTTTTTAAAAAATTCTATTCACTTAATAGTATATCATTTTAAAGCAATTAATCTTTAAGGTAAAAAAACTTTGTAATTTCTGCCTTATTGTTACAAACAAAATTAAAGATGTTAATTGTTAATGTTACAGAAAACAATTGACGTTATTAATTTTATTAACCTTATACAATTATTATAATAAACTATCTTCTGCTTCACATCAGATAATTGTCAATTTGCCTTCTTGAAAACATTCCATTAAAAATTTGTCTATTGCTTAATTCAATGGATATACACTCATTTTATGACCCTCGTGTTCATCTCAACCAACAAGTAAAAGCATAGGAGACGTGATGTGTAAATAGCAAGAAAGGGGACTGAGAGAAAAATGGATGAAATGCAGAGCTAGGGTCTGTGACATGTCAGTCTCTAGCAGGAATGAATAGAGAGCCTGAGTCTGGCCTCGCGCCAAAAGCAGGTGGATGCAGTGGCTAAGGAATGAATGTTTTCATCACCCTCAAATTTCCTCCTCTCCCTGTGCCATGGACCATCTCTCCCCATTCCTAGCCCAGGTGACCACTGATCTGTTTTCCATCACTATAGCTGTGTCTGTCCTAGAATTTCATTTACATGAACCATATAGTATTATATAATTTATGGTGCCTGGCTTCTGTCTTTTTCCATAATGTTTTTGAGATTGTAGTTGCATGCATCAATGACTTTTTTCTCTCTTTAACTATTTATCTACATGTCAGGGTTTTTCTTTATTTGTTTATTGCTGAATATTCTATTTATACATATACCACAATTGCTTTGTCTGTGAATTCTTGATAGCAGTGGAGGTTGTTTCCGGTTTGAAGCCATCACGAGGGAAGCTGTCTTGAGCATCTGGTTACAAGCCCATAGGCATGTTTCTATTTCCCTTGATTACATAACAAGAAGTGGCCACGCTGAGTTTGGTGACAAGTGCCTGCTGAGCTGTTTTCCAATGAGGCTCTGCCGTTTTGAATTTCCACCAACTGTAGGAGCTTTCCAGTTGCTCACATTCCCAACTACATTTGAAAATAAATAAATAAAGCAGCTATTTTGGGGTTGTAGCGACATCTGAGTTTTAATTTTCATTTCACTGCAGATGTTGAGAATCTTCACAAGTGCTTAGCTGACATTATGCATCTTTTGGCCGAGTGTATTTTTAAATAATCTGACCATTTACTTATTGAATAGTTTATTGATGAGTTAAGGAGTTTCTCCAAAGGTATATGTCTTTGTGAATATTTTCTTAATAGTTAAGAAGCCAGCATATCTGTGCATAGTAGATATGCAATAAATATTGGAAGAATCTGATTCCAAAGATATCTGAATCTGAAAGATTGTAATTTGATTGTAATTTGATTACAAAAGAATACTAAAACACTTTATAATACATATAGATACTTCAAAGTTGTTTGATGTACCTAGATAAAAAGTAACTCCACTGTTGCTCAATCAAATCTAGAATTAGGATATCTCTACTTTCACCAAGTTTTAATAAGAAGCTGTACAGGAAAACTGTTAGTATTCCTCATTATCATGGTGGATGCAACAGTACCAGATGTGACACTCTAAAACTTGCTTTGTGTCCCTTATTTAAACCTTCGTGTGCCTTATTTAAATTATTATTATATGAAAACATAAGCCAAATAATGTAGCATTTAATAGCCCACACCTGGGAGTCAGATGGTCATGTGTTTCTGACTTTGGCAACTGACTTAACCTCTCAAAGCCTCAGCTTCTTCATCTTCAAAATGAAGAAAAACTTCTTAACTCATAGGGTTGTTGTACAGATAAAAGAGAAAACAACTATAAAACACTCAGGATGATGCTTGACGCGTAGCCAATGCCTAAAACACTTTAGTTTATTATTTTGATAATTATTATCAGCTTCAATGAAAATGTGAAATTTAAATACTAGCATAAATTCGTTGGAAATCTATAGAGGGAAGTAATGAGATACAAATGTAGGCCTTCATTTATATGGTAATTTTAATATTACAAATGTGTCTGAGATTTTACTGTTTCATGACACTTAAACTAACTTATTTTCATCTTCTTCCCTGTCATATCCCAAATAAGCTGTGTTGCCACATCTTAGGGTATTAGGTCAGTGGCCTTAATTTCTCCGCCCCCGCCCCCCACCTTTTTTTTTGGACAGTATGCATTCACACCATTTGTTTTCTATTCCAAAAAGGAAAAGAAAAAAAAAAGGCTAGAGCTAATGACATTTTCTAACGCCTTTCCAATTCCTCTATATTTTGTCTAATTTATGTAGAGTAAAGGGAATCACTCCTTGGAGGTTATTCCTGGCACATTCACAGAGCTTAGAGCAAAGGAGTCGGGTAGGCTCCCGCGATCAGTGCGGACTGCAGATGTCATGCAGAAACTCAAAGAACTGTGTCTGCAGACAGTTGGAGACAAAACTTCAGTGCTAGGGTCAAGAGCAGTAACTGTGGGCAACACTTTCTAATGAGCAAGGTTCACATGGGTTATGGACTTTTGGCCTGCAGACTGTGATTACAGATATGGTTCAGGAGACATTCTGTACAAAAATCTGGACAAGATATTTAATGTGGATTTGTTTAAATGAAAGAAAATAATTCATGGAGAAGAGCAAAACCTTAAACTAAAAATACATTTAAATGTACATATGTAGAAATACATCACATACAAACTACTAAGATAAGCATATAAACTACTAAGATATGCATATAACACACATGAATTTTTAAAATGCATATTATACTTATATTGCTACTTTATGTTTCTTATAGTAAATATCAATCTCATCATTCTAGCTTATTGGTACAATCAGTAGCTAAATGAGATGAAGGATTTAGGAACAGGCCATTTATCTTCTATTTTCATCTTCTGGTTCCTGGTCACTCCAGTCTGCTTATGTTAATATATCCCTCTTTGATTTAATTTCCTACCTTTCTGTCCAAACTTCTTCTCAGCTCATAGCTAATACATTTTTGCAAGTGTTCTAGAACTTGATAGCTAAAACGCTATAAGTTAAATTTTGAAAGCACATGCACTTCATTAGCAATATTTGCAATGTGTAGTGATATTTAATTTTCTCTCCTTTTGCACGAGTATCTTTAAATGTGGCCACTTCAAGGGATGTTTTGTAAATGTACTCAGGAAAAATGTCTGGTTCAAAATTTCCGTGAATTTCTGTCTGCAGCTGAAATTGCGGAATTGTTAGAGGGGCACAGCATTAGACAAGCAAAGAAAAACTTTCCAACTAGTTTTATTTTTGAACTCTCTATTAGAATAAACATTAGCGTTTTTTTGATCGTGCCCTGTTAGTCCTTCCTCTTCCACTCATCCAAAGTACCCTCACCACTTAAGGGTGTCTGCACCATTGCTCAGGCCCCATCCAAACACTGGTGCTGTTCCCTACATTCAGAATTGTCAGGAAACTTGGCCTCTTTTCTTTTCCCAGTTTTTGTGGTTGTGTGGTTTTTGTTTTTTTTGTTTTTGTTTTTGTTTTCGAATGTATAGAAGGAGAAGAAATATCTGTAGGTTTTTGTCCTAACGATCTGCTAACAAATAACCTTACTGAACAATTTCTTTGGCCCATACTTTTGCAGGCCTCCTGCTGGGCACCTCCTTGAGTCTAATGCCCACCTATTCCTCCCTAAACTATTTAGAAAGACTGAATTAATGCTTGGGGTAAACTGCTAAAATGGAAAATGTTAAACATCGACGAACAAATCTGGATTTGACCCAGTGGACATAACAACCTGAGCTAAATCAAAAACCAAGGATAATTCAAATTTAAATAAAACTTATTTTTTTTTCTGATAGGCAAGGAAACAAACATGAGAAATAACTGGGGTTCAGCTAAAATGTCATTGAATTTCCATTAGTAAAACCAGAGCATTTTATGCATACATTTAAAAAACTCTAGTAAATTTTGAAAACAAATAGTTGAAAATCCTGATTAAGCACAACCTCCACCAAGACAACAGCCCATGATTGGTGTTTACTGTGTTGGTTCAGCCCCCACCATGGGGTCTACCAAGAAAAACAGTACTATTGATTTAATCCCTTTCTGGCAGACCTTTAACTGAAACTTAATTATGTTGCTTTTTGTCTGCAACCTTCCCCCAAGGTTTCTGTGATATTAGAATACCTCCTTTAAGTGTTATGAAAAGAGCATTAGAGAATTTTTCCTCTGATTATTTCATAACATAACATAGCAGTTCCTTCTGCCAGCAAGCCCACACAACTGTTTTCAATAAAACAGCTTTTATTTTTTTTCCATTTTATAAAATATAGATTAAACATCAATTAGTCATAGCTCAGTTTTCCCATTTTCCTTTTACAATAATCTTTTTATGGCTAGCTCTCAAAGAACACAAATAAGGTCCTCTAATATGTGGACAATGGCACAGTCTTCTGTTTAATAAAGGGTGAGGATACTTGGTTTTGTCAATCTTGAAATGTTTTGCAATAATTTCATGCTGAGCAATTATTTCTATATTTCTCAAAAGGTGGAAATTTTGAAAGCATGGGGTAGTACGTATTTTTATAGCTAGAAAAATCTTTTTAAATGGGTATGGCATTCTGGATTTCTTTCCTTCCTCCTCTTTAAACTCATAAAATGGAAAGTGGTCAAACCAAATGTGTACTAACCATAGCAGCTTCCACGTATTATGGTCACCAGTGTCGATTCTTGTCATTTTTGTTTACTATTATTGGCTTGTCACAGTCTCCATATATCCAAAAATAATTGAAAATGAAAACAAACTTTTGTATGTGTCCTTTTTCTCCCCAGCAATGTGTCAGCCTGGGAAAATGTTCTCTTTGAAAAGAAAGCAGAGCTGACATATAATTGTTGCCTTTACCCCAGCTGTTACTGACATTACACACTGAACCTTCCTTGGAGACACAAAACCAATTTTGATGTGACACTCTGAAAAGTCACCACTGGTACTTTACAAATAGTTCAAGTTCACAGAAATCTTGTCCTGGACACTTTCGTGTAAACCTCTGGAGGACTTTTCTTTCTTAGGAAAAGCTGTGTTTTTATTGATTTTGCAAATTGTAGACTTAAGGTCTAACAAAGGAAAAGCTATCAAGAGAAAAAAAAGCTAAGTACAAAATCAATGTTTTTGCATTGAGATTTTACAAAAGCAATCCCATACAAATATTATTGTGAAAGAAAAGTTGAAAATACGTTTAACTTTCAAAATTTGTGACAGGAATAGACAAACTCAGTGTGCATTTGATTAATGGGACATTTGGTAAAATATTTAACTTTTATTACATCTAATTCAAGGTTTTTTATTAAATATTATTGTCAGAGTATTCTATTCATTATATTGATATTTTGTTAGTAGTATTCTTTCTTTATTGTAACTTTTCTTATTCAATCATCAATTTGTTACTCAACAATATTCTCATCAAAACTATTTTTGTAGTGTCATCTGATGAGTAACTAGTGCTGTGTGAGTTTCCTTTCTTGTCAGTAATTTCTAAGATAAAAGAATATGCCTTTATTTCATTCTTTCCTTTGACTCCTCTTACCAAGGCTGAAATACCTTGTAGCTCCTAAAGAATTAAGTTGGTCAGTCCTCTAAGAAAAAGAGAATTGGCCAACATCATTAACATAGCAAAGGACCAAGACCTCAGCGGTCTTACTCTATTTCTGAGGTTGCTGACCATCTAAACTACACTGGCCAATAACCAAAATAGTTCATCTGACTCAAAAGTAAACTGGCCTAATGCTCATGCTGTAAATTATATCACTGTAATTACTAGCTCTTTTTTCTCTCATTTCAATGCATGAGGAAATTTACACTTAACTACATGGATTGAGTTGCTAAAGATCAATTTCCTAACAAAATGTCAGTATGAAAAAACATCCTTTTGAGAAATAATGAACTCTTATCTATGCTCTTTTCTTGTCATCAACTTTTAATGATATTCTCATTATATGAGATCCTTAGGGTGAGAAGAAATACATTTAATTTATAAAGTTTATGATTTACCTTCACATTACTGCTATTTCAAAGACAGCCATTTTTATACTTCACGAAAATTTGCTTTGTCCTAAACCAATATAGATAGATTGATGTGTAGCTGGATAGATAGCTAATAGATCGATAGATCAATAAACAGATGACTGATAGATTCTTTTGCTTTTTTTTTTCCCCTTGAGACGGAGTCTTGCTCTGTCGCCCAGGCTGGAGTGCAGTGGCGTGACCTCGGCTCATGGCAAGCTCCGCCTCCCGGGTTCACGCCATTCTCCTGCCTCAGCCTCCCGAGCAGCTGGGACTACAGGCGCCCGCCACCACGCCCGGCTAATGTTTTGCATTATTTAGTAGAGACGGGGTTTCACGATGGTCTCGATCTACTGACCTCGAGATCTGCCCGCCTCGGCCTCCCAAAGTGCTGGGATTGCAAGCGTGAGCCACCACACCTGGCCAACTGATAGATTCTTTCACATTCACTACAAGAAACAAGTTCCCTAACAAATTTTGATATACTTAGATCCATAAAGACACAATGACAAATCCCATTACATTTAACAAATGCTTATTTGATGCAGGATCGAGCAAAACATTATATTTGCACTGTAATAAATAAGGAAATGATTATGATCTGCTATCTAACTTACGCACTTTTAGTAATAATTCAAATTACAGTAATTGATTGAGTTTTTTCTAAGTGCTATGCATTGTCCTAGGTTGCCCAAGGACATGTGGGTTGTAAGTGAAATAACCATAATTTGAACCCTTGTCTGTTGGACCTGAAAAAATCCATATTTGGTATATTTGACCATACCAATCCAGGAAGGAGCTTGACAATTACACAAATCGCTCGATAATTGAGCAAAATGTGATCATTGTCGTTTGACATATAAATATTTTTACTGAAATTCACATAGATTAGTGGTCATCCGTGGCTGGGAAGGCTAGAGGGAAGGAGGGGATAGAGAGAAGTTGGTTAACAGGTATACAATTGTAGTTAGATAGGAAGAATAAGTTCTAGTGTTCTATAAAAAAGTAGGGTGACTATAGTTAACAATAATTTACAGCGTATTTTCTAATAGATAGATGAGAGCATTTTGGATGTTCCTAACACAAAGAAATAATAAATGCTTGAGGTGATACGTATACCAATTGCCCTGATTTGATCATTACACAACATATACATGTATCAAAATGACACATGTACCTTATAAATATGTACAATTATGATGAGTCAATTAAATAATTAAAAAAGAAACTGATCTTACTAAGGTTGCCAATGGCCTCCACATTTCTGAATCAAAATTTTAGTTCTGACTCATCATTTTACTCTCAGAATTATCCAGTGTTGTGCTACTTAACATTGTGAGCTGGATTTTTATTTATAATTTTAAAAATTGAGGTGAACAGAAGCATCTGCACAATGTAGGTGGGGTTTATTAGTTCACTACTTTGTGTCTAGCTCTGCCATCATTTCACGTAGTAGTGTGTGAGATGAACATGTCATGAATGTGTTCTCAATTTTAGATGCAGTTTAAATCAGAAAGAAGCACACCAAACATTCTTGACCCATTCTCTTTTCTCAACCCTGTCCAGCTATAACATAACTAACATCTTAATTAGTATCATTATTATTTTAGCTAACACCTTTTCAAGGGCAGAATGCAGAGTGCTAAGATAGATACTTCCTTTGATCTCGGGCGATTTTGAGAAATTTATGTAATGCTGCTGCTCCTTGCTGGTCACTATTAGTACCAGCCAGTTCAATAACCTGGGAGATGCATGAAGTCACTGGGCCTCTGTAAATGGTGTCAGTGAGGAAAACAATGGGAAATTACAGGTTAGGTATCATGAACTAAAGAGTCTGGATGGACACTGGTCTGAAAGCTCTGTACTAACAGTATAAATCCACAACTTTCAAAGTATATTTCATTGTGGGTAACACTTTGTAAATTATTTCAATAAATCTTTTAAGCAAAAATGAACACAAATTTAAAAAAAGCGTGTTTCAGGGAATTTTACTTATTTAAGTTGTGTTACTTGAGAAAGTTAATGATGAACTATAATTTTTATGAAATTATTGATCATTCATTTATCATTCCCCATGAGTGCCATCTTGATGTCACTAACCACATGAAAACCAAAAACCATGAATTCGCAGAAGAATTAGCATCTAATTCAAAGGGTCACTTTTAGTTTAGGAGAACCATGCCTGAAGAAAACAATTTGGCACATGAAGCAGAGACGTGCATATCCATCACTCTGAGAGTGCCTGGTTATTAAGATCAAATGACTGTTGTTCTGACTTAATTTTGTTCAAATTCAAACCCAAATCATATTAATTTTCTAAGGTTGTCATAAAAAAAAAGTGCACGCATGCGCGCGCGCGCACACACACACACACACACACACATACATGCACACACACACATAGACTGAGTGGATTCAACAACAGAATTTTATTTCCTTCCGGTTCTGGTGCTTGGAAGTTCAAACCAAGATGTCAACAGACTTGGTTCCTTCTGGGGCCTCTCTCCTTGGCTTGCAGACGGCAGCTTTTTCGCTGTGTCCTTACAGGCCCTTCCCTCTGTGAACACCCATCCCTGGTGTCTCCTTGTGCATCCAAATTTATTCTTTTTATAAGGATGCCAGTTATGTTGAATTAAGCACCTCCCCACCGTGTCAGGTGATTTTGACTTAATCATAAAGGCCCCATCTCCAAATACAGTTACATGCTGAGGACCTGGGAGTGAAGGCTTCAAGATATTAATATATTTGGGGGGAATAATTCCACTCATAAATTTTCTTATACCCACATATAAGTGACATGATTTCTACTTAACAGTTGGCTACATTAGCAGAATAATTATTTTAAAAGTTCAATGATGCCCGTTTAAAATCTGGTAAGAATTTGCTTCAAATCGATTTCAGTTAACTTATTATCAAAAATGGTTTATTTTGCCAGGCACAGTGGCATGCACCTATAGTATCAGCTACATAGGCATCTGAGGCAGAAGAATTGCTTCAGCCTGGGTGTTTCATGGCAGCCTGGGCAACATAGCAAGATCCTGTCTCTAAAAAATTGTTTATTTTTATCCAATGTATAAAAAAAATACCATATTGGTGGCAGGCAAGAGTTTGTGCAGAGGAACTCCCATTTATAAAACCATCAGATCTAGTGAGACTTTCTCACTATCACAAGAACAGTATAGGGAAAATCACCTCTATGATTCAGTCATCTCCACCTGGCTCCACTCTTGACAGCCTTGACACGTGGAGATTATTACAATTGAAGATGAGATTTGGGTGGGGACACAGCCTAACCATATCACCACTTATCCCACTTTTTCCGTGCCTTCTCCCCACTGCCTACTGCAGCCACAAGTTTGAACTTGGAACCTTTGCCCTTGCTGGTCTCACTAATGAAATATTTTTTCTCAGATATCTCCAGGGCTCCTTCCCTTCCCTTCTTCTAGTCTTTCCTTAAATGTTGCCTTTTCAGAGGTCATGCTATTAAAATTGCAAGGTACCCCTCAAGCAACAGTTACTTTGGATCACTCTTGCCTGGTTCTACTTTTTTCATTTTCATAGCATTAGAATCACTGAATATTTCAGTTTAAAGACAATGGATTGTAACTCTTGTCCTAACATAATTATAAGTAGGACAAACTTTCACTCTCCAAACGTGTCCCAAAAAATAAGTAGTATGCTCACCCCATATAAAAAGCACTTATTTACTATATCTATTGTTTTCACACTCTAACATGAAATCTAGGGGCTCAGGGAGTTTTATGTGTTCCAGTCACAGTTATGTCTAAAGTGTGAAGAATATTCTTGGCACAGAATAGTCATAATAAATATTTGTAATAATTAAATTGACTTTAGGAAACTAAAATTAGATGAAAAAACTTACAATAATGAGGTATTTTAAAAGCACCATGGCCTCTCAGACTAAAGTGACCAAGTCTGTTAGAGGGAGTGAAGAAAGATTCTCAGAAAAGTTGACACTTGACATATGTTTTAAAGACTGGTGGATTGTTTGTCACACAAGGAAATGATAAATGCTTGAGGATGGATACCCCATTTCCCTTTGATGTGATTATTACATATTGTATGCTTGTATCAAAATGTGTCATGCATGCCATAAATATACATTTATACACCAAATATGTATCCATAAACATTAAAAATGTAAATAAAGAATGATTCTGAGACAAATAAAAGAAGAGGAAGAAAAGGAAATACCAGACATTAAAAAAATCAGTACCACAGGTAAAACATCATGATGACATAAAATGCTGTGGTGTGTTCAGAAAACAATGGGAATTTTGACATGGATGAACACAGGATGTAGGAGGCATCATGGAGAAGATACTGGAAGCATAGGTTGAAAATAGAAGATAAGCTTTTGGACAAGAAGAATTTTGTATATAATAGTGGGATTCAGCAAGGAAGAAGCAGGAGCTGGGGTGGTCTCCCGCACTGCTCCCCACAGACTTCGGCTTCTTCCTCGGGACAGAGGGTAACATTGCAAGGTCATACTCTTTTGAAGTTAGATGTGACCAAGTGACTTGCTTTGGCCAAACAGTGAGAGCAGAAATGGTAGGTGCCACTTTCAGGCAGAAGCTTTAGGAGTCAAGGTCAACCTCGTGATCACTTTCTCCTTTCCTGGCAATCGTGGATTCATGAAGGAAGAGGGAGCCTCTCACAGCTTGGGTCCCTGAGTGTGGTTGGTGTAGAGAAGAGCGCCCCACCCAAGCCTGCCACAGTTGTCTGCTGGGGGAGAGAAATGAAGCATTCCTGTTTTAGGACTGAGCTACCCTTTCATTTTTCTATTTTTTTTTTAACCATAGCATAGCTTATTGCATTCTAATCTAAATATCTTTAAACAATGAAGTAAAATTATTACCCAAGTAAACATTTAATTACTCTGTAAATTGTGATGTAGAATTTCCGCATTAAAATATATATGATATAATTACTTAAGAATTTAAAAATTATTTTTGTAGCAAAACTAACTAGAAAAAAGGAAAATACATGACTATTGGCAATTTGGAGTTCTTAATCCTAAGTAACACATCAAATATGCTAAATTTGCTCTAACTGAGGTAGTAAACTGTGGTGTTGCATGCTTATACATATTTAAATAAACAAATAATGTATTAGAAAGTGCTTTAATTTATACTTCACAAAAGGTGAAAAATATCTATGTCTTTGTTCATTTCTTGAAATCCTTATGTTTCATTTATATTACATAACAAAAACATAAAGTGTTATTTTTGCAAGTATCTATTATTTTATGACAAAAAAGGCATATTTTTGTTGTAATCAACATCTTTGGTACAAAAAACATGTTTAATTCCCGGTTTGCTGTGCCAAGGAAATCATCAAAGTAGACAAGGGGTTGTCTGGGTGTGTAATAGCTCAGTGAGAGTTGGTAAAGAATGGCAGACATATAAAGGGTTGGCTGTTTTATTTTATTCCCATACAGTATGAAAAGCAATAGTGCATCAAGTATTTTATGCACTGGAAATCTAACTCTCTAGAGCTTATGTTTTTAAAGGTTCAGCAACTGAGCAGAAAGAGTCTAGATCAACAAATTAAGCTATGTTCACACTGATTGGCAGGGGCAGATGCAATTCCTTTCTTTCTTTCTACCAAGGAGGTCACATCTCAGAGGAAAATGAAAATCTCTGCATCTCAACCTGACACATTCCATTTGGTTCTCGAACATGATTCACCTAAGAAGTTATGAGTATGACACAGTTAATTTAGCAAGCACAATGGTTTGTTCAATAACATTAACCTTCTATAAAAACATCCCCATCTGTTTCCTAAAGTAAATATTATAAGATATAGGTACAATTAAAATTTTAGGCAGTATTCTACTCTATGGAATGTCAAAAAATCCAATAAAATGAAATTACATAAATATTTTTCATAAGATATAATGAATAAAAAGTTTAAATAAAGGTGTCTGCACTTTTCAGGATATGCTTTTTTATATTATGCAGAAATAGTCTTTGGTGGTCAAAGGCCATTGAGACATTATTCTTAGCTAAAGGAAGATATTATATCTTAATAAAATATTAGAACAAAATGGAAACTCTCTAACATGGCCTACAAGACTTTACATGATCTTATCCCTTTCCAATTTAATTTTATATCATTTTCCCCTTATTTATTTTTGTTAAACCACATTGGCTTTCTTTCTGTTTTCTTTAGAAGTCAACTCTCCTTCCCGCCTGAGGGCCTCTGCTCTTTCTATTGCTTGGAATCTTCTCACGATGGACTCAGCCTTTCTTTCACTCTCCACTCCAGTGTTGCCTTAGAGAGGTTGTCTCTGACCTGCCAATTGGAGGTAACTCCCTTTTTGCTCCTTTTATTCACATATAAGACTGTTGCATTTTTCTCTTATCAGTTATCAGTATCTAATATCGTCGTTTTTATTTTAATAGGTTATTATGTGCCTTTCCTATGAAAATAATAAATATTATGAAAGCAGGAATCTCCTCTGTCTCATTAAAATTTTCCTTACATTCCACTTAAATTTGTTGCATGAGAAATGAAAGCTTCTTTTTCCCTTTAATTTCCATGAATTCATTTTATGAGCAGTTCTTAGATATATTATACTTCCTTACCTTTTACATTGAAACTACTGAAATGAAATTTACATAATTTATTTTCTATAAAGGTGTTTATGTATATTTTCAAAAAGCTCATATGGCATATAATACAGGCAGGTATGTAACGTTGAGATCATCAAGATAATTTGCTATATAGGTCTTTGAACTTCTGTAGTGACCAATTTTATATCTGTTTATTATCTTTCTGCTGAATATTTCTATTTTAACATACTGGAAAAGAGATAGTAAGAAGGTGGGTATACCATCTAAATGTGTGATCTTAATAAATCATAAATAATAATGTTCAACCAATATCAATATATTATTTTTATTATCATGCCAACTGCTTAGATTATTCTGAAAGATGCTTAGCACCATTAAATTCTATTGTTTGCTCATTATGCTTAAATGACAAAAGCGGACATCTACTCAGAACAAACGTACAAATGTAATAATATTCTTTAATCACTTATGATCTGTGAAGCATAAGAAGTAGCAAACTTATATTAATTATTTTATTATTTTATGAGGTACTAAAGCAGTTAGATTAGAAAGCAGGTAAATAAAATCCTTGGAAAATGAGGGATTTTTCTTAGTCCCCTAGTCAAATATTTGGTAAAGTTACCTCTTTGCCTTTTTTCTTTTTCTTTTTTTCTTTTTTTTTTTTTTTTGAGATTGAGTTTTGTTCTTGTTGCCTAGGCTGCAGTGCAATGGCACGATCTCATCTCACCGCAACCTCCGCCTCCCGGTTCAAGTGATTCTCCTGCCTCAGCCTCCCGAGTAGCTGGGATTACAGGCATGTGCCACCACTCCCAGCTAATTTTGCATTTTTAGTAGAGACGGGTTTTCTCCATATTGGTCAGGCTGGTCTCGAACTCCCGACCTCAAGTGATCCGCCCACCTCGGCCTCCCAAAGTGCTGGGATTACAGGCGTGAGCCAACACGCCTGGCCAAAGTTGCCTCTAAAGATTTGATCTGGAAAATACAGGCTGAGATTTTGATAGATGCGAGGATGGGAATTCAACCCCTGTGGAAGAAATGTCATAAGTAAAATTATGGTAGAAAGATGAGAAATCTAGTTTATCTAAAAGACAGGTGGTATATAAAGATAAAAATACAGTGAAGGTAGTTTGAAACAAGGTCCCGGATAAAACAAAACATTAAGCAAATGGGTTTTGAATTTTGTTTTTCAGGAAAATGAGGTACTATTGAAGACCTTTGAGAGAGAGAATATTGGATCAGTTTAGTGTTTTAAAATTAATAAATATCTGTGAATCAATATGTATTGAGCAGATAAACTAATAAATGAAATAATAGTTCATACAAATGAATATTTCTCAATAGATTAGGAAGATTAGGAAATCCAATGTAAGAATGATATACAGGGAGAATTAGAAGAGTAATTCTAAGTAATAAATATTTTTAACCAACTATTACTGTTGGAAAGAGAGTAAAGTGGTATCAAGACTTGAATTAGGACATTGGTATTATTTATGTTTGGACTATGGGACCACCACAGTTGGGACAATGGGAAAGGAAAGTATCTGAAAGCTACATTGGATTAGATACCACAAAGGTATGGTAGAAGCAAAGGGAAATGAACCAGCTGTCAAGCCTGGTCTCAGAGAAAAGTAGTATGAATAGTATCTAAAAATACAGCAATCTCAGGCGTGACTTTGGGACTCCATGGTTCTTGAATGATACAATCCCAGTGAACACAGGACTGCACTGGGAAATCCATGCTGCAGATGAAAATCAGAAGCCTATTGAGTGACAGTCCATTCAGGGGCATTTATCCAACTGCAGCAGAACTTTGGCCAGAGGATAGGGATAGGTAAAATGTAGATTACAAACCCGAGGAAACGCAACACAGAAATGCCCCAAACACGAGCTGGTTTAGTGTGGGATCCCAAACCTAGCAAGAAAGCTCTATTCTTGACAGGCAAACTAGGGAGATATAGTTCAATTAGAAACCAGATTTAGAGAATTGATCCAGGTCCAGGAAGCAAAATACTGAATTTCGTAGCTTTGATGGGTGCTAGGGATGCATCTGCTTGCTAGGAAAAAAAATACATATATACATATATTTATATTATATATATTTTTATATTTTTATCATAAATATATAAACATATTATATATAAAACTATGTTATATATGTAACATATATAGCTATACATGTTATATATAGTTAGTAACTAACATATATAGTTAGTAACATGTATAACTATATAGTTATATATATGATGTGTGTGTGTGTGTATGTGAGTACGTGTGTGTTAGTACAAAATAGAGCCCAGGAATCCAGGCTGGCTTCCAGATCCAGCATCCATCGTAAATAATGGACTTCATGACTTGATTGTGACTATGTAGCTATTGAAATATATCCTAACTCACTAGAGACTGTTTTGAGAACTAGAATTGAGTGATTATTTGTGAGTGATCGACGTGAAGGAAGAAAAATGTGGAAACTGAAAATAGAGGTAGAGGATAAATGGCGGAGGAACTGTGAACACACGAACAGCTGAAATAGTCAAGTGAAGGAAAGTTTTCAGTGAAGAGCGTCAAGAAGACAAGATCAGTTCCATAAGGTCTTACGTTTAGGTGATGGAAAGAGTAGACAGCAATATGTGGCCAAAAGGAGGAATTGGTTTGGTGGCCAAATGTAATGAGTTAAATAATAGATAAGATGAATGGCTTTGATTCAAATACAGCACTGTAACTGTAACGACAGATCACAGCAAAAGATAAAGCTGTGTGGAATGCATGAAATTAGCAAAAGAGGGAACATATCAGAAAAATAT
The DNA here is from genome assembly GCF_000001405.40 of Homo sapiens. Taxonomy (NCBI): domain Eukaryota; kingdom Metazoa; phylum Chordata; class Mammalia; order Primates; family Hominidae; genus Homo; species Homo sapiens. Next base: position 103,679,698 of record NC_000013.11, on the reverse strand, counting down.
GTTTTGGGGAAAAACTTGTAACATCATTTAGAGTGTGAAAAAAGTAAGAAGTGCAAACATGGTGATAGAGAAACTATGTTCAAAAAGGTAGAAATGTAAAGCAGTCCATACAATGTAATAGGGGGATTTTACTCATGATTGCGTGGTCAAAACTGACAGAGTAAATGAGAACAGAACAGGAAAATTATTTTCATGTCATATTTAGAGGACAATTACTAACATGCGAAACGTGGTTTTTCTAGACTAATAGACATAATGTCATATTTTAAAAGGTTATCAAATGGGTTTAAGATTTACAAAAGTACAGGCAGTGAGTGCGTGATTCTCTCATTTCAAGTTTGGGTATAACAAAGGAAGACACATAAACCATACGAAGAATATTAACCTGATAAACAACACTGGAACACGTTAGTGCACAGGAAGGGAGACAAAGTAGGGGAAAATGGAAGACTAAATGGAAGTGATATGTTTAGAAGAAGGTAAGGTGGCTGAGACGGAACTAAGAATACTTAAATGAGAGTTTGCCTTAAAGAGGACAGACACATATCTACCAGAGCAGAGGAGAAAGAAGATATGAATGTAGATGAGCTGAATAAGTGTTTTGAGGTGAGAAGAAGAAAACTTAAATAGGTTTTTCTGGATGACATCTACTGCCTTATTTAAGTAAGAGACAAAAAGATATTTCTCCTAAGAGCTGAGAATCAAACTTTGGGAGACTGAGGTTAAATATTTGTTTGTTTGTTTGTTTGTTTTTAAGTTATTATACTTAAGTTTTAGAGTACATGTGCACAACGTGCGGTGTTTTTTGGAGAAGCTACTTTGGGAAATTTGATAGGAAATTAATAAATGATATGTGGAACTATAGAATAGCACGGATACATTTATTATATTTGCCATTCTTATGCAGTTATATTCAGTATATCACCCTTTACATAAAATTTTTGTTTTAAATTGTTTTATAATTCAACTCAAATAATATATGCACACATGGTTTTTAAAAAATTCTAATAGCAAGAGAATTTTAATAAAGAGTATGAGGCCCAGTTAACACCAACTCCCAGTTCCAATCTTAAAAGGCAAATATTATTAAATAATTATGAAATGCTCAACCTATTTTAACATTCTGTTAACATATGTGGATTTATAACACTATATTTTCTCCTACCCCTTTCCTCCTTATTATATCAAAATTCATAGTTCACTTGCTGCTCAACTCAGGAAATTCAAAAATCATACTTCAGCTTCTCTTTTTTATTCCTTAAGAGGTAAAAATGGTTCCAAATTCCCACTTTAGAAGATTGATGCTCCCTCTGCTTTACCTCTCTTCCTTCACTTTTCCCTTCAGTTTCTGTAAAATGTATGTGTAAATTTGTCTGTGATGTGTCCATTGTTGATTCTACCAGGAAAAACAGTCAACATTTTTTTAGGAAGTTGAAATATATAAATTCTGTTAGATATAAATCCAAGCCTGACACTTAAATTAAGAACACCTCAATGTAAACTCTTCGATGCAATAATCATAATTCTTTCAATGTCAGTTCTCCTATGCCATGCAAAAAATTTTGTTTTATGTATAGGTCAAGTGAAATTGTGTGTGATAATGACATTCAATGAGTTGCTTAAAATTAAGTCACATTTCTATTTGCTTTATATTTTTTATCATGTCATTTTGAGAGCCATTGTTTGTTTATTCTGCAGTTCACAGTTGCCTATTTGTTTATTTAATAATACTTATGTTTAATTTATTAATTTACTTTTTGATTTTCATGGGATTTCACTTATTTGAATTTTAAATTTATACTATTCTGTTTATGTCTTATCACCCCAGTTTGTCCCAGAATCTACTGTCCTGCTCCAAGCTGGACTGTGAGATGTTTGGGGACCTACCTACCTTCAGCGCTCTCCTGAGTCAACTGATTTTTCTCATTTTGTTCCAGCATAATTTAAAGTAGCTTTCTAGGAAAAGATAAATTGGAAACAAATTTTCTATGTCTTTGAATATCTGAAAATATCCACACTCTCCTTTTCATTAATAAATTGAATCAGATAGACTTTTTGATGGGTCTTTTTTTTCCCCATGATTTGGAAAGCATTACCATTACATGCATTTTTTTGTTCCATTTAATGAAATTCTATTAATATTTTTAGCAAAAATAATGGAGATTCAAAAACACACCTGCAATAAGAGATAGCCATATGTGGTTTCTAATAGAATATAAGTACCTCAAATGAAGAGCCTGATTTATTTATATTTTTTAGCCACAATATACCAGTTTGTTGCTTCTGTTTTGGTCTTTCCTGAATACAGTTCCACTTCCTCTTGATGATTGGGTAGTGCCATGTTTTTTTTGGTTTGCATTTTGTTTTTTGTTTTTGATCTTGTTTTTGGCAACTGGCATAGTCTTCACAGCCCTAAGACACTAGTTATGCATCCATTAAGAAGCCCAAGTCCACTTCCTCACATAATGTGAATTTTGGTTATTATAGTACATGAATACAAAAAAATTACTATACGAAAAAATTCTATTCTGTGTCAAACTAATATACAATATATTTCTAGTTTGTCTGATTTGACTTGAGGCACATTTTAAAACTGTAGTATAAAACTATGAATTATCAGACATTAATTAGACTCCAATTAATGAGTTTTTAAAAGGATTTACCCCAATATACCCCGATATAACTTGTATGTATATGGACTTTATTTAGTATACACCCTATGTTGTGGAATTTGTATATTTGCACCACATATTAGAAAAGAAAGAAGAAATAAACAGTGTTTATTCTTTGTAATAGTTTGTTTGGTTCCCTTTTTAATTTTTTTTCCATGACACATTTCTAGGCTGAAATAAATATGCATAAGAGCAGCCATTACTAGCTGCTGACCTAAGTATGGCTAATGGTATTTCTGTTATAAGTTAGGAAAATTTTTGAATGGAATGCAAAAGGAAGAATTTTTCCTACCAGTCACAAAATAAATTATGGTTGTAGCAATCTCCATATGAAGTGGGCCATGAGACTGGAGACATTTGACAAGACACTAAAGGGAAGGCATGGAGAGCAAAGGTTCAGGGATTTGTTTAAAAGTAATTTATTTTTGGCTTCATGCCATCTTTGAAAATCTATCTCCAGGCAATAAACATTAGAAATTTTATTACCAATGACCTAGTCTCTGGCTTCTCTGGGAATCAGATAACTTGTCTCCTTGTAGCCTAGGGCTACCTTGATGGTTTCCTTCAGGAAAAGTGGCCCTGGTTTGCAATAAAAGTCACAAGGTTAATCTGGTACTTGGAGTTGCTTTTCCCTATGGATAGTAATTCTTACACTAAATTACATTTTAGTCATTATCTATCTCCCTCATTAATATTATTTTCATTAAAACCTTTCAAATCATTGCATATTCAGCCCCACGTACTCTGAGAGATTCTGGCATTTATGTTGTGGTCATTCTCTGCTATAAATTATTTGGTAGTTCAATCAACATAAGCTTCGTTTTTTATTTCATTAGCATCTCTTGGTGAAGAGATGTATAAGAGGTTAGTCAAATAGCCAGAGCTGTCTTATACGTACCCAATACTATTTTATGAATGAGGAAGTTCCATTTTTATTTTATTGACAGTTTTATGACAAGTGCTATCATTGCAGTGACATCTCTACTCTAAAAATACCCATCTCACTCAAGCATTATAAAAACCAAAAAGCATCCACAATAACAAAAAATGTACTAATTCATTATTTTACTCAAAGAAAAGAGTCTATCTGATGTACAAGTCTATAATTATAAAAAGCTGATATAACTACACAACATAAATAATACAATCTTATACCCAAAATTATTTTTGTATGTTTTATTTTCCACATTGTTTTATTATGTTTTAGGAAAATAATAGGAAAGAGAATGCATAGTAATTCAGATGAGAAATGAGAATTTTTTTCCCAGAAAGAAAAGAAAGTAGGAGATTAAAAATGAAATCTAACACTCATCTAATGTTGACCCTTGTCTAATGGAATCTTCACATGTGTTATGTCTTTCAAACATCTGTCAGTCAGGGTAAGATCAGAAAATTCAAAGTCACTCTAGTTGGTTCTGGTAGAGACAAACTTAATATAGGCAATCAAAGACTACATAACAATTGGAGGAGCTGGGCACCTGAAGGCCAGAAGACTGCTTTCGGGACATCAGGATTTTCAATAATTGACAGGAGCTGCCTCTGATGACCATAAGGGTCTGCAGGACCAAAATGGATAAGAAGAAATTGAGAAGTCGAAAGCACTTATCACCAATGATCTAAGCTACCTGACCGGAGCTCTCCTCATTCACTGCCTTTCATTCTTATTGTTTAAGTGTAAAGAGGTTTCAGGAGACTGTAATTTCAGGGTTCTTCCTGCTATGCAAAACTAAAAGCTAAAGTGAGTGGCAATGATGCTGAGTTGATGGGAGTCAATTCTGCCTACAGCCATCAAGATGAGCAGAGATGGAGGCTCAGCAATCATACGCAAACTTATTTTAAACACGTGAGACTGTGATTCATAAAGCTTCAGTGACTTTGAGAGGTAAATGATACCGATGATTATATAGCTATATTATATGCAAAAATATGTACATATAAATATGTATAGTAAATATGTGTGTGCATGTATTATCAAGAGATAGAGTGTGTGTACTTGTGAGAGGTTTTCTGCAATATAATACATATATTTTATATCAGTTAGCCATTACACAATCTTCCTATTACAGATGAAATAACTGACATCCAGAATAGGGAATCTATGCCTGAGTACACTGCCAAATTTGTAAGTGCAAAATTGAGATTTGAACTCAGTTTTATCTGACTTCAGAGTGTATGCTTTTGACCAGTGCTATCTGCAGATAGATCAATTTCAAGGGGTGTGCAAGAAGACCCATTGCATTGAAGGAAGCAAATATTATTATTGCAATCCCAATCATTTTTATCTTAAAATATTTGGAAAATGCATTATTTATATTTAATATTCAGGTTGCTGTGGGGGCTCAAGTTCTTCCACATAATACTTTTATGTTACGCAAAACACCCGATGGAAGAGAGAAAGTTCTAAACTCTATAAAGTTGATAGGTAGGCCCACTCTCTTCTGTTTTGTGTTTTTTTTCTTTTTTTGTATGTGTGTGAATATATCTGGTGCAAGTTATCATGTATAATACGATGTCAGTAAAAATAAGATTTTTATTTTATTTTATTTTGAGACTGGGTCTCACTTTGTCACCAATGCTAGAATACAGGCACTATCTCAGCTCACTGTGGCCTCAACCTTCTGGACTCAAGCAATCTTCCCACCTTGGCCTCCCAAGTAGCTGGGACCACAGCCGTGCACCACCACACCCAGCTAATTTTTGTATTTTTTTGTAGAGACAGGGTTTTGCCATATTTCCCAGGCTGGTCTCAAACTCCTGAGCTCAAGTGATCTGCCTGCCCCAGCCTCCCAAAGTGCTGGGGTTATAGTCACAAGCTACCGTACACAGCCAAAAAATAAGAATTTTAAATGCTTGAACCTTTATAATACTTTGACATCAAAAGTGCTATCCTTAAAAACATTTAGTGTGATTGTTGAAGTCCACTTGATAATTCAGAGTAAAATAATTTGGAGTATTTGAATTTAAGAATGAGTCTCATGAATATCCAGCACTGGGTAAGATGGAGTAAGTTCCTTACTCTTAAAAATGCTGGGTGGGATAGAAAAAGCAATTGCCAGAAGACTTTGCAAAGGAATCAGAATCAAGTCAATTGGAGAGTGGAGTCAAAACTTGAATAAGCAACCTCATAGAGTGAGATCCCAGAATTTTGTAATTGATTTTTTTTCTTTTCTGCTTTGTGTCCTGACATTGTTTTGAAGATGAGTCCCACCTTTGTCCATACCACCCTGAATGCACCCAGTCTCGTCAGAAGATGAGTCCTCAGCAAGATTGCATGGACAACAAAACTCCAAGAGGAGCCTTGTCTTTCTGGCCAAAGGCCCAGGAATAGGGGCCACCTTGGGCAAAAGAATATAAGAGGGGTCTCCTTCCCTTCCTCTCTCTCATTTTTGCTTTCTTGGTTGTGGCCTGAAGGCAGTTCCAGTAATGAAGTTGTAGCAACCAGGGCAAATAAAACTCGATCTATCTGGCTAGATGAGCAGAAAATGGGGATGCTGCAAGTAGAAGAGTACATAAGAAATTCTGAAAGGGGGTGTGGAAAAGGCAATCTCCTCTGTCGGTGCATTGATTAGCAAAAGTGCCGGATTTACCCTTGGGCTGTGCATGATAGTTCCCCCCAAAACAGTAAAAATCATAAAAACCTTCATAATTATTAATGCTCTATACTTAGAATTTCTTCTTGTTCAAAAATCTTCTATTGGAAATGATAGTAAGAGGAGTTAGAAAAGAAAAAAAAAATAAAATAAAAGTCTTCTAAACAAAGATTTAAATACGTTTTTATTTATAGATTTTTCATTCATGTATGCATGAATGTACTCATTTAGAAAATAAATGTGGAGTGCCTACAATTTTTCAAGCACTGGAATCGAGAAGAAAATGAAAAGGAAGAGGGGCAAGAGGAAGGAGGAGGAGTCAATGATGAAGAAATAAAGAAAAAAGAAACAAAATAGACCAAAATATTTACTATAATGAATATTATATCCCAGTGAAGAAAAGAGATAATCAAAATATAAATAAATTATATATAATATAAAGTATTGATAAATACTAAAGAGAAAAATATGGACCAGAAAAAAAAACATATAAACATCTAGGCTGGGACTGAAATTTTAGTGCGGCCAAGAAAGACTTCACTGATTAAGTGATTTTCATGAAATACCTTAAAGATGTGTGGGAATAAGTATGTCAGTAATTTGTAGAATATCCCAGGCAGAGGGAAAACAAATAGAAAGTCCCAGAATTGTTTGAAATATGCCTGGTGTGTTGGAGAAACAACAGAAGAGTGTGGGCAGGAAGCAGCAGGAATGAAGGAGACGAAGTCAGAGAGAGTGCAGGACGCCAGGTCATGTAAGAAGAGCATTTAGAGCCATCAGTCCTGGAAGGTACTGAAAACTAACATGTCATAAAGCTAAGGTTTCAACAGGAGCACTCTGGCAATTGTGTGGAGAATGGACCAGTTGGGTGCAAGAGCAGAAGTGGGGAGATCAGGTGAGAGGCCACTTGGACTATCCCAGGTGAGAGTGATGGGGATGGTAGTGTGGCTAACAGGAAGGAGTCAGATTCTGAAAGTACTTTGAATTGAACCAAAGTCTTCCCCTATGGCTGATTTGGAGTGTGAGATGAAGAGAAATATTGAAGATGACTCTGAGTTTCTTGCCTGGAATACCTAGAATGCTGCAGATAAGGAATAGGAATTTTGGTGTGGGAGGATATTAGGAGCACAGTTTTGGGGAAGACATTCCTGAGAAAACTATCAGATATATAAATGGATGTGTCAGGTACACAGGGAGTGTACAATTCAAGGAGAGATCTAGACTACAGGTACATGCAAACACAAACTCACACATTTGAGAGTTGCTCACCAATTTCTGGTGTGTAAAAACTCCCACATGGCCCATTGCCAGTTACCAGTGTGACTTCACTGAACACAAGTGAGAAGAGAGAACATGATGGAGCTGGTACAAGGTGGCTGCAGCACATTGCTGGTGGCTGTTGGCATATACATGTGAGAAGCTGTTAATCATAAAAAGAAGTTCAAGGGCTAGCTTCAGAGAACTAAAATATTAAGAGGTCAGAGCTAGGATGAAAACCAGCAGAAGAGATTGAGAAGTGGTCAGGATGGGAGGATGGAAATATAAGGACAGTGAGCTGTCCTGGAAACCAAGTGAAGAAAGCATTTCAGGGGCAATTTTGTGATTAACCTTGTACGTTGCCGATGATTGGTCAGACTGGATGAGAACTAGAAAAGGCCATGGACTTAGCAACATTAGGTCATTGGTTGGCTGATAAGAAGATTAGTGGAATGACTAATACGCAAGCCTGAGTGAAGTGGTTTCATGAGAAATCAGAGGCCGGGCGCAGTGGCTCATACCTGTAATCCCAGCCCTTTGGGAGGCACAGGTGAGCAGCACACTTGAGGCTGGGAGCTCAAGACCAGTCTGGGCAACATGGCAAGACCCCATCTCTACTAAAAATACAAAAAAATAGCTCAGTGTGGTGGTGAGTGCCTGTGGTCCCAGCTGTTTGGGAGGGTGAGGTAGGAGGATCACGTGAGCCCAGGGGACAGAGGTTGCAGTGAGCTGAGATGGCACCACTGCACTCCAGCCTGGGTGACAGAGCAAGACGCTGTCTCAAAAATAAATAAATAAATAAGAGAAATCAGGAAGAGAATTTGGAGATAGCAAGTCTAGACAACAGGTAGATGCTGAAGAGAGAATGGGAATTGACAGGATATTGAATATATTTGCTAAAAACAAAACAAAATGAATGAGAAAGAAAAAGAAAGAAACAATGAAGAGAAAAGAAAAAGCAAGAAAGAGACTTTCCAATTAGGTTGATGGAACAGATCACAGATATCAAATACAAGAAATTGTTACTAGTCGAATCTAGGAAAAAGACTAGTTGGTAATTAAGTTTGAAAAACGAGCCCAATAATCTAGCAAATGAAGCCTTCGGAGAACGTTAAAAAATATTTATATAGTCACTTCTTTGAAAACTGTGATAAACATTGAAACAAAATGTATTAATAAACTAAAATTAGGTATAAACTTTCCCAATTCTGTATCACAAAGCATTGAAACAAAAATGCAATTTACTTAATTCTATTGTTCCCACCAAAATATTATTACTAATAGGATGTAATATTTACCAAAAAGCAAAAAAGTTTTATCTCATTTAAAGTAAATAAACTATTTTATTTTAAAAGTGATGATTATTTTATATTTACTCATTCAAAATACTATGGCTTCTGCATAGTATAACTATATTAGTGAACGTGCAAAATAAATTGATAAAAATGAATGAATGACAGAGACATCAATGATAGATGGATAAATAGATTGATAGATTAATTTCCTGAGTGATCGATTTTTAGATAGTGTTCAGACTTTTTTTGCTTATAAAAGTAAAATTTTGTAGGAACACTGCTCTTAACTAGTATAATATACTGCCTCTATATACACACTATTTCTCCTATTGGAAAGACAATAAAACTGAATATGGGAAAAGGAAAAGAGCCAATGGAATAGCAGTTAAGTACATGAAAACAAATCAGAACAAAATACAATTGAAATCATTCTATTGTATAGTCTTCAACAGAGAAGACATGTTTCCAAACAGTATAGTTTTACCTCTGTTCAGATCTTCCTTCAACTGTTAAGTACTTGGTCATACTTTTCAGCTGCTGCAAAAGATGGATTTTGACTTTTATGTATCCTAAAATGATAGAGATAAAAGTGTCTGTGAAACCACAGCTTCCTCATTTCATTGTCCATATATAATCTTCCCTTCTGTGCTGTTTTCTCTGCCTATGTGGGATTATTACAGTTACAGGCTGAAGGAACATGTCTATTTCTGAAGATGTCACTCATCAATTTTCTATTTTATATTTCTACATTTTTGTAACATCAAGAATAGTTATGGAATTATTCATTTCTTTTTATCTCATATGAAAATATGAGAGCGATGGCAGATTTGTTTTGTTTTTCTTTAAGAGTGATATATAGATGAGAGAGAAATGTACAGCAACAACCCATACACAAAATTAATGAAGAAAAACAGGGACAAATAAGTGGATGTAAGTAAATAGGTAATGTTTTCTTCAAGGGGAAACCTGAAGAAGGGAGAAAGAGGAAAAGGGTAAGGCAAAATATATTGCTTCAAAGAGAATGAAAACATTAAAAACACTTCTTTGTTACCATATAACATACTATCACAGGGTGTATTACCATAAGATTTATTCACATTTATTTATTACCATAAGGAATAAAAATTAAATAATAAATTTACTCGTTCAATAATTCAACCAGTATTTACTGGGCATCACTGCAGGCCAGATCATTTGTCTGGCACTAAGTATCCAATGGTGGACAGAAGAGTCACGATCTCTACCCACATGGAACTTTTAATTTGATGCTGGGAATAGCTACTAAAAACATAAATGTAAATTTTGATATGTGTTATAAAGGAAAATAGGCTAGAGCAAGGAATAACAAAGAGTGAAAGAATTTAGGTTATAGGGTATGATATTTAAGATGCTATTTTAACAGACTTCGTGGCAGGAAAATGGGGATGAAACTGGCTCATGAGCATAATTGAATAGATAAGTAAAGAACTAAACAAAAGGTAATGTGGCTGGAACTCAATGAATAGGAGAGTTAGAGGAGACAATACTGAAAAAAAGGCAGAGATTGGATTATGCAACACTTGAAAGGTGAAGTCAATGACTTTGGTGCTTTTCACAATTGAGACACCACTCTAATTGCTTCTGTAATTAACTTGTTTTATCTTCTCAAGTACTCTCTGAGAAATAAAGTTTCACTGTGAACATTCCCATTTTAAAGATGAGCAGACTAAGGGATGTGCTGAAGTTCACGCAGATAATACCTGGAAACAGCCAGAAATCCATGCTGTCAATCTTTGTTTTCTCATAATTAAATACTGTATTTTGCTGACTTTTAAAGAGTTTCAGCTTGTATTCTAGAAGTAATAAAAGGTGACTACAGGGTTCTAGGTGGTGAAGTAATGGGTGCTTTAGCTTTTCAAAATCTATCTGGTTATTATGTAGCAGGTGGATTGAAGTTGGGCAAGAATGAATTGGGAAACCAATAAACCAGATAAGAGATGGTGGAAGCTCAAGATAGAGGGCGAGCATTACAAATAGAAACAGATGATTTGGGAAATATTTTGCAGGTAGAGCTAATCCAAGTTGCTAGTGAATTAGATGAGAAATGTGTCAAGGACAATTCCCAGAAGTCTTGCTGGCACACTTAGTTGGATAATGTGCCCTTTACTAGATGGAAACACCAGACTAATTGCAAGCTAAAGAGTTCAGTTTATGATATGTCACATGAGCAATAACCGTGGCATTTCCATGTACTATTCAAATAAGCCACTGTATAACTATGTGTTAGATATGAGTTCTAAATTTCTTTTCAGAGAATTAATATGTCATTATGTTCAATTCTTCGCCTTCTACTTTTAAACTTAACTTCCTCGTAAAGCAACCTTTTTTGATTGCCTACTCCACCCTCACTGATTCCGATCACCTTCTCCACCTTAACTCCTTCCTATCACCTGCTCCACTGCAACTCATTCCGACTACCCGCTACCTGCTCTGCCCTGATTCCGGCCAAAGCACTCACTCCATCATTCTCTTTAAATTAGCCAATCGGAATTAGTTTAGCCTGTGCGGTCTAACCCTAGCCAACAGGGGGACGACACAGCCCCAGCGCCCACGTGTGTCAGGGATAAGAACCTCTTCCCCTCCCCTGTCCAAGTGTGCGCTCACCATTCCTCCATCTGTAAGGGCGCACCCTTCTATAGAAGTAACTTGCCTTGCTGAGAATTAAAAAGAAAATTTTATATTCGAGTGCTATTCCTTTTGTGGCACCGAAACTTTATACATAACATATGCACCTTAGAAAACATACCTAAAGATGTAACTTTAGGTGTCAGAAAATATCTATGGCATTAAAAGCAATGAGAATGAATTTGATGACCTGGAGGGAAGGTGTAGAAAGAGAATAAAAAAGACAGTGGGAAGTCAAGGCTTTACTAACACCTCCATTTAGAAAATGGTAAAGGAGATATTTTTGACCACAGAATGTTCTGGTTTTTCTTTTCTCTCTGAACATTTTTCCTACTCATTCTTTGATTTTTAATCTAGTAATGTGATACTCTCAGGTTCTTCCTGTGCTGATAAATCAGTCATAAAGAACAATGGTCATGGTTGATCAATGTTCCTTAGAAGTTAAATGAAACATGTAAGCAACTAGTGAATAGTACCCTGCGAGAATGCGTTAAGAGTCACTCATAGGTGGGAATTGAACAATGAGAACACATGGACACAGGAAGGGGAACATCACACTCCGGGGACTGTTGTGGGGTGGGGGGAGGGGGGGAGGGATAGCATTAGGAGATATACCTAATGCTAAATGACGAGTTAATGGGTGCAGCACACCAACATGGCACACGTATACATATGTAACGAACCTGCACGTTGTGCACATGTACCCTAAAACTTAAAGTATAATAATAATAAAATTAAAAAAGGAAAAAAAAAAGAGTCCATTCCTCCTTGACCTTGGTCTAGCACTACAGGAGAGGCTGTTCTCACAAGAAAAATGTCACACCAAAAGATTGTTAAATCAAGGGAAGATCTCTTGTTGGCTGTTTGTATACACTTTGCTGTGGAAACGCTGAGTCCTTTAGTCTTTAATCTTAGTCTGCCAGCCTGACAGCTTTGAAATTGCTGCAGAAAAGCTCCCTGAAAGAGATAAATCAGTATATCATCTGCATAAAAAAGACAATGTATCATCTTGGTAAATAAGATAACCAAATGAAGTGTAGATACTGGGGAAAAGCTCTCATAGGAGGCTCCATAAGAAGACAAGGGAATTGAAGAAGTTTAAGAAAACCAAAGCCATATAAACCATACAGTAATATAAAATTTCCTCATGGAAGTTATACATACATATGCACACACACACAAATCTAATTACGAGCTTCAAACATTTCCTGAAAGTCTCAGGACATCCTGTCTGTAATTATAGTTAAGGAATAAACAAAAATAAAGATCCCAGGCATATAGTGAAAAGGTCGACATAATAAAAATAATAAGCTTCTCCTTCAGATAAGAACTCTCTGTAGGACCAAATTCAATTTGGCATTTAAGTAATAATTTGATACATCTGATCCCAATGTCTAAATGGATCTGATGTGAGGAATACAATATGACACATAAATTGGAACTACCATACCAGAATATGCAGTAATGTCTTTGTGTAAAAACAAGGTGGCTTTGAAAAATAGCAGAAACTTAATTAATTTTCTGAAGTCAAGGAGGCTCCTGCTTTATTGAAAGCCTAACTAACCATTACAATCTTGCTCGACTGAAAAAGTGGTTGGTAATGGGAATGTTTTTCAAGGCTACAGGGTTTCTTATGCGCTAACCCATAAGCCCTACTGGAAGCAGAGCCTGATCGTGGTATTGTACGGCTGCTCTCATGCCCTTGTGGTGATGAAAAGCAGAAGAAATTTCAATTTATGCTATAGGACCTGAAATAGACAGGTCAGAATAAATGGATCATTCAGTGTCAGAACAAAACATGACGATGGTCAGAGGTGCCAATTAACTGCAAATGTTCTCAGTTTTCTTAAACAACAAATTCCAATGGTTGAACTTCGGCTCAGTGCACTGTTAATCATCTGAGAGATGAATTAACACTGAAACAGCTATTTTCATCTTTTTTCACTTCATTTTTCAAGAAACATGATAAGCCTTTTTTGTTTGTTTGTTTGAGATGGAGTCTCGCCTTGTTGCCCAGGCTGGAGTGCAATGGCACAATCTCAGCTTACTGTAACCTCTGCCTCCCGAGTGCAAATGATTCTCCTGCCTCAGCCTCCCGAGTAGCTGAGCTTACAGGTGCCCACCACCATGCCCAGCTAATTTTTGTATTTTTAGTCAAGACGGGGCTTCATCATGTTGGCCAGGCTGGTCTCGAACTCTTGACCTCGCGATCCGCCCGCTTGGGCACCCAAAGTGCTGGGATTACAGGTGTGAGCCGCCACACCAGCCATGATAAGCCTTCTATAAAAACCAAAGATTCATTTGGGGAATATCACAATATAGCAATAGTTGCTGAATAAAACTGCAAAACGAGAACAAGAATGCTATAGGGAAAAAGGTGGGAACAACAAAGTAAAATAAGCTTCATTTTATTTTATGTATTTATGTAAGTATGCATTTATTTATTTAGACACAGGGTCTTGCTGTATCTCCCAGGCTGGAGGGTGGTGGTACCATCGATTGTAGCCTCGACCTCCTGGGCTCACGTTATTTTTCCCCATCAGCCTCCGACGTAGGTGGGACTACAGGTGTATGCCACTATCCCCAGCTAGCTTTCATTGTTTATAGATACGAGGTCTCGCTATGTTGCTTAGGCTGGTTTGAACTCCTGGATTCAAGTGATCCTCCGACCTTGGCCTCCCAAAATGCTGGGGTCAGAGGCGTGAGCCACTGCACCAGGCCAAACATAAGCTTTAAAACGATGTTTTCAATTGTGTAATGCACTTGAATTAATCTTAATACTACCGACAAAGGCTACTATTGACAATGCTAATATTTAGACAACTGATTAACATTGTCAGGGAGAAAAACTGAATTTGAGGAAAATAGCCAAAGTATCTTTTAGGAAGCTGATTGGATATGATATTGGTGTTGGCATAAATTTTCTAGATAACTTGAGATTTCAGAAAACAGCAGTTAGAAGTTTCCAACTAATTATGAAATAGACAATGTTAATTTATTTTATCTCCCTTTCCATACCCATTTTGTTTTCCTTTGTGGACCTACATTATCATACAGGTAATTTGAGTTTCTCAGCACACTGCATCATCACAGAGCATCCACACATCATACCCTACTGTCTCATTTTAACCCTCCCACCCACCGACAAAAAGCTCTGTCTTTCTGTATCTCATTCCCTCCACAGCTACCCTTTTTCTAGTATTAATGCATAGTTGCAAGTTAGTACGTTGAAGACACATTTTGAAATCAAAAGTTTGGACTCAATTTCCAGTTCTGTTTTGCAGAAGAAAGAAACTCTGAGAACATTATAAAACCTCTCTATGTGTATTTTCTGTTCTGTTAAGTAAAACTAGCAACAACATCAGAGAGTTTAAGTAAAGATAAAATGAGAATGTGGATGTAGAAAATGATTTTCCATATATGAATGTCATTACTAGCCATGTGCTGCCACATTCAGGTATACATGCCCATTAGAAATGAATCTAATTTTAAATTTTCAGGCATAGAATCTAGTTAACACATAGAATTCTTGTGACATTCCAGAACCTATGTGCAGAATTTATTTTGGTTTTGGTTTTTGGGGTTGATAAAGATCCACTAAACCTCCAGTATGAATGTTGGAAAGAATATGAGATTGTGAACATTTATTTTCTCTGCCAAGAACATTTTGAACATCTTAGCTATGTTTGATTAATTTTCAGACTTATGAGTTGACCCCTTCAAGGAAAACCCAGAAAACATCTCAAGAACTTCAATTCAAAAGTGAAAAACTTTAGAAAGTAGGCTCATCAAAAATTTATTTTGTTCTCAAGGGCAGTAGTGGTGAGGGCATCCAATTATGAGGCCAGCGGTGATTACAATTCCCTGGGACAGACCTAGCTTCAAGCGAGAAGTGGTGGTCATGGTGCCTACTGACATTGCTCCATGGGGTGGTGGCAGCGTCAGTAATGCTTCATCAGGTGAACTCTGCAGGAAAGGTGTTGGCATCATTCCTGGAAACATAGCCTGAAGCTTGGTTTTTCCATGCCAAAAAATTTGTGAGTTACCCAATATTCTTTTAATAGACACTATTTCTGCTTAATCAGCCAGATTCAGTTTTGGCTCGTGGCAACAAAGAACCCTGACTAATGCATCCATTCATTGCCAGTTTGCAACCATTGAAGTGATATTCAGAGTAGGTGCACAAGCTGCAGAGAATAAATCCACCACCAGACTCTGAGTAAAGGTAAAACTTAAGGAGAAGCACTCACTAACTCATTTCAACTGGACAAAATGTCCCTCAGAAAAAAAGACAAAGTGTGTGGCTCTCTCCAAGGCCTGATCAGCTTAGCTGCCCACAATTAAATAGAAACACATACACATACACACACACACACACACACACACACACACACACACACATGAGAGAGAGAGACAGAGAGACAGAGAGACAGAGAGAGACAGAGAGAGAGGCATAGGGGTAGGAAAGTCCATAGGTATAAGTGAAATATGGATCTGCCCATTGTCATATGGGGCTGTCTTGAAATGAAATCAACAAGCTGACTTATTTTTTAAAGTGCTTTACTATCTAAACTACAACTTGCTGGGACTAAAAGAGACTATTTGAGATATAAAATGACCCCGACCCCTCAGTAGGTGACAAGCAGGAGGCAGGATAAAAAGTTGCTCAGCCCCCAAGAAGGCCATATCCTCCAAGTTCAGATGTGGCCAAGCAGAAGGGTGGAAGAGGAAGAGCATTAACATACAGTGGATGCAGAAGCACCCTCAAAGAGCAACCAGAGCTTAAGCAGCAAACATTGCCCACCCTCGGAGTAGAGCAACCAGGCAGCTCCAGCTCACTGAGATTCCAGATTGCTCTGGCTAATGTCTGCTGTTTGCCCAGTATTTCTTCTTTCGGGATAAGATCATCCTGTACCTATTCCGCTATTGTATATCTGGGGTCTGAAGGAGAGGAGAGGACAGGACAGCAGATTTCTTTTCTTTTTAGTTCACAAGTCTCAGGTCCCAGGGGATGCTCCTGTGAACTGGGCATAATCAAAAGCTCTTGGACACTGAACTGGATTCAGTGGGTGTTTAAGACTTTTAGGCTTTCTCCCTTGGAAAAGAGGTTAGTGTGTTCTGCATGTAAAAAGCTAGTGAACTGAATCTTTTGCGACCTGAAGGGTGGATAGTGATAGTCTATGGTGCGTTGGTGTCGATCGCAGATATTTCTAACTGTCCAACAGGCATGATATAATTGTGCTGTCTGTGCCTTAGGAGTAATGAGTGGTAAGTTTACTTCTTTGCTCAGTGTAAAGCAAGTGTCACTTATGATAGGAAAGCTAAAGTGACAGTGTACAATTTATTACTCTCTCTTTCCCCCCCAGCCACAGAGACAGCACAGGACCCAGGGTGGCAATGAGGAAGAAGAGAAATCCCAGCGACTCTTGCTAGACACACAGCAAGAGTAAGAATACAACCTCTGCTGCTTTAAGCTGCTGAAAGGGGAGGTCATTGTTTTTACCATAGCATGTATGAGACCACCCTGCTTGGCAGAGATATCATGAAGCTCAATCTCTAATCCTGTTGCTGCAGGCCATAGGTATGCTGGAGAGGGGGATAAGGTAAAAGAAAGACAGACTGATGTCTTACAAATAAATGATCTATGCTGTCTTAAATCTAAGATTTCTTAATACTAAGAGCGAGCGCTAAAAAGCAACAGGATATAACCTTGCAAATACAAGGTTTCCATGTGTTTGGAAGTAAAATCACTTTCATTAGAATTAACATTTTGATTCCAATTGCCACACACAAATAATGAAAAAAGGAAAACCTACGCAGCAGTTAACCTACTACTCTCTATGTACATGTACATAAAACCTACACTCACATGAGGAGAAGCAATGAACACTGATTAACTGGGAGAAGACCCCTCTGGATAAGGAATATGTTGGCAAATAATATTAAAACTTTACCAGATTATAATCTGATTTCTAAGGTTTGTTTATCAATCTATCAAAATAAAGTTGATAAACTGAAACCCTTCCCAGAAGAAATGAGCTTCATCCCAGGTTCACAGATAGAATTGACTTGTAAGTCTCTTACCTACCCATCCACCTAAACCACAGATCCTTTGCTGTCACTAAATCACACTCCTTTTATTTGCTTTCTCTTAAGAGTAAATATTCACAATCTGTTCTGATTAACATTATTACTTCTTAGCAATTTTTATCTTTTTGATGGTAATACAAAAGCAAGTTTATATCTAGTATTTTCAGAATTAATACCGGCCGGGCGTGGTGACTCACACCTGTAATCCCAGCGCTTTGGGAGGCCGAGGCAGGTGGATTACTTGAGGTGAGGAGTTCAAGACCAGCCTGGCCAACATGGCGAAACACCGTCTCCGCAAAAAATACAAAAATTAGCTGGGCATAGTGGTATGCACCTGTAACCCCAGCTACTTGGGAAGCAGGAGAAGCACTTGATACTGGAAGGCAGAGGTTGCAGTGAGCCAAGATCCTGCCACTGCACTCCAGCCTGGGCGACAGAGAGAGACTCTGTCTCAAAAACAAACAAACAATTAATATAGATTTTTATTTCTCCTGGAAGGTTAATAAGGTTAGAGAAATGATTTTATTTTTCTAAGGAGATAGTTGGCTTAACTAACATATCAAAGAAGTAAATAAGCATACCAAACAAGGGAAATCAAAGAACATTCACATGAATTAAAAACAAAAGCAAAAAGACAAAAATGATTATTGAATTAAGGAATAAAGGAGCTATTTTACTTTGATTGAGGAAATACCCTGAACAAATAAACAGAGAATAAAACTAAATGCTCATATTTCTAGATGAGAAAAACTCCTAGCAAAATCTCATTTATCATTCTTCTACTTGTGACATCTCCATTGTCTTGCTTTAAGAAGAAATCACTGAGAAAGTTTCAAGTTTGTGAATCACACTGTAATCCTTTAAACTCTTGTTTTTCTCATCTTCCTAACTTTCTCGTTTAAACTTGATTTTAAAAATTTAAATTGCAAAAAGACATCTACCCACAAACATTCGGTTTATTTTCTAGGTTAGCTATGGTATAAAATTATTAAGGCCCAAGTTCATGAGGAAGGTACTTATTTATGTTCTTATTCTTAGAGAGATCAACTTTAGTTTCAATGGTACAGATTTCCTCCATTAGTCCTAGAGAAAATATAGTTCAACGGCGAGAGAGGTATTATTAAGCAAAAAATAATAATAAAATAAAAGAAAAGAAAAAGGGAGGTATGTGTTGAAATAAAGTGGCTCTTGCAGAACCAGCGTAAGAAGAGTCCATACATTCATCTGTTAATCATGTTGTAGCAGTCCAGAAGTCTGAGTTTTGTAGTCCAAGTAGGATATAGGACTTCCATAGCTAGCGTTGCTACATCCACCTTGGAAAAGTTACAAATCAGTTCTTGGATATGTTTCACAAGATTAAGGGGCATTCCCAGTCTTTCCTGGGAGGTCCTTTTTGAAGGCACAAGGCTTTGCTCTCACATGGTTGCTTTTTGAGCTCTTAAAGTCCCTGCGTGTCCAAACTACCATTTGAATATCTGACAAGTAAAATATGAATTCACTAAATGTCAAGTTAGCATAGGTAATGCCAGAAAAATATTGGTATTGGAAAGGTGTAAATGAAAGGAAAATGACAGATAGCATGTCACATTTGGAGAAATATAATCTTAAGGGTATTCACTGGGAAAAAGGCTAAGAACCAATGTCAGCTTTAAAGAGACTAGACCTTACTGCAGACCAGGGGTTCTCACGAGAGTGATGTTGACACTCCTCCACCTCTATCCCTTGAGACACTTTGGCAACGTCTGAAGCTATTTTTGGTTGTCACAACTGGGTAGAGGTCGGAGATGCTGTTAAACATCTTGCAATGCACAGAAGAGCCCCATAAAACCAAGCATGACCCCATGATCCAGTACAAAGTGTCAAAAGCTCAAGGCTGAACAACGCTCCTGTGGGCAGTTTCAGAATTCTAGAACTGCACATATTCATCACGCTCCCAAATCCCAAAAGAAAACAAACAAACAAACAACTAGATTTTGTATATCTTCGGAAAAGTTTCTTTAAATAAAAAAGTGAGCTAATTTTTTTCTTATGAACATTTATATTACATCACATCACAACAACTTGAAGGAGTATAAGTGCTTTGATTTTAGAAAGATCTCGCTTTAAAACATTCATTTTGCTGATTATCAGCTTTCTACTTTGGATGCACTAAACTCTTAGCACTAGTTTTCTCATCTGAGAAAATGGACACTTCAAAGCTTCATTTTGGCAATGCTATAATGAGTAAATGACAATATTCAGAAGGACTACTCAGAGCAAATAATACCAAATGGTATTATTACTGTTATCATTATCACCATTTTCTATGGGATAAAATAGGCTACTAAATTCCTACGCAATTAAAATGGAAAAAGTCTAAAGAATACTAATATTGTTCTAGTGGAAGATCTCAGTAAGAAAGAATAGACACAAAATACATTATTCTCAAGCCGCAAAATTTCCAGCTGACATGGTTCCTTTTGGAAAATGGGACACTAAGTGATAGGGTTTGGCTCTGTGTCCCCACCCAAATCTCATCTTGAATTGTACTCTCATAATTCCCACATGTTGTGGGAGAGACCCAGTGAAAGATAATTGAATCATGGGGGCAGTTTCCCCCATTCTGTTCTTACGGTAGTGAATAAGTCTCACAAGATCTGATGGTTTTATAAGGGGTTTCTGCTCTTGCTTCTTCCTCATTCTCTCTTGCTACTGCCATGTAAGAAGTGCCTTTCGCCTTCCGCCATGATGGTGAGGGCTGTCCAGCCACATGGAACTGTGAGTCCATTAAACCTATTTTTCTTCCCAGTCTCAGGTATGTCTTTATCAGCAGCATGAAAATGGACTAATACACTGAGCTAAGACTAACTTGTCTTCCATATGAAACAGAACGTGCTGATGAAATAGGTACTCACTATATTTTAAACTAATGGAATTCACTAATGTAATGGTAGAGGGGTATGTCATGTGCACACTCTAAGGTAAATCCCAGTGAATTGCACTTTGTATAATCCAGTCTACTTGAGTGGGAGCAGAAATTGACTTGTCTCTAACCGATAGAATATGGCAAAGGACATATAAAACTCTGTAATTATGTCAAATTATGTAAGACTCTCTTAGCACTCTGAAGAGATTATCTCGTTGACCTTAAAGAGGCCAACAGCCCCAGAGCAGGGAACTACGGACAGCCTCTAGGTTTTGAGGGTGGCCTTTAGGCTGTAAGCCTATGTGACTGGGACTCTCAGTCACAGAGCCACAAACAAATATATTCTGCCAATGCTGAATAATCATGGAAGTGTGTTCTTCCAGTTAAGCCTCCAGTTAAAAATACATCCCAGATAACATCCTGATCTTCATCTGGGGAGACCCTGTGCAGAGAACTAAGATAATCCATGTTCAGACCACTGACCCATGGAAACTGTGAAACAATACAAGTGCACTGTTTTGAAGCCACTAAGGTTGTAGTAATTTGGTGTGCAGCAACAGAAAACTAATGCAAGAGGATTGGTTGATTATATAGCATCCCTAAAGTATGAGTGAAATCTTGGATATTTACGGTGTAAAGGATCAATCAATCAAACTAGGATATAAACAGGTTCTATGAGTCATGGATCCAAACCAGTTAGGCATGATAGACCTACCTTACAATTGTATTGTCTGATTACACACATAGACACACACAAACAGACACACAGTGATACATAGGAAAATAAGACTATTCACAGTTGTGAAAATATTTCATACTTATTTTACTAAAAATTTACAACTGGATCTTCAAAATCTATGTTTTCATGCATGAATTTCATATCCTCTGGAGATAAATGAGAACCAATTAAACCAATTTACTATGCAGGAACTCTTAATTGACAGTACTCCTACAACATATTATCATGCCAGTAATCTGGATGGAATACATGAATATTTCAAAATTATAAATGCTATGGTAAATATTATAGGTACATGAAAGTCAACATGAAAAATTAGAATGCAGTTATTCACTGACAAAATATAAGATCAAATTAAATGGGCTTAGGAAAAACCCTCTTGCAATTGAATAATGTTGAAGTCAAGGTCAAATTTTAAAGGAATGCATGATTGTATTACACCTTACATTTTTTTTATCAACAGCATGGAGAGGACATTTTAATTGACTCAGAAAATACATTACTATTGAATTATATATAAGTGTAAAAGAAAGTCACTTAACCTGGTAATCAGTAGGGAAAAAAACATACATGAAGCAGCATTACATTTATGCACATAATAAATATAGGCAAAATGTGGAAGAGAAAATTGTGAGCAAAATGAAAGATGGCCTTGTCTGAAGAGGACAGAAAGCCTCACAGAGGGACATATCTTCCCTTTGAGCCTGTGCATGTCCTCCACATACTTCCCTTCCTCACATTTAAGTTAAAAGGTGATTTTCAGATAAGGATTGTGATTTTCCTGGTCTGAAAACCATACATGGCTTTTAGGGGCTCTGAATCCTTGTTAGAGTTAGATGATAATACAATCTGGGCAACATTTACACTAATTAGCTTGTTTTATACAAATGCACCAGGCTGATATTATTGATGTCACCATGAACACTTTGTTCCTTTTGTATTTAAAACAAACATGCAAATGGATAATTAGGTAGAAAAACCTCCCAAATAACTTTGAACAGGGTGAAGTCACAGCAGCAATAAGTATCTGGTTCAAAAACAGGACTGAAAATAACAATAGGAGAATAGGTTAATCTGCTGAGTGTTAGTTTTCTATGTCTATATAATACAATAATAACACATACGCTTATTGTGCTAGTCAAATCATATTATGTTTATTAAAAAATAATGTCTTACAAATGGAACCAAATTTCATTTCTTCAAATGTTGTTCTTGCTGGTTTTAAGTTACCCAATCACTAAATAAAACCATAGCCACCATTTCCTTTGATGCAAATGGTAGTTTTCACACTGGATTCCATTATAAAACGTTCTCAATAAACATTAGTTTTAAAGAAATATTCCCTTTTTATTTAAGATGGCAAGATTGTAGATGAGCACAGAAGGTTATATGTCTTCTTTCAACTCAGTGTTACTGACAGCATGAAAGTTCTGTTGGCAACAAATCATTGCAGTGTAGCATCGAAAGGAAGAAAACTCAAGGTTACACTACTTTGAAGTTCCCTGGATTAGGACATTCACGATAAAGCAAGAGACTGAAAAGCCGACCCCAGTATAAATGATAATCAGAAACCACTGAATTGTTTCTGTACTATTCTGGATAAACCTTCCTGTGTAATTGCAAAAACAGGGAAGGGCCAGTCTTTTCCTTCTTTGCATAACGTGAGGAAAATATTGGGTCAGATGGCACGATACTTTCTTTCATTATTGTTCCATAATTGCTGAAGTGAAGAAGTATAACAGCAACCCATTTTAGAGACAGGTGGATTTCCTAGTAGCAAATTCAAATGGTGTTGGTTTTAGTAGTATTGGTAATTCCGACAGCAAATATCTTTGCACAACTCAAATGAGGTAGATAAACAAATTCAGATAATGCTACAAGGCGAGTGCCTCCT
This sequence comes from Homo sapiens, assembly GCF_000001405.40. Lineage (NCBI taxonomy): Eukaryota > Metazoa > Chordata > Mammalia > Primates > Hominidae > Homo > Homo sapiens. The sequence goes on along the minus strand of NC_000013.11, from coordinate 103,656,592 downwards.
GCAGTTCTCTGAGCCTCCTGAAGCTGTGGTAGTGACATAGCATAATTCACTGACTCTCTAGAGTGTCATAGTCTAATGGCATTTCACAGCCATGGCACATCACATTACATTATGCTCACAGTGTCACCACGTAAGCCACAGCACCATAAAGTGATAACATCACATAACGAGACATGCAAACTCAATGTAATGTGAAATACAAGAAAATCAATGCAGCATATCACTAAAAGTACCCCAGTTTGGAAGGGGTGGGGGTACCTATGGGCATTTCAAATGAATTTACAGATCATTCATTTCCTACATAATTTTACTGTATTTAATTTCTGTGCATCTGCAGACTTCCACAGAGAAATCTCATGTTGAATTTGCAAGCTGTGCAACTATGCAACCATATTTCTTTTCCAGAGGAAGCCATGTAGTAAAATGTAAATATGTAGCATAGAATATTCGAAAAGAATTTAACGAACATTCGAAAAGAATTTCATTTTAATGGGATGTTCTCTTTGCAAATATTGTGTAAAGGGCTACACATTTCTTAAATTAACTGGCACAATTCTGACTCTCAACATGAGAAAGGACCCTTTCAAAAGAAAGAAATAGCAATTATAAAAGGATTAAAAGGTAGGATTTATCAGGAAAGACTACACAGTATAGGGAGTGCTGGGTAGAATTAGAAACTAGAGCAACAAGCATTTCTTCAACAATACAGTCTTTTGTTGTAGGAGGAAACACTCTCAGCTAATATTACCTCAAAGCCAGGCAACCAGTTACTATAGGAACTCTCTAGGACTAAACTTCTAATACCAAACTACTGGCAACATTGCCTTTGCATTTTACACCAAGAAGCACAAGAGTGCGCTCTCAAATATGATAATGAGCAAAACTGCACACCAGTTACAGCAAATAAAAGGAAAGATGGAGTTAATGTCATTAAGAAATAGTTCAGGGCCGGGCACAGTGGCTCACACCTGTAATCCAGCACTTTGGGAGCCCGAGGTGGGCGAATCACAAGGTCAGGAGTCTGAGACCAGCCTGGCCACCATGGTGAAATCCCGTCTCTACTAAAAACACAAAAATCAGCTGGGCGTGGTGGCGGGCGCCTATAGTCCCAGCTACTCGGGAGGCTGAGGCAGGAGAATCGCTTGAACCTGGGGGGCAGAGATTGCAGTGAGCCAAGATGGCACCACTGCACTCCAGCCTGGGTAATAGAGCGAGACTCCGTCTCAAAAAATAAATAAATAAATAAATAAACAAATAAATAAATAGTTTAGACAATTGATGGTGTTTCTAAACATCAGGAGTCACTGAATTTCAAGGTGATAAAACATGCCTAGCAACATTGAATTAGACTAGAAGATATTAATTTTTGAGACAGAGTCTCACTGTCACCCCGGCTGGAGTGCAGTGGCGGCTCACTGCAACCTTTGCCTCCTGGATTCCAGCAATTCTCCTACCTCAGCCTCCTGAGTAGCTGGGACTACAGGCTCCCACCACCACACCCAGCTAATTTTTGTACTGTTAGTAGAGACGGGGTTTCACCATGTTGGCCTGGTTGGTCTCGAACTCCTGACCTCAGGTGATCTGCCCGCCTCAGCCTCCCAAAGTGCTGGGATTACAGGTGTGAACCACTGCACCCAGCCGAAGATATTCTTAAGATAATTTTATGCTTTTGAGGGTATTGTTTTCTAATTTTCATGACATAGTTTTTCAGACTGAGTCAAAGAAATTTGGCAACTAGATTTAAAATAACAGAAAAATGTAATGAAAGAAAAGTTTTAAAGCACTATTATATACATTTATACAAGTTCAAAACTCTCCCTTGCATATTTTTGATGGAGATATGTTTTGCCATGTACCTCCTTTGATTCTGTCCAACGTAAACATTAGGAAAACAATCACTTTAGCACTGTTTCCAATCTAGAAATGCATGTGGATCACACGGAGCAGTTGTCTATCCCCTTCCTCTGCAGTTTTAAAACCATCTACTTGTCTATTTTGCCATGCTTGACAAGATACTTTGGGGTTGAAATAGGCACAGCCTGAAAGTGATCAAAGTTTATTTAGAAGCTAATGTAGACAGTAAATTATAGAAATTATAATTACGTTGTCAAATAAAAAACATTCTGGATTTTCCTCATTTTCTTTGTGTGTGTGTTGTAAAAGTCACACAACATAAAATTTACCTTCTTAATAAATTTCTATTAATAGTAACAGTGCAGAATTGTAAACCTGAAACATAATGTTATACAGCAATTTTCTAGAATTTTTTCATTACGTGCAACTGGGTCTTTCTACCCATCGAACAGCAACTTCCCACTTCTCCCTTCCTCCTTGCCAGTGGCAAGCAATTCTCCTTCCAGCTTCAAAGAGTTTGACTACTTTAGATTCTCATACAGAGGAATTGCACACATTTATCTTTCTGTGACTGGCTTATTTCACATAGCATAATGTCCTCAAGCCTCATTTATATTGTAACATCTGACAGAAGTTCCTTCTTTTTTATGACTGAATAATATTCTATTTTATATATAAAATAGATAATCTGGGTAATTCATGGGGTAAAGCCATTGATGTGGAACGTTTAGATATCCTTTTAGATCACTTGTTTGAAGGTTTCCTGGTCCATTTTATTGTCATTAAAACCAAGGAGGAAACTGGTAAATATAATATAAACATATGATATGTAAAAACTGATCACCTTGGATTAGATGTAGCTTACTCTTCAAGTTCTCCAATGCTGGGCTCTGTTATGCACCTGCTCTGACTCAATTCTGTTCTTGTGTGTTGTGATATATTATTTGATTGTTTATGGCATGCCCCCCCCCCACAATTATGGCAAGCACCTTTAAAATTAAATTAACATTGAGTTGCAAACCAAATCATACAAAATAATATAAAACTTAAAGAAACGTATAAATTAATTTTTGGCAAATGCAGGCAACACTCATCTTAGAAGGATAAAATCAAGGACTGTTAATCACAAGTATTGGTCCATTAAAAGTAAAGCTCTTTTAGACTCAAGTTCCCAAGAGGACAATATCATGAACCTCTGATATCCCTAAAAACTATAGCACATGACAGTCCCAGGGTGTATGACAAGATGGTCATACAACACATGTCAGTGTATCAATAAATAATCACCCATCTCTGGGAAAGGCACAGTTTTCTACTTCAACCAGGGACACATTCGGTACAAACATTGCATCTGTGTTCCCTCCCCCACTCCTTTCTTGCCTATTCTCTCTGCCTCAATAACAGGAACACTGTCATTAGACCTCCCTCTGAGCATTCAGAGCCCTCAAGTCAGGGACACATTTCACCAAGAGAGACTTAGTCAACAGTGCAACGCTGCTGCCATTTTCCTCAAAGTTAACTCTTTAATTTGATGTGATTTTTTTTCTCCAGTCCCATAATGTGGCACAGCTTAATCCAAGGCCATTAGAGAGAACTTACATCCCCCTTCTCCATAATGTGGCAATTAGAGAGAACCCAATTCCCCCTTCTCCATAATGTGGCACACCTTAATCCAGGGCAATTAGAGAAAATCTACTTCCCCCACATCAGCTAAGCCCCAGCACCCCCCGCCCCCATTACACATTCAAAAAATGTGTCAGAACTGTTCTGGCTATTACTTGAAAGGATTATGAAGAGGTTGTTTTGGTGTTTGTTTTGTTGTTTACTTACACATGTTGCTATCCACTCACTAGAACTGGGTTTTATTCATTATCATGTTTTGATAATTTCAGAAAAATGAGATTTTCTTAGTAAAATTGGTATCAATTTACTCTATCTTATTAAAAACTACATTTCTAATAGTATATTATTTCTTATTTTGCCTTACTTGATCTTATTTAATTTTTGTCTTTTTTTGATGCAAAGTTGCTCATCAATTGTATTTCTAAAGAGTAACTTTAAAGATTCATTTTCAATGGATGCCACCTACAAATTTCAAGGTATGAAATATAACTAGGAGTGTTTCTTTTGTGCTTAAAACATCACTTCAGTATTTAAACAATGCTTACAATGTGAAATGAAAACTCAAATTATCTAGGTAATCCCTACTGGATAAGGAGAAAAGGCTTTGCTTGAAATGCCGGCCAATCAGAATGAAACAAAACAATTTTTTTTGGCTACAAATATTTTAATAGCCTCACTTTTGCCCTTATAAATACACAAATACACTTTCTGAGAATAAAACTGCACTTAAAAGTATTTTTTCATTAAAAATTAAGTTATCAGCTTTCCACAAGTTTGTCAATCCCTGTTACCTATCATAAGTTACCTTTTAACAAGCTCTTTATGGACATAACCACTCACCTATCACACCATTCAATTTATTGACCTCATTTTGCTTAAAAGTAAAGCATCCTACACATGTTGGTATTTTTTTTATTTTAAATTATAGACCAAAGAAGTGAAATGAAAATAAAGTTTTATAATTTTTGACTATTAAAGTGTTGATACGTTGATGTTCAGGAGACAAATATATGTCAGAGATTTAATTGTCAAAAAATATACTTTCACTTTTAATCATCTGTGGCTCAAACAACTGAATAGAACCTTTAGATTCTCCATGGAGCCTACAGTAGGACAGAGGAGAGAGAGTCTCTGGAAGGACTTTCTTCTGCTTGTTAGAATGGTGTCAGTATTTATTCCCTAAATGGCAAAGGGAGGTAAAGGAAGATCTGATAGCGGGACAGAAAGAGATCCTGAGCTCGTATATTTGCAGCAGATGTGCGTGACATTTTACTACTAAAAAGAAAACATTTATATAGACATTGATCTCAAAAGTAAAATCAAATGCTAAACTTGGTACCATATTGGACTGTAATAAGCCTTCCTCTCTTAACGTTTGAAACTATGTTTTTATATGGTGACAGTGACATTTTATATATTTAGCCCATAGTTTTAACAGCTCCTAAATATTCATAATGCTAATTTTAAGTCACAGCATGATTTGTTAATTCTTATAACTCTGCCAAACCTTGATAAATTGGGCTAAATTTGAACCAGATTTTCTAAGCCTTGCAGAGACATATTAATTCAATATTATTACTGTCAAGCATAAAATATGTTCAGAAGCTTCCAGCATCACATCACACCACTTCACAGCTGAACTGGCACTTCATTCCCTTAAACTGACTAACTTATCTGCCATTGAAATAACCAATAAGGTTGTCTATTGTTCTTGCATTTAATAGGGTTCATTCTTTTGACCAAAATTGTAGAGTAGGGAAAGGAAATAGAAAAATTCTTTTGAGAAAAGTAATAGCTTAGGTAGTTAATAAATATGAATGACTATGTTTCACAAAATTTAAAACTGTCAAGAATGAAAAAGAAGCTAATTGTTGTTGGTCTACCAAAAGCTAAATATGGTAAATGGCTCTTAATGAGCACAATGTAGAAATGTCTGTTCTTTCCTTAGGGGCATTTCAAAGGAAATAAAAATAGTTTATTGGAATTCTGTCATTTACAGTGCATTATAAATATGCCAATATCTGTTTACACTCTTGAAGAAAATTTTATTTCTTGGATATAAAACTATTATTGTGACATTGTTTCATTTTCATAGCAAGTCTGAACCTGATTTAGATTTTGACTCTAGAGAAGGAGAAGTTCCCTTGTTTTTTTATCTGACTCCCAGGGCAAGTTCTTAGCTTCCATGATTTTGAAAATATAACAGCAAAATGGTCTCGAGTACCAATAACTTGAAAGATAAATGATAAAGATACGTCCTCAATAAAGTTCTTCTCTTGAAGTATCACTGCTATGACTTCCCATATAAGAGACTATCCCTATCTCTCTATCTGAAGTTCTTTCTCCAAACTTACGCCTCCTCTCTCATGCCCTTAAACCTTATCCCTTTTCACTTACTCAAGCCTTTTTTTTTTTTTTGAAATTGTGTTCCTCTTACACATGTTCAATTTTTCCCTCTCTGCTATGTTCTGCTTTAATTGACGGCATCTTTTGTGTAGAGGGTATTTCCCTGGACCCCACTTCTTCCTCTGGCCACCACTTCATTTTTCTTGGTTTCTTTCTCAAATTCCTCAATATTATATACCTTTTTTTCCTTTAAAAGGCTGTATTTAAAATGTACTTGCTTCTTTAAAAAATGGTCGTTATTTTTTAAAGTAGCTTGAGTTTTACTGAAAAATTGGGCAGAAAGTAGAGTTCTTATATGCTGCCTTCCTCCACGTACTCACAGACTTTCCACTATCAGCTTCCTACACCAGAGAGGTTCATTTGTTACAGTCAATAAACCTACACTGGCACATCACTATCACCTAAAATCCATAGTTACATGAGTGTTCCCTCTTGGTGTTTTAAATTCTGTGGGTTTTGACTAATGTATAATAACATGTATCTACCATTACAGTATCATACAGAATAATTTTACTGCCTTAAAAGTCCTCTGTGCTCTGCTGAACTATTACTATTACTTCCCCTCCCTTAACTCCTGACAACCACTCATCTTTCTACTGTCTTAATAGTTTTGCCTTTGACATTCAGTTTTTAAGCCATTTAAATGTTTCCAAGCCTACTACTCCAAAATTGTTTCTGATAGGATCACTAATAATTCTGTTAATTAATATACAATGGTCAATTCTTAGTGCTTATCCTAGTTCAATATTTCAGCACTGTTGACAGTTGATCATTCCTGCACTCATGAAAAACACATGTATCTTGGTTTCCATGATGCCTCATTATTCTGGTTTTAGCCACTTCCTTTCTAGACATTTGTATTCAGTCTCCATCATTGATTATTCCTTTTCTGAAAACACTTAAATGTTAGGACAACCTTAGACTTAGATTTGCTCCTCTACTCCATTCTAACTATATGACTCTAATTTATAGCATTTGAATGGACTAATTCAAATAACTTATATTTGTTAAAGTTGCTGTAACTTGCGATAGTTTACTGAGAATGATGATTTCCAATTTCATCCATGTCCCTACAAAGGACAGGAACTCATCATTTTTTATGGCTGCATAGTATTCCATGGTGTATATGTGCCACATTTTCTTAATCCAGTCTATCATTGTTGGACATTTGGGTTGGTTCCAAGTCTTTGCTCTTGTGAATAGTGCCAGTAAACTATCGCAAGAACAAAAAACCAAACACCGCATATTCTCACTCATAGGTGGGAATTGAACAATGAGAACACATGGACACAGGAAGGGGAACATCACACTCTGGGGACTGTTGTGGGGTGGGGGGAGGGGGGAGGGATAGCATTGGGAGATATACCTAATGCTAGATGACGAGTTAGTGGGTGCAGCGCACTAGCATGGCACATGTATACATATGTAACTAACCTGCACATTGTGCACATGTACCCTAAAACTTAAAGTATAATAATTAAAAAAAAAAGTGATACATAGACCCACTATTCGATCGCCATAAAAAGCAATGAACTATTGAGACATACAACAATAAACTTTTGGAGATGAAAAAAAAGGTTGCTGTAACTATATACGATTCTAGTCTCCAGACATAATAGGGTAGATACATTTCTCCCTAACTAAAACTCTGCATATTACATATAAAACAAAGTTAAGAACACTCTGAAAGATAGAGAGGGTAGTTAGCCTGTATTTATTTTCCTGAGTCTACATTTTGCCTAATGCATTCCATGCTGGCTGCTGAGGAAGCCAATAATCTACAAACATCAACGAGCACAGACAAAAAAAGAAAAATGCCAAAGGAAGCTGCTCTTTCTAGGCAAAGGACCAAGAAAGGCACATCTATCTAAGACAGTAAACCTTCAGAGAATAGACACTCTACCCAAACACCGTGAACCAAGCGTGCCCTGTTATTATCACCATCGTCAAAGACCAAATTGAAAGCCTAGACTTCCAACTTCACCCTGCTGTCCTAAGGTTCCTCTTTTTCCACACTGGCATAATTCTTAAAAAGGCTTAGAGGGAATAAGGATTTCCATCCCTGTCTGGCAGTAACAAGGACCCACCCCACACACCCAGAGTGTCAGTGGAGACCACATGGGATGCAGTAATAAGGCCCCTCTTCCAATCTTAGCTGAAGTGGTGTCTGCAAAGGTATTCTGGGAAGCCTGAACTATCATCACACCCAGCAGTCATGAGGTTATTTCCACTGCCAGCATGGTGTTGAAGGAGGACTGCTAAAATTGTATCTGTAAATAAGATCCAGAATATTATGACCTAATGTTCAAAATGTCCAACATACATAGAAAATCATGTATCATGCCAAAAAGCAGAAAAATCTCAAATTAAATTAGAGAAGACAATCAACAGACACCAATGCTGTGATGACACAGATGAAGGAATTATCTGACTAGTTTTCTAAAGCAGCAATTATAAACATAATCCAATGAACAGTTACAATCATGTTTGAAGACCCACCAAAGAACAGAAGGTGTCACCAAATAAAAACATAAAGGGGAAACAAATGAATATTTTAGAACTGAAAAATACACAATTGAAATTAAAAATTCTAAGAACGAATCCAAGAGGAGAATAAAAAAGGCATAGGAAATAAAAAATTAACTTGAGGACAAAAGATAGAAATTACCCAGTCTGAGGATGGGGGCAGGGCTTACGATAGCTATCTAGACACATTTCATGTCCACCTCCTCCACTTAGAAGAACCAAAATAATATGTAGATAGTCACACTTAGAATACATTATCTGAAAGACCATGCTGGATTTCAACGGAGAAGTGACAGGAAACACCAAAAGCAGGGAAGGAGAAGGAAGAGAGGAGGCCTGCCTGGCCAGGATTGACTGGGAACCAACAGTTACTTCCAAACACAGGGAAGGAATGAGTGAGGGACTTCCAAGCCACTCACATCCTCACCATGGAATCATGCAGTCCTGGCAACAGGACAACCCCTTAATCCTTCCAATCCTGAAACTAATATAAGGAGCTTCCAGAAGACAGTAGGACAAAACTACTCCAAAGAGGGAGCTCATGCTGTATCTGACACCCTTTCTAAGCCTAAGCAGCTACAGCAAGGTGCCACTGTCCAGCTGGGCTTTTGGCCAACTGCCCACTGTCCTGGGACCCAGAAGTACTGGGACCAAGGCATTACAAAAACTCAGGCTGCCACTACTGAGACTGGGGGGTGAGCTAAGAGTGCTCCTGTAGCCAAGGCTAAGAAGCAAGTGAGGCATAGGCTGCAGCTGACAGTGCTGGGAAGTGACCACAACTGGGACTGAGAGGGGGATGCAACTGGAATGTGAGGTGCTGTTGGGACTTGATCAACAGGGAGGTGGGGGACCCCGCAGCCAGGCAAGGGGTGCTAGCTAGGCATGGGTTACCACCACCAGGGCAAGCTCTGCTGAGACTGGGACATAAGAGGCATGTGTGTTTCTCACCCACCAACGCAGGCTGTGGACATCAAGGATGGCCTTACCCTCTCCAGTAACAGGGCTTCAGTGTGATTGCTACCGCCCGCAACTTGAGCACTTTGCCTGGAGTCTGAGGATTGCCTCACTGTCATCCACCAAGGCTGGGGTCTGCTCTCACCTTTGGGGAGCTTGAAAATAAGCCCACTCAGTCAAGCTTCGCCACTCCCATCCTCGAGACAGAGCGCAAAGCCTGGTGTTTGGGGGATTGCCTGACCCAAACCCATCCTTAGGCACCTGAGCACTCCTCTCACGGTCCTAGGGTTGGGCGTAAACTTCTGGCTGCAACAACTTTAGCTAGCACCTGTCTGCAAATGCCACCTTCAGGTCTGGAAACTGGCCCGCTCATTCCTCGGAAGCCACTGCCAACAACAATGAACACTGTTTGCACTTGAGAAAGCCACACGAAGGCCCAAGAATTGACCTGCCGATAAGCACCAACACAGGTGCCAGTGCACGCCACTCTGGGGTAAAAACATAGGCACATTTAGCCCACTGCTACCACTGCTAGGGCCTGAAGACTGGCCCACCTGGAATCCTACTTCCCAGCACAACTTCTCCACAACTTCCACTAATAACCTCATCCTAACCCATCGAGAAAATCACAGATGCCGCTAATGTTGTTTACAGCCGAAGAAATCATACAGAGAGTACACTACTGCACACATGCATATCTAGAAAAGCAAGAACAAACTAAACCCAAAATTAGCAAAAGAAAAGACATTAATAAAGATTAGAGCATAACTAAAAGAAATAGACTAAAAATACAAAGGATCCACAAAATAAAAGGTAGGTGTTTTGAAAATTTAAACAAAATTGATAAACTGCTCCCTAGACTAACAAAGTAAATAAGAGAGAAGACCCAAAATAAACAAAATCAGAAATGAGAAAGGACACATTACAACTGATGCCACAGAAATACAAAAGACCATTACAGACTTTTTCTTTTTTATTCAATTTTTATTTTTTAAGTTCTAGGGTACATGTGCAAGGTGTGCAGTTTTGTTATATAGGTGTACGTGTGCCATGGTGGTTTGCTGCACAGATCAACCCATCACCTAGGTATTAAGCCTAGAATCCTTTAGCTATTCTTCCTGATGCTCTCCCTCCCCTGACACCCTCCAACAAGCCCCAGTATGTGATGTTCCCCTACACGTGTTCATGTGTTCTCATTGTTCAGCTCCCACTTATAAATGAGAACATGCAGTGTTCGGTTTTCTGTTCCTGTGTTAGTTTGCTGAGGATAATGGCTTCCAGCTCCATCCATTTTCCTGCAAAGAATGTGAACTCATTCCTTTTTATGGTTGCAGAGTATTTCATGGCATCACAGATGAACAACTATACACTGACAAACTAGAAAACTTGGAGGAAATGAATAAATTCCTGGAAACACACAATCTACCAATATTGAATCAGTAGGGAATAGAAATCTGAACTGACCAATAATAAGTAGTGACATTAAATTAGTAATAAAAATGTCTCCCCACAATGAAAAGCCCAAGACCAGTTGGATTCACAGCCAAATTCTACCAAACATACAAAGAAAAACTAATACCTAATACCAACTGTTTTCAAAGTATTCCCAAAAAATTGAAGAGAAAGGTGCTCTTCATAACTCATTCTATGAAACCGACATCATCCTGATACCATAACCAAAAATAACGACAACAACAAAGATCTACAGACCAATATGCCCAGTGAATATATGCAAAAATCCTCAACAAAATACTAGCAAACTGAATCCAACAGCACATTAAAAAAGATAAGACACAACGATCAAGTGGGACTTATCTCAAGGATGTAAGGATGATTCCACAAACACAAATCAATAAGCACGATTCATCACAGCTACAGAATGAAACACAAAAACCATACGATCACCTAAGTAAACACAGAAAAAAATTTGATAAATCATCCCTGCAATATACCTGCATGATAAAAACTCTCAACAAACCAGGGATAAAAGGAATGCGCCTAATAACAGTAAAGACCATATACAACAAACCACAGCTAATGTTATACTGAATGGTGAAAATTAAGTCATTCCTCTAAGAACTGGAATAAGACCAGGATGTCCGCTTTCACCACTCCTGTTCAATATGCTACTGAAAGTCCTAGCAAGAGCAATCAGGCCGAGAAAAGAACAAAAGACATTCAAACCGGAAATGAAGAAGTCAAATTATCCCTCTTTGCTAATGATATAATCTTATGCCTGAAAATACCTAAAGACTCCACCAAAAAACTCTCAGATTTGATATATAAATTCAGTAAAGTTGCAAGATACAACATCGGTGTCCAAAAATCAGTAGCATTTTTATACACCAATAATCATCTAGCCATAAAAGAAATGAAGAAGGCAATCCCACTTACAATAGCTCCAACAAATAAAAATAAACTACATAGGAATATACTTAGCCAATAAGGTGAAAGATCTCTGCAGGAAAACTACAAAACACTGATGAAAGTAATTCAAGATGACACTAACAATTCCAATTCAAAAAACACCCCATCCTCATGGATTGGAATAATTAACAATGCTATAAATGACCATATTTCTCAAAGCAATCAAAAGATTCAACACATTCCCTATCAAAATGTTAACCTTATTCTTCACATAATTTGAAAAAAAGCAAACCTAAACTTCATATGAAACCAAAAAAGGGCCTGAATGGCCAAAGCAATCCTGAGCAAAAAGAACAAGACTGGAGGCATTACATTACCTGACTTCAAAATATATTACAAGCCTACAGTAAAAAAACAAAACTAAACTAAACAAAAAACAGGCTGATACTGGTATAAAATGGATACCTAAACTAACAGAACAAAATAGAGAACCCAGAAATAAAGCCACATATTTACAGCCAGCAAATCTTTGACAAAGCCAACAAGAACTTACACTGGGGAAAAGACACTATTTTAAACAAATGGTGATGGGAAAATTGGATAGTCACATGTAGAATAACGAAACCGGACTCCTATCTCTCACCACATACAAAAATCAACTCAACAAATGGGTTAAAGACTTAGACGTATGACCCCCAAATACAAAAATACTACAAGCAAACCTAGGGAGAACTCTTATAGACATTGAGCTAAGGAAAGAATTTATGACAAAACCTTCAAATGCACAGGTAGTAAAAACAAAAATAAACAAATGAGTCTCAACTACAGAACTTCTGCTCAGCAAAATTCAAAATAACTGGACTGAAAACACAACCTGAAAAATGGGCAAAAATATCTGTAAACTATTCATCCAACACGGAAGTAATATCCAGAATATAGAAGGAAACCAAAAACTCAATAAAAAATATCCCATTAAAAAGTGGGCAAGGACATGAATAGACAACATTTCTCAAAAGAAGAAATACAAATGGCCAACAGTATATTAAAAAAGTGCTCAACATCACTAATAATCAGAAACATGAAAATCACAACCACAATGAGACATCATCTTACCCCATTCAGAATGGCTATTATTAAAAAGAGAAAGAAAATAACAGATGTATGTAAGGATCCAAAGAAAGTGAACTCTTATACACCGTTGGTGAAAATGTAAACTAGTAGAGTCACAGGGGAAAACAGTAGGAACATTTCTCAAAGAACTAAAACTGGAACTACTATTCAATCCAGCAATCCCACTACTGGATATTTATCCAAAGGAAAAGAAATCAGTAAATCAAATGGATACCTGCACTTGCATATTTACTGCAGCACCATTCACAATAGCAAAGATGTGGAATTAACCTGTTTGTTCATCAGTGGATGAACGAATAAAGAAAATGTGGTATATACACATGATGGAATAATATTCAGCCATACAAAAGAACAAAATTATGTCATTTGTAGCAACACGGATGGAATTGGAGGTCATTACTTTAGGTGAAATTAGCCAGGCACAAAAAGACAAATAACACATGTTCTCACGTGTATTTTGGAGCTGAAATGTTTGATGACATGGAGGTAGAGAGTGGGAAAAGAAATAACAGAGATTGTAAAGGGTGAGTGGAGGGAGGTTGGGAAGGATAATGATAATTGGTTTAAAAGATACAAACATACGTAAGCTATAAGAAATAAATTCAGTTTTTGATTGTAGAGTGATTGTACTTGACAAAAATGTACTGTATTCAGGTAATGGATACCCTAAATACCTTGACTTGAACAATATGCATTATATACATGAAACAAATTTATTATGTACCCTATACATTGGTACAAAAAAAAATGCTGTTTTAAAGATTGAAAAAAGTAATTGCCCTGTGTGAACAACTGTGAGAAATTGTGCTAAAATAAGGTGAACAGAACCTCATGAACGTGTAGGACTAAAAAACCATCTAACATTCGTGTCACTTCCACTTCAGGAGTGAAGAAAGAGAGTAGCACTAAAAATGCATGCAAAGAACGAATGTCTGAAAACTTCTCAAATTTGGCAAAAGGGAAAAATGTACAATTCAAGACCTGAGTGAACCCCAAATAAGACAAACTCGAAAAATCTATTCCAAGACACATCACAATCTAACTTCCAGAAACTGAAGGCAAGGAAAAAATCTTGAAAGCAATAAGAAAGAAATGACATCTTACCTTTAAGGACAAAACAGTTCAAAAGACAACAGACTTCTTACAGGAAACCATAGAAACCAGTAGGAAATGGCACAATATTTGTCCAGGGTTGAAAGAAAAGCACGATCCTTCTGACCAAATAAACAAATGAAAAAATAATTTAGGAAATTATTATTTTTAAGCCTTGTGTACTTGATGGTATTACTTTGTGAGTATTATTTTGTGAGTCTCAAGGAGCCAATTATTCTTCCAATCTTAGGTAGCCAAACATGTTAATGAGAGCTCAGAGGTTTAGTCTAATATCTAGATTATTTCCAATGTGTATAATCTTCATATTGCAATAAAAGGAAGCTCAGAGTAGATGACAGAGCATTAACAGCTGTACTCAAATCCTTGTTCAACCACTTACTATGTGAATTTGGACAGGATCTTTTGTCTCTGAGCCTTACTTTTTTCATCTGTTAAATGGGACAATAATATCTGTTGCATAACTAACAATGGGGATAAAAAAGGACAGTATATGACAGTTTCAGATTGAATTTAGTTATGGGATTATATAGAGATGTGGATCATTTCATTCACTAAAATATATTAAGAATAATATTTCCAGTCATGGGAGAACAAAGAGGCCCATCTCTTTTTCTTAGGGTAGACAGTTAATTTGAAAGACAGACAGACTTGTACACATTCAATAAGAGGCAAGCAGGGGAGGCAGAATATGTTTATAGATGCATAAATAGATTTCTATGGTAGCAACAAGTGCCTTAATATTAAACACATGAATGTAAGTCCTGGCTCTGCCACTGATGAGCCATGAATTATTGGACAGATCATTAATATTTCCAAAATTTTATTTTCTTATTGACAAAATAGAAATATAAATAATGTCTTCAGTAGAAGGATTGTAAAGCTCAAATAAAGACAATTCATGTGAAGCACTTAGCCAAGTGTATGATCCCTAGCATTTTAGAAAGCAATAGATGATGGTTGCTATTATCACTCATAAGGCTATTTATCAAGGGTATCTTTGCCATGAGGTAGGCTTTAGGGACAGCAAGCTTTCTAGAGGCAAGTGTATCACGGACTGCAAATGCATTCCAAGCTACTAACGTAGGATGCCCAAACCCAAAGAGCTGGAAAGCTTCAGGATAAATTCATCCTTCTGATAGGGCTGAAATACAAATAGAAATGGCAAGAGGGGTACATTTCCATTTCATTTTAGATCATAATTATTGACAAGAAAGAGCTATTAAGAGTCTGAGAGAAGAGACAGGCATGATAATCACTGTATTTCTTAAAGATAATTCTGATAGCAGAAAGAACAGAGTATATGAAAGTGGAGAGGGTAGAATCAAGAAAATCAATTCTAATGTTGTTGAAATAATCCAAGTAGTAGGTGATAAAGGCATGGAAATGGGTGAAAAATAATGATATAAGCAGCAAGGAAAAAGAGATCTTGGAATAATACAAGTGAACAGACTCATTGAGAAGAATCCCACACGGCAGTAATGGAAAACAAAACAGAAAAAGATCTTCTGAATTTGACATTTTACCACCACAAAACTTTGACCTCAAAGAGTTTGAGAATTGTGTCAAAGACTCAGATCATCTATCTTAGATGGTCTTTTATTTCACCTTTGTGCCAAGCCATCTGCTCCCTCTCAAGGGCAAATACGGTGCTTTACTGACTGACTGGAAAAGCAAATATCCTGAATGCCTAGTTATTGACATTTAAGACTTACATCTTCTCTAATGACTCAGTGGGTGTGATACCCAGTAATGGAAGTTTTTAATTTGTGATTCTGATACACTGAGACCTTTCTCTGCAGCTGGAATGTTGTCTGGTGATGTCATGGTCTGCAGGGATCCCATCCACATATGCTGCATGCAATTTCCTATTATGTACTCCACATAATTGAATGATGCTCTCACCATTTGTTTTCCAATAAATATCACTCATGATGACCTTGAAAATACCTTTTCTCCTTCAGATATTCTTTTTGAAGCCCCAGTCATTAATCAAAAGAACTAACATAGTAATGTTTATGTTACTCAGAAAAGTAGCAAAAATAGTGTAAACAAGATATTCAGGTCAAGTTGTTTTTTTCCAACACTGTATTAAATGATACTTTGTTAGAATAAATATATCTCTCTCTATTAACATGTATGTATCTACATGAATACACATGTTTATACTTAATAATAGTATCTAATAACTATTGACAGTCGCTATGGGACAGACCCTGTATTAAGCACTTTACATTTGTGATATTATTTTCATCCATAGAGGCAGGTAGTATTATTAGACCCATTTGACAGATGAGTAAAATCAAGCTTAGAGGGTTTAATGGCACTGCTCAAAGTCAGGAAAGAAAGGTGGTGGATTTAGCAAATCGCAAATCTGACACAAAGCTGCTGCTTCTTCATGCTATAATATGACAGTGTACATTCTAGCCTGTGCGTATCTGTATAAGTATACATGTGTACATATGTGGATATGTACTTGACTATATACAGTGTTAACATGTATGCAGTATACCTAACACAGGTGTCAGGAAATGTGTGCCAAAGCCCTGTTATGGAGTAATCCTTTGAAACGAAAGAGAACAACTATAGTTTTAGTTTATTATTTATTTTCCTCTTAGTCTATTTATTCAGAAATATGATTTAAACTGCATAAAAATTTCTACGATTCCACTTTCATCAACAATTACTAGCAATGCCAATCCAATTAAATGTCCAGAAACCTTGGAAGAATTTCTAAAAATAGCAAGATTTAGAATTTCAGTTTTCTATAGCAACAACCTTGCAAAATACCTATAATCAGGGCATTTAAAATTAACTTAGAGAAGTATGAAAGTGTGATTTGCAGGTCACTCAGTTAGTTAGGAAAAAGTCTGAGTTACTGTGCACAGCAGTCTGAGGTATGACTACACATTAATGAGAGTGATTTAATAAGCAATTTTTAAAAATCAATCTTATTATTGTAGAGCAGAGGTCAAAAACTGGCAGGCTACAGGTCGGATTTTGCCCTGAGATATGTTTTGTTTGGCTCACATAACTTTGGCCTGCCCAAGGTTGTAAATCTTTTGAAATAGTTGCCAACATTTGAAAATCGGGAGATATATAAAAACCTGGGTTTCTGGCTTCTTTTAAAAGGCCCGGAGGTCTGGCAAGCTGAGCATTCATTCTCTCAAGACAACTCTAATTTGTATCTGGGCAATCTCATAGCCCTCTGTTCTCTATAACTCTGTCTTCTCTCTGTTGCTCTACCTTTGTTATAACTTCCTAACACTCAGTCCTCCTTATTCATTTACATTATCTGTGCAAGCTCTGTAATTATTTGAGTCTAGCTGTGCTGTTTGAAAATTATAGCTACTATATGGGAACGTCTGCTCACCCATCCAAATTTTCTATTTTTCAAATAGTACTGTGGAGTAGAATTCTAAGATTCTACCATCCCCAACTCCGAGACACCCAACCCTGGTGGACACACCTCTTCTTCTAGTTATTCAATCAAGCACTAATTGGGGTGCTGCTGTGAAGGGATTTTGCAGATGTAATTAAGGCCTCAAATCAGTTGACCTTAAAATTGGGAGATAATCAGGGTAGGCCTGAAATAATCACATGGGCTCTTTAAAAGTGGAGAATTTCCTCCAGCTGGTCACAAAAGAGGATCTCAAAGATTGCATTCCAGCTGGAATGGGAGAGGGCAAAGATCCTGTTATGAACATCCCCTAGGGGCCACTCAGCAAGGAATAGAAGCTCGAAGAGGTCTTTGAAAGACAGAAGGAAAATGGGAACCTTGATCATACAGCCATGGGTTTTGCCAAAAACAGTGAGCTTGGAAAAGGACACTGAACCCATATGAGAAAAACAGTCATAGTGGCCACCTCGATTTCAGCCCAGTGAGACCCTGGACAGAGAACTCTGTCATGCAGTGCCTAGACTTCTGAGCTGCAGAACTGTGAGATAATACATTTTTGTTGCTTTAAGCCTCTAGCTTTATGGTGATTTTTAAAACCACAGAAGAAATCTAATACAATATCCAATCATTCTTCCATCATTCTGACGTGAAGCTTAATATTAACATTAGCATCCCTATTTGCAATTAGTTGCCAAGATGGGTTGATTTTACTTACTTTGCTATTTCACTGACCTAGTTTAAACTTTTATCCTCCTGTGTCTGAAATTAAGTTATCGTTCTCTCTGGTTTCTATATATCCAGTTTTTGCCCCACAAAAATACATGATTTGCAATATTTCTATTTTAAACTTTCAGAAGCACTTTTCAAAGTCTTTAGTGAATCCCTATTGATTCATTAAAAAGGTAAGACTTCTCAGCCTGGCCTTCCCAGTGCTTCGTAACCTAAGTCCTGCCGACATATGCAGGTTCAGTAGTACTACGTCCTTTCCAAGCTGCCTACAACCCAGCACAATTAAGTTAGGCAATCTTCACATTGTATGTATGTATTTTATTAGACGGTAAATTTATTGGGGCCATGGTGTCTATCTGAAAATTATCATGGTCTTGGGGCATATGGACACACATTCATGGATCTCAGGTTTCTCCAGAATACTCAAATTTTATGCTTCACATTTTCACTATGTCTCAGACTGCATTAAAAAATAACAAATGTATATGACTAACAATTTGAAATACAGACTGATGACCAAGTTGTGCCATTCTACGTCTGTCCTTATTGACACTTGTTTGTATTTATGGTCTGTGCATTAAGTTATGCTGCACAGAATTTCTTACACAGAGAACTTGGGAATAAAGGAGGTTTTAGTAAGAAAATTATGCTACAGACCAAAAGTGAAGGCCTAATAGTAAAATGCCAATGAAAATTTCAGTGTGGCTTAAATGGAAAACAAAAGAAAGATGAAAGAATTGAGTGACAAAGGACCCATAATTGTATAAATTCCCCCTATTTATTTTGTGATTAGCAATTTAGTTTTGGCAAATTATGCAATTACATTAATTTTGTTGGTGGAAATTTAGCTGCTTTGCCATTAGGTTTATATTTAATACATAATTTTACTTTAGATTTAAAGTTATTTGTGAACTGGGAGTTTATGTACAGATTTATATTCTTACATGTTTCTGAAATAATATGCTAAATTAAGCTAATATAGAGATAGGAGTAGATCTGTGAATACTAGTTTTCTTTGTA
The DNA here is from genome assembly GCF_000001405.40 of Homo sapiens. Lineage (NCBI taxonomy): Eukaryota > Metazoa > Chordata > Mammalia > Primates > Hominidae > Homo > Homo sapiens. The sequence goes on along the minus strand of NC_000013.11, from coordinate 103,637,472 downwards.
ACGAGTTTATACTTTAATTAAATATGCAAACAAGCTTAGAGCGAGGAACAACAGATTTCCAATGAAAAAGTATAGTTTCAAGTGCTGCCTTTGCTACTTATAATCTTAGAGTGGCTAAATTTATGACTTGAGGTCACGGTTTTCTCATCAGAATAAGAGGGTGTTCAATTATACACATTTTAAGTTAGCTTTTCATTCCTAAACTTTTAAATTCATTTTTGTATTCTCAATGGCAGTAAGTCTAAAACCTGGTCAATTGTTACAATTACCTGTGGAGATTTTATTCTATTAACTTTATATTTTAGAAAAACTTTAGATTTACCGAAAAGTTGCAAGTTAGTATGGAGAGTTTCTGTACACCCGTGCCCACTTTTCCCTATCATTAATATCTTACACCAGCATGGTGCATTTGCCACACTAATCAACCAATATTGATACACAGTGTTTAACTAATGTCTACACTTTACCCATATTTTCTTAGCTTTTACTTAATGTTCTTTTACTGTTTCAGAATCCTGTCCAGGATATTATCTTGTGTGTAGTCATAGCATTAGTCAGCATTCTCCAGAGATTCAGAATCAATGGGACATACTAAAGAGATTATATTAGTTTGTTCTCACTCTGCTATAAAGAAATACCTGAACTGGGTAATTTATAAAGAAAAGAGGTTTAATTGGCTCACAGTTCTGCAGGCTGTACAGGAAGCATGGCAGCGTCTGCCTCTGGGGAGGCCTCAGGAAACTTTTCTTCATGGTGGAAGGCAAAGCAGGAGCAGGTGTCTGCAGAAGCAGGACAAGCAGAGGGAGTAGAGATGCCACACACTTTGAAACAACCAGATCTCATGAGAACTCACTCACTGTCACCAGAACAGTACCAGGAGATGGTGCTAAACCATTCATGAAGGACCAAACCATGCAGTCTCATGATCCAAACACCTCCCACCATGCCCCACCTCCAATATTGGGGATTACAATTCGATATGAGATTTGGGTGGGGACACAGATCCAAATCATATCAGACTTAGTATAAAGAATTGGATAATACAATTATGGAGGCTGAGAAACCTAAGAGCTGCAGTCAACAAGCTGTTGACCCAGGAGAGCTGATGATAAAATTCCATCCCAGGCCAAAGGCTTGAGAACCAGGAGAGCAGATAGTGTAAGTTTCAGTCCAAAAGCCTGCAGGAGCAACACCCAAAAAGAGCTGTTTCTGTCCTAGTGCAAAGACTGGAAAAACAATGTCACAGCTCAGTCAGGCAAGAGGAACTCCTTCTTACTCAGCCATTTTTTTCTTTCAGGTCTTCACTTGCTTGGTTGAGGCCCACATACATTAGGGAGGGCCATGTGTGGTATTCAGTCTACTAAGACAAATGTTAAACTCATCCAAAAGCACTCTCATAGACATGCCCAGAATAATGTTTGACTAAATGTCTGGGTACCCTGTGGCTCAGTCAAGTCAACACATTCTACAATTAACCATCACAGCCACCATGTTTCCTTAACGTCTTCTTGGCTGTGACAACTCAGGGTTGTCTTGTTTTTGGTAACTTCGGTATGTTGAGGAGGATTGGTCAGGTATTTTGAAGAATGTGACTAATGCAAGATTTGGTTAGGGTTTTTCTCATGATTAAGGTGTGGTTATGTTTGGGAAGGAAGGTCACAGAGGTAAAGTGCCATTCTTCTCATATTATCTCAAAGGTTCCCATTATCAACATGACTTAGCTTTTTTTTTTTTTTTTGAGATGAAGTCTTGCTGAGTCACCCAGGCTGGAGTGCAGTGGTGTGATCTCAGCTAAATACAACCCCTGCCTCTGGGGTTCAAGCCATTCTCGTGCCTCAGCCTTCCAAGTAGCTGGGATTACAGGTACGCGCCACCACGCCCAGCTAATTTTTGTATTTTTTAGTAGAGACAGGATTTCACCATGTTGCCTAGGCTGGTCTCAAACTCCTGACCTCAAGTGATCTGCCCACCTCGGCCTCCCAAAGTGCTGGGATTATAGGTGTGAGCCACCGTGCCTGGCCACAACTTAGCATTAATCACTTGACTGACATAGTGAATTAATTATGATTACCTCCTTGAAAGAAAATTATTTACATAAATTATTTGGGATTTTTCTTCATGATATGGAGATTTTTAATATAAAGAATCCCATTTTACAGAACAAGTGAGTTTGACTATTTAAAGGAAAAGCAAAGTTCTCTCAGGAATCTATTTATTATTTAAATCTTTCTTGCAGTTAAACTACCAGATTTCATAATTTTGCATCCAGTATAGTAGTTTGTAAAGGGTAGATGGTTAATGTAACTATGTTTATTGCATTAATGTTATAGTCCCCTCAAATTTTGTGTATTATAAATTGATCACAATCATTTTTCTGATCAAAATGAGCCAAATTTTAAAAAATATATACATTATGGCTGCATGAATTACTAATATATAGTGATAGGATGCAGAGTAAGAGTTAATTGATATTGAGATGTGAGATTAGCTGGGGAATTTTAGGATGATAGGTATGTTTTATTATTTGATTGTAGAAGAAATTGCATGGGTATTTACATTCATCAAAACTCATCAAACTGTACCTTAAAATGTGCTCATTTATTGTGTAAATTATACCTCAATAATATTGATTTTTAAAAGTAAAATATGGACCAATTTTTCAAGATTTTTAAACTCAGACAACAGAGAAATGCCCAAAACTGTGAGGAGAAATAATTCTAGAAAATGTTCAAATAAACCGAAATTTAATAGTTAAAACGGGAGTATGTCAGAGAGACAATCATTACGGCATTATTATCTGCCATCATAATGCAGTAGTAGTATGTAACAAGCAGTGTGGCCGTGTAACTTGAGTACAAATTTCTGGTTCCTTTTGTTCATAGTTATCCGGCCACGTAAATGTCTTCACCAAATGATTCTGCACAGAAGTGATGTGTACAGCTTCTACCTTGTTGCTTTACAGAAAATAACTTGTCTGACCTTCCCTGAGTTCCCCTTCCTAACAGTTACAGCATGGATGTGCCTGTACCCCAGCTTTGATTATGCAGATTAAGAAAAGAACCTAGGTACTGATGAAGCTAGATTACTAAAGAAACTTGAGTCTCTGAATGTCCCTATGGAGCAGAGTCTCCCAGGCAGCCCTACCCAGGAGATGTACGTGTAAGCGAAGCAACATTCTTTCTTCTTCAAGCCACAGCTTGTTTATTCTGCTTTGAAAGTTAACCTTTCCACTAACTGAAAGCAGAAGGACCCAGGGTGTTTCATGCTGAGGTAGTAGGATGAATAAAGGCAAATATGCATAAGCAGTGAATACACATGACTCCTTGTATTAGAAAAGGGGTTGGGAAAAATGGCTGGGAAAGCAGGTTAATGGGGAGAACTGATTATTGAAGAATTTATAAAATACAGTTCAATTAATGCATGATATTATTACAGAGGAAATGAACATGAACATTGCAGGGACACAAAATCATTGCTTCAAGAATATCAATCATATTTATGCAACTCATTGGTAAAAAAAAAAAAGATGCTGGCAAAATAAAAGTATAGTAATTTTTTTTAGAAATAAAGTGATATGTGCTTAATCACGGTCTGACCGTAAGAATAGGAGAAATGCAAAAAAAAACAAACAAAAGTATATCTTGAAGAAAGAAATGACCAAACAAGGTGGTGGGCTCAAAAAGTAGGTAAAAAAGAAATAAACCTAAATTACAAAAACTCAGACAATGCTGGTAATTGTTTGTAGATAGAAAAAGCCTCTCTTTAGGATTCTGTTGTATAATGAACTACTTCACTGCTATTTTCATGGGTGCCACCTTGTGCTGGACTTTCCACTTAGTTTTAGCAATACAATTTTTTTTAACTGAGTTGCCTTTATGAATTAAAGTGTGATTCTGTGTTTGAATAATATTGGCTTTCTTTGGAAATTAAATTCAAATTATATTTGTTTGCTCTATGTTTTCCTTTTCTAGGAGGCACGAAAGTATATCTAATAGTATAGAATGAAAAGAGAATGCCTTCCCAGAGATGACAACTCTGCTGGGTTAATTAATAAATAAAAGTTCACAACGTGTATGGAAGAAATAAGCTTGCCTTGTAGTCTAAAAAGCATGTAAACAAGAGAGGGCATATGTAAAAACAGGGTAAAAATAAGAAATTGCTAATTTTTTAAACGGCCAATACCTGAAAGTCAGTACATTAGAAAAATGAAACAAACAAACCAAAAAACCACTTTTCTTCCAATTTGAGTGCTAAACCTCTAGGTCAGTTTGACATTTTTCAATGTTTGCATGATAGCAGACTTCGATAGAATCCTTCTCCAATCACTCCTGCATGTTTCCAATCATGCTATGTTCTATAATCCATATTGGAGCGAGGCTTCCTTTGTTCACAACTCTCTGCGAGCTCCCCGTTGCCTGAAGAGTATAGTTCAGCTCCTGCACGGCTGTCAAGGTTCTTTAAGATCTGACTCCAAATTATCTTTCATCACCTGCTAAATCATCCCCAAAGTTCTACTCTCTTTCTTGCATACAGCCTGCTGTGTCCTTTCTTTACTCTTGCTCAGTGCACTCATCCTTTTTCTTTTGAAAAATCTACTTATCTCTAAAGGTTCAGATTAAATAGCACTTCTTAGAGGATCTTCTTCTACTACATTTAGATTTGTTGCATGGCTTACCACTTTTATTATATTTAGTTGTGCATGGCATTTTTCTGTGAAGAACTGAGTTATCGTGCTCAAATATGAAACTTTATAAAAGCCTTCTTTTTGTGATTCCATATGTTTCCTCCCACCTTCTTCAGTGAAGCACACAAGTCTTTGTACTGAGAGAATAAAACTACATACACGCTCATACAAATGTGTTCTCATAATTGTTTCACCTCCCTATGTTGTTCACTGGAGATAAAAATTTAAAAAAAAGCTTACACATGTTTACCAAATGCATCCTCCTTTGCCTTAATTATTCAATAGACATGGCAATTTTCTTACAACTTCAAATACCAATTTGTAGGTGGTAATAACAAAAATTATTCTGATATTGTCTAGTTTGGAATACTCATAATGTAGAGAATGCAAATTGTCATTCCATAAATAGAATAAAAAGTTGAAGTAATTGTAGTAACAATTATAATAAAGAATGCTTTTAAGATGTTTTCTCGGAGAAAGTAACAGAAACCTAATTCAAACTTATTTAAGTGAAAAAATAAATAAAGGAATTTATAAAAAATGTTTTGACTCAAAAATTGAAAAGTAAAACGAGAGTGGTCTAGCCTCAGACATCGCTTGATTCAGGCTTCAAATAACATCAGTTATCTCTTTCTCTTTATTCTTCAGTTAGCTTTAATCTCAGACTTCATGCATTAACTTAAAATATCTTTTGTGTCTATGATATCTCAGGTACTATTCAAGATACAGGCATAGAACAGAGAACAAAACACATGAAATATCTGTTCTCCTGGAGCTTACATTCTATCCGGGATTAGAGAGAAAGTGTGTGTGTGTGTGTGTGTGTGTGTATGTGTGTCTACCTAGTGATGAGAAGAAAAATAATTCAGGATGAGGGGCAGAAGTCTCTAAGAAGGGCCTTCCAAGCAGAATGAAACCAAGAAAAACATTATTATTGTTGTTGTTATTATTATTATTATTATTATTATTATTATTATGTTGAGACAGGGTCATACTCTGTCGCCCAGGCTGGAGTGCAATGGTGTAATCTCAGCTCACTGCTGCCTCGACCTACTGGGCTCAAGCGACCCTCCTGCCTCAGCCTCTCAACTAGCTGGGACCAAGGACCACACTTCCAATCCTGGCTAACTTTTTAAATATTTGTAGAAATGGGGATTGGCCATGTTGCTCAGGCTGGTCTTGAACTCCTGGGCTCCTGGGGAAAACATTCTGAAGCCAGCACTTGTCTGATGTGATTGAGAAAGACTGAAGAAGCCAGTGTGTCTGGACCAGTGATCAAGGTGCATAGTGGTGGGGAAGAGAAAGAAAAAGAGTTCAGGCGATGAAATAATCTAGAGCTATTTATGTTATAAAAAGAATATTTGCTCACATTCCAGTGAGACAGAAAATGGTTAGAAGGTTTAGAACAGAGATGTGGCATGATTATTACATTTTAAAATAATTACTACTTTTGAAGTTCAGGATCATATATAACAACCCTGAGGCCAGAAGTGAAGAGTGCTCTTTTCCCAGAGGCAGAAAAGGAAATTCAAAGAAATGAGGACTGCTATCACGAAACAACCTGCCCTTTTCTAAACTCATCACTGGGGCAAGAAAGGGGATGGAAGGCAGCTGAACTGACCAGCTTAGCCCCACTCATGGGTTTCCTCTTTGTGTCTAGTAGTGGAGACATCACCACCTAAAATACATAGAAAAAAACTATAATATAAATTTTACTAAATTGATTAATAAAAGAACGGAGATGACAGAGAAGACAGTGAACTTGAAGTTAGATCAATACGAATTATCTCAGCCAAAGAAGGGAAAAAAGATTGAATTAAAAATAGTCAGGGTCTCAGGGACTCTACTAGTAACCTCAATAGATCTAAACTGTGGGTACTTGCAGTTCCAAAGGACAAGAGAGAGAAAATAGGTCAGCAAAAAGTCCTTGTAAACAGAATGGCTAAAAACTTCAAACATTAGGTAAATCTAATTTTATGATTATTGAAAAGTTCTCCTTTAAATGCTGAAAGTAAGCAAACTGTCACCAGAATTCTATCCAGCAAAAATACCCTTCAAGAATGACGGTAAAATATAGACAACCACGAGTAAAGAAGAACAAAGATAATTTGCCACCTGCAAAGATAATCAGAGAATCAGACCTGCATTGTAATGTTAAAGGCAGTTGTTAAGGCTGAAGGGAAATGATACCAGAGGGAAATGTGCTATCTTCAGAAATAAATAAAAAGCATCAGAACTGTAAACATATAGACAAATATAAAAGACTGTGTTTTCTATTTGTTTAAAATACTTACATCCTTTAAAGAAAAAATATAACATTTTCTTGTGGGGTTTCCAATGACTATTGATATACTACATAAGATGAAAGATGATGCAGTGGTCAATACACCCACATGGTTGCAATTTTTCTAAATGTCACGTGAGATGGTAGAATAGCAAAAGATTGTCGAAAAAAATAAGGAAGTATACAGTAATCTCTAGCAGAATTACTAAAAAATATAAAACCAATAGGCAAAAAGTCAAGAGGTGAGTTAAAATCTAATTCTAAATATTATTCAAAGACTTCAAAACAGAGAAAACATAGAAAATAGAGTAAAAATAGAAAATAAGTAATAAATTAGTAGACCTGAATGCAATGATAAAAATAATCATACCAGATCTTAATGATGTAAGTTTTCCATTAAAACAGAAATTATTAGAGTCAATTAACATGCAAAACACAATTATATGCTGTCATAAGATGCATTTTAAATACAAACTTAATACACCAATCAGTTAAAAGTAAATAGATAAAATAACTGTCAAGTAGATAATAAATATGAAAAGTCTGGAGTGGTCACAATATTAGATAAATTAGTCATCCAGACAAAGATGAAGATTGCCAGTTCATAATCACAAAAGGATCAATTTTCAAGAAGACAAAACAATCAAAAATGTAGATTTGCCTACTAAAAATTTTCAATATGTAAAACAAAAATGGACAACATCAAAGATTGTGTCCTTAATCATAGTAGCAGTTAGTACAATATATGTCAGTTATATATCTTTAAGCAGTTGGTACAATATATGTCAAAAATATTAGGGAAATACTGATAGCTTAATTAATATCTATAGAGCATTGCCCCCAATAACTGCAGAAACAATATTTTTTTCAAGTGCACACTGTTATATTTACTAATATAGACTAATATATTGATCCACATCAAATAAGTTCCCCCAAATTAAAAAAAAATTGAAGTCACACACAGTATATTTTCTGACCGCAATGGAATTAAATTAAAAATCAATAACTATAAGATTTTAGAAACATATTTTGAGTGTCTGGACGTGTTTTAAAATTTAAAAATACACTTTTAAATAATACTTGGGTTAAAGACTAGAGAAATCAGAAAATGTTTTAATTGTTGCATTTAAGATACAACATATCAAAATATATAAAATGGAACTCAAGCAGTACATAGAAGAAAATGTCCTATCATTTAAAATTCATAAATGTAATAAATTAAGTAAAACTTTTTCATCCTTCCCAAACTAAGAACGGAAGGACGCTCCCTCATGCTGATAAAGGGAATAATTAGAGGTTAAATAATGGATACTTTTCCCTCAATTCCCCAATACAACAAAATTTCTCACTCCTAATTTACACCCAACATTGTACTGGAGATCCTAACTGTGGCAATAATCCAAGGAGGGGAAAAGACGTTCAGATTGGAAAAGAAGTAAAACTGTCTCCATTTTCAGATGCCATAATTGTTCATACAAGAAACCTTAAGAAATTTACAAAAGTACTCGAACTAATAAATTAGTGTAGAATTGTCGAAGGATACAAGGTTAATAAACTAATGGCAATTGCACTTTTGTATACTAGCAGCAAACAATAGGAAAATGAAATAAAAATGCATTTATAATAGTGCCAAAACCAAAGTATTTAGGAATAAATTCAACTTAAGATATGAAAGATTCCTAGACTGAAATTAGAGATAATCACTAACGTAACAACAAAATAAAAACTAAAACATGTAGAGATGAAAACACACCCTATCCATAGACTGAAAGCCTCAATATCATAAGGTCAGTTCTCTGAAGTAGATCTATAGGCTTACTTCAAACCCAATCAGAATTCTTGCAGGACATTTTGTAGGTGTTGGAAGTTGGCTTGACAATGCATATGGAAATTAGGAAGATGAAGAATAACTGCAGCAAATTTAAAAAAAGAACAGCAAAGTGTGAGGGTTGACACTATTTGGTTTCAAAATGACTATAAGGCTATAGTAATTAAGGCAGTGTGGTAATGAAATTAAGGTAGACAGATATATTAAAGGAACAAAACAGTACACGGAAATAAATACACAAATACATAGTGAATTGATTTTGCCAAAGGTGCCAAGGCAGTTCAATGGTTAAATAAAAGTTATTTTAACAAATGGTGCTGGAAAAAGTGGATATGTTCAGAAAAAAAATCCAATGATTTACTTTACTCACACCATGCACACAAGCAAAATCAAAATAGATTCTGACCTTAATGGAAAAAGCTAACACTATTAAGCTTTTAGGAAAAAAAAATAGAATATTTTTGCACACTTAGAGTAAGTAATTGTTTCTAAGTTAGGACACAATAAGCATAAATAAGAAAAGAAAATATTGATAAACTTGACTTCATTAAAATGCTCTTTGAAAGGGGCTATAAAGAAAATAAACTGCCAAGCTACAGCATGTGAGAAAATATTCCTAATACTTTAATATGAAGCAAATCATTTTCAGAATATGTAAAAAACTCTTATGACTCATTAACAAGAAGACATACAACCAAATAAAAAAGCAAAAGACTTAATGGACACAATAGAAAAAAATATGAATACACTCATGAAAAAATGATTAGTTATTAGAAAAATGCAAATTAAACAATTTTTCATCCATTAAAATGTCTAAAATTACAAACTATTACAATATTAAGCATGGTTCACGAAGTGGAGCAACTGGAGGTTTCATAACATTTCTGGTAACATATAAAATTATACCACCATTTTAGAAAGGTCTCTAGAAGTTCCTTACACAGCTAACCACATATTAACCCCATAGCTCAACAATTTCAGTCACAGGTGTTTATCCAAGAGTAATGAAAACGTAAGTCCACAAAAAGACTTTTTCAAAAGTATTTCTGACAGCTTTAGTGTAATAGTCAAAAGCTGGATCACCACAAGTGTTGATAAACAGAAGAATGAATAAATAAATTATGGTATGTCATTTCAAAGCATGATATTTGGCATAAAAACAAGAGTGGGCATGGCCTATGCCTCAAAAACATTATGCTAAACAAAAGAACCCAGACTAAAGAATTTAGGCTTTATAATTCAATTTATATAAAATATATCCTTTATGATTTCATCTATATGAAGAATAAGCAAAATCAGAAATTAGAGCAATAGTTACCAATGGCTTATGGAGATTCAGTGAAAGGAGGTAAAGGGGTCCATATATATATATCTTCATATAAAGATATATATATCTTTACATATATATGCATATCATATAAAGACATGTTATATACTTTTATTGGGGTTGATTCTTAGTTGTATAAATTTGTCAAAATGCTCAGAAACTGAATTATATTTTTATTTTAAAAAATGACCAGTGTACTATTTTAATGATGCAACATTGCAGGTGTACGCTATTGCATTTGAAAGAGTGGAGTTTCTAGGAAGCTAGAGTGTTAAATTGTTCATCCGGTGAACTATTGCAATCACCCAAGAGGAAGATAGAATGTAAAAAGGAGAGGGAGACTAAACTAGTTATATGGGGAGAATTTACTCATCTCTCTTTAGATTATGAGCATGACCAGAGACCTGAGAAAATCTGCCTACCTCAGTATTTGACCTAAAGTAGTAACAGCCAAAATAGTAACAGCCAAGACTTATATAGTGTTACTGTGAGCCATATTGTGCTTGTTAAGAACGTTGAATATGTTAACTCATGGATAGAAAGTAGTCAGTTATGCCTGATAGATTTTTAAAATCTTTCATTTACATTATAGAGGCCAGGTATGAAATTTGCAACAGGTTGATCTTGTTGTGAGACCTGCATACCAACGTATTTAAGCACTTGTATGAAATAGTGGATAAAGCAGTGTATTGCTCTTTTATGTATTCAAAACTGAGAATATAACTGAATACAACTGAATTCACAAGAATGACTGAACACATCCAGAGGAAACTAATGGTCATTTCTTTAGTCAGTAACCTTACATGTTTTATTTGTTCATAACTAAAGCTCCCGCAGTGCCTGTCACCTGAGAAAACCAATCTCTAAGACATTCTATAAGAGTTTGTAGTTTTCTTTCAGGGAATCCCAGCTATGTCACAGAACATTGAAAATGTATCTGTTGCATGTTCCCTTGTGAATTTGTTATCAATTAAAGAGTTTGGTGTAAATGTTAAGGGTTAAACTTGCCATTAAAGGCTTTCTCTCATGAGACATTCAACCAGAAGATAGCCTGAGCACACATCAGATCTGGTTTCCTGGAGATGCATCTCTTAGTACATTGTAAAGGACCTTTTAAAACTAATTGCCTTGTTGAACATTATCTTTAAAAATTTTAGAATGTCATAAGTAAATTAAACGTTATATTTAGTGTTATTTTATTTATTTGAGTTTATAATACTTACCCCCAACTAATTCTGGCAAATCAGATCAATGAAAAGAAATTAAGAGAAAACACATATGCCACAAATGAGCAAGTCTGGAATTCTGTACACTTTTAAAAGGAATACTTTAAAATAATTATTTTACTGAAGTAATAAATTTACTCCAGTGTACCCTAGAGAAAGAAAATCTCCAATGCTTAGTTATTGTCTTTACTTCTATATGGATATTCTCAGCACTTTCAATGTTTCAAAGACCACAACATTATATATGTATCTACGTGCCTGTATTATACCTATAGGACAATTTTTCTCATGAACATGTACTAAAAATCTTACCTATGAAGATTAAGTTGTAATAATTTGCCCTTTATTTATTGTCAATATTTTGGTAAGATCAAGATGATCTTTATAAACTGTAGAACCTTTAAACAATATGAAGTATAGTAGTTTTAAAAATGTAACCCATCTTTGTGCTTCCGTCTAGTTGAAAAATTAAAATTAAAATATCAAACCTATATCTCTTACAAGAAGAAAACCAGTTGTCTAAAACTAGCCTGAGGAGGGTATAATGAAGAACAGAGAAAGGAGAATGACTTTGGGTATATTTTACAGCCTCAGTTTGCAGAGCCATTAGCAAACAGTCAAAAAGTCAAGGGCTTGAGTAAACGGCTCAGCAAGAAATTACTTACTGAATGCTACCAGAGGCTGTGGTCAAATACACCTGCCACAGAGCTCGCTGGTAGATAGGATGATTTAGGACTGCATACAAATCAGTGGCATTCCACATGTGGCTGCCCAGTGAGAGGCTGGCAGTGAGTAGGAGAATGCCAATCACGGAGAGTCGCTTCTTCATTTACATCACATTGGAATTCAGATGGTGGCTGAGAACCCAAAAAGTGAATTTATCGTTGCAAGAAAGTCAATATTTTAAAATACCTGTAGGCAGTGATTTAAAAGGCCATTTTGTGCACACCATTTACTTCTTTATACACACGCACATTGCTATTCATTGCCACAAATACCTAGGAGCAGAGTAATTCCATGAGGCTACTGCATTGAAAACACTGGGTCTTTACAAAGCAGAGGCCTGTGTCTCATCAGGAAAACAGAGTTGTTAAAAAAGAAAGTTCTCTCAATTTCAAGGCAGGCTATTTACTTCACCTGTCTCATTTGTTTTTTCGATTTTGCCCTTATTCTTAAAGAATATTTTATTTTTAATGAAATCTGTCACAAAGTCACCCTGTCAAGTCTATCCTCTCTACTGATGACATGCCAACATGATGCTATGAAAACAGACACAGCTAACGGAATGTAAACTTGACTTTTAGAAGTGATATATTTTGATTGAGGGAAAACTATATTCATAAGTCTCAAATAAAGCTGGTGTCCTTTTCTGAATTTGTGTATTCTTGCTTATTTATAAATTGAAGTACATACATATAACTGATACCAACATGCATATTAATTGAACTTATGTTAAATACGAGAGATTAAATGTTTTAAATATAGTTGCTGCTTATGGCGTGCATATATAAAAAAGTAAACAGATATGTTCTCTATCAGTTTTCAAAAAAGACAATTCAATTAAGACAAAGAGAAAAATGAATATACTTAACGCAGCTATTTCCACTGTAAAATCCTTTGCCTAATTTTTCCCTTTTCTTAACGGACTAGGGGAAAGATCAGAATGCATGTCCACTGACACGTGGCTCATTTTTATGCTTGAGTCAAAGAGTAGCTTCTCCCTCTATCTATTTTTTAATTATCAATAAGAATGATCTTGCTGAAACATACCGTCAGCTCTGGGCCTAAAAATCTAGGAAGATATTATCAAGGAATGAAAAGGAGTCCCTATATACTATTCTCCAACTTCTTCAATCACTGAAAAACACATGAAACAGCCACACGGCCTGCTGACATATGTACTGCACTGTATGTCTACCTGAATATTGGAGTTTGAGAAAGAATTGACCACTGGAGCTTATGCACACTTTCCTGATCTGCTCACTACTGAACATCTTCTTGCTGTCTCTTATTGCCTTCTGATATTATTTTTCCAAACTTCCAACTATTCCAATTCTTCTTGCAGTTTTGAGTCAACTTCTCTAGAATCCTCACTTCCTACATTGTTCTCCAGTTTATAACCAGTTTTCTCTTTACCATTGCAACCCTTATTTTCAAAGTCCTCTGAAATTTGTGTGACTTGGTTTCAAGACACTTTTTAGAACATTTGGAATATGTGTTCTCAATGGTGGAACATCTCCTGGTCTAGCCCTTTCTCTGTTCTGATCCATGACAGCTTAAACTGTCATTGGATCATTTTGCCAAACCTGCTTGAAAGTAGAAATGCTTTTCTCTGTTCAAATACTTTTTCAGTAACTTCTGAAATATTTAAATTTACTACTAAAACAATTAGCCTGGAGTATTTTGTGTTTGTGTCATCATCTCTGAAGGGGAAAAAGGAGACAGCTATGGACCATTTCTTAAAACCTGACTTCAAGTTTCACGATAAATATTCCCATATCTCTTGAATCTATAAATCATTTTTTTAATTAAAAAAAGGCTTTTAGTGATATTACAGTGCCAAAGGTCAATTTCCATAATTACATTTACTTTTAAAAATAATGCCAGTTCATTTACATTCAAATACTGTACTTATTTGCATCATTACATTTGCCACTCATGATATAATGGCCTATTTAAAAATAAGATTTGTTTGAATTGGTTACATGTGAGAAAGGGTTTTAAGGTAGAGAAAGAAATATCTACAAAATTATATCATTAGACGATAATCTTCTAACAATTAAAAGCCCTATTCCTCACTTCTGTGCATTGAAAGCTTACTGCAGTTAAGTGGACAGTAGGTGAGGCCAGCACCAGGTTCAGAATTTTGATAAAATCACCTCAGCCTGAATCCAGTTCACCACAAATGGCAAAAGTTGCATTGGAAATTAATTTTCAGAATTACTTTAAGTCAGGTTACAGGAACAACATAGGCTCCTTTTATATAAATTTGCCAGAGTTGCTAGAAATATGAACGTCACGAATGATATTTGTTAAACAAAATGAATAATGCCAGGAAGCCTTGGAAACAGAAGTGGACGAGGTGATGCTCTGAGCGCAAATAGCACCTGGAGCTTTTAAGACAATCAAAGGATATAAAGTACTGGGACAGATTGGATAGATCCATACACATTTTCATCCATCACTGCTTTGAGAGATGAAACACATGTAAACAAGAGGAAAAATTGGTAATCATAGAAGCAAACCCTCCAGCCGCTCCATTGTACTCATCTCAAACACTGTGCTTGTGTGCCTATCAATCAGCATGTTGCTTATATCAAATATGCTAAATGACATACATCTATAAGGCCAGCAGTAGAAAGACAAATTAATCCCTTGGAAAAAATCTAAAGGTGAGAAATCTAATTTGCAAGCTGCAGTTTGTATACTGGAATGAAAATAAGAAAAATATAAATTATACCAAGAAAAAGCAACGGATGCATGCAACAGCCTGAGTGAGACTCAGACATAAGACTGAGTGAAAAAATACAAAAGTGTACGTACTGTTTGATTTCATGTCATGATTACATATGTTCTAGAATATGCCAAACTAATTAATAGCAATAGAAATGAAATTAACATTTGTACCGCATTATAACTTGATAGAATGGTAGGTTACATGGATATATTCACTTGTCAAAAAATCTTTGAAATATGTGCTTAAGGTTTGTGCATTTTACACTATATAAAGTATACCTTTATTAAAATATGCATGGGTAAAACTTACAACATAGTTGAAAAATACTAAAGCCTAGGGACACAAACATCTTCACAACATGAGAAAAATAACAATTTATTCAACAGATATGTACCAGTTACTTTTTAAGTGACAAGCTATTTGGGGCATTTAGGATACATCAGTGAACCAACCAGAAAATGATCTCTGCCTATATTTCAGCCATGAGAGAAAAAAAAAAGAGGTAATACATAACACATAGTATAGTAAACGGTAATAAATGCTATGGAGATATAAAACTGGACAACAAAGAATAGTGAATTAGGAGCGCTGCTCAGGGAAGCAAATGGCTGAGGTGAAATCTTTAATTAAAGTTTGTCAAGTCAGATCTCATTGAGAAAATGATGTATGAACCAAAACATGGAAAAGATGAGGGTTTTTTTTTTTCCCTATGTGAATAACTTTGGTTTTAGTTTGAAGGAAATTGGGAGCTATTGAAGTTTTAAAAAAATTGCTCTAGCAGTTTGGTAATGATCATTGTTGGAGAGACAGGAAAGAAACAGACACCTGCTGGTAGCAGGAGGTGGTGGATGGTAGTCATGCTCTGGGTATCTTGAAGAAGATCTCAGTGGATTTGCTGAGCACTTGGAGATGCAAAGTCAGAGAAACAGGTCAAGCGGATTTGAAGTCTTCTGGTCTGTTGAAGGCTAGCGATAGAGTAGATTCAGAATGAACAGTAAGACGAAAAACAAAGCCAGATTGAAGGTATTTATTAGTGAAGTTACCTTAGAAGTCAACCATAGCTTCTGCCCCCACTAAAAACAAACAAACAAACAACAACAACAACAACAAAACACAATGAAAATCACAACCTCATCTGAAGTATCCAATACTGTTGGTCCATCCAGAAACAGGAAGATGGATGCCATCAATAAAGTCCATTCCATGACTGCATTACTTGAATTGCAGTAAATTCTTAGGTAGGTCAGCAAAATTCTGTATTCATGTAATTTCTACTTCTGCATTTAGTTTTGTTTTTAACATCTACACTGAGAAAGCATAGCATTCTTTATATGACCATTATATAAATATTTCAGAACAGTCAGCATGTTCACCTACCTTTGAGAGAGTGCCACCCTTGCTTTCCTCAGATGAGCCTCGTTTTCTGTTGTTCCTAAATCCTTTGTTGTTCTTGACTTCATTTTCTGCTCACAGGGTTTTTAGCTCTTGCTCAAATGAGCCAAGGCCTGAGCATAGTCTCAGTAGTGGAGAACAGATAGCTGTTTTCCTTTGATTCATGTGCTCTACTCCTAATACTACAAGTTTAAAAACACTATAATCATTTTGGCACTCCTGACATAGTGTTGGTATATAATGAAACTAGAGCAAAAAATTCATTAAGTCCTTTAAATTTTTTATTTAAAATTTTCCTTCTATTTAGCCATGCAGTCCTACTATATGGAAATTTCCAGTTGACAATTTTACTTTAAATGCAGACTTTTATATTTCACATTACTCAATTTTTAATATCTTGGCTTATTGTTACAGTCAATTTTAGAATGTATATGCCTTGTGCCAAATCAAAACATTCGCTATTATATTCTGATTCATGATACCACTGTATTAAGATGATAATCATTTTGAAGTGAAAAACTGAATAATATATAGAATATAAAATGAGTAATTCAGAAAAAATTTTAATTAAGAGAAATAAAATTAAATAAGCACTTTACAATATTAGTATGATCATTTTATATGAAGTTCTTAGTATATCAATATGTTGTACAGTATTCTTGACCTACTTTTTATTTTTTGTTAACTGAATAGTTTACTGACAGACAAAATTACTGAATATATGAGTAATGGTTACATAAAAGATAACTTCATTAAATATGATTTATTAAGTAGAGAAGTGATATATATTATGAATTTGTGCCATGCTCCACTGATTGAAGCTGGCTTTTCTCCCTTTGCCTTATAACATGCTATTTCTTCAATCCTTTCTACTGACTAATGTTTCTATTCAATTCTATTCACAGTCATTATATATTTGTATATTTATTTACATCCTCAGGCTAAGGAGAGAAAATTTTGTGACTTTATTTATTAAATTAAAAAATGGGAAAAGATAAAAATTAAGTTAATGGATGAATATTTTAAATAAAATTAAGACAAAATAAAATTGGCTTGGAAACAATTGAAGTTGCTGTATTAAATAGAAGAGAAAATTAATACAAAGAAAAATAGCATATGTCTTGCCTTGGCAGACTGAAATAAACTAAAAAATGTACACATGCTGCATTTCTATGTAGAAAAAGACTTATTTAGTGCTTCTTAGCATAGGCAATAGTATTCTTCATGACAAACTACTGTACCTCTGCTATTAAAATGCATAAAAACACATTAAAATTACAGAAGTATCATTACAATTCATCATACTTTTAGAAATAATACATAATGTTAACTGAAATATGAGATTGAATTGAAATTCAATTGAAAACAATTGAACAAAAAAGATAATCCATAAGAGAAAAACAATCATAATGAATGAGTCCATCTCAAATCCCAGCCTGATAAAATAAAATGCATATTTATGTTTAGTGAAAGTGCTCAAGTTAAAGTGCCTTTTATTTCTGTTTTGATTGTATATGGTGTTACTGTGTAAGGTGCAAATAAAGTTATAGCTTATCAAGCTCTCCTATTACCAAGAGCAGCTTACAGTTTACTAAGAGGTACAGAAAGATTTGCTTCCTCAGTGACTGGTGATACTTAACGGGGGCAAATATCTTCCGTTCCTTTGCCTTCTCCTCTAGCTTTCCATTAGATCAATATAAATAATGGCGTAAACATATTAGGTTCTTTATTCATTGCTCACTGAAGTATCTTTTAATAACCTTTTTAAGAGTGAAAAAAACATCAATTCTGGGCATCCTATGTTCACTAGAAAATTTGTCTTATGTGAAAGCATTTTCTGATAAAAATATTTTTGTTGTTTTCAAATAAAGCCAAGAATGTATTCATTTTTAGAAATTGGATACAATAAACTAGGGTTTTGGTAACCATAGTTATATTTCTTTTATACGAAATTTGCAAAAAAATCAAAATTATAAGATGCAACGAATTGTATTAAAGAGAAAAATCCTTTCTTTCTGAAGACAATTCTGAAGCAATGACTATGGAAACCATCTAGCTGCCAACGTGGTAACCCTTCATCCTTTTTGCAGCAGTGTGTACTGAACTTATATCTGTTTTCTTAATTGCCAAAAAGCCCTCACAAGCTACCTCTTCCCAATATTTCCTTTTGTTATTCTCAGAAAGCTAAAAGGAGAGAGAGGTTAGGACAATGAGACTTCCTTGAATGTTCTAAGTAGAATAAAGGAGTTTCTATTCTCCATTTTCAAGTGAAAAAAAGGAGAAGAGGAGCTTCACTAAGAATTCTATGATGTTAACTTCTTACTTGTGTTGGGAAAAGGTACTTTGCTGTGGATTAGGAAACCATCAGGCACACACGCCTTGTATGAACACATATGAGCATCTGAGACACGGATCCCTCAAGTTGATGCCACATTAATGTGTTGTTGTTGCTGTTGTTTTCCAAGATTAGGACTCAGCACTTGGAAGACTGCCAAAGTAGAAATCCTAAGAACACTTTGCCTCAGGGACAGCTTTGTCCATAGAAACCATGGGGAATATCAAGACTGTGAGTTCTGGGAATGAGAGGTTAAATACAGAAACTCGGTAATGAGTAAGAAACACTGACTGGCCTGAAGTGGAAAAATGATGCTTTCTTTGGTGCACTTTACTATGTAGCTTCTAAGTGTGATTTTACTAGTAAGGAAATCAGGGGAGGGATTAAGAAAAATAAAATGTGACTAACTACTTTTTAAAAACAGGAAACCCATTAGATGATCTGTGTTCTGTCATGCAGTAAATTAAAAAATGTAGTAGAAACATGGGCCATCTGCTTTGATTACCTATCCTGTCATGAGCCACAATTAAATCAGTGAACTGCATTTAGAATCAGTGGGTAGGAAGGGACCCTGAATGACTGTCTAATCAAATGCTAGGCAGTCACCATGGTTGTTGTCATCCTTTGGGTGAATGAAGATGAGGCTAGCCCTTAGGAAAGGTGCAGGCCAGCTGCGGTATATGACTTGTAGAATCCAACAATTCTCATTCAGCAGATGTGGAGGAGGGTCTAAGCATCTGAGATTTTAGTTAAGTGCACAGGTTGTTTTGAGAAAGGTACATAATAATTCAATTCCCCTCTAGCTCGTATGCTTCCATGAAAAGACCACAGAGTGAGAAAAAGTAGATGACAGTGTAAGAGGATTATACACACTGAGCACTTGGAGGTCAAATGATTTCTGAGATTGGAAAGGGAGTCACTGAAGAGTGTGGAAGCAAGGCAAGAATTCTGGGGAGTCACATGAGGGTCAAGTGAATTTCACATGAAAGAGGGATATGAGTGGAAGAACAAGGGCAGAGATATGGACGCATACTCTAAGCATGTAAATAAGCCAGCTTGATTCAAGAATGCATAGCAGCTTGTATGGAAGACCAGTGGAAGATGGGTCTGGAAGGTCATGGTGAAAACCAAACTTCAGGCTAAATTCTTTTTTTTTTTTTTTTTTTTTTGAGACAGATTCTTACTCTGTCGCCCAGGCTGGAGTGCAGTGGCGTGATCTCGGCTCACTGCAACATCTGCCTCCTGGGTTCAAGCGATTATCCTCCCTCAGCCTCCTGAGTAGCTGGGACTACAGGCTCGCACCACCACCCCCAGCTAATTTTTGTACTTTTAGTAGAGACGGGGTTTCACCATGTTGGCCAGGATGGTCTCAATCTCTTGATCTTGGGATCTGCCCGCCTTGGCCTCCCAAAGTACTGGGATTACAGGTGTAAGCCACCACGCCTGGCTGAGGCTACATTCTTGATTTACTCTTTATTCTACTGGGAATAGAGGGTTTTTGGAGGTTTTAAAGAGAGAATTCACACAAACTTTATTGAGTCTTAAAATGATTCATCTTGGTTAAGGACAGAACATAACCTAGTAATATTTTGCAATCTTTCAGGAGAAATGCAAGGGAGATTAAGCTCAGAGGGGAAGCAAGAGGATAAGCAAAAGAAGGAAAGATGCACAGGTATCAAGCACAGGACTTTATGTATGATTAAATGCAGGGCATGGAGGATAACAAGGACTTGGAGGTGACTGAGAATTTAAACTTACAAGATAAGTATTATAATATTATTTAGTAACAGAAATAGGGAAATGGGGGCTAAGATACATGTCTGGAAAGAATGAGGAGACTGATTCTATAGTAACTCTCAGTTACAGTCTAAAGGATGCAGGAGGAACTTTCTTCAATGGCATAGTGGTTAAGTAAGTGCTTAGGCTCTCAAGGCTGCCTGCCTGCCTGCGTTCAAATCAGGGACCTAGGATTGGTCAGCAAAAATAACCCTGGGCAAATGATTCAGCCTTTCTAAGCCTCACCTTCCTCTTCCTTAAGATTGAGAAAAACCATAGTAATACTTCATGAATGTTTAATTTTGCTTTTTGAGGCTTAAATGGGTTAACGCATTGCTAAGTGCTTTGGTTATACTGACATCATAGTAAGCCCTTAATAGATGCCCGTTGTTATTGCAGTCCTTATTTTATTCACTGGAATATAACCATTTTTTTCTTTAACATATTCTGTCTTAGATCTAAATTCTCCTTCCCTGCACTCACACTATGTATCCTCCATGAAAACAGAAAGCAGTTGTTCATATTGCTCTCTAATACAGCCCTTCATATATCAATTTATTTTCTGTCCATTCTAACTGTTATACTTTCCTAACTGTTATGTTTCCACTTTTTAATAACTGACTTTCTTCGTCTTAATCAAAACCAATCTAATATAACGCATTTCTCTCAAAACTATCCTTATAACTACTAAATGCTTATTGCATAAAAATATTGTCTCAAAGCTATCATAATACACTGCATTATTTAACCTGAATAAATAATGCCTTTTCTGCAAAAGTGAATACTGTAAAAATCATGCTTAGTAAAAAGTCTAATAAAGTGGAAGCTTTGTTTCTACAAAATGAGGATTAAAAGCAGCACAGCTCACTTACATGTATACATTAATTGTGTTGGAAAACAGGAAAAATTCCTCACGTTCCATATTTCTCTAAAATTCTGTGTTTTTCTCGTGTGTGCAATGGCCACATTGGTTTTTATGCACACATAGATCCTTCTTCATAATCAATGAGATGTCATGCCTCAAAATCACAGAACTAATCCAGCTCTTCTATTGTATTTTTTCAATAAAATCTGGGCCCCTCATCACTCTTGATCTCCACACAGAAGTTCTATTGATGTTGCTAAGAGATGTGCACATGAATCAAGTCTACTAAATGACACATAATAACTAAGAGACTGAATTGCTCCAGGGATTAGTAATGGGCCTGTGACCTACAGGTCAACAATTTGAAACCAGACTGGGTTAATAGTAGCTAAAAATTGCTACAATCTGATGTGCGATTGAAAGTCAGTGAAAGGAGAGCTACGGTCTCTACGGAATTCCAAGTTAACAGGTGCCCATCGCACAGAATCACAAAAACAATGGCCAAGTTAAGAGGTCAAAGATAAAATTGGTGTGGAAATCCAGCTACCTTCTGATCAGTTGCAGGTAGTCCCTGGAGTACTTACTGGCATGCTGAATATGTCCTTTCTTTTTCACACACATATAGGACGGCTTCCTTTCGTGACAATGTCAACAGAACACCGCAACATACAAACTTAGAGAATAAACTTTATTAGCTGAAAATGTTTGTTTGCCTCTGGGGTTCCATAAATTTTATTTTAAATATAACTCCTAAATTAAGAAGAATCTATTATTAGAATTTATATTGATGCACAAAAATAAAAAGCATTTTGTTATACACACACACACACACACACACACACACACACACACCATAATAAGATAACAAAATGATCCCTCACAGATTAAAATTAC
The DNA here is from genome assembly GCF_000001405.40 of Homo sapiens. Taxonomy (NCBI): domain Eukaryota; kingdom Metazoa; phylum Chordata; class Mammalia; order Primates; family Hominidae; genus Homo; species Homo sapiens. Next base: position 103,615,404 of record NC_000013.11, on the reverse strand, counting down.
ATGAATGCTAGCTCTGTTATTTAATGAGTACATTCACTGTTCCTGTATTTTCCTATTGATGTTATCATTAAGGCCTCCTCTATTGGCCTGTCTGTCTGAATATCTTTAAAAAATGTCAGTAGTGCTATTTTTGTAGTATTGCATTCATAAATAATAGCAATTATGGAGAATTTATTATATTATATATAAAATGAATACTTCTAAGTATTCATTGAAGCTCTGCATAACCAAGTGTTGATAGAGTACTGTCAGATCAAAATTTTAGTAATAACAAAGACAGATAAGCTTATATCATTATCTCTGAAAATAAGGACCTTTATAGGGTGTTTATAAATTCCTAGTGCAACTTTAACTTTCAATAAATGTGGATACATTCACAATAGGAAGAAAACTGCAAAAATATGTTATTATTCTTCCAGATGATATGATTTGGAGGTAATTCAAGCCAAGATTGCATATTTGTCAGAGAATTATTCATCTAAAATTGGAGAGCATTTTCAAACTGTTAGAATGGAAAATCACATTATGTATCATAAGAAAGCTAGAAATATTGACCTTTTTTGTTCTGCACATACTTTATTTCATAATAGAGATTTTTAAAACTTGACATTATTTTCTAATCATGCTTGGAATTATTAATATATAAGCAAGGTATTTTTATGTGGCCTCCATCTATTTCTCATGACATGTTTGTTTTTGTTTTTTGTGTTTTCCAAGACAGTCTCACCCTGTCACCAGGCTGGAGCACAGTGGCATGATCTCAGCTAACTGCAATCTCCACCTCCCGGGTTCAAGTAATTCTTCTGCCTCAGCCTCCCCGAGTAGTTGGGACTACAGGCACACACCACCACGCCTGGCTAATTTTTGCATTGTTTAGTAGAGATGGGATTTTACCATGTTGACCAGGATGGTCTTGATCTCCTGACCTCATGATCCAATCCACCCACCTTGGCCTCCAAAGTGCTGGGATTACAGGGGTGAGCCACCACACCCCTATGTTTCTTTTTTCTCTTCCTTTCTTTTCTTTCTTTCTTTTTTTTTTTTTGGTGTTGCTTGTTTGTTTATTTGTTTTTTGAGACAAAGTCTTACTTGGTCACCTAGGCTGGAGTGCAGTGGTGCAATCTCGGCTCACTCCAACCTCTGCCTCCTGGGTTGAAGCGATTCTCCTGCCTCAGCCTCCTGAGTAGCTTGGGACTACAGGCACTCGCCACCACACCTGGCTGCGTTTTATATTTTTAGTAGAGACGGGGTTTCACCACGTTGGCCGGGCTGGTCTTGAACTCCCGACCTCAGGTGATTCACCCGCCTTGGCCTCCCAAAGTGCTGGGATTACTGGCTTGAGCCATCACATCCGGCCTGTGTTTTTTAAAAAAGGAAAAATTCCAAAATTGTAATCATTGTATTTTAAAATCATCCTTATTTATATTTACTATCAAACCAAAAATTCATCATCTATCTGAAATTATTCAAGTAATCTGAAAAAACTTCAGCATCCTAAGTGAATGGTGGTCTGATGAAACATATTTTGCATCATAGTGATGAAAGAAATAAAAAATAGTATTTTAAAAATAAGACGTTTGAGAATTTAAATTCAGTAGTATTTCTGACTGTACCCCATTTTGTTTACTTCTATAATCATCTTAAAAAAGCCCTACTTTACTTTTTTACGGTGTTCTAAATCATCTTTTCTTTACTGACATAAAAACCCTTTTCTTTCCATGCCTCTTAATAGGATGATTTATTTATAGAAGCAAAAGGAAGATAAGCCCACAGATGCTATGGCCCCCCACGCTTTATAAGTGGTTTGCAAAAGGGCAGATGCCATTGACCTTTTAGATGACTAGGGTAGTTGATCTCACAAAGAGGCCACTTTTGTATCCTTGATTGAATTTGAGATTGCCTTTCTCAACTAAGACAATATGAATGGATGGTTGTTAATATGTTCAATAACCCGATTTTTTAACATCCAAAAATATTAAAAAGCTTTAACCCTAATATTAACATGTCTCTTGGTGCTAGGTAGTATTTTCCACTGAAGATACTCATTTGCAAATGCAAATAATTTTTTTCATTTCTCTTTTAAAAGCACAAAAATTCAATAAAAGCATCTGACATTTAGTTACTATTACATGTTATGCTCATTCTGTGTTGGCTTATTCATTTAATCCATATCCTGCCTCATTTCAAAAAGGCTTTAAGCTAAATAAAAGAAAGATATAGAATAGAATAAGATGAACAGCACAAATCCAAAACATGGATTTTACAAAATGACAGCCAAGTAGTAAAATAAAGCAATCAGAGATGGCAAAAATACATATATGTCAATTTAAAAAGGCTCAGTGTACACACAATGGCATATACATGGGTGTGTGTACAAACACAAACACAGGCAAATACACATATGCAAGTATACATTACAATGTATACTCATGCATACACATATTCACTATTACTTAATTTTAAAATTTATAATTGACATAATAATTGTACATATTCATGGGGTAAAGGGTTATGTTTCAATGCATGTATACATAATTTGGTAATCAAATTGAGGTATTTACCATATCCATCACATTAAACATTTATCATTTCTTTGCATGACAACATTCAAAACCTAACTATCTTGAAATAGATACTACATTGTTATCTGCTATAGTCATCCTACTGTGTAACAGGAACACCAAAACATATTCTTCCTAAATATAACTTTGTTCCCATTGTCCAAACTTTCCAGGTCCCCTCTTTCTACTTCCCCTCCCAGTCTCTGGTAACCACTATTCTACTTTCTACTTGTATGAAATTAATTTGTTTAGATCCCACATATGAGTGAAATCATGCTGTGTGTGTCTTTCTGTGCCTGGTTTATTTCACTTAACATAATGTCCTCCAAGTTCATCCACGTTGACACAAATACTGGATTTCTTCTGTTTTATGGCTGAATAGTATTCCATCGTCTATAAACAGCACATTTTCTTTACCCATTCATCCTGTAGATGGGCATTGAGATTGATTCCATATCTTGGCTACCATGAATAATATTGCAATAAAAATGAGTGTGCAAATAACTCTTTCATATACTGTTTTCTTTTCCTGTGAATACATATCTGGTAATGGGATTACTGGATCATATGGTAGTTCTATTTTTAGTTTTTGTGAGGAACTTCCATACTATTTTTTAGAATGGCTGTACTAATTTACATTTCCACCAATGGTATATGAGTTACCTTTTCACCACATGCTCTCGAGCAACTGTTTGGATTTTTTTTTTTTTTTTGGTCTTTTTGATAATAGCCATTTTGACTGGGGTGAGGTCATATCTCATTGGGATTTTGTTTTTTAACACTGATGATTAGTGATTTTGAACAATTTTCATATACCTGTTTGCCATTTGCACATCTTCTTTTGAGAAACGTCTATTAAGGCTTGATGCTATAGTCTGGGAGACGAGGACTTTATATATTGGTGAAAGATAGATATTTTAAAATCTCAAGGAATATGATGATCTCATTTTATTTCTGCTGCTCGGCCATATCTAGACTACCAGGTTCACATTTTCTTACCATATTTATGGGGGATATTGATAATTTATTCATCATACTTCTCAAATTTTGTCTGTCCAACATAGCATGACTATGGCTCTGTGCACAGTTCTGGAGTTTAGAGCATGTACATGGGGAAAACAAGAGGCAGAGAGTATAGAATATACTGCTTGCAGTGCATATGAAAGTTTGTAGCCTTCTAGTTAGAACTGTTGGCTCTGGAGCCAGAATCACTAATCATGGTTCTGCCACTTTCTAGTTATGTGGGCGACTTATACAGCGTCTCTGCGCCTCAGTTTTCCTGCCATTAAAGTGGAGGTGATATTAATGCCCACCTCATAAGATTTTAAATGGGGAAACATCATTTTCTGTATGTATAACCCTTCAAATATTTCTCAGCATATAGTTAACACTCAGTTAAATTTATCTATTACCTGTTAAAAGCCTGACAATAAACTTTACCAGGCTAATCATATTAATCAATGTGACAAGTTAAAATTATATTTACAGTTAATTTTAGGAATCATTCTGAAAAATCCAGTACAAATTTGACTTCTCATTTTAGAATAAGATTTAAAGAATATTTTAACCAAATATATATTCTTTGGCTGCTGCTCAGCTTGGGATCCTTTAATAGGTGTCCCTGCACTCTTCTTTCATTCTGCATTTGCTACTTATCTGACACCCCGCACTATTCTAGGAGCCATAAAAACAATGAATAAGGAAAAGTTTTTGCCGTTAATTAAATTTAGGCTACCGTTTTAAAGATTAAATTGACAAGTGCAAACTTTTTTAGCAATGCAAATATTGCTACAATAGGTGGAAGCAGAGGGGATTAAAGAAGCACATTAGTTTGTGGAAGGAATTCTTCAGTCATGATACAGAGGCCAGGCCTGGGGGCCTCAGACACAGCTCCTTAAAGAAATGATCCTAGTATAAAAACTGGAGGGTGATTACAGTGAGCCTGTTGAAATATGGAATCAAACAAACGCACAGACTGAGGAAGATGATGGCACTTTTGAGTGAGGCAAGATCAGACTGTGAAAAATGGGGAATATAGGAAGATGGTAAGGAATATTCAGGAGCTCAGATGCTCTGACCATGAAGTGTCCTGCAAGTCCTTCAATAAGTCTATATTTTAAAGAAGTGAGTATGGAATTAGAGCCTGAGAGAATTCTGTCATCTATAAAATATGAAGAGATTATCATAACACCAAAAGTCACTAGAAAATCATGATGATCTGTATGCAGGAGAATCGAGAAGAGACATGAATGACTTCGGGTCCAGATGTTTGCCTCCAAGTTACATGATTTAGTTAACTAATAAAAATGTATTGAGTACCTACTATAGGTGTGGCACTGTGCTAGGCTCTGAAAACAAAATGTTAAGAAAAAGAGGATGAGGAAGAGGAACAAAAGGAGGAGGAAGGAGAGACGAAGAATTTTTTAAAAAGAAAATAAAAAAAGCTCTGCTCTTATGGGGTTCCTAGTTAAATAGTAAACACTATCATTAATTTATCAAAGTATTACACTATGAAATAGATAATTAAAACTGACATATGTATTAAGAAGTAAAGAAATAGCAAAGGGATTAAAACAATCTTCTAAAAAGAAAAGACAATTGAGTAGAAATCTGAAGGATGAATTTAGTTAAAATATGTTAAAATATGTATGAATTTAGTTAAAATATATATTATACACTGACTAATTCAAACCAAATAAAGATGCCATCTGGCTGAATCTTTAAACTTTATTTTTATTATAAAAGTAATAGCTATTCATTCTTTTAACTTCTCCAACAATATACAAAAGCACAAAGTCGAAATTATAAGTCACTCAACATTACGATACTCTGCAGAGACTGTATTTTAATGATAACTGTACTTTTAAAAAATGTATTTCTTGATTGAATTGTCATTAACTGTGAAGGGTCTGGGATTGCTACACTCTTTTCAAGCTCACACATTAACCTGTTACTGTCCCCATTGATGCTGGCAGAAAACACGAAGCTCCTGGGTCAGAGAAAAAGGGATTTTATTACTGATGGTACAAGTAACATGAGTGTGATGTGGTTGGTTTCAGGTTTCTATGCCATGAAGTGTCATGGAGATGATACATTTGGGCCTTAATGAATGCTTATATATGCAGTAGGTTGCACTGAGGAAGAACACAGAGCTTGGGGGGTTCACTGCCTTCACAGCAAATAGAAACAAGTCTACTCTTTACTCAGAAAAAAAAAAATGAGAGAACATTGTCTCTCAAGTTAAATCACTGCAAACCCAGTGCTAAGAAATAGCCTGGTAAAGAAAAGCCAAGGCTTCGTATCCTTGGTATCCCCATCAAAAATGTGTTGAGATGCTGAGGGTCCATCACAGATAGCCGGTATCAACTCCATGGGGATACAAAAATGGGTAATAGAGATCATATATATATTTATTTACATAGCTTCTTGAATAAAATAATAATAATGAAAAGTGACAATGTGTTAGTCATTAAATTGTTAATATCTGAATGTGTTTGATTAGTAACAATGGAAAGACACTTCTAATGGTTTTTATTCTGAAATTTGAACATGGACTGTATTTTGAGGCCAGGAAGACTGCAATCAGTTTTAGAGAAGTGGGTTACGCATCCCTATCCAACATAATATGGAAAAATCATATATTATAATGATGTGCTGTGGGTTGAAGTGTGTCTCCCTAAAAGATGTGTTGAAGTCCTAATTCCCAGTACCCGTGAATGTAAACTCATCTGGAAATATTTGTTTGCATATGTAATTGGTCACGAAAAGGCCGTACTGTATTAGATTGGACTTTTAGATTCAAATAATTGGTATCTATTTAAGAAGGCCACGTAGAAAACAAAGACAAAAACACACAGAGGAAATGCCTCGTGATGACAGAAGCATGATGGAGGCAGACATTGGAGTGCTGTGCCTACAAGCCAAGAGGCACAGAGGACTGCTGGCCACCGTCAAATGCTGGAAGAACCAAGAAAACCTTCTCCTCTGGAACATTCAGAGAGTCCTGGCCCTGTCGCCAACTTGATTTTGGACTTCCTATAGCCTCTAGAACTGTAAGAGAATACATTTCTGTTCTTTTAAACCATTAAGCTTGTGGTAATTGTGTACAGCAGGCCTATAAAACAAACGAACACACACACACACACACACACACACACACACACACACACAAATACAATCTCCCTTTCTTCCACTCCAGTTATCAGCTATATAGAGAGAGACATATATTAATATACAGACACACAGATTTTTATAATTCCTGTGTGTCTTCATTTGGGTTTCCCCAAAGCTAACACTGACACAAGAAATTTGCTGGAAATAAGTCATTGGAGAGAGAATTCCAGGAAGCATACTGGGGGAATGGGGAAGGGAGAGAAAGACTTCAGGAAAGTATGAAAGGCTGAGGTCAATGAGCAGGTGCAGGTGCGGAGGAGCCAGTCCCACTGCCAACCCTTTAAGAAACTGTATGAATCACAAGTCTGCAATGCACTACCAAGAGGCAAAGATTTAAGATATGTATCCACAAATTCTTGTTCTTTGTTGGTTGATGGTTCCTATTGGAGACACTACTCCTTTGGCACTTCAGACCTAACTGAGCTTGGTTCTGTGAACAGGATGCCCTCGGTCTGAGAGGCACAGCACTTGAGAAAGGAAGCTACAACCACACATGCAAATTGCCCAGTGAAGCTGAAAGTGACTTCTAGATTGACTTGAGAGAATATGGACCAGGTACTAAGAACATGTACAATGTTAATTTTTTAAAAATCATGCTCTTTTAAAACTATATTTTCTACTACTTAATGATGATATTTATAGACACATTATCACATTCACACATAACAGCATATGATTATAATAATTCCAGAGGGGAATATATCCATACTAATGCAGTACAATAAATTAAAGTTTTGGGGTTTCTTTTAAAGCTCATGTTCTTCTCCTGGTGATTTTTTTTAAATTCTTATTTAGACACAATTTTATAATTACAAAAGAGTTATACAAGACAGTACAGATAATCCCAGATACCCTTCATTTAGCTCGCCTGGGAATTAACATTTTACGTGACCATAGAACAATTATCATAGCAAACAATAATAACTTTGGTAGAAATAATAAGTAAACTATAGAACTTATTCAGATCTCTCCACTTTGTTTGTTTTTTAAACATCCTTTTCTTCTATTTTGGGATATAATTCAAGAGCCTACATTTTATTTGGTAATCATGCCACCTTAGCCTCCTTTGAGTATTCTTCCAAATTTCCTACTCTTTTATTATTCAATTTTGCAGTGTCTCTTAATTTGGGTTTGTCTGATATTTTCTCATGCATAATTGGACGGCATAGTGCATTGTAACAGGTGACATTAACCTTGGACACTTGGTTTAGATGGTGTCTGCAAGGATTATCCCCTGTAAACTTGTAGTTCTCCCCTGGAATTACTGCATATTTAGGGGTGATGCTATAAAGCTATGCAAATATGCTATTTCTTCTTTAAATTTTGTGCACTAGTTTTAGCTTTCTTCAGTTAACCTTGTCTGTGGCAATTACTACTATGGTGCTTTAATGGTAATTTTCTGTTCTCATCGTTCTTTCTACATTTATATTAATTGAATTTCTTCTCTGAGGAAAGATTATTATTTCTCTCTGGTTAGTTAAATGCTTAGTTAGTTTTATGTTTATATTAATATGGACTCAAAGATTTTTATTTTATCTTTTATGTTATAATCCAAATATATCACTGTTCATTTTATTGCTTATTTTGTTTCAATTTTCGTCATTGGGAGCACCTTCAGATTGGTTCCATGCCCACGTGTTCTCATGGTTGATCACTGGTTAGTCTGTTTTTAGCATATTCTTGCTTTCTTGTTCCAGTGTCATCTTGTCAGTCCTTTGTAGGGACATGGATGAAGCTGGAAACCATCATTCTCAGCAAACTATCGCAAGGACAAAAAGCCAAACACTGCATGTTCTCACTCATAGGTGGGAATTGAACAATGAGAACACTTGGACACAGGAAGGGGAACATCATACACCGGGGCCTGTCATTGGATGTGGGGAGAGGGGAGGGATAGCATTAGGAGATATACCTAATGTAAATGACGAGTTAATGGGTGCAGCACACCAACATGGCACACGTATACATATGTAACCCTGCACGTTGTGCACATGTACCCTAGAACTTAAAGTATAATAATAATTAAAAAAAAAATAATAATTGAACCCAGGCAGCCTGGCTCCAGAGCCCATGTTCTAAGCTGCTCTACTTGAGATAGGGTCTCTCCTTTTGGAAATAGACAGGGTTGTGAAGGGGGGAAATTCCAGTCATAACCTATGTCATGCTCACACTCACGCTCTGCTATCTAGCACCCTGTTCTAACCCTAATGTCTTACAAGCTAGATGTTGCTTGCCTGCTCATTCTCGTCTGACCACAGGGATGGATTTTTATTAACAGCCTCCTGCTGGAGGGGCCAGGAGCAGAGAGCTGTGCACCCTCCACGCTGTGACCTTCCCACCCCACCGCCCAGCCTGCTGTGGTTTGAGGTCTCTGGCGGGTATTTTCTTTCCCTCCGAGAAGCCAAGTCAGCACCGATCCAGCTCCAAAACATGGTGCCCATGGGACATGAGCTGGCCTGCCAAAGACCTGCCCAGGGTCTCAGATCTTTCCGGGGCTGCCTATTATAAACAGATGCTCCTCCTGGGACCCACCCAGAGACCACCCGACTCATGTCGCCGGTGGGAGGGCGCGCTGCAGCTGAACTCCAGGAATGAAAGCCAAGTCCAGTATTAGTGCAAGCCCCTCTGGGCTAGGAAGGCAAGACTGGGTAGAGAAGGGGCATTCGGTATCCTCTGATCACGGGCCTCCTGGGGCTGGTGTCTTGTGATGATGTTAGCTGAGCTTTTACTGTTGTGCCTGGCCCATGCTGGATGCTGGGGTTACGAGATGAATAAGATCCCCTGGAGGACCTTGCACGCTCATGGGAGAGGCAGGGGTGTTCACCAATCAGTCAGCATGCTCACATCTGTGCACTAGTGGAGGTTGAACAAAGACTAGTGTTAACAGTGAGGAATGGGTATCCTGAGTCAGGCTGATCTGCTGTTATGAGCTGCGTGACCCTGGGTGAGTCACTGTCTGAAAAAAAAGAAAGAAAATTCTCTTCTATTCCTAGTGTGATAAATGGTTATTTCTTTTTATCATGAATGAACATTGAATTTTGACATTCTTTTCTCTATATATAGACATGATCATGCGATTTTTCTTGATGGTGAATTACACTGATTGCTTTTCATACATTGAAAAAGATTTACATTCCTGGGATAAACCCCACATGGTTGTGATGAATTATTTATTCTTTTTACATATTGCTGGATTCAGTTTGCTAGTATTTTGCTAGGTATTTTTTGCCTCTAAGTTCAAAGGGATATTGGCCTGGAGTTTTCTAAGCTTGTAATGCCAGTGTATAATATTGGTATCAGGATAATGATGGTCATACATGAGTTTAAAAATGTTTCCTTTCCTGTTATTTTCTGCAGAAGATTGCATAGTATTTGTACCATTTCTACTTTAAATATTTGATATGATGCACTGGTAAAACCACTGGAAACTGCAATTAGGTTGGGGTGAAAGTAATCATGGTTTTAACCCAATCTAAATAGAAAGATTTTAAACACAACATTAATTTCTATAATAAATATAAGGCCAGTCAAGGTATCTATTTCTTCTGGAATAGGCTTTAGTAGATTGTGTATTTCAAAAAATTGATTCATTTTCAGCAAGCCAGCCTTTGGTTTTTAGGATTTGTATCATTTTTCAGTTTCACTTCCATTAATTTTTGTTCTTCTCATTATTTTATTTTTTTCTATTTTGCATACAATTAATAATTAATTCTTTTTTTAAAGTTCCATGAGATAAATTCTGAGGTCATTGATTTGATAACTTTTATTTTATGTAATAAAATATCATATGTATGCCATAAATATGTACAAACTTTGTAGTAATTACTTCCTATTAAGCTTATTAAAATTTGTTTTATAACTCAGAATCCTATTGATCTTGGTAAATATGTCAAGTGTCCATGAAGAGAGTGTGTATTTTGTTGTTGTTGGGTGAAGAGTTCCATAAATGTCGATTTGGTCTAACTGCTTGATAGATTTCTTCAGTTAATCTCTACCTTACAGACCTTCTGCCTATCTGAGTTATTAACTACTGAGGAGTGCTGCAGTCTCCAATAATTGTGAATTTGTATGTGTCTTCTCTAAGACTCATTACTCTTGACGTCATGTCATTTTCTTGCTTGTTAGCTGCATATTTAGGATTTTGATGTTTTCTGGGAAAATTAAAACTTTATTATTATGTAATATATTTCATCTCTGATGATATTTTTGTTCTGAAGTCCTCTTCATCTGATATTAAAATGGCCACTTCAGCTTTCTTTGGGCCGGTACATCTTTTACTTTTAAAATGCCTCCATGTCTTTCTATTGGCAGTGGATTTTGTAGCTAGCACATATTAAGGTCTTGCCTTTTTTAAATCCATTCTAACACTTTGTCTCAATTCTCATTTAATATGAGTAATGATATGACTAGAATCATAATTCACCATTGAAAACATTTTTCAAATTGTCCCATCTGTTCCTTGTCTTTCTATCCTCCTGTCTGCATTTTTCTAACTGAATTTTTATTAGTGCATAATATTTGTATATATTTATGGGGTACATATATCTTACTACATGCACAGACTGTGTAATGATAAAGTCATGGTATTTGTGGTGTTCAACATCTCAAGCATTTATAATTTCTATGTGTTGGAAACACTTCATGTCCTCTCTTCTAGCTATTTTGAAATATACAATAGATTGTTGTTAACTATAGTCACCCTACTCTGCTTATCAAAATTTGGAGCTAATTCCTTCTATCTAACTGTATATTTGTATCCAACCATAGCTCTCTTTTTTAATCAACTGTGGTAAGATACACATAAAAGTTACCATCTTGACACTTTCTGAGTGTACAGTTTAAAGGCATTAAGTGCATTCACACTGTTGGGCTGCCATCACCAGGATTCATCCACAGAAACTCTCATCTTGCAAAACTGAGACTACGTACCTATAAATAATAACTCTCCATTACCCCTTCTACTCAGCCCCTGATAATCACCCTTCTACTTTCTGACTCTGAATTTGACTACTCTAAGTACCTTGCGTAAGTGAATCATATAGTATCATGCACTGTAGTTAGCGTAATGCCCTCAAGCTTCATTCATATTGGAGCATGTGTCAAAATTTTCATTCTTGTAAAGATAAAGTAAAAAGCCATTGTATGTAGATACCACATTTTGTTTGTCTATTTGTCTGATGATGGGCATGTAGGTTGTTTACACATTTTGGCTATTTCAAATAATGCTGCTATAAACATGGGTATACAAATGTCTTTTTAAGAGTCAGCTTTCAATTTAGCGGGTTATAGGAGACAAGGAATGGCTAGGTCATACACCAATTCTATGTTTAATTTTTAAGGAACCACTAAATTGTGTTTCATAGTGGCTGCACTATTTTTCATTCCCACCAACAGTTCACAAGGGATCCAGTGTCTCCACATCCTTACCAATATCAGCTATACTAATTGGTATGAGGTAATGGTTTGATTTGCATTTGCCTAATGACTGGTAATGTCGAGCATCTTTTCATATGCTTGTTAGCAATTTACATATCTTCTTTGAGGAATTAACTGAGCTTTTGATATGATTGCATTTTATTTACTCAACCAACTCACTATCCCATTTTTAAATTGTAATGGTTTCCACTAGGTTTTACAATATACATTTTTACTTAAAGTCTTCTTATATTGTCTCATATGTAGTGTAAAGAACTTATAAAAGTATATTCCCCTTTCTCACTCCTGTCTATGTACTATTTTTGTCATTCATTTAAATTTTACATATATGATAAACACAGAATTCAATCTTTCCATATTATTTGTAGAAAAGTTAACATAAGAAAAATGTCTTAAATTCTACCATCATGTATTACATTTGCAGTCTCCTTTTTCACTGCTCTAATTTTCAGCCTAATATATTTTTTCTACCTAAACAAGTATGTTTGAAATGCATTTTCTCAGCATTTGTTTATTTGAGAAAGATTTCTTTATCTTATATTTCTTCATGTTTGAAAGATATTCTTGCTGATTACAAAATTATCACTTAGAGATTTTTTTTTCTTTAGCACTTTACAGATGACATACCATTTTCATCCACCTTCCACAATTCCTTGTGAAAAGCCTGCTGAAATCCCCATTTTTGTTACTCTTATGTAATGTTTCATTTTCTCGGGCTGGCTCTAAGATTTTCTCTTCGTTTTTTATCTCAGCAGTTTAAGTATGATTTGCCTAGGTGTGTCTGTCTGTGTATACATTTTATTTGTTTGCTATTCTCAGAGATTCTTAGATATTTCACTTTGTTTCTGTCACTCATTTAAAAAAATCCATTGTCATTATTTCTTCAAATAGACATTCTGCTCCTTTCTCTCTTTGCTTTCTTAGACCCAGCTTATGTCTAGATTAGAACTTTTGATATTTTTCCAAAGCTCTCGGATAGATTTCCAATTTTTATACTCCTTTTTCTCTTTGCTTCTTCGTCTGGATGATTTCTGTTGGCCTATCTTCAAGTACACTGATTCTTTTCCCAGCCACGTCAATTTTAATGATGAACCTATTGAAGGCATTCTTTGTCTTTGTTATCATGTTTCTAATTTCTAACATTTTTATTTGGTTTTTTCTTATATTTTCTGTTGAAATTACTCATCTGATCTTGCCTTTTATCCACCTTTCCTTTTAAAGCCTATAACAAATTAATCATATGCATTTTTAATTTTCTGTCAAGATCTATGTTATATCTATTTGTGATTATTGCTCTCTGTCTTGGGAGTGTGTTGTTTTTCTTGCCTTTCCATATGCCACATATTTTTTACATTATTATTGAAAACCAGACATTGTGGACCATGGAGCTTATTTCCCTCAGTCTTATCCCTGGAAATGGGCATTCTTTTCCCTGTGCTAGACCTTTAGTGCAAGGGTTTGTGTTAATGTAGTCAGGAGTTGGGCATGTTTGTAATTTACTCTTGCTGTGTTACCCTGAATGCCACGGAGACTTCAAATTCGAGGAGATATTGCTTCCGTCTAAGGTGGGAAATGGATTAACAGTATCTTTTTGATTCTGAGTTTTAAGGCTTTCCTTTGTGCTGTGCTACAGAGTGGGTCACTTTTTAAGCACTTGTCCCTCTCTTGTCCCTGTCCCAGCCATATTCTGCTATCACTTGTTATTTGCAGCTTCCTAGCTTGTGGATGGAAGGAAGCGGATGCCGTCCATTAAGGCTCTCCTGTTGGCAGACACCATGTCCCCGGCCATGGGAATGCGGCATTTTCCTTGCTCCTGCTCTTTTCCGGGCTGCCACTGTGGACTCAGTACTTAATTCTGTTCTTCCCCGAAGATAATGTTTTTTTCTTTTCCTTTTCCTGTGTCAAAGACAGTTCACCAATGCCCAAGGGTAAGCAGTTTTGCTCTTCCCCTTGTGTCCGGAATTGGTGGGTTCTTGGTCTCACTGACTTCAAGAATGAAGCCGTGGACCCTCGCGGTGAGTGTTACAGCTCTTAAGGTGGCGCGTCTGGAGTTTGTTCCTTCTGATGTTCGGATGTGTTCCGAGTTTCTTCCTTTTGGTGGGTTTGTGGTCTTGCTGGCTCAGGAGAGAAGCTGCGGACCTTCCCGGTGAGTGTTACAGCTCTTAAGGCGGCGCGTCTGGAGTTTCTTCTTCACAGTGGGTTCGTGGTCTCGTTGGCTTCAGGAGTGAAGCTGCAGACCTTCGCGGTGAGTGTTACAGTTCATAAAGGCAGTGTGGACCCAAAGAGTGAGCAGCAGTTTAGATTTACTGCAAAGAGCAAAAGAACAAAGCTACCACAACGTGGAAAGAGACCTGAGCGGGTTGCCACTACTGGCTGGGGCAGCCTGCTTTTATTCTCTTATCTGGCCCCACCCACATCCTGCTGATTGGTAGAGCCGAGTGGTCTGTTTTGACAGGGCGCTGATTGATGTGTCTACAATCCCTGAGCTAGACACATAGGTTCTCCATGATTAGCTAGATACACAGTGTTGATTGGTGCATTCACAAACCCTGAGCTAGACACAGGGTGCTGATTGGTGTGTTTGCAAACCTTGAGCTAGATACAGAGTGCCGATTGGTGTATTTACAATCCCTGCGCTAGACACAAAGATTCTCCACCTCCCCACCAGATTAGCTAGATACAGAGTGTTGATTGGTGCATTCACAAACCCTGAGCTAGACACAGGGTGCTGATTGGTGTGTTTACAAACCTTGAGCTAGATACAGAGTGCCCATTGGTGTATTTACAATCCCTTAGCTAGACATAAAGGTTCTCCATGTCCCCACCAGACTCAGGAGCCCAGCTGGCTTCACCCAGTGGATCCCGCACCAGGGCTGCAGGTGGCACTGCCTGCCAGTCCCGCGCCATGCGCCTGCATTCCTCAGCCCTTGGGTGGTTGATGGAACTGGGCGCCCTGGAGCAGGGGGCGGCGCTTGTCGGGGAGGCTTGGGCACACAGGAGCCCACGGAGAGTGGGGGAGGCTCAGGCATGGCGGGCTGCAGGTCCCGAGTCCTGCCCCGCAGGAAGGCAGCTAAGGCTGCAGCGAGAAATTGAGCACAGCAGCTGCTGGCCCAGGTGCTAAGCCCCTCACTGCCCCGGGCCGGTGGGGCCAGCCGGCCGCTCCGAGTGCTGGGCCTGCCGAGCCCACGCCCACCCGGAACTCGCGCTGGCCCGCAAGCACTGCGTGCAGCCCCGGTTCCTGGCCGCGCCTCTCCCTCCACACCTCCCTGCAAGCTGAGGGAGCCGGCTCCGGCCTTGACCAGCCCAGAAAGGGGCTCCCACAGTGCAGCGGCAGGCTGAAGGGCTCCTCAAGTGCCACCAAAGTGGGAGCCCAGGCAGAGGAGGCGCCGAGAGCGAGCGAAGGCTGTGAGGACCGCCAGCACGCTGTCACCTCTCACCCTCCCACACAAATTCAGGCTTTTGTTCATAATGGGTGAACAAAATGGGGAAAACAGGAAGGATCCCAGAAGGTCGAGTTTCTTATCCCTCTCATATAGCTATACTTTCCCTGCCTGAAGCCTCAAGCATAATAGACACTTATTATAGGTCTTTTTGATAATTTTTCCATGACAACTTGGTAGAGTTTGTAGAGAAAAGCCTGCAAAATGATAAGGAGTCCCTAGATTTCCTTGTCCTCAGCAACTTTGTACCACTCGCATAGCGCGCATTCAGCGTCTATCAGCTACTGTGTGTAAACTCTTGTCACTGGTGTCCTGTTGCATCTACAATAGGTGAATCAATTTCAAAGCTGGGTGCAATGGCTCGTGCCTGTAATCCCAGTGCTTTGGGAGGTCAAAGCGGGAGGATCACTTGAGACCAAGAGTTTGAGACCAGCCTCGCAAAATAGTGAGACTCTATCTCCACAAAGATAATAAAAATAAATTAGCCAGGCGCAGTGGCGCTCACCTGTAGTCCAAACTACTCAGAAGGCTGAGGTGGGAAAATCACTTGAGCCCAGGAGTTTGAGGCTACAGCGAGCTATGATTGTACCAATGCGCTCCAGGCTGGACAACAGAGCAAAGTGAGACCTTGTCTCTAAAAAAAAGTTCAAGTTTTCTCTCTCCCAATAGGCACTGTGTCTCTCAGAGTTTCTTCAAGTAATCTTCTCAGCAGTCTCAGCTCTCTGCTATGTTTGAGAAATCATAAATGTGATGTTACTCTGTGTCATTTTATTGTAGGCATAGGGGCTATGCTCCTTGCAGCCTTCCATATCCTAAAGTGGAAGCCAGAAATCCTAGATCCCATTTTAGTTGTCTTTTAACTTCTATCAAGTTGGCAGCTACAAAATCTCCCAATGTCCTCCCTTACATACAAATATGCATTTTTAAAGTGAAACAAACATGTAACATATGGATCACATTAATGAATAACTGTTGGATTGCATCAACTAATTAATTTGCAGATTATATTTCAGAACTGTTTGGCTATAAACCAAATAGTTTCTTCTAAGTTAAACATTTCAGGTTTTATCTGGAAGTGGTGGCACAAACCCATAGTCCCAGCTACTTGGGTAGCTGAGGCAAGAAAAATTGCTTTAGCCCAGGAAGTTTGGGGCTAGTCTGGGCAACATAGTAAGACCCTGTCTTTAAAAAAATAAATTAGTTTTCAAAAAGTGTACCATGATTAATGCCTTCTTCTAGTTAAATCCATTACATCCCCCTAGACTTTTTCTAGACGTTAGTATAATAAGCGTCATCCATCTGCAAACAATGATACGTCAATTTCCCTTACAAATAGATCCCTACGTACCTGGAAATATAAAGATAAAAATACTTAGTTTCCTATTCATGTACATTTTATAAGAGCATTATAATGATATACTGATACTAACAACATGAAAGATACTTTTAATTTCTGCACTAACAGATTTTACTCACGTATTCTGACCTATGCACACACCAGCACTCCACTGTTCATGTAATAAATATGCAAATGCAATAAATACATTTTCCTCCAATAAAGATTCTAGGGCCCCTTAAAATAGGTTTGGCCTTTCTATATAGATGAACAGCATGGAAGAATTTCTATGATATAGCTAAAGCTTGATGGCAGTGGGAGATCTGCAAGGTTTCAGCATGAGAGGAGCAAGATGTCTCAAATAGATTTTTTGACACAAGAATCAAAAAGCTGACATAAGCTCCATGGCATTAGTTGGCAAAGACCCCCTCATGATCTTCAAAAGCACCACATTTATTCCAAGTAGCTATTAACAAGATTTTATTGTAAAATGCAAGTTAAAAAGCCAATAACAGTCAGTATTATTCTTTATTCTCAGTGTCAAGGATATACATTGCTCTTGCTTAGAATCTAAATGTTCCCAAAACAGTCACCATTTTGAAGTTTAATAATATATCACTAAATTACTGTCATGTGCTTATTCCATGAAAATCTTGCCAATCTCCATTTTTAAACATTATTAATTTGATTCTAAGAACATTATCTATTTGCTATAATCAAGAAAGAAACATCAAAATCAATATTTGATAAAACTATAGATTTTTTTCAAAAATTCCTAAAGCAAGTCTTTTTTAATGTGAAAAAGTTTTAAAATATATAACTAGTTTCATATTTTAAAAATAATTATACTGATAGATAACAGGTCTTATATTAGAATAGATACATTATGTATAGATATATTTTTTGAACATGGCAGCATAAAATGACAGGGCGTGATTACAAAACACATTTAATTTTTAAACTATTGTATGGTATCTATGTAAACTAGCAAGCTTGCATATTAGTGATATGATGAAGCACATTTTGATGAGTTTTTGATGAGTTATGTTTCCAAATATGAAAAATTTAATTGTTATCTAGCATAAGCTACTTCCAACATTAGTCAGTTGGCTTTTATAACATAATATTTGCTGATTTTTGAAAATCTGAAGTTTTTATTTTTTAGGTTATTTTATCTAAATTTACATGTGCCAAAATAGTAATCTTGTTAAGTTTAAGTTAAAACTTTAAAAAAAACTGTTTGACAGATAATATTGTGCATTTAAAAAATATTATTTGTCTCAGAAAAATAAAAGTAGAGTCACATCAACACAATGATTACAATTTCTCTACAGTTGAGAAATAAAATATCTCCTAGGAAATTCAGCTTTGCCCCAAATCAAGAACCAGAATTAAATGTAGCCTCTACTATCTCTGTTTGATTCCACAGTGATCACTTTAGCTTTATTTGAAAAACTGATCAAGGAAAATATCAGTTATACAAACATCCTTTTTGTTTGTAATTGTTTGTGATTTTATGTAAGGAAACAATGAAAAACCATCTGTCCCAGCATCCTGGACTCTAAAGTTTAGCCACTATATTAGGGAAAATAGTCCATACCATTTCCAATTAGCTCTCTTGGCGGAGAACTTCTCCCTGACATTCCTACAAGTGGTTTTGATGCTTAACTTTCAATACTCAAAAATAAAGTATGAAAAATTTTATTATTTTTAATTTTAAAAATATTTCCTTATAGACATTTATTTCCAAAGTGGTTGGTATAATGTCCTTCAGATGTCTAGACAATACCCACATACTATTGCCATTATTATAAAAGTCTGAAACATTATCAGATGAGAAATAATTTGCGCAGTTTCATGAGCTTTAAAAAGTATCCATTTAACCAATGTAGTTTTTCTTTTCTTTTTTTTTTTATTTTACTTTAAGTTCTGGGATACATGTGCAGAACCCATGCAGCCTTGTACATAGGTATACATGTGCCATGATGGTTTGCTGCACCTATCAACCATCATTTAGGTTTTAATCCCCCCATGCATTAGGTATTTGTCCTAATGCTCTCCCTTCCCTTGACCCCCACCCTCTGACAGGACCCGCTGTGTGATCTTCCCTCTCTGTGTCCATGTAACCAATGAAGTTTTAAACTATACTAATTAATTAGCTACTTTAAAGGTATTAATACATTCTCTAGTACCTATTATCTTTATATTATATGTGCTGGGTAAAATATGAAAATAGAAGGAAATACATGCTGCCTCTTACATAAGCTTAAAGGGAAAAGTAAGGCAAGCACTTATGGCAGAAATATATGTCACAGTACATACACTACATGTGGTAAAAGAGGTATAAATCACAATGAGGATTCACGAAAGAAAGCAATAACCTTCATCTTCAGGAACCAGAAAATTTATTATGATGAAGATGGCACTTGAATTTTGTTTTAATGTATTCGTAGAATTTTGACTAGTAGATTTAGTAGGAACTATGCTACAGAAAGAAGAAACAACATGAGCCAGTTCAGTAGGCAAAACAATGTGGCTTTGGAGATTCCTTATGTTGAGTTATGTGGGAACAAACAATAATATAAAATGGATTAGTGGGGATTGACAATAATGTCCGTACCACTGCTGGAATCAGGCCATTAGCAAGTTTATTTTGCAGTATTACAAAATGATCCAATTCATCTTTTTCCTGTGTTATTCCTTTATAATCCTTCCTTCACGTTTTCAACAAGGGGATAATTCTAAGTCACAAACCTGACTGTGTCTTTGGTTATTTGCTAGCTGATCTGCACTCTTTACAATTAAATCTATTGCTATAATACAGTTTGCAAGACTCTGCGTAACATCATAACCTAAAATCTACATAAGTTTCAAACTTACTGCTTCGTAACTGAAACCCATCCTGAGAGCCTATTCTCCAAGTGATATATTTTTTTCTCTACCTCAAAGGTTCTTAATAGTTTCTGTAAAATGGCAATCGGTACACTCATAATAATGTGTTATTTAGCTTTCTACTATCCTGGACCATACGGTCCACAACAATTGGGATCATCTCCTTTGATCATTCTTCATCGTTATTTTATCTCTAACATCTTGCATTGTGACAGACATACCTTAGGGATATATATGTGATAAATATAAAATAATTAATAAAGTATTTTTATTATTTTATTCCATACAAAGTCTGAACCCTTCTCAATAGCCATGTGTGGTACGTGCCTATTATGCTGCACAATGCTGCTTTAGAATAAGGAAAAGTGAGTGCAAAGATTTTGCCTTCTATGTGTAGCACCAGAGGAGACTTAACAGGTGATGGAAATTTCCTTATTCACTTGAAGCAGTCAAATGACCTAAAATCTTTAGTTACTATGTTTTATTTTTGAAAAATACATTTTAAGTGTTATATTGTGTAGCTGAATGTGTGTAGCCAATATTGCTGAGCCCTAAAGAAGATGGCCTATTTCTGAAAAATACCACTAGTTTAATAATCTTGGCTCAGGAGAGACGGTTGATGACATGCAGACAGAGGGCACTCAGTGTTTGAATTCTTACCAGTAATTCCTGAAACTTTCTTGGGTGCTTACTGAATATTTTTTAAAGGGCATCAGTTTCAAAAGATCTTCTTTCTACATCAGGAACAGCCTGCATTACCCTTTATGTGGCTAGTTCGAAGGTCCCATGTAAGAAAGCATTAAAAAGGAATTTAGAGAGGTGGAGGGATTGCAACATCATTTCTCCCTTCCCTGAAGTCTAAAAATAGGGAAACTTTTGATTGAAAGTGATCCTTGGAAGATGCAGCTTCAGCTATGTGCTTATACAGAAATGAGCTATGCTCAAATTCATTAGTGTTCAAAACTGCCTCCTTCACTAGCTCACTGCTGGATCTAAACATTGATTAAGGCCGCTCTTTCTCCATGAACATTTCGAAGGCAAGATTTTCAACAGGACTGCAGTTTCAAACAACTCAGGAAAATATTTTGATACTTTCTTAGAGTATTGGTAGGTATTGCTATGTTTGATTCATCCATCTGCAAACAATGCTGCCATGTACTGAGGCAAAGACAGGAAAAATACATGCTCTGAATGTTCTTGGAGTTAGGTGCCTAAATGTGGATCCATTTGTAATTCAATCAGTAAACTTTATCTCTAAGGAGCCATGAGGCATTGCAGGCCAAGAAGAAAGTCAAGAATATTATACAGAGACTTATGGAATAAGAGAGGAAAAAAAAAGTTTCACAATGCTTTTATTAAGGAAAATTTAAAATACAATAAGCAAAATGGAGTATTTTTTTGGTAAAACCATTGTTCTAATGAGAAGAATAGACTTATTTTTTTTTGAGGGGAGGGATAACGTTTCACTTCGTTGTGGTTCAAAGTTAGTGTTCCCTATAATCAAATCAATCACAAATGTTCATTTCTAAGAAACACTCAGCTCCTGGTAGCCAAAAACAGGTGTTTACCCAGATTTGGCCTTCATAGGTTGCCAATCCCTAAAGCACAGGAAAGCAACAGCCACCTTGATTCTCTGTGTGTGTGCCTGCGTGTGTGTGTTTGCATGCATGTAAAGTCAGTGGTTGACATCACATCAATAAATAAGTGTGGGAAACAATTCTGGTATAATTCACTCTTTTTAAAGAACTGGCCCTAGACCTTCCCACTGTATTGAGAGAATACTTTCAGAGAGCTATGTCAGTTTTCTGTTATTGCTGTAACAAATTACCACAAACTCAGTGGCTTAAAATAACACCGATTTAATATCATGAAGTGGATAGGGTAGAAGTCCAAATTAGTTTCAGTTTGCTAAAGTCAAGATGTCAGCCAGGCTGGTTCCTTCTAGAGGCTTCTAGGGGAGAATCTTGTTCAGCTTTTTTTTTTTGAGGAGTTTCGCTCTCATTGCCCAGGCTGGAGTGCAATGGATGTTCTCATCTCAGCTCACCGCAGCCTCCGCCTCCAGGGTTCAAGCAATTCTCCTGCCTCAGCCTCCTGTGTAGCTGGGATTACAGGCATGAGCCACCACACCCAGCCAATTTGTAATTTTAGTAGAGATGGGATTTCTCCATGTTGGTCAGGCTGGTCTCGAACTCCCAACCTCAGGTGATCCGCCCACCTTGGTCTCCCAAAGTGCTGGGACTACAGGTGTGAGCCACCATGCTCAGCCTGAATCTTGCTCAGCTTCTAAATATGGCTTGCATTTCTTAACTCTTGACTCCTTTCCCATGTCACCTTAATTTCTGGCTTCCATTATCATGTCTCCTATTACTAACTCTAATCACCCTGCCTACCTCGAATAAGGACTTTTGTGATTTTATCAGACCCACCTGGATAATCTGATAATATTCCCATTTCAAGATGCCTCCTTTACAGGTTTTCGCCTATGCTATGCCCTTTTCCCATGCAAGCTCACATATTCACAGGTTCTAGGGATTATGAATTGGATATCTTTGGGGGGCTATTCTTCAGACTACCACAATAACTTCCTATATTTTATACAAGATGCTTGTTGATTTATACTTAGTGAGTTTCCACCAGCTTTCCTAGGCCAGTTAAAAGGGTTCTCGAGAACACTAAGGATTTAAATACCTTTCTCTTCTAATGTACATAAGTAGTTTGCACAATGGCAATGTCAATGCTCAACATAGTATTTTTGAGAACACGAGTTTGACGTGCATTTTCTAATGTAACTATTTCAGAACAACCTAGTGAGGTATATATTATATCCTCATTTTACTTTTATTTGGTTGTTCAACCTCAGCTGACTACAACTATTAAATCTGTTGGAATAGCAGTGTATGACTGCAGTCCTCCTGGTACATCTTCAAAAACACCGACCTCTGCTGGAATAATCCCAGCTGGAACAATCAACATGTTTGAAAATTCAGTGAAGAATGAATTTCATTGTTTCCTACCAAATCAAATGCAAGAAATCAAGCATATGAAAATCATAGTCTTCTCTCATCTTCTGAATGTAGATTAAAATATGTTTATAGAAATAATTATGTGTAGAATGAACAAAGAGTTTTACATTAATTAAATATAATCAGGTGGGCTCTCTGCTACTGTAGGTAGACAGGAAGGAAATAATTTGAGTAGATTAATGCATGATATTTGGAAAACTCTAAGGAGAATTTATTAGGATTGATTAACACTTACCTTTAAAATATAAAAATATCTTCAAATTTGAATTGTTAATTCAGTCCATGTTTTATATAGCTACATAAGAAAAGTATTCTGTGAAACAAAAATCATTAGGCATCTATTCAATAAAGACAGGAGTTCAAGAACTATGAACTTTAAAATGTTAGTTTATTACATAATTGAGATTGTTTCATATGTGTGAAATCTAATCTGAATCAAATGTACTAACCTTTGAAAACTAAACTACTCCATAAGTACTGTATTATCTTAAAAAGTAGAGATTTTTCAAAAACATGGAAATAAAAAGTTTTGGTTCAATATGTAATCAGTAGCTTGATGCATGAACAGGCAATCGTACATACTCCATTAAATTTTCAGATGAATTATTTAATTGATCAAATCTCTCTTATTTTGTGCACCCAAAAATGGGATTTGTGAAAACTCTGACAGAAGCGTATTTTTATTCCAGAGAGAAGAAATACTTAGAACATTGGGAATACCTGTCCAAAAAAGACAAATATGTATGGGAATAATCTGTTTCTCCACGTATTAAAAATGCCATTTTTCCTGAAAGAGACACAGGTTAGAATTTCCTCCTCTTTACCATGGTATCTAACAATGTGGAAACGACGGAAGTTGTCAAAGCATATTCCCCAATTACAGAGTGGTTACATAGTGGCTTGAGGTGCAAAATATGTCTGTGAAAACTATCGTACCAGCCCTAAGGGAAATCACACTATGAAAACTTTGAGAATGGATTGTGCAAAGAATGATGTATCCATGAAAGCAAATGACAATGACATTTTACATCATAATCTAAATAGAAGAATGTGGTTTTGGAGATTAAAAATTGGGAGGTTTCTCAAAAGACTTTAGACATAGATTAGGGAATGATAATTCTAGATATTCTAAAAAAATCTTGCCATTAAAAATTCAAGTGAATTTGGAAAAAAATATATACAAGAAAATGTTAAAATAACTTTTAAAATAGATAACCTGACTCTCTTGATAAAAAACGATTGTAATAAGGCACTAAAAAGAAAAAGATGAATTGAACATAAAGAATTGACAATATTTCTCTCAGTTAATGGCCTCAAGGGAAAATGCAATCTATAATGCAAAAATGAGAGCAAATTATTCAATAAACCTGGCAAAACTGTCATATATATTACAGGAAGAGATAAAAGGAAGCTTACATTTTTTTTTTTTTTTTTGAGACAGAGTCTCACTCTGTCGCCCAGGCTGGAGTGCAGTGGCGTGATCTCGGCTCACTGCAAGCTTTGCCTCCCGTGTTCATGCCATTCTCCTGCCTCAGCCTCCTGAGTAGCAGGGACTACAGGCGCCCGCCACCACACCCAGCTGATTTTTTGTATTTTGAGTAGAGACGGGGTTTCACCGTGTTAGCCAGGATGGTCTCCATCTCCTGACCTTGTGATCAGTACTGGCTTATATTCTAAAGTACATCTGTATTTCAAGCCATCTCCACAGGGTCAGGGGGCTCTTTATAGGGGCAAGGGCCTGAGAGCCACACCCCAATCCTTAAAATGTGTGAGTTAATGTTTGCCTGTATGTATTTGTTCCCATATAACATGAACTGACTGCACAGCATGTGCCTGCCATGGGGCTGGGCAGTTTCACATGTATTGACTCATTTTATTCAAAGAAAAATTCTAGGAGGTATCATTAAATAGACAAGGAAGGTGAGTTCACCAGAATTGCATTGCTTTGTTTGAAACTCTGAATTTGAAAAGTAAGAAATCCAAGATGAGATATACAATTATCTCATTCTAAACTCAATGCTCTGTACAATATTCAACACTGCCCGCCAGTAGGGAAGAAGAAGAAAAATATAGCATCCTCTCGTATTCTAGTGTGGATTTTAGGGTTTGGGGTAAAACAGAAGATATGCACCTATTTTGTATAGTGGGCACTGTTTGATCCAAGAGTAGCTAGCAAATGTGTCCACTGTCCACCACAAATATACGCAAGCTCATGTGGCCAAGTAGCTCACCAAAATTGTCTTCATATGAAGTGTTTTATTCTTGTGTAAGTTTGAATGCATTTATGATGTTCTTTTTTCCTTCTCCCCCAACTAAATAAAATCTAGAGTTTTTTTAACTGAATTTATCTTACCATATATTCTATTTGCATGTGGTTATGGGACAGGACATCATTCTCATTAACTGAATAAGTATTTACTTAAGATCTACTACGTATAACTTACTGTGTTAAACACTATTGGGAAAGAAAATATGTTTATAACACTTGCTTTACCTTTAAGAGCTTAATAGTCCAGAGAAAATATCAGCATAAGAATACATTATATGTAAGTGTGTGCGCGTGTGTGTGTGTGTGTGTGTGTGTATGTGGGTGCATGTGTAGTTTTGTTTTTAACAGTAAATGACTATAGTCAATAACTATTAATTGTACATTTTAAAATAACTAAAAATGTATAATTGGATTGTTTGTAATATGAAAGATAAACGCTTGAGGGGATGAATATCCATATTCTATGATGCGATCATTGTGCATTGCCTGCCTGTATCAAAACATCTCATGTACCCCACAAATATATACGCCTACTGTGTACCCCAAAAAATTAAAAATAAAGATTTTTAAAAAATAAGTTATATCAATACCACATAAAGATGGAATTTGTTAACTTGATTGTTTCTAATACACTAGTATAGCTTCATAGGAATAGAAGGGATCCTCTCGTATACTAATGTTCTTTACTAAGAACATCATGTTGCAAAAGAGAAAACAGAAATGAGATGCAGAAAGTTTAAATAACTTACTCACAGATTTAGTTTATGAAATAAAAATCTGCACTAGAACTCACATCTCCAATTTTTCAGCCTGTAATATTTTTACAGCACCCATTTAGAAGCATTAACGTCTGCATTAAGAAGCTTTTGTGGACAATGATGACATCTCTTAGAATCTTGGGTACAGGTAGAAAATACTTTTAAATAAATTCTGGTTTGATATCTTAGGAATTTTCTACTTTATATTATATGACTGACTGATATTCATAAGACTCTACTTGAAATTGAATATTCCCAACACAAAGAAATGATAAATGTTTTCGATGATAGATATGCTAAACTCTGATCTGATCACTACACATTGTGTCCATTGAACATCACCATGTACCCCATGAAAATGTACAATTATTATTTGACAATGAAAGAAAGGGAAAAATAAGGAAATATTCCTGTGCTAATAAGCTCACGAACCCATTCATTGTGAGAGCTATGCTATTTGCTAGATGCTTCCTCTTTATACTTAAATCTGAATTAACATAATTTCTATCCATTGGTTCTGAATATTTCCTTTGAGTTACAGGGAATATATTCAACCAATCTTATCTTTTATCAGTTCAACATCTAACAGTAAATAAACATTTTCTCTTTCCTGTATGTTTTCTGTATACTTTCTCTTTACTGTAGTCAATTTCCCTACTATGTCTCTACTTCCCAGACCTCTTCAAAATCATAGCCACTTTTATCTGGATATGTCCTCATTAGCCAGAATCCTGTGGAAAGAGTGATGTTTTTCTAGAAAAGAACTCAAAACTCTGACAAGAGTTTGCCAAATCAGACAAAAGTGATAAAAAAAAAAACAGACACAAACCCTATTGTTATTGACTAGAATAACTAAATTTTTTGGCAACCACCTCACATGTTGAGCCTCTTATCAATTCAAAGATGGACATTTTTCACAGACCACATTTCCAAGAACCCAGACGGGTATTCTACTGAGAAGCAGCCTCTTCCAGATGGCACAAAGCTCTCTCCTGTAACTGTGTTAGCAGTAGAGTTCCAGCTGGAAACTTCAGATCACCTTATCCTCTCAATCTGAAGTTTTCTTTTTTTACTGTTCTTTGAGGTTCTCCTGTTATATACAGTCAAATCTAATCCTGGTACAAACACTCTACAAAACTGCTACCTTGAACCAGTATCCAAATGTTCTTCCTCTCAATAGCCAAATTATTGGATGCTTTTTACAACTCTGCCCACTGGCACAATAACTACATTTTCATCCCCAGCCTCATAACACACTGCTGTCATCTGGTAATCCTTGCACTCAACTTTTGGTTCAGTTAAATCTCCATTTATCCTCAGTGACTACTACTCCCGGTTATTTCTAATTACTCTCATCTACATGGTATCTCACATCTTCCTTCACAAAGAAAACTGAAGAACCCACGCATGAACTCTATTTCCCACCAATAATGATCAGAAACAACCGTCCCTCCTCTTTATCTCATTTTCAAACGACATAGTCCCTTTCTTCCAGTCAATATCAATCCTTCCGTGTCTACTTTCTATTTTTCTTCTGGGGAATTTCTTTCTTTCCTTTCTAAATTTTAAATTTCAAAAAGTTATTTGAAAAAAAATTAATTGAAATACAGTACTTTGGTTTTTTCAAAATAGTCTATTTACGTCTTCCCTATGATAAAAAAAAAAGAAAAACAAAAAAATCTGTTCGGATTATGCTTTTTGCTACCAATACCACTCTCATTTTTTTTTCCTTTCTCAGCCACAATTCTTGACAGAGTAGACTACATTCGCTCCATGAATCTCCTTAGTTCTGAACCACTGTTCCACCCCGTGCCTCGTAGCTCCTACTTTTACCAAGCTGCTAAAACCATCCGCAGCAAAGTCATCCATGTCCTCAGCGGCTATAAATTTTTGTCTTACTAAAATAATTTCATGCTTTTTCTTTTTTACTATTCTTTACATAATGAAAGTCTCTAAACCTTTGATTTTCACTATATTCCTGTCTTCTGAAATTTTCTACCTTAGTGATTTTCTTTCTTCTCCACACAATGCCTGTTGGAATTATCAAGTTCCCTTTCCTTTTTCCTCTGCTATTCCTATCTATACATATTTTACTTTTGACAATTATAGACATTCTCTATTTTTATTGCATCAAATATTTCAGCCATGACTTTTGTGATCTACCCACAAAGATCCAGACACATGTATATAACTGCTCATCAAACATCTTTACTCGGATATTGTGATGGTTAATATTGAGTGTCACCTTGATTGGACCGAAGGATACAATGTATTAATCCTGTGTGTGTCTGTGTGGGTGTTGCCAGAAGAGGTGAACATTTGAGTCAGTGGGCTGGGGAAGGCAGACCCACCCTTAATCTGGTGGGCACAATCTAATCAGCTGACAGTGAATATAAAGCAGGCAGGAAAACGTGAAAAGGACACACTGGCCTAGCCTCCCCGCCCACATCTTTCTCCTGTGCTGGATGCTTCCTGCCCTCAAACATCAGACTCCAAGTTCTTCAGTTTTGGGACTTGGACTGGCTCTACTTGCTCCTCAAGCTTGCAGACAGCCTATTGTGGGACATTGTCATCATGTAAGTTAATACTTAATAAACTCCCCTTTATATATATATATATACACACACACACACACACATATATATACACACACACACATATATACACACACATATATCATATATATACATACCTATATACATATATATCATATATACCTATATACCCATATATCATATATACAGATATATATATACACACACACACACACATATATATCCTATTAGTGCCATCCCTCTAGAGAACCCTGACTAATACAGATATCCAATGGATATTTAAAACTTAGTATGTCAAAAACTGAATTTGTCAGTTCTAAAGGTCTGTTGTACAGCAAGTACTTATAGTATGCATTACTGTGTTACACGTTTAACATTTTGTTAAGGGAGTATATCTCATGTGAAGTGTTCTTACCGCAAGAACAACTAACTAAAAATAGAACACACAGAAACTTTGGGAAGTATTAGACATATCTACATCCTCAATTGCGATTGTGGTTTCATGGGTATATGCCTATGTCCAAACTCATCAAACTGCATACATTAAATATGTGCAGTTTGTTTTATATCAATTATGCCTCAATAAAGGTGAAGTATTTAAAACCTGAATTTATCATATTTCCCTCATACACCCTCTTCTATACTATTCCTAAATTCATTTATGATGAATTCGCCAGTTACTCAACCCAGAATACTGAATTATCCCATAAGGTCATTCATTTATATGTGTTTATTCACCAGTTTCCATGGTTTTACCTGTCAATTATCAAAGCTGTCCTTTTCTCACTGTTATTCTTCTACTGCTTTAATTTAGGCCTTCAGCATTGCTGACTTGCACAACTGCTTATAGTCTTCAAGTTGGCTTCCCTGATACCAAGGAATCTCTAATGCTCAATTCTTTTCTATAACATGTATATAAATCAGGCTTTTTTTTCCTTCTCTCTTAAGAAGACTTGAGTCACTTCTTATCATCTGCAACATAGAAAATAGACAACATGCAAACACTACTGTCCTATTCTCCACTCTCATCTCAGGCTGCTAACCACAAAAAAACTTTTGCCCAAGGAATGACAGATTCCTCATTTTCCTTGCATCCATACAATTCCATTAACCTGAAAAACTATCCTCTATATCATTTCCTACATGCTTCCCAGAATTTAGTATCTTCTACAAAGCTGGTCACTTATATTCACCCACTTCCAGTTGGTGGCCTTGTCCTTACCCTATAGCATCACCATACTTAGTGCACTCTATATAAGTTCTATGTTGATTGGCAGATCCTAGAAAGGAGATCTCCTCCTAATTTATCTTTGTGTCCCTGATGCCAAATATTTGCGATAATAGGTTTAATAAATGTTTATTGAACTTTGAGCTTTTCCATATGAATAGCTGGAACACTGATTCCATTCAATACCCACTCATCTGATTTCTAATTGCATTTATTTTCTATTGCAGATGTAACAAACATAGTGTCTTAAAGTAAAAGAAATTTATTTCCTTATAGTTCAGGAGGTCAGAAATCTAAAATAGTTCCACAGTGCTGTATTCTTTCCTGGTGGCTCTAGGGGAGGATCTATTTCCTTGCCTTTTTCAGCCTCTAGAGACTACCTACATTCCCTGACTCTAAGTTCATTCCTCCATCGTAGAAGCCAACAGTGTGCCATCTCTGTCCTCTATGACCTCTGCATTCATCCTCAAATCTCTCTATAATTCTGTTCCTTCTACCTCTCTCTGCTAAGGAACTTGTGACTATATTGGACTCAACCAGATGATCCAGGATAACCTCCTTATTTCCAAATTATTTAATTTATCACGTCTGCAAAGACCAGTTTTCCATATAAAGCAGCATGTCTACAGCTTCCAGCAATTATGACTTGGTTATCTGCTGTGATATGAATATTTGTGTCTTCCCCCAAAAATAGGTGGAAATCCTAATCCCCAGGGTGATAGTATTAGTATGCAGGGCATTTGGGAGTGATAAGGCCTAGAGGGTAGAGCCTTATGAATGGGATTACTGCCCTGATAAAAGAGAATTGAGAGAAAGTCCTTGCTCATTCCACTCTGTGAGCACACAGTGAAAAGTTGCCATCTATGAACCAGGAAGCGGGTTCTCACCAGACACTAAGACTGATAGCACATTGATCTTGGACTTCCCATTCTCCACAATTGTGAGAAATAGATTTCTGTTGTTTCTAAGCCATCTAGTCTATTATGTTTTGTTATAGCAGGGCAAATGTAACTAAACCTCAGATATCATGGAGCTGTTATACAGCCTCTTACAGCAATCTAATTGCAAAAATTACATTAAGTGCCCAAAAATCATATCCTGTTAATGTAGGCTTATTTCTTTCCCAAATATTTATTACAAAATAAAGAATAAAACTCTCATAATTATATCACTTCCTAATTTAATAATTGTGTTTTTTCCCCTTTATCTAAATGGCCCATTAAACACATTGGCTAAAACAATTACTACAGAGATTTGTGGCTTATCTACATCACCTTTATGTAGCTGGCTTCTATTCATTTAATTTCAACCAGCAGTGACTTTGTATGACTTCACTTCTACCAGGTTGACATGATTCCCACATGTCCAAAAAGAAGTTATGAAATCTGTGTGCATCCCTTGTTAAAGATAGTACATAACAACTCTACTCTCAAAATATACTCTAAAGATTTTGGTTTGTCTTGACATATACTACTGGCTTTTGCTATATAAATAAAACATTTAGTAAATTAGAGTCTTTAAAGAATCGGTGTCTGAACATTTTAAAATAAAACAGTTAATGCCCTTGGTCTCTGATATGGTTTGGTTGTGTCCCCACCCAAATCTCACCTTGAATTGTAATAATCTTCACATGTCAAGGGTGGGGCCAGATAAAGATAACTGAATCACAGGAGCAGTTTCCCCCACACAGTCTCACCAGATCTGTTGGTTTTATAAATGGGAGTTCCCTCGCACAAGCTCTGTTGCCTGCTGCCATGTAAGACATGTCATGCTTCCCCTTCACCTTCCACCATGATTGTGAGGCCTCCTCACAGCCATGTGAAACTGGGAGTCAGTTAAAACTCTTTCCTTTATACATTACCCAATCTCGGGTATGTCTTTATTAATAGTGTGGGAACAGACTAATATAATCTCTATTTTTTAAAAATATCATTTCGTCTCTTTCTGGATTAGGATACTTCTTTATATACAGACTCCTTGCACTTTTCTAATTCCTCATTATTCCTTAAACATTGATAACAGTGGGTCTGTGATCAACTATAAAAGTGCATAATTTAAAATGTTTTGAATCTTGTAGACTTATTAAATTTACTCTTTGTATGCTCCAAAATAAGAAAAATCAATAATATATATATTATGTGCACATATACTATATAAAGTAAATATATTAATATATAATTTATGTAATAAAATTAAATTACATTTATAAATATGTATTGAATGCATTAAAGGTATTACATACATACATTGTTATATTTAATATACAACTTATATATAGTGAAATCAAGTTACATTTAGAAGTACGTATTACATATATAAAATGTATTTCATAAATATAATTATAGATATATGTTTTATCTTATATATTTGTATTATATAGATTCTATATTTTTAATTTTTTTGATTTTGTAATGCAGGTGTCTCAGAAATTAGAAAATGTTATGGATTTGGGTTTTTTCTTTATATACTACTTTGTAAATATCATCAGAGGCAAACTGGGGTGCAAGGCAATTTTGAAACGTACATCTGCTTGTCTATATGTACAATTAGTTTCAAAAGGTAATAAGAAAATAGGTACATGAAAAAAGTAATTAAGATGTTGTTATCGTCCTTGGAGCACAAGTTAATAAATATATCCTTTAACTATGTTTCACTTAGGACTTCAGGTAAATTTAAATTTATGTCCCCAGAGAAATCCATATGTATCAAGAACAATAGGTTCTCATCAAATCTGACCACTTCTGATCTATAGAATATATTCTTACCTCTCTAGACTAAAATCCTAAAAAGTGGGTAAAATAGAATCCCTTAGGCAGGGATTGAGAAGTGAGACCTAAACCTACAAAACCTCAATGCTGGTAAATGTGCCTAACAGAAAAAAAAAAAAAAAAAAAGGGTGTATTCTCCCTACTACTTTGTGCTGTTACAACAAACACAGAGGAAACATCAAATCATGGTGTTGGTCATGGAATCAGCTGTGGTAAAGCCACTTGGATTAGCAACACTGGTAAAGCCCAGGTAGAGCTGGGGGCTGCGTTCTTCTCCATCTGACAACCTTCTCAACAGCTCATTCTATATGCCATTGTCCAGCTGGGATGCTGATTTTTCAAAGTAAAATTTAAAAATAGAACAATTTCCCTTTTCTCCTGTGTTTGGCTTAAAATATTTGAATGGGACTTATTCATTCAACATATGAATTCAATAACTCTTATGCAACAGATGATGTATAAAACTTAAACTGTATTGAATAAAATGAAACATAGTGTGACTTCATAAGTACCACAAAATGATTATTTAGCTTCAAATTGTTGTAAATGCTATGAAGGAAAATTATGAACTATAATGAAAAAGAGGGTAAAGAGTAACCCAACATTATTTAATGTTGACTTGGAGAGAGTATTTGGGAAAGCCATTTGAGAGAGAAATACTTTAACTGAGACTTGGTGACTTGAAGGGTAAATAGGTTAGCTATCTTAAATCTCAGTATATACATTGTTCTCTTTAAGCATGAACAAACAAAAAAATCACTGGGCATATTTCAAAGCAGGGAGCATTTGGAGGACTCAGAGGTAATATTCCTTAATTACAATAAACACTATCAAACACATTATAACAAAATATAAACCTAAGCTGTTTATCTTCATTTGGCTCAAAAATTTTGTGAGAATAATACTAACATTTTAAAATTTTATGAGAATAATACCACCCATTTTAAATATGAGGGAAGTAAGACTCAACTGGGTTAAGTAACTTTTCAAAGGTCACAAATGTTATGGTGCATGAGTATTAGAGTAAATGACTGAATTCATTTCTGGGTGACTTTAGCATCCATATTCTTATGATGGATGCAACAGTGATCCTTTATTGCTCAACCAGAAGATACGACATACATATAACAAGGATTCACATTTAAAAGATCAAAAATTTGGAAAAGAAATGATAATAAAATAGAAAAAGGCCTTTTTCCTGAGCTAAAGAAGGCTTGTGCCTTTACAATGACAAGATTCAAAGAGCACCAGATAAAATGAAAGAAAAAGAGATACATGTGGATGTATCCCAATATTTTTGTTGTAATTTCAAGAATATAGAAAATCTGTCTTCTCTATTGAGGAGAAAAATGACAAGTTGCCCACTGCATTGAAATTAATGATAAGGTGGAAAATAGCTTCATCCTCTGGTTTACAAGATACTAGAAGACAATAAATTGATGTCTCCACAACTCTTGTGAATTCAACACTACTGTGACCTAATGTTATTACAAAGCTAGGCACTTTAAAGTAAATATTCTGCAGAAACTCAGAGTTTCCCTCCTCTCCTTCTCCATTTCATTCCCCATGTTGGCTTATAGGTAATTCTGAATGCTTCACAGGAATGATGAGAAATGTCACCTTAACTCCACCCATGCCCTTGCCCACAATCTTACAACTCTACCATCTGATGTCAAGATGCTCTGGTGCTGGGCCTAGTCACTGTGACAAGGTTTTCTATACCTCCAAATACACTTTAAGGAGTAAGGCACAAACCCCAGAGCCTAAGATTGCCCCAGATAGACCTGTATGTTTCCATCAATATTCCATTTACTGAGGTTTGAATGTAACAAGGTGCACTGTGGTGAAAACACACTCAGACCCTTGTTAATATCTAAACCTAATTGCATTTCCTGTGATTGTCCTCTCTTCTACTCTGGGATTCTTATAATGATTCTGTTTCTGGGTGGAGTCAAGGATGAAAAAAAGGCTCTCGCCTCATCAAACATTTTTCTGTACTTTACATTCTGTGTTCTGAGCTTTCTTTGAGCATCATCCAGCACTCGTTTTCGCTGGATGTTTAAGGAAAAAAAATCTAATCTATTTTTTTCCTCTCCCATGTACCTGACATTTGGAATTGAAAGCCAGTGTTTTCAAAACGATTCAATCTGTAAGAAATTTAAAGCTCTATTTCTGAATTTGCTGCTGAGCAGTGACTTCTACAATCTGGACTGGAGTTGCTGTTTCCCTGATAAACCTATGTCATTAAGTAGGTGAGTTAAGAGATGCAAGAAAACAAAGTACAATAATAAATTGCTATGTTTATTTGAGCAAATATTTAATATACTTAGTATATAATGCATATTCAAAAATT
This sequence comes from Homo sapiens, assembly GCF_000001405.40. NCBI lineage: Eukaryota > Metazoa > Chordata > Mammalia > Primates > Hominidae > Homo > Homo sapiens. Next base: position 103,580,612 of record NC_000013.11, on the reverse strand, counting down.
ACAATTTATATTTCCAATAGAAAAAAAACTATAAATAGGCTATGTGAAAGAAGAAATGTCAGTGATTAACAGACATAGTGAAATATTTGTAGCATCACTAATAAAATAAAATAATTAAAATTACAATACACCAAGGGACCAATTTCCAACTAGTAGACTAGCAGAGCACAGTAATTTGAAAAGTATATGCACACACTCAATCACAAATTCATATTTATAAATATTTGGCATTTATCAATTGAAATGCCTGAGACATCATATTAATCTCTCTGTGTCATAATTGGCTGTTCATTGTAACCAGGACATGACCCTAACAAATACTGGAGGTTCATTTTTGCCATTGTTTTACTATATACTTTATTCCTTAACAACCATAGTTCATGACATCAAATCATGTTGCAATGACAGTAGTTAGTCGAGCCAAAGGTAGATTTAAGCACCCTTGTTTTGTTTTCCTGGAAAGTGGAAAAGCTATTTATTTGAGCTTGAATAACCAGTGAGTAAGTTCAGGTGTCAAATGAATGGCAGCATTCCAATTCTGCAGAAACAAAAATATTGACTAAACAAAGAATTTCAGGGTCATCAAAAATTGCTAGACACCATACCACTCTCAGGCATCTACCTAGACATGTGTTTCCTTCTTGACTGTGTCCTTGAGGACAGATATCAATTCATCAGTGACACAGGCCAGGAAAAGAAGGGCATATGAGACTGACAATCCAGATGGAGCGAATTCATGCCTGCGGCTCAAAAACATTTCTGCATCCTGTGGACTGCTAATAGTAAGTTGTAATTGTTTAGTTGAGGAAATTATAATTATTAATTTTGTTTGGGACAAGCACATCAACAATGAGAGCCAACACACATGGTCTAGACTACAGTGCTCATCAATAAAAATGTGATACAAGTCATATATGTAATTTGAATTCTTTAATAAGCACATTTATTAAAAAACAGACAACAGTAAATTTAATAATACATTTTATTTAGCACAATGATTCAAAAACATAATTTCAACATGTAAACAATATAAAAATATTAATTAAATATTATACATAATTGTAAAGTAAATGCTTGAAACCCTGAACATATTTCACACTAAGAACACATCTCAATTCACACATCAAGAAAAACTGGTCTATATTTAGAACTCAAATAACACAAACTTGAAAAATTAGATTCACATGCTACAGTTATTTCAAACGTATTTGAAGACATTTTCATTAACTAAATTGAGTATAAAAGGTATGCATATTTATATATGTATCTTAACCCACTTAATTAAACAATAAACGTTCACATGTCTTACATCTGGAGACATCCTAGTTTTCCAATGCTATGAAATTAACTAAGTAGTAACCATTAGCACATAGTCTTTAAATATGGCAATGCAAGTGTACTGGCAAGCAAAGGTCTATGTCGTATGGTTGTAATAATGCAGCTTATAAATATATATTTTAACTGTAGTTGTATATATAGATATACATAGAAAAATAAATGGTTGATACCAATGTAAATACAGAAGCAAAAACAGAGACATAGACATCGACATAGGTATATTGAAATACTGCATTTTGTGGTATGCTGGTAAATGTTTAACAATAGGTTCTCCAAAAAAAAAAACTGATTTTCAGTGTTTGATTGTTTCCAGTTTTCATGTTACGAACACTTCTACCATAGCCAATGTGGTGGAAGCTACCAATGTGACATCAGTAAATGTGAGGAGATGAGAGGAAATGTGCAGAAGCACAACATTACATAGTATTTCCAACATACAAACCAGGAATTGTTGCATGGACCTTAGTCCCAGCTACTGGGGAGGCTGAGGCGGGATGATTGCACAGGAATGATAGATGTAAGCAACCTCAATAGCATAGATAATAGTACAGTGTGGTAAAGTAGTTAGAAAGTGATTAATTCTGATTGCGTCCCACCTTTGCCTTTAACAAAATTTGTTACTTATATCATTTAATTTAAATAATAGCTATATTTAATAACTGGCTTACAAAATTCCTGAGAATTTAACAATGGGATGTTGTCAGCTGAAATGAGCTGGCTCCAGGATATCCCTGGCTGCAAATAAGGATGTACATTATAGAATGTGGTGAGGACAGCCAAGTGCTTACCAAAAACTGGGATTCCCTTCCACTTTATTGACTGTGATTGTCACAAGAAAATGGATGCACAGTCAGAGATTATATTCCCCTACCACTTGACATTAGGGTAACTGCGACCCCTTTTGCCTATGGGACCTGAATGGAAATGAGTATGTCACTTTCACCCAGTGGATTTGCCTTCAGTATATTCTTCCCTCTACTGCCAGCTGGTTGCGGAAGATCATGGAGCCACAAGATACAAGGAACCTGGATCCCTGAGTCACCACGTGGAAAAAAAGCCATTTGTTGGCATGGAACCCATGCACTATATTCCTTTTTTTTTTTTTTTTGACACAGAGTCTCGCTCTGTCGCCCAGGCTGGAGTGCAGAGCCGCGATCTCGGCTTATTGCAAGCTCCACCTCCCGGGTTCACGCCATTCTCCTGCCTCAGCCTCCCGAGTAACTGGGACTACAGTCACCCGCCACCACGCCCGGCCAATTTTTTGTATTTTTAGTAGAGACGGGGTTTCACCGTGTTAGCCAGTATGGTCTCGATCTCCTGACCTCGTGATCTGCCCTCCTCAGCCTCCCAAAGTGCGGGGATTACAGGCGTGAGCCACCACGCCCGGTCTCCATGCATTATATTGTTACAGAGACTATAAATGATTTCCTATGTGTTAAACTTTAGGGTTTATTATAACAGCTAGCGTTGTCCTAAATAATACCCATATGAATTTTAATTTTCTATCTCGTATTTTTCTACAAAGAATGTGAAACTTATTTTCAAAAATAAATATTTAAGGTAAATTTTATCACAAACACATTAAAATGGAAATCTTAGACATTAGGCAAAAAATAAGGGAATGGGCATGTTCCAGTGATTTTGTGAGCCATTGTTAAAAGAGTACTTAAATATCCAGAACAAATCTACTCTAACTTTGGGGATTATTCATAGTCTTTAATTTTATTTGTAAATTATACCCCAAATTTCTCCTTAGAGATGATAAAAGCTGTTTTTAACCTATGTATTGAGAAACATTATTTTAAAATTTCATTTATTGAAATAACATATTAGAAAACTTATAGTTTCAAAAATATAATCTTTACTGTAAAAATATTTGGGTTTTCTATTTCCCTTCTGAGGGCTGGCGTCAATGTTATATGTAAAGTGCGTGTTTAACAGATCTGAATGCTGATGAAGTGTGAGTGATGCCACCATCCGCAGCTGTGGAAACACTCACTCTGTGGGGTCTGAACTTGGCCTCTACACCTGAAAGGCTTTGAGGTCATCTTTAAAATATTATTTTCTTTCCATTTTCAAGGTTAAATGGAACATGATGGAGGTTTTGAATTCCAAACAGTTTTTGAAAGACTTTAAAATAATTTTCAGTCGTGTGTAGGGAAAATGTATTCCAATCTTCCTCTCCTAACCAATCTCATAACATTGTGTATGAGAGTAGCTAATGTGAAATTCCATGCAGAAATTTTATACACAGTGATTTAAAGAAAAAATGTTCACAGGGGATTGTCACAGGCAATTCTTAATGCCTGTTGCCATATATTTTATAAAAACAAACAGTAATAATAATAATAAATAATATATTTTACTTATTAAATACTTTATGTTCAAAAACTTAAAAGATATTTACCTAGGTTGGCCAAAATACAGTTAGCAATAAATAGAGCTAATAAAAAGAAATAATATCCTTTTTAAAAAATTTTTGAAACATCTTAAGTAAGGCAAAATGGACTTAGCCTATATATCCCTATATTAGTCCATTCTCATTCTACTAATAAAGACATACCTGAGACTGGGTAATTTATAAAGGAAAGAGGTTATTTGACTCACAGTGCAGCATGGCTGAGGAGGCCTCAGGAAACTTAAAATCATGGCAGAAGGGGGAAGCGAACATGTCCTTCTTCATATGGCAGCAGCAAGGAGAAGAATGTGTGCCCAGCAAAGGGGAAAGTTCTCATTATCAGGTCTTGTGAGAACTAACTCACTATCATAACAACAGAATGTGGGAAACTGTCCCCATGATTTGATTGTTTCCACCTGGTCTCTCCCATGGCACATGGGGATACTGGGGACTACAATTCAAAATGAGATTTAGGTGGGAACACAGTTAAACCATATCAATCCCTAAGTACTGTTTTATTTTCATGATATATTCTACTCTTCTTGGCTACATGTTTATGCTTACTAATGTTTATCAATATTAAGTTTTTACTTTAAAGGTAAAAACAGGTCTTGGGATGAAATAGTTGTGAATATTCCCCAACTGTATACCCACCAAGGATGATGGTGTTCATGCAAAATCATAAATAGTGGAGAATAAGAAATTTATGGAATAACCTCCAGCTATCAATTAACATCACATTAAGCAGGAACATAAGGGAACCTGGTTGACCAAAATAAAATTGAGTTAACTTAGATATGTCACTTCATTACATTAAAAATATATCTTTGTATAACTAGAATGCAGACTATAGGGCCCTAGTGACATAAAGATAACTAGACACTGTTTTTCCCTTTTATGACCAAATGTACACTATATTTAATGTAAAATTTGAGCTATCCGAAATCAATTTAGAGAGTACACCACTTAAGGTCATCAGTATAAAACCTCATTTTATAACAGGAAAAATGTTTATAAACAGAATGATTGTGGTAGAGTATAGCATGTGAGAATGTTCTTTCTTTACATCTTGTTTTTCAAAATCAAAACACCATAAATGAAATTTCTGATTCACTTTGAATACACAGACTGAATTTGGACTCCATTTACCAATATACTACTATTGCCATTTCAACTAGAGCAACTAAGGAAGATGTGTCAAAGTGTAATTAATATACGCTGTCTTGTGATTAATGTGTAAATATATACCTGAATTATAATCTATAAATTTACAGGTTTATTCCAGGAAAAAGAGAATTATATACTGAAAGCTTGAATTAAACAATAATGAGATTTTAATACCCTTCTTATACTCATAACTAAACAAAGTTGCAAAACATCAAGGGCATTGAAGTACTTGAAAAAAATCACTGCTTACAAATTGCACGGGATGAAAGAAAGATTAAGTAGCAGTGTATTTTTGTATTTTTGTCTTTTTTTAAAAGGTGAGTATTTAGTGAGGCATATATTGAAGATTATTTAAAAAGATCATTGAGAATTCAAAAGAAAACAGAGTGTCATGTCAGAATTTGTGGAAAATGCTTTAAAGGTCACATGAATATGTCCCAAGTTATGTAAAATTTTCTGTAATCGCAGTTGCTAATCTGTTCTAAAAATGTGGTCTTCAGAGTAAAGTGTTGAAAGCCTCTAGACTAGCCTAAGGGTCTTACCACATATTTCAGTCTATCCTCTCTAAGTGCTCATCTAAGTTCCTTCTTGTAAAATAGACTATAAATCTGACTGTAAGAGACTGCCTCAGAACTCATCAAGTTATAAGGATACAATATTGACTTGCTAGATGTATCTCTAGTTTCAAACATGTCAAAGATGATATAGAAGTAAAATGATAGAAATAAAATGACGTAATTGCCTTGCAATTAATCATACTTAATTGTGAATGTCTGTGTGTATGCATGTCAAGGGTTGATTTTGGTGGACATAACTTTGGTCTTATCACAAATTCTTCTAGTTAATAAGTTTATTACACTGAGCAATACATTCTTAGAAGGCAATAATGTTAAATTTTTGCCTTGTTAAAATTGAAGTGAAAATTCTAGCCTAATTCATCGGCTAAATGAAACTAATAATCCCTGTCTACCTCATACTATAATTGCCAAACTGCATTAATTTAAGGGTTGTGAAAGTGTTTCAAAGCAGTAAGCCATTGTAAGAAGATAATGTTGGTATTATTTAATGTTGTCCTGTGAAACCACTGCAGATGTTCTTTAAACAAGAATCTCAGTTATCTTCCATGGCTTATTTTAATAAGCACATCAATCAAATATGTATTGAAAACTTTCTATGTGTGAAAGTCAGTATAAAATATTTTGGGGACATAAAGATAAACAATGGACATTTCCTGCACTTGAGGCATATTTAATGTACTTGAAGAGTGCAATGAACAATTCACAAGTCATTCTTATATCTCAAGTTTTTCTCCCAAAGTAATCCATACACCTTGTTGAGAGATATAGCAAACAAGATATGCTTATTGGAGCAGAAGTCACTAGAGCCTTAAAATGGTAGGAACACTTAAATGATACTTTTGATGAATTTTTGGAGGCTGAGCATGGACCATCACAAGAATAAGATACTCTTGTGGACCTCAGACTTGGGGAGCCACTATACTTCCATGGGCTTTCTCTGAAGAATCTTATAAGATTCTCATGATAAATATTCAGGAAGGATCTCCTTCTGACTCTGTCAAGGGAAGGGAAGAGTAAACAGTCACACCCAACCAGAGACTTCACAAATGTTTCTACTCCTTGGGATAAAAAACTTCACCACAGTACAATTCTGAAGTATTATCCAAGCTACGGGAAGGAAATGGCTTCCCACTCCAGCCCTCACCAGCTTTTCTGTATCAAATAAGGAGGAAATACGTTCAAAACTAAAAACTAGTTAAGAGGAGACAGGGTCTCAAAGAAATATATTGAGAATGCCATAGCTAGGAAAAGCATAAGTGAGGAAAGCCATATGTTCTCTCTGGAAGGGAAACAAATGTTTGTAAAGGCGAGAGTCCTAAGACACAAGTCCACTGAAAGATTGAAGATTAATCAGAAAATTATAGCATGTTCTCCTTTCCCCAAATGATGCAGGATTTTTCTTGGTCACTTTGCAAGCCAGGGACCTCCAGCTGGCAATGCCCCCACCCGGGCATCAATCGGCCACACTACCTCCTACAGGATATTGCATACCCACTTGGCCCACCCAGGCTGCTCCTGCCTTGCCCACCAGCTCAGCTCACCAGCTCAGCCTGTGGCTGGGCTGAGCATGCCACAGCTGCCTGTGTTATAGCTTGTACTCACATTTGACGGTTCCCAAGTTCTTGTCCCATGCCCAAGAAGAATGAGGATACATTGACAATTGAAAGGTGAGGAGGGCACAGAAGAATTTACTTGAGTGACAAAATAGCTCTCAGTAGAAAGGGGACATGAGGGTGGTCAACTACCTAGAGTCAGGTGGTTTCTCTCCCAGTGTGGGGGAGTCCTGGGCTTTGATGGACTCTGAACAGGGGAGTGTGTGCTGATTGGTTTGTGAGTATGCAAAAAGGCTGAAACAAAGGAACCACTCAAAGGTGGTCATGACTGTAAAAAATACAATTAGGGAACGGTAGTTATATGTAAAATAGGTGAAGGGTAGGAATCAATCAGAGGAAAGTGTGCCAAACAGGAAGACAGGTTCTCAATTCATCCATGAATTTGACTTGTAGCTTGGCTTTCAAGCTTTAAACTTTCTTTGGCTTGGAGGTGGGGTTTCACTGGGGACCCGCCCCTATCTGCATAGGCATTTGTCTGCTTGCTGCTGCTATCAATATCTTACCACCCCACCCAACAAGACTCTGGATTAACAACAGTAGATTATAGCTGAAAGAAATTCAAGACACAGGCTCTCTCTGTGGAGCAATACATAGGGAATCCTCAAAGCTTAGAAAGCACACAAAAACAAAGATACTAAAGGTGTTTGAATTCTCTGGTAGCTATAGCCATAACAAACGTTGAATACAACCAAACTTCTAGCCACATTAATATACATATGCACACAAAATACACATTTACTTCAATATCTGTTATCCACAACAACATGTCTGGTTTTCAATGAAAAAGAAATTCAAAGTATGCCAAAAGACAAAAACAAAACACACAAACAAAATAGTCTGGACAAAGCAATAATCAAAATGAGATTCAGGTATGACTCAGACATTGACATTATCAAAAAGAGAATTTAAAATAACTATGAGTAATAAGCTAAGGGCTCTTAAGGAAAAATTAGACACATGCAAAAACAGATGGGTAATGTAGGAAGAGAAATGGAAACTCAAACAATTAAATTTATAATGCAAATGTAACTGGAATACCAAAGGAGAAGAAAGAGAGAATGGAGTGGAAGAAATATATAAAGTAATAATGTCTGAAACATTCCAAAATTGATGAAAGACACCAAACCTCACATCCAGGAAGTTCAAAGAACACCAAGCAGGATAAATGTCAATGAGCTACACCTAGGGTATCATATTCAAACTGTACAATATTCAAACCAGAAACAAAGAGAACCTTAGGAAAGGGAAGAGAGGTGGAGGAAGGAGAGGGGAGTAAACACCTTATAGAGGAACAAGAGTAAAAATTACAGTGGATTTCTCATCAGAAACCGAGTATGAAGTGAGTGGAGTGAAATATTTAAAGTATTGAAACCAAAAGAAGGCCAATCCAGAATTCTACATCCAGTGAAATTAGCAGCCTTCTAAAGTGAAGGATAAAGACTTTCTTGAACAAACAAAAATTGAGGACATCTGTTGCTAGCAGTGTTCTTCGGGTAGATGAAAATGTTATAGGTCAAAAACTTGGATCTTCATAATGAAAGAAATAGTGTAGGGGAAAGTATATATGAAGGTAAAATAAAATCCTTTTATTTTTCTTATTTTTAAATGATCTAAAAGACAACTCTTTGTATAAAGCAATCATAATAAAGATGTCTCTGATGGTTGTAGTTTATGTGTGAATGAAACAAATAATAACAATGTCAGGGAGAGGAATAGGGATATACTATTGCAGGGTACATACACTGTGGGTGAAGCAATATAAAGTTATTTCAAAGCGAATTTAGGTTATTTAGAAGTGTATGTTGTAAAATCTAAAAACACCACTGAACATGCTTTTTAAAAGTATAAAGATAATATAAGAATGAATTAAATAATAGAAAATAGTCAAAACCAGAGAAAACAGAGAAGCATATGGGGAAGTCAAATGCAGTGAGTTAAACAAACCTTAGATAGATAGATACAATTTTTTATGTTAAAGGCATGTTTGACAACCAATAATAAAATTAAGTGATTCATTTAAGAATGATCAATTTTGCTATAGAAGATAAGAAAATAGATGGGATGACTGAAATTCATAAGATGCATGAAGCCTAAAAAAAAAGTAACAAAGAATTTTTGAGATATGAGCAAGATTCATAGGAATGTTAAGTATGTGTAATAATAATGAGTTAATGTGTTTCTTGTGAGAGATAGACATAATACTCAAGAAGTGATAAATATTGAGTATAAGAAAATAACTGGTATGACATGCTAAAGAAACGTACAATTAATAGAAAGTAAGATCAAGTAAAAACGAATATCATTTAAGGACAGAAAACAAGGAAAAGATGAAGTCATTGTCATGCCACCTCTAGGCTGACAGCTCTTTCACTTCTAGGTCGTACACTCTTTAGAGACATAGCATGATGGTTTATCCTGACCATACATATACTTCCCCAAGATATGCAGATAAAACATATAGTTTTTCAGTAGCTGATTAGTAGGGTACAGTTTTGACCCAACTTGTCCCTGCCTCTTTCCTATAGAGTAAGTATGCACCACTAGCCTAAGAGTCTCAACTTGCCTATGTTTCTTCACTTTTGACTCCATTTGGAATCCATTTTAATAAGCCATGTGAGCTGTGCATATTCACTTGGTGTTTGACATTTTTTTCCAGTATCTAGGATAATTCAGTTGGTAGTGTTGTTGGACCATACCACTGCATCAAAGTAATTTTCTACACAATAGCTATAAAAACTGTATGTTTCTTGTCATTAGCAATTTACTCAAATGAATAAAGTCTAGAAAAGAGGATGATAGTTGTTCAAAATATCTAGCAAAGAAGGCAACTACCATATAATTTAGGTCCCTCTTTTACTCTACGCCACAATATTCTATTTATCAAAATGGGAAGTTAAAATTAATGAAAGACTGTTAGAGAATGATTGTGGAAGAGTATAGCATGAAAAATAATTTCAAAATATGATAATTACATTATTATACTTAGTTAATACTTATCTTTTTTCCTTGTAAAATTAAGAAGTAGTAGAATTTTAAAATATTCAACAAAGAAAAGAAACATTCTAAATACGAAACATTATTCAGGCCGGTAACAGTGGCTCACATCTGTAATCCCAGCACTTTGGGAGGCCAAGATGGGAGGATTTTTTTAGCCCAGGAGTTCGAGACTAGTCTGGGCAGCATAGGAAGACCCTCATCTCCATAAAAATTTAAAAACTTAGGCATGGCGGTGTGTGCCTATAGTCCCATACATTTATATATATATATAGTCCCATACATTTATATATATATATAGTCCCATACATTTATATATATATAGTCCCATACATTTATATATATATATAGTCCCATACATTTATATATATATATAGTCCCATACATTTATATATATATAGTCCCATACATTTATATATATATAGTCCCATACATTTATATATATATATAGTCCCATACATTTATATATATATATAGTCCCATACATTTATATATACTGACACATATATATATTATTCTAATAAAATAACAAATTATTATATATTTAAAATTATATATATTTCTAGAAAATATATATTATATATTTAAAAATATCTACACTGAACATATATATACACTAAATATATACTATATATACACACACAAAATATATACTTTTATATATATATATAAAACTCTAATTCTACAGGTGCATCTGTTTGCCATATTTCTGATGTGTTTATTTACTTTTCCAAAAATGAATCCATAATCAATTTGCCTCATAGTAGATATTGACATAGATAAAATGATGTTTCTTAATTACTGTAGTAACAACTACACTATGCATTACAAATATTGTGAATCAAGTTGAATTTTGAAGATATAATAAAAATATTTTTAATTATTATGTTTCATCGTGATGGTGTAATTTGAAGCAGTGAACACATGCTCAGGAGAGTGACATATATTACAGTGAACATTTACTTTGGTGGAAACAGTATAGAAACATCCATATTTGATGAGATAGGCCATTCTTGTATTTTCTTAGTTAAGGAAATCATCCAGAGATGAAAATATTTCATAATATACTTGAAACATTCAGAAGAGAAAAATAATGAAGAAAGTTTCTTCAAAGCATAAATGACAAAACTGTTCATATTAATGTTAATAGTTTACATATGAAAACCACTCTCTTACAGTAGATTATAAAAAATATAGAATAATGAAACTCTTAGTATTAAATATCCCAGAATTAAATTATTTATTAAAAGCAAAGACAGGAAATTTAATCTACCATTCTTTAAAGATATGAAAGTGTTGGCCTCATATTGCTTTAGAAAGAAAAATATAATATTTATTCAGTGTATTTTTACAATTTGAAACAAAAGGTGGGCAAATTTTACATTCTCAATTATTTTAATTATGAAAAGAAACAACAAAATTAGTCACTTAAGGAAGAAATATAATTGTCCTGAGAGACTGGAGCTAAGTGGTCAAAGCAGATTGTAAACAATAAAGGACTTAATTTTGAGGCTTGGGATCTTGGTTGGCTTACACAAGGTATGTTAAATATCTGAAACAAATGTATATTTGTTTTGTTAAATAATTTATTTGTAGATAAAGATGTATGACTCCCCAAGGAGAGCTATTCTCCTAAAACATTTAATACAACAGAAATTTTAAAGATCTGGAGAAAGAAGAGTAAAATTTTACATTTTAAATGAATGTTGGCTTTTAGGAAATGCTGACTCTAAAATAAATTCCTAGGCAAGGCATGCAATTTTAATTTCTGCCTTGATCTCTAGAAAAAGTATTCAGCAAAGATTAACAAAGTTAACTGTGCTTTCTTTTCTCTACAAGATGATTTAAAAATTCAGTTCTATGTAATGCATCTACTCCTTTTTTACCACACGAAAACATCTTTTAGAGATACATGTCGGGCAATAACTTTGGGCCCCCATGCTATTGTGTGACGCTTGCTATTATGCTATTTTTGTATCCACTCTAGAAACACTGCCTCTGATACCAATGATAGAATGGGGGATTTTAGAGTGCCCTAGTTTCAGTTCAGATGTTCGGTTTTGTACTTGTACTTTTTAAAATATGACTTCTCAGCAGTATGTTACAATCAACAGAAGGGACTCTATGTGTCCCCTCACTAAGAAATAACAAGTACCACTTCTCCATCACCCGAAATGTAATAATATCTCTGCTCTGTTACAATTATTTTTGACAGAATATGAAGAAGAATAGATGGATTATAGAAACCAGAGTCCTCACAAAATAGAGAAGTTGAGGAACCACAGGATAAAGCCACAGAAAACACTGTATCATGATGTTTTTGAAATTTTAATTTCATAATAAAGTGATATAGTAGCTTTATTTTAAATTTAAAAAATAGCTACATTGTAAAATATTTGCATGATCTAAGATTAGCTGCATTGCATCTTAGCAATTGTTTAAGAAACTCAGTCTAAATATCATCTACACAGAAATTCTCTCTGTATACCATTTTTTGAAAACATTTCTAAATAAGTTTTTAATGCATGAACCTTTTGTGGGGCACAGTGTCTCCGTTTAGTAGACTGCCGATTCTTTTTACTTAAAGTTATGTTGTATAAAAATGGTGTGCGTAATGAAGATTTAAGTGCCATATGAAATGTTCATAGCAATTGAAGGACATTACTGAGGACTCCTGCTTGGCGCATTTATCCCTAATTGCACATACGGCACCCAACTTCTTCAGCAGAAATATGGACCTAATGGAAATCCTTTGACTGGACTGGAAAACATGCTTGTCACCAGCATCCATCTTAATAGAAAAGTAACTGCACTTGCTCATTCCCGATCCAGATTTGCAAAGCGCCTCTTTATAATCATCATAAAACCTCAAGACTGCCCAGAGAGCACCTTAGCGACCTAGGAGATAGCTCAATCAACGATTTTAATAGAAGAGTTTGTTTTTCCATTTAGTTGGGAAAATTTGGATTGCTCTGTTACCAAGCTCTTATAGTCTATCAGACACTGAAGCTCAGATGTCCTTGCTTCCTTAATATTTATACTCTTATAAGTTTCCCGTTTGGAATAATACAACAGAAATCACAGAACTCCTGATAAATGCCATTTTCCTTTAGCTATCATTTCCAGATAAAATTAGTAAGTTCCTTCCCTGCCTGGGTGTATTTGGCTATTGGGTGTATTTGTTGTATTCATATTTGTGTATATAAAATATCTATATGTGTATAGTAAAGGCATTGCATTTTCCTCACACTACATACTTATGAAGGTGTATAAACATGAAAAATAATCGTGATGGGACATTTGAGTAAAAATTGCATTGGATATTTCATATATGATATCAAAGTTCTCTATAAATATAAGAAAATAAATCTAGGGAAAAAGCATAAAATATATGCTTTTTCAAAGACCACATGAGGAAAAGTTAAGTAATAAACGAATTGTACACTGGCATTATAAATATGGAAACGCGAACAACACGTGGTTCTGGGTGTCTGTGTCAGTTGCAGGCTGTGTGAAGAAACCTTAGTTATTTGTATTATGCTATTTTTGTGCCCAGCCTAGAAATACTGCCTCTGATGCCAATGACAGAATGAAGGACTTTTGAGAGTCCCAGTGTTAGTTCATACGTTTGGTTTTATATTTTACTTGTAAAATAAGACTTCTCAGCAGTGTGCTACAACCAACAGTAGCAACTAACTAACTAAAATGTATCTGGAAGAGCTTGGTCAAGTCTGGAATGAAGTGCTTTGTAACAGTATGGAAGAGGCTCTCATTTCGTAGAAATACAAAGGACTAAAGATTGGAGAAGAAAGAAGGCAATGAAGAATTCTATACAAAAAAATTTCAAATTTAAATCAGAGTTCTAGAGCAGAAAGGGAGTTTATGTGGTTAAGACAGAAAAGAGAATATTCTGAGGGGAATGTTTATTATTTTGGGTAAAACTTATTAACTCTGTCATACACCTTGTTTACAGATAGCTAAATTAATAACCAAGAAAAAATATTCTAACAATGAATGCATCAAATATATATGTAGACTTTGTCTTCTGGTACCAAATATTGTGTCTCTGTGTAGTCAAATACAGTCTAACTTGTAAAAGACAACAGTACATACTGGAAAGATTTTTCTTTTCAAGTGGTACTTCCTGTTTGAATACAATATTTTGAAACTGGCATTCTAATAAATATAAAGAAATTACTCTTGTGATCAAAAGAGGTGTGATTTTCTGTCTACCTCAATGTCATTCTTACATTTTCACTTAATATTGAAAAGATGAATACACAATTGCAGATTGAAAAGATTTAAACTGACTTCCAAATTGCATTTTGCTCATTTCTTTTTTCTCCAGACAAAATTATGTGTAAACCATGTAAGTGAATAACATTGTTTTTTCATTTTTAAAATATCAAGTATAAGTCTGCTTTTCTGTAGACATACCATAGCCTGTTGTATATTTATAGCCAGCATTGGTTTTGTATGCATTTTGGCCATATAAAATAAGAATTTCTCTCTTTCACCAGCACTTGATTAAAAAAAAAAAACATAGTTTCACGTTAAAAGATTAGATTTATGAATAGTAATTTTAACTCTTTCCTGCCTTTTAGAGTCCCTTTCAACTATTGGAAATGTAAGTGAATAAAACAAAACAAATGAGTTTTACAAATGTCTTATGAATAAGTTTTTAATAATATTATAATTCTGAGAATACATAATCCAAGAAAGTTATGCTGATTTAGCCTGTATTTAGAATCTGAAATGTAAGGTAATTCATACTCTAAATACACATATTCTTTGTTTAAAAATTGACATATGAATTTGGTATGTTACTCTCATCTGTAACATGCAATTTATGATACCCACTGAAATGGTTTGGATTTGTGTACCCACCCAAATCTCATCTTGAATCGTAACCCCATAATCCCCATATATTGTGAAAGGGACCCTGTGGCAGGTAATTGAATCATGGGGGCAGTTCCCCCCATGCTGTTCTTGTGATACTGAATAAGTTCTAACAAGATATGATGGTTTTATAAGGGGCTTCCCCTTTCACTTGGCACAGATTCTCTCTCCTGCCACCCTGTGAAGAGATGCCCTCCACCATGATTGTAAGTTTGGTGAGGCCTCTGCAGCCATGTGGAATTGCGAGCCAATTAAACCAATTTTCTCTTTATGAATTACCCAGTCTTTCTCTAGTGTGAGAAAAAACTAATACAGTAAATTGGTACTGGGAGTGGGGCACTGCTATAAGGACGCCCAAAAATGTGGAAGTGACTTTGGAACTCAGCAACAGGCAGAGGTTGGAAAAGTTTGGAGGGCTTAGAAGAAGACAGGAAAATGTGGGAATGTCTGGAACTTTCTAGACACTTGGAGGCCTCAGAAGAAGATAGGACGATATGGGAAAGTTTGGAACTTCCAAGAGACTGTTGAATGATGTTGACCAAAAGACTGATAGTGACATGAACAATGAAGTCCAGGCTGATGTAGTCTCGGATGGAGATAAGAAACTTCTTGGAAACTGGAGCAAAGGTGACTCTTGCTATGCTTTAGCAAAAAGGCTGGTGGCATTCTGTTTGTGCCCTAGAGATCTGTGGAACTTTGAACTTGAGAGACATGATTTAAAGTGTCTGGTGGAAAAAAATTTCTAAGTGGCAAAATGTTCAAGAGGAAGCAGAGCATAAAAGTTTGGAAAATTTGTAGCCTGACGATGAAATAGAAAAGGAAAACCTACTTTCTGAGTAGAAACTCAAACCCACTGCAGAAATTTGCATAAGTAACAAGGAGCTGAAAGTTAATCTCCAAGACAATGGGAAAACTGTCTCCAGAGCATGTCGGAGACCTTCATGGCAGCCTCTCACATCACAGGCCCAGAAGACTAGGAGGGAATCATAGTTTCATGGACCTGGCCCAGTCCCCACAACCCACTTTGTGCATCTGCAGCTCTGTGCAGGGGCCCCCTCCTCTGTACAGAGATGGTAACCTGTATCCCAGCTGCTTCAACTTTAGCCATGGCTAAAAGGGTCCAAGGTATAGCTTGGGCCATTGCTTCAGAGGATGCAAGTCCCAAGCTTTGGCAGCTTCCATGTGATGTTGACCCTGCAGGTGAACATATGTTAAGAATTTAGGTTTGGAAACTTCCACCTAGATTTCACAGGATGTATGGAAACACCCGGATTTCCAGGCAGAAGTTTGCTACAGGAGCAGAGTCCTCATTAATATCTATTAGGACAGTGCTGAAGGGAAATATGGGATTGGAGCCCATACATAGAGTCCGCACTGGGGCACTGCCTAGTGGAGCTGTGAGAAGAGGGCCGCCATCCTCAGGACCCAGGAATGGTAGATGCACAAACAGCTTACACTGTGCACCTGGAAAAGCCACAGACAATCAACAGCAGCTCTTGAAAGCATCTGGGAGGGGGACTGTACCCTGAAAAGCCACAGAGGCAGAGCTGTCCAAGGCCATGGGAGCCCACCTCTTGTATCAGCGTGACGTGGATGTGATACATGGAGTCAAAGGAGATCATTTTGAAACTTTAAGGTTGAATGACTGCCCTGTTGGATTTCGAGCTTTCATGAGACCTGTAGCTCCTTTGTTTTGGATAATTTCTCCCATTTAGAATGGGTGCATTTACCCAATGCCTGTACCTCTATTGTATCTAGAAGTAACTAACTTGCTTTGATTTTACAGGCTCAAAAGTGGAAGGAACTTGCCTTATTTCAGAAGAGACTTTGGACTTGCACATTTGGATTAATGCTGGGATGAGCTAAGAATTTGGGGGACTGTTGAAAAGGCATGATTGTGTTTTGAAATGTGAGGACATGAGATTTAGGAGGGGCTGGGGTGAAATGATATGGTTTGGCTTTGTGTCCCCACCCAAATTTCATCTTGAATAGTAATCACATAATCCCCATGTATTATGGGAGGGATGCAGTGGGAGGTAATTGAATCATGGGGTCAGTTTCTTCCCATGCTGTTCTCATGATAGTGACTTCTCACAAGATCTGATGGTTTTATAAGGGGCTTCCCCCATCACTTGGCACTCATTCTCTCTCCTGCTACCCTGTGCAGAGGTGACATCTGCCATGATTTTAAGTTTCCTGAAGCCTCCCCAGCCATGTGGAACTGTGAGTCAATTAAGCCACTTTTCTTTATGAATTACCTAGTCTTGGGTATTTCTACATAGCAGTGTGAGAACAGCTTAATACACCTGATGCTATCACGCTAAATTATTGAATTTTTACTTTTAAAGCACTTCTTGTTCAAACTTATCCCAATAATATTAAATACCAGTTTCCTATTTTGTCCACCACCCTATTAAATTGTCAGTAGGAGTAAAGATTATTTTTTAAATATAAATTGTCTGGAAAGTTTTAAAATGTCAAAACATTTTACATGTTTTCTTCTAAATTATATTATAATTATGTAAGTGCTACATGGCAAACATATAAACATGCCAACCTCTAGGCCAGCCTTGTGGCAAACTGGTAGATAAAAGATGCAGAAGCAAAAGAAACTATCATGCTAGCTGACTTCAAACTATACTGCAAGGCTACAGTAACCAAAACAGCATGGTACTGGTACAAAAACAGATATATAAACTAATGGAACAGAACAGAGGCCTCAGAAGTAACACCACACATCTACAACCATCTGATCTTTGACAAACCTTTCAAAAACAAGCAATGGGGAAAGATTCCCTATTTAATAAATGGTGCTGTGGAAACTGGCTAGCCATATGCAGAAAACTGAAACTGGACCCCTTCCTTACACGTTATATAAAAATTAACTCAAGATGGATTAAAGACTTAAACGTAAGACCTAAAACCACAAAAACCCTAGAAGAAAACCTAGGCAATACCATTCAGTGATAAAATCTTAAATTTCAGGGGGAAAGGCAACAAAAACCAGCCTCAGGTCACTGGAAATCCGCAGCAATTCAGGGAAGAAGATAAGAACAACAGAAGAACAACCACCATAGGACCAGGAATACGTACTAGGTCCAGTGTTGCACCTGCAGGAGGGGAAGGATCATTAGTGAAAGCTGGGCCACTGCCACCCGGGTTCACAATGCCTGCCTGACTGAGGCTAAGTATAAAGGTCAGGGCATGTACTGGTTCTTCATCCCTGCTATGCTGGCAAGCATCAAGTAAGAAACTTTCAAATATAGCTACAAGACACAGGTTCTCTCTACAGAGTGGTACAAAGGAGAAATCTAAGAAGAGAACACAAAGAGGAGCAGGCTTTGGTAACCCCCACTTACCAAATAAGATATACTGAAAAAAGGTAAGGTGACCAAGAAGAATTTGAAGCCTCTGTTGTACTGTGGGTAACCATAGCAACAGCAAACTCAAACCCAGTCCAATCCCTATTTAGATGAACACAAATCCCCATGTGAAAACTATTTACCTTATTCTCTACTATCCTATACACAACTGTCAGATTTCAACAATAAAAGGAGAGGCATACAAAAAGACCTCAGGCACATTGTTAGAAAACTGATTATGTAAATTATACGTCTCATTTTATATGTTAGGCATTGTAAAACCTTTGGAAGTCTCGTGGCTATGTGAAATTACTTTATGTGTAGGAAGAGGTCAATAGGCTGTAGATATTTGATCACAGCACTCTTATGTTCTATAATTGAGCTATGTATATTTGTTTAATTCAAGATGAAAA
Organism: Homo sapiens; assembly: GCF_000001405.40. Taxonomy (NCBI): domain Eukaryota; kingdom Metazoa; phylum Chordata; class Mammalia; order Primates; family Hominidae; genus Homo; species Homo sapiens. The sequence goes on along the minus strand of NC_000013.11, from coordinate 103,561,850 downwards.
GGTGAAAGATACCTTATGGCACCTCAAGTGTTTAAACTTTGGAAGATAATTTGGTTAATATGAACTGATTTCAAGGGTGACCACAAAGAAAATATGTGAGTAATAAGGACCAAAGAGGATCATGGAATATTAGACAAAAATCAGTTCAACTGAAGAGCAAAACCTACCAGGCTATTCTACAATGGAATGAGAAACCCACTATCGGGGAAAACCAAAGATGCCTTAGGTCTTAACTTCAGAAAGGCTTTGATTCAGTGCCATATTAATTGTTAGCAAGGCAATAGAGTTTGGATCAGAATCTGAAATACATAATGTCACCAATTGAAAATCATATGTAAAATATCTGGATTATGGAACACATATAAAAATGCCATTTTATTACTTTGAATTACACATAGAAATTGTTACCATATTATTGAAAATTTTGACAAGAAAATAACTGTGAGGACTTCCATTAAGTAAAAAACTATGTACCAATGGCGACTATCAGTACATCTGCAACTGGGCCAGCACACAGAATTTGCCCAGATAGAAAGAAAAACTTTACTTAATTTTGAGTAATGTAATTTAATAAATGGAAATAAAAATAAATAACATTAAGAACTCTTAAAATAATAAAATAAGACTCTTTTTGGAAGCAAATTAAATGCAGAAATGCTTTTGGGTTAACCCTGTTGAATGTTGGTCATGAACAAATGGAGTAATGAATTTTTAGTAAACACAATGCCTATCACAATAAAAATATTTGCTTTGTATTTTAAATCTATGTTGTAAGTTTTTATATTATTATTATACTTTAAGTTCTGGGGTACATGCGCAGAATGTTCAGGTTTGTTACATAGGTATACATGTGCCATAGTGGTTTGCTGCACCCATCAACCCATCACCTACATTAGGTATTTCTCCTAATGCTATCCCTCCCCTAGCCCCCCAACCCCGGACCGGCCTCAGTGTGTGATGTTCCCCTCCCTGTGTCCATGTGTTCTCATTCTTCAACTCCCACTTATGAGTGACAACATGCAGTGTTTGGTTTTCTGTTCTTGTGTTAGTTTGCTGAGAATGATGATTTCCAGCTTCATTCATGTCCCTACAAAGACATGAACTCATTCTTTTTTATGGCTGCATAGTATTCCACAGTGCATATATGTGACATTTTCTTTATCCAGTCTATCACTGATGGACAATTGGGTTGGCTCCAAGTCTTTGCTATTGTGAATACTGCCACAATAAACATACGTGTGCATGTGTCTTTATAGTAGAATGATTTATGATCCTTTGGGTATATACCCAGTAATGGGATTGCTGGGTTAAATGGTATTTCTAGTTCTAGGTCCTCGAGGAATCTCCACACTGTCTTCTACAATGGTTGAACTAATTTATGCTCCCACCAACAGTGTAAAAATGTTCCTATTTCTCCAAATCCTCTCAAGCATCTGTTGTTTCCTGACTTTTTAATGATCGCCATTCTAACTGGCATGAGATGGTACCTCATTGTGGTTTTGATTTGCATTTCTCTAATGACCAGTGATGATGAGCTTTTTTTCCTATGTTGGTTGGCCACATAAATGTCTTCTTTTGAGGAGTGTCTGTCTATATCCTTCACCCATTTTTTGATGGGGTTGTTTTTATTTTTCTTGGAAATTTGTTTAAGTTCTTTGTAGATTCTGGGTATTATCCCTTTGTCAGATGGATAGATTGCAAATATTTTCTCCCATTCTAGTTTAATTAGATCCCATTTGTCAATTTTGGCTTTTGTTGCCATTGCTTTTGGTGTTTTAGTCATGAAGTCTTTGCTCATGCCTATGTCCTGAAAGGTATTTATTCTTTATTTGTTGTTTAATAAACGGTATTTATTCTTTATTTTATATCTAAATGGTATATATTCTTCGTTTAAAAACTTTCATTCTTCATTTAAAAGCTTTTCAGACAATTTATATTTAATACCTCAATGGAATTTTATCCCATTGAGGTATGTATTTGTGTTCTACAGATGCATAACAAATTATCACAAACTCAGTGACTTAAAACAAAGCAAACAAGAAATTATCTCAAAGTTTCTGTAGGGTAGAAGTCTGGCCTGATGTCTTCTAGTTCTCCTCTCAGGGTATGTCAAGGTTAAAATCCAGTCATCCAGAGTGAGATTTCATCTGGAGGCTCTGTGGAAAAATTCAATTCCATGCACTTGCTTGCTGATAACAGAATTCAGTTTCTTGTGGTTGGAGGACTGGAGTCTTACTTTCCCTGCTGGCTTTCAGGCAGGCAGGATCGTCCTTCTATTCTTTTGAGGACACTGCATTCCCACCATGTGATCCTCTTTATCTTTGAAGCCAGTGTGTCAAATCCTTCTCACATCTTGAATTTTTCTGAGCACAGAATGTCTCTCCTTGTAAAATGGTTTATTGGATTAGGTCAGATCCACCTGAATAATCTTCTCATTATAAAGTGTATTAGTTCATTTTCATGCTGCTATCAAAGATATACTGGAGACTGGGTAATTTATAAAGGAAAGAGCTTTAATTAACTCACAGTTTAACATGACTGGGGAGGTCTCAGGAACTTACAACCATGGTGGAAGAGGAAACAAACACATCCTTCTTCACATAGCAGCAGGAGACAGAAGTAGGAGTGAAGTAGGACAGGGGGAAGCCTATAATAAAACCATCAGCTCTCATGAGAACTCACTCAGTGTCACAAGAACAGCAGCAGGAGGGTAACCATTTCCATGATTCAATTACCTCCAAAAGAGTCTCTCCCATGACACGTGGGTATTAAAGGACTACAATTCACAATGAGCTTTGGGTGGGGGTGGGGACATACCAAAACCATATCATAAGGTCAGCCTTGCCACAGGATATATCCTAATCACAGGAGTAAAATCCATCCTATTCTCAATTCCAGGAATTCTGCAGGGCATGTATACTAGATGAAAGGGAAATTCTGGAAGCTATTTTTTAATTCCACCTAGTTCACAGAGACAGAGACACACCAGTCAGGTTGGAGTTTCAACAGAGGCTGCCATTTCCTTCCTCAATCCTCCCCATGGGGGAAAGATTTCTCAGAATTCTGCCTCATCTTCTCTGTGAGCTCTTGGTGGGCTTAGTGAAGGAAACATCTGAATGATGGTTTGAAGTCCCCTTTCCTGTGGTCCTCAGTGGCTGCACACTCTCACACTAAATCACATTTATCCTTTAGACATCTAGTCTATATTTCTAACTGACTTTTCTTTCCAGCTTATGTGGAATTTAGCAGTGTCTATCCCAGGCAAACAAATGCTCCAGCCATTCTTCCCAATAGGCAGTCCTCTTTCTCCAGATTTTGGAATGGTTGTTTGCCCTAACACGTAAGTTCTGTAAAGGGTTAAGAGAAATTGTGTTTGTAGTTTGTTTTGCTTTTGTCTCTTATTATAAAGGTAGCCATAATTCCTCTTCAAATCTTGGTTTTATTCTTGTTGTAAATCTTTTTCTCTTTAAAACACATCAAAGAGTGAAGTGGAAAATTCCAACACATGATTTGATGTCCAAACTGAAACACCAAGGAAAGTTCCCCAAATCAAATGTGCTTCATAACTCTATGCATTCAACTTCATCATTCTCTCATTGATTGATTGATTGATTGATTGATTTTCCTCATCTTTAATCCAAAAGAGCCTCAGGGCTTTGGTCAAATGCTCTATGGATAGGAAGATTTTCATGGCATGAGTGAGTTGCATCATTTCTAGGCAATGTTCCATTCGGCATGCCTCAGGCTAGCAGGACAGTTGAAGATAGATGAGGATGTCAGGTCACAGTAAGTTGTACATTAATCCATGCTCCCACTATGGTGACAGTTAACTTTGTGTGATGGGCACTGGGAAAGAGCAGTGATGTAAGTGTGTATGCTTGCCAGCTTTTGCCATTTTTCACATCCCTTGCTAACTGCTCCTGAAACGATGAAAGAAAGCTTACAAAAAATCTATTTCAGACAAAAACATGTTCTATTCCACAGGCAGTTACTGTTATTTCATTCAATGACATTTCTTTAGGCTTCAGATATATTTTAACTCTACTAAATATTCAGATAGATTCCTGTTTCAGCTTCTTAGACTGGGATATTTTTGTCTTTGAATTCAATGTGTTTCAGCCTGTAAGTCATGGAAGAGCCTTGAAGGCAAATGGGCTTATTCTGTTTTATTGCTTATTATATAATCTATTGCTCTGCTCTCTTTAATTGTACTTATATTAATTCTAACACAACATCGGCTGAATGCCATGGTGTCAGTTGAATTATGTACTGCTGATCATTTTATAGTAGTGATATTGATTTAGTTTAATATTTCCTTTTGTTCAATCAAACTCTATTTTTCTAAGATTGTTTCTATATTTAAATAGCTAAATGCATTTCTTTCATAATTAAATACCAAAGACTAACTATTGCCTGAAGCAGAGAACAATTTGAAAATTTTACAATCATGATAACATTCACATTTCTACATAAAGGCCAGCAATGAATATTTACTATGTCAATCACAAAAATAAGTCAAGAATTGAGCATGTCTCTGTTATAAAACTTGAAAAAAAAAATCTCAAAAACATTTAACATAAATACTGGCAAAGCAAAGCTGTTCATTCACACAAGCAATGAGCTTTGGAACCAGGGCTTTAGGCTAAGAATAGTTGATCTTTTTAACTTCTCATTATCCTTTGCAGGCATTAGCTCTTTTTGCTCTTTATGACATGGAAATGCAACCCTAAACATAGGCTGGTGGAAGTCAAGTGAACACATCGTTGTGGCTGGAAGAAGAGTGGAATCATATGATTAGCCAGTTCTGTGTTGTTTATCCAGGCTAGCTTGAGGAGGTCTCATCAGTTGCACATGAGTAAATAGATGAGATCTGGTTATTATAAAATGGAGTAGTGGTTGTTACCTATAGTGGCCTGAAGGCTGGCCCCTAAAAAGATATGTCCTATCAACAGAATCTGTAAATGTTACTTTAGTTTTAAAACAGATCTTTCAGATTTAATTAAGGATTGGGAAATGAGGTCATCCTGGATTATCTGGATAGACTCTAAATTTAATGGCAAGCATCCTTAGAAGAGAAGAGAAGAAGACATAGACAAATAAAGAAGGTCATGCAAAAACGGAGGAAGAAATTAGGGTTACGCAGCAACAAGCCAAGAAATGTCTGGAGCCAGCAAAAGTTGAAAAAGGCAAATAAGTATTCTGCCCTGGAGCCTTCAGAGAGAACATGTTTCTCCTGAACCTTGGTTTCAGAGATCTGGCCTCTAGAACTGTGAGACGCTATGTTTCTGTTGCTGTAAGTCTGTAAGTTTCTGGTGATTTGTAATGGCCATGTGTAACCAATATAACATCAAAACAAGCAAAGACTGAGCAGATAGGATCTTTAAAATCATATTTTAAATATCTAAATATTTTTAATATTTAAAATTAAATATCTAAATATTTTTAATATTTAAAATTAAATATCTAAATATTTTTAATATTTAAAATTAAATGTCTAAATATTTTTAATATTTAAAATTAAATGTCTAAATATTTTTAATATTTAAAATTAAATATCTAAATATTTTTAATATTTAAAATTAAATATCTAAATATTTTTAATATTTAAAGTTAAATATCTAAATATTTTTAATATTTAAAGTTAAATATCTAAATATTTTTAATATTTAAAATTAAATATCTAAATATTTTTAATATTTAAATATTTACATTCATAGCTCTTCCTGAAATCCTGCTGAGATACTGAATAAAACTACATTTAATATAAACTTAGAAAGAACTGACATCTTCCAAGTGCTGATTCAGAAATGTGGGACTTCTCTCCATTCATGCAGCACTGTTTATACATACTTAAGGTTTTATAACTTTCATGATGTATATTCAATCTTGATCATTAAATATTATCAAATATTTTATCCATTTTCATTCATAACCACTCTTGGAAGTTATAAATGGATAATTTGGAGATACTTGTTCTGCCCCTAGACTTCATATTAGGGGTTTTTTCAAATTTATTTTTATTTATTATTTTATTTTTTTTGACAGTCTCGCTCTGTTGCCCAGGCTGGAGTGCAGTGGCTCGACAGCAACCCCCACCTCCCAGGTTTAAGGAATTCTCTGGCCTCAGCCTCCGCAATAGCTGGGACTACAGGTGTGCACCACCACACCCAGCTAGTTTTTGTATTTTCACTAGAGACAGGGTTTTACAGGCTGGTCTCGAACTCCTGAGTTCAGGTGGTCCACCTGCCCAGCTTCCCTAAGTGCTGGGATTACAGGCGTGAGCCACAGCACCCAACTCACTCCACATTAGTGTTAATATTCAGTTAAGTCTCTGTTTACATGTCATCTTTGGAAATGTTAAAATATAGAGGAATAAAAGAAGAAAATAAAAAACATTATGTTTTCAGCAGAAGCCATTATTACTAAACTTGTTTATTTACTATCAAAATCTATTAGACATCTGCTTCTCTCTTCCTCCCGAACAGGGAAAAGCAAGCATCCTCTGTTTCCTACAATATCTGTGTCTTAGGTTTGCTTGAATTCCATTTTCTACCTCCTTGTCTAGATCCCTCTGTATTAGCTTGGGTTAAAAAATACATTCAGACTTTTCAAACTTGTAAGACATGGATACATGGTCCTCTACCTTGACAGTTTGCTCATGACAGGTAGAAATGTCCTAAAACTCCTTCCTTACCCTATTCCCTTATTGTTTTTGAAATTTCACTCTTGGTTCGTATATTTACATATATATATATATATATAAAATTGTTGTAGTTACATTTAATGTAATTGCTATTATTTATAATCATGTTTATCAGCAGGAACATTATATCCATTCAGGATAATAGGACACTATGTTTGAAGGTATTTCCTGCATCGCAGGTACTAAGTACTAGTAGCACCCTTCTGTTATTTTGACAACTAACAAAGACCTAACACATTTCCAAATGCCCTCTAGGGAAATAGCACTATTCCAGGTGAGAATTCCTGACATTAATTAAAATGTATTTAGATATGCCAATTTGGTTTACTAATATATTTGATTACTGTTCCTTTGACATTTTACCCTTGTCTCTAGGATTAATTTTCTTCCTCTTTGCAAATGATGATAATAGTTTTTCAAGTGAGAGTGTAAAACGGTAAATTTCCTAAGTCTTTGTTTTTCCTAAATGTCTTAATTTCACCCTCCGTTTTTTATGAGTATCAGAGTTGATCTTGAAGGTTTGGTTTCCTTCACCTTTTTTAATGCTTTGCCCCCCTGTCTACAAATCCAATATTGCCAATGAGAAATCTAATGCAATTACTCTTGCTTCTTGGTAATTAACCCATCTCTTCCTTCTGCTTAAAAACCTTTTGTAAATTATATTTTGTCTTGCAACAGGAGTTTATGTGTAAATTTATTTTTATTTTTGATTATTCTGTAAAGCAGTTAGTGAACGTTTTAAGTACAAAAAAATTTTTTTTGAATACCTCTTGGGGACTATTTCTTCCATTATTTCTTTCTGGAATGCCTATAAGATAAATGCAGGGCTTTCTGATTTGGGCCTTTTGGGATCAATTTTGCTTTTATAGATTCTCTCCACATATTTTGTATTGGGTTCTAGAAAATTATTTGTTCACTCTATTACTCAATAGTTTGCTACTTTATTGTGCTCAGTCTGCTAGACAACCATCTTAAAATTTATTTCAAAAATTGTGTTTTTTCTTACTAAAATGTCGCTATAGCTTCTTACTTTCTTCCACTTTTGAAATATTTGCATTTATTTGAATCATATCTTTATTATGGTTGACCCTTGAACAATACAGAAGTTAGGAACGCTAACTGTGCAGTATACACGAATATCTGTATATAACTTTGAACTCCCTAAAAACTTAACTAGTATAATAATAGCCCACTGTTGACTGGATGCCTCTCCAATAACATGAACTGTCAATTAAGACATATTCTGTATGTTATATGTATTACATGTTGTAATCTTACAAAAAAGTAAGTTAGAGGAACAAATGATATCAAGAAAATTATAAGGAAGAGATATTTACTATTCATCAAGCAAATTTGCATCATAAAGGTCTTCATTCTCTGCTTCATGTTGAGTAGGCTGGGGAGGAGGAGAAAGAAGAGGAGGGGCTGGTCTTGCTTTCTCAGAGGCAGAAGAGATGGAGGAGGTAGAAGGGGAGACAGGAGAGAGTGACAGTCTTAGTGTAAATTTGTGGAAATAGAGTGTAATTTCTGTCTTTTTTTTTTTGCTTTTTTCCTTTCTCTAAACATGTTTCTATATGGTACCAATCCTTCTTCCACCATTTCCTTTACATTTCAGTGCCTGTATCATAGAGTGGTCCATACCCTAAAAAAAAAAAAAAAAAAAAAAAAGCCAAAAGCAGTCTGATAATTGGAAACCATCTAGCAGATTGTCTAATATCAATGTGTTTTCTGGCACTGCCTCTTCTACATCTTCTTACTCATCGTCTGGCCCTGGTTTGGATGCACTCATCTCCACCAATTCATCTTCAATTAATTCTTCTGGTGTGATGCCTATTAGCTTTTGAATTTCCTCAAGATCCATACATTGAAACCACTTGCCGCCCATTTTGCCATATCTACAATTTCTTTTTTCTTTTCTTTTTTTGAGACAGAGTCTCACTCTGTCGCCCAGGCTGGAGTGCAGTAGCGCGATCTCGGCTCACTGCAACCTCTGCCTCCAGGTTTAAGAAATTCTCTGCCTCAGCCTCCCGAATAGCTGTGATTACAGGCACATGCCACCACACCCAACTAATTTTTTTGTATTTTTAGTAGATACGAGGTTTCAGCATCTTGGCCAGGCTGGTCTTAAACTCCTGACCTCATGATCCACCCGCCTCAGCCTCCCAAAGTGCTGGGATTACAGGTGTGAGCCACCATGCCTGGCCTATATCCACAGTTACTTTCACAATTTCCTTGACTGGCTCCATCATAAATCTGGTGAAGTCATGCACCTCTGGACACAGTTTTCTCCAGCAGAGATTTCTTGTTTTGGTCTTCATGTCTTTCCCAGCTTTTTCTATAATAACAATGGCATCTTATGGCATCTTATCGTATAATCCTTCCAGACTTTTATAATGTTCTATCAGGATTCTCTTCCACAGTGTTGATAATTCTTTTCATAGATCACTGTGTGTAATGAGCCTCAAAAGTCCTTATGATACCCTGATACAGACACTGAATTAGAGATGGTGTGTTTGGGGCCAAGCAGACCACTTTAACACCTTTGGTGGTAAACTCATGGGATTCTGGATGGCCAGGGGCATTGTCCATATCAAAAGAACTTTAAAAGGCAGTCCCTTACAGGTAAAGTACTTCCTAGCTTCAGGCATAAAGCATCAATGGAAGCAATCCAGGAAAGGTGTTCTCATTGTCCAGGCCTTTTTGTTGTACAACTGAAAGACTGGTAGCTGGTGTTTGTCTTTACCCTTCAAGACACAGGGGTTATAAGCTCTATACATAAGGGCAGTTCTGAAGATAAATCCACTGGAATTTGCACCAAAAAGTAGAGTTAGCCTATCCCTTTCTGCCTTAAATCCTGGTGCTCACTTCTCTTCCTTACTAATAAACTTCCTTTTTGGCTTTTTCTTTTTTCCCAGAATAGTGCACTTTTGTTTGCATTAAAAAACCTGTTCACGCAAATATCCTTTCTCCTCAATGGCATCTGGGAACTCACCCACTGCCTCTTGGTCAGCAGAAGCTCCTTATCCTGTAATCTTCCCATTTTGTTTTAAGCCAAACCTCTTTCTAAAATTATCAAGCCATCTTTGAGAGCATTAACATTCTCTGAAACTCTCCAACTTTTTTAGATCCTTCACCGTCCTTTCTTCAAGTTGTCATATAATGATTTCATTTTTTTTCTGAGAACGTGTTAGAGTCTATAGGTATGCCTTTCTTGCAGCAATCTTATGCGGAAAAAAAAGCTGCATTTTCAGTATGAGATAAAATGATATTTCACCAAAAGTGCAAGACTTCCCACCTGCTGGCATAAGTACAATGACAGCTTCACAGTTTTTCTTTTTTTACAATAGTCCTTATGCTGCAATCATTTATTGGTAAATAGCAGATAAACGGACCATTAATCATCTTTTGGGGCTGGGTCCCAGACTTATGTTCACATTGTTCAAGAAGGTGATGATAGGGTAGATACATCCTACAATGCCAACTTGACTTTCAAACTCAGTACCAACCCACTTCCAGTGTATTTTTACGAATTATCTCCCATTTGTAGTAAAATAAGACAATTAAAAATAATTAAGTTTGAATTAATATAATTAACTTAGATACCTATCAGAGTAATAAGCAATATTTATAGTATTAGCTTATAATATTTTAATAAGCTTAGCTATGGCATTTACAAATCAAAAGAAATTGTTTCCTTATATTTTTTCTATCTGCCCCAATTTGTTGTTATTAGAGCCAAAATTTAGTGGGTTTTTTTTCAAATGATGTAAAGGTTTGATGTGTGAAGAAGGCTGTTTTGAAAATATTGGAGACGATATTTCCTAGCACTCCATTCCAATATTAATAAATAGGAGAACATTCTCAGTGATTTTGATAAGTGCACAAACATGAGATGTGAGATTTACAACAGAAGCAGTCTGTCTTATTCAAAGACAGACAAACGTTTTCTCAGTTCTATAATTTCTAGAAGAAATGACTTACTTAGCATTTGTATAACTTCTACTCACATAAAGATTTATCTGTGTTCACCCCTATGTCTGGAGTTGCACAGATAAACATGGATTAGGAAATAGATTACACGCTATCTACTGATGCAATTTTAAAAGTTGGTGATGGAGTATCTACCCCTTTGGAAATAAAGTATGCATATCTTTAAACACCTACCTCAACAGAAAATACCCTATTATATGAATAAAATGATATATTTTTTTATAAATCAGCCATGATTCTAATATTATTCCTGTAAGGGCTCTTATATTCAGCTTGAATGTGAAACTGTTTCTATAATTGCACATCTATAAGTTTTATTTAATTGGATGTTGCTAATTGCAGACTTTGTATGTGGTCAATAATCTTCCTAATGTTACTAGAAAGAATATGTGCATTATTGTAAAGATTTGACTTTAAATTTAATTCCTCTAGCTAGAATATATGATGAAACAAAAAGAGTCACAAGAATATTTAGGGGTAATCTATTTTATTATTTTTATCTATCAGAAGATAAAGTCCTGAATAGGTTATCTTGACCAAAACATACATACTATTTGAACTTCATTTTAAAACCTGATTATTTCTAACGTTGTAGGATTTAGGTCAGGTGGTCCAAGTTATAAGTAAAAGTTATAAGGAAAGACGTAAACCTTCTTGGAAGGCCAGGAGGTTTAGCAAAGCTTCGGGAATTTAGCCGAAGGCAGCTAAATACTCGTAAGGGCAAAGGGTAGATAACAAGGGAATGTAAAGGAATTTATCCAGATAAATTGATTTACTTATGTCTCTGGAAACCAACCTTTGATCATTCAGGAGCAGGACTGCTCTCTGCTTGGGGGGCCGACAATGTTTATTACCCATAAACTGTGTTTGCTCCAAGCCTTTGTCATTAAATCTGTGCTAAGTAAATGCTAGCATTGCTGGCTTAGGTGGGGGGCTGCACTCTCACCAGCGGCACTAAGTGATGTGGTCCCTTTGCCTTGCTGTTAGGCAAAATACCTGCGTCAGTGTACTTCTTTCATCTATCGCTCGGCCAGAGTCAGCAGGATGGACCCGGCATAATATCACTTCAGGTCATTCAGAAATTTTATATACCAAAATTTCGGAATTGTGAAGAATTAGAAATTATTGCTGTAGTGCATTGACTATTGTCCCCCCAAAATTCATATCCACCTGGAACATCAGAATGTGCCCTTATTTGGAAACAGAACTTTGCTAATATAATTAATTAAGGATCTAGAGATGAAATCCTTCTGGATTTAGCATAAGCTCTAAACCAATGAGTTGTGTTCTTCTAAGAAAAAGAGAGACAGAGAAAAGATGTGAAGATGAAGACAGAAATTGGAGGACGCATCTACAAGCCAAGAGAAGCCAGGGATTTACTATAACCACCATTAGCTAAGAGAGAGGTATGGGCTGATTTCTCCCTCAGAACTTTCAGAAACAACCAACCCTACTGACAATTAGAGTTCAGATTTCTTGCCTCCTGAACTGTTAGAGAATAGCAATTTATGTTGTTTAAACCAATGAATTTGCAATAATTTGTCATGGCAGTCATAAGAAACTAACACAATTCCATATGCTTTGAAATTTATGACTACTTAAAATTGCTCATTTAACAATTTTATTTCTTTCATTAGCACAATCCAAGGTTGTTTTATTGCAATTTTTAAGAATCTAAGTAACATTTTGAATGTTAATTGGCCTTATTGACAATATGATCTTCATTTGTACATTTAGCCCAATGTTAGTGCTGTTTCACTGCTATTTGAAATTGAGATAGGAGTTCAGCAGGACTGGTTTTACAAAGTACAGGTCACAAAGAGCCCGCTAATAATAAAATAGGATGCTGTAAAGAAGCTGGCGAAACCCTGTCAAATCCAAGGTAGCAACAAAAGTGACCTCTGGTTGTCATCACTGCTCAGTCTATGCTAATTATAATATATTATATAACATGCTAAAAGACACTCTTGCCAGCACCATGACTGTTTGCAAATGCCATGGCAATACCTGGAAGTTACCCTATATGGGGTCTGATAGAGGGAGAAACCCTCAGTTCTGGAATTCCCCGCCCCTTCCTGCAGAAAACTTATGAATAATCCACCCCTTATTTAGCATATGATATGGTTTGACTGTGTCCCCAACGAAATCTCATCTCAAATTGTAACTCCCACAATTTCCACATATCATGGGCAGAACCCAGTGGAAGATGATTGAATTATGGGGGTGGGTCTTTCCTGCACTGTTCTCGTGACAGTGAATGAGCCTCACAAGATCTGATGGTTTTAAAAACAGGAATTTCTCTGCACAATTCATAATTCACCCTGTGACAAAATAAAAAACGATTATCAATTAAACAATAATTGAAAGTCAATGCTGTACATAACTACCATACCTTGACTGATAAACATTTTGTTTTTCAACTTTACAGAGGCAAGAAGACAGATGGTATCATTTATTAATATAACCATTAATGACGGAAGGCAGTTCTTCTCCATTCCAATAGTTGAGTTTAATTATATACACTATAAGGCACTCATTGATCCATTCAACAAATATCTATTAGTGCCTCTTATGTGCCATTGCATAAATGTTAAAGATACAAAGATGATGGCAATGCATGAAAAAGCTCACTATAAAGAATGACAGCACAGTGCATTAGGTAAAAGGGATTAAAAAGTTGCCCTAGAAACATTCAAAGGGATACCTGTGTCAGTCTTGGGAGGTCAAGAAACTCTTCACAGAGAAAATGATTTATAATTTGAGACCTAATGGATTAGCAGAAATTAGGCCAGCAGAGAAGAGGGAGTGGCTGATGGAAAAATGTCCCTGGCCTTGGAAAGGCATAATGATGCTCAGAGGCAAGAGGGAGCATGGTGCGTTAGCAGATTTGATGCTGAAAATAACAATAGCACACAGTGCAAATATTGTGATCCATTCAAATACGAAATGGAAAAGATCATAGGGATCATAAAGAACTTAAATCCTAAGGCAATGAGAAGCCATGGAAACATTTTGAGCAGTAGTCTAACATGTCTGGGCTTGCTGTTTAGAAAGTTCCCTAGCAGTGTTGTGGACAGGAAACAGGAGGCTGGAGGAGAGGAAAGTACATGCAGGCTCTGTTGCTTTAAATCTGGCCAATATCATAGTGACCTATGTTACAGAAATTGCACTAAAGGCAGAAATAAGCAGTTATACAGAGGAAAACTCAGTTGGATTGGTGATTCGCTGGATGGAAAAGGGAGTAAAAAATGGAGAAAAAAGACTCAAGGTGAGGTCTGGGTTCTGCCATGAACAAATGGATAAGATTAGGGGTATGGGATGTTCCCCTTCCTGTATCCATGTGTTCTCATTGTTCAATTCCCACCTATGAGGGAGAATATGCGGTGTTTGGTTTTTTGTTCTTGTGATAGTTTACTGAGAATGATGATTTCCAATTTCATCCATGTCCCTACAAAGGACATAAACTCATCATTTTTTATGGCTGCATAGTATTCCATGGTGTATATGTGCCACACTTTCTTAATCCAGTCTATCATTGTTGGACATTTGCCTGCACATTGTGCATGTGTACCCTAAAACTTAAAGTATAATAATAAAAAATAAAATAAAAAATAAAATAAAATGTAAAAAAAAGAAAAGATTAGTGATATGGGAATGGACCAGGCTTAGAAGCAAATATGATACATTCTTTTGGTAGATGCTGACTTTGAAATGCCTATCCCTGAATACTAAGGGACAAATATCTAATAGAAAATTACATATAATCATCTAAATTCCAGAAGAAAATGTTATAATAAAAATTTGGTAGTCAATAAACCAATATAATTTTATCATTCTTCTATGCAATAAATTATCTCAATTTTCTATTGCTGCTGCAACAAATTGCCACAAGTTTAGTGGCTGACAACCATACAAATTTACTATCTCACAGTGTTATGGTCTAGAAGTTCAACACATGCCTTGCAGAACTAAAATCAAGGGGTCCGCAGGGCTGTGTTCCCTTATGGAAGCTACCGGAGAGAACAGTATCCTCAGCCTTTCCAGCTTCTAGAGTCTGCCCTCATCCCTTGGCTCATGGATTCATTCTGCCATCTTTAACCCTAGCAACATTGCATTTCCCTAAGCCTGCCTTTCTTCTGTAGTCAATTATCTCTCTCCCTCTCCTCTTCTTTTTCTTCATGCTCCCCTTTCACTTTTAAGGACCCTTGTAATAAATTTGTACCCACCTGCATAATCCAAGATAACCTCCCCATATCAAGGTCAGCAGATAAGCAACCTTAATTTCATCTACAGACTTAACTCCCCTTTGCCATGTAACATAACTTAATCACAAGTCCTGGGGATTAGGACGTGGGCATCTTTCAGGACCACTATTCTACTTATCATGCAACAAGAACAACGACAAAATTGGACTCTAGCCAGGAAAAGAGAAATCACAGTGGATATTTTAGCAGAGGGGAGTTCTTTGGAGAACTAACTACACAGGGTTGGCAAGCTCAGAGAACAGAAAGGTATCACTGAAGAACCTAGAGGTATTAACTATAGGAAGCAGCTACCAGTCTTAGTGCTTGGGGAACAAAAGGAAAGAATTTGGCATTGGCAGAAAGTGGCATCTTAGAAGAGGAGTCTGAAAGTAGTGAGGTTCAGACATCTGAGGAAAGAGGAACTATCTGGGTGGTGTTGGTGCTTCTAAAGGGATGCAGTGAAGCTTTGTCCCGGAAATGCCAAAAAAAATCTGGAGGCTAAAACAAACTGCCTGGGTAAAATGCCACTGCTGGGACAATACTGAGCAGAACAGCCAGAAAAAAATGAAGAAAATTTATTTCCCTTTTCCTCCTCCTGTCTTCACATCAACTGTTACTTTCTCTTATTAAGGCAGTCTGAAATGCAACTTTTAGACTCCCAGCAGCAATGTCACAGAACAGTTATAAAAGAGTAGATTTGTATCTTGAGAGGCAATAGGTAACTTTTGATCACAGAATTCTGCCACCAGAACTCTAAGAATATAGATTCAGTGAAGAAGAGGATCAGATCTTATAGCAAAGAAGAGATAGTGAAAAACCTGATCTTTGTGCTCTAGGGGATGAGGGAAAATGAAGATAGAGAAGAAGGGCTGGGTCAGAACGTGCACATCCTCATAGCAGAAACACCATGGGGAGGGTACAAGGGGTAGGAGGACCTTCATGGCTTGACTGTGGGGAATGGGACATCATCGCATAGGAATTATAAACTAGGAGGAAGCTAAGGACTCTAGAGCCCTACACATTACCAGTCTCATCGCAAAGATTGGAATCCTGGGAATGTGCAAGTTTCTACAAGCCCCTGTGATGGCCCACAGAGGTACTAAGAAGACTAGAGGAGGCCAGGAGCAGTGGCTCAAGCCTGTAATCCCAGCACTTTAGGAGGCTGAGGCAAGTGGATCGCTTGAGCTCAGGAGTTCAAGAACAGCCTAGGCAATCTGGTGAAACCCTGTCTCTACAAAAAATACAAAAATTAGCATGCCATAGTCGCTCATGCCTGTAGTCCCAGCTACTTGGGGGGCTGACGTTGGAGGACTGCTTGAGCCTAGGAGGCAGAGGGTGCAATGAGTCTAAGATCATACCACGCCACTGCACTCCAACCTGGGTGACAGAGTGAGACCCTGTCTCCAAAAAAAAAAAAAAAAAAAAAGAGAAGACTAAAGAAGCATTGAAGTCCTGTGATTTTGCAAAGAAGCTTATGTCTAACTGAGATCTGGTGCAAAGTATTTCAGACCATGAAATACAGGTATGGTACCAGCATATTGCCTGAAATGCCATATGTATTGAGTAATACCTCAGTTATCATGAGTCCACAGGGCAGACCACAAGTACCCCACTACAGGAGAGAACAGCAAAATTCTATAGAACACTGGATGTACCTACAGCTTCCCATCCTCCTCACCATGAGGTCAGTAAGACTACATAGGAGATACAACGCAGAGCGAAAATCTGAAGAAAAAACAACAAACCAGTATTTGCTAAAATAAAAGGAGACCTCCAAGAAAGAAAGTTTAAAGCAAAAATTTTGGATATACCTATACATTATTACTGAAACATTAGAGATTTGCTTTAGGGTCTACTGCTCACCACAAAGAAAGCCAATCACTGAGACAAGGAGCATTGCCAGAAAAGAGGCTTTAATTGTGTGCTGCAGCCAAAAAGATAGGAGATCTTTCTCAAACCATCTCCCTGACTGACTAGAATTAGGGGGTTTATATAGCACCGAAGAATTGTAATCATGTGTGAAAAAGCAGGAATTAGGGAGAGGTAAAGAAGAGGAGTTGGTCAACAGGCAGCAGGTTGCCATCAGGCAATCACGGTGGGTGAAGGGTCTGGCATCTCATTGTCCAGGTGCAGTGTTCTGGTGAGTTTCAGATCCTTCATACTATCTGGGAGAGCTAATGATTTGTTTCCTAAGAAAGGAACTCAGATAAGACAAATATAACTTTCTCAAGTTTTAAGATTGGAGGGGGGAATCACTTTCTAGGTTTATTCAAAAGAAACTATAAACATCAGTTCTATGAGACAAATGGGCTAGTTCAAAATCATTGTCATGTTTAAATTTTATCACTCCCTGCCCCCACCCCCACCTAAAATGTACATTTTGAACAATGGATTATGTCCTATGGGAGGATTAATAAGGTGAGGAATTATAATGAGGCTATGTTTACATTGCATCTCCTAAAGTGGTGTGAGGTTTTCTGAAGTGTGCCCATTCCACATGCATTAGGGTTGGGAACTGAGTCACATTACTTTATTACATGCGTCCTGAAGACTTGACTCAATGTAGAAACAGCACTGAAACCAGGAATCAGGAATTTTAGGAATAAGAATATCCCAGTTTAAGATCCCCGAGCTATTATTCTAGTTGTATACAGGTCATATATTACTACCTGATGGTATTTGAAATAGCTGCAATTGTATAAGGAGGGTTTGTAAATTTATAAGACGAAAAGACCCAAGACAAAATCCTAAATAAGACTAGATTCATCAGACTCTCAGAAAGAGAGAAATAGCAAAGAAGACCACAGATTCTGAGTCTGATAAGAGCATGGCCTCATATAGGCCATGGAAAGAAAATAGGTTAAAAAAAAAAAAAAGAGGTGCCCCATTGCATCAAATGTTACCGATAAAACAATAATAATGAGAACTAAAGAGTGTCCATTTAATTTAGTTACAAAGTTACAAAAGGGCCATTTTAAATCCCTAATATCTGTGTCCACAAAGTGATAAGGAAGAAACCCACCTGAAGTGGATCCTAGACTAGTGAAACTGTTTGGCAGTAAAAGAATTAAGACATTCTAGAAAAAAAAAATCCTTCCTTCTCTCACTAAATAAAATGTTCACCTGATAATGGACTAATTATGCAAAACAATAAAATAACCACCATGAAGTTTACATGCACTATGGAAAACAGAGTTGAAAGCTTGTAGTCTGTCCAGGAGAGGAAGAGTCTTTGGAGAATCTCTTGACATTAATTCAGTAATGCAAAAGGCACATCACTAGGATGAGAATTAAAAGCAAACAAACAAACAAACAAAAAACCCTGAAAGTAGGAACTGCAAAGGAAGTTGTTTAGAGGCTGAATAAAGCAGTAGGAAGATGCAAAGGCAAGCTGAGAGTAAAACCATAAAACAGTCTTTAGATTTGGAGCGCCAAGTCATAATAATTGGAAACTTTAAAATACATTGTATATATGTGTGTGATATTATTATAATTATACATAATTATGAGTAATTTATGATATATTTATTCATGTGTTATTTATGATTTGTTTACTTATGAGTTATTTATAAAACATTTATTTTCAGGTGTTATCTATGATGAAACTTTTGGTTACCTGGAAATATCTTTTTCACTCTTCTTGAAATATATAGTTTTAGTTATAAATTCTAGGTTGGTCATCATTTTTTTTCAGCATACTAACAATATCATTTCACTCTTCTTTGTTTTCTATGTCAGTTGAATCGCAGTGTCTTTGAAAATAATCTTTTTCCTTCTCTCTGTATAATGTATTCTTTGACTATGGTCTTCTAGAGTTTCACTAAAAGTATGTCTAGGGTTGTGTTTATTTTTCTTTATAATTTTGGGGCTTCATTGCATTTCTTAAGTCAGCAAGTTGCTGTTTTTAATCAGTAAAAGAAACTCGGCCTTTTTCTCTTCAAACATTACCTCTCAGATCTCCTCCTATCTACTTCCAAGTCTCAATGTCAATGTATATGACATTCTATTTCTGTTGCTCTAGCTTTCTAATCTCTCTTTCATACTCTCCATAGTTGTATTTCTCCTGTGATATATTCTGGACAATGTCTCTTGACCAGGCTTCTAGTTTACTAATTTTCTCTTTAGCTATATCTAATCTGATTGTAAAACCAATGTTTGAAATTTTAAAAATTAAATCATTATATTTTTAATTGCCACATAATTCACTTGGTTATTTTTTCAATCTGCTAAGTATTTTTTACTTTTGAATAATTTTCCCCTGAAAGGTTTTACAACTTTGTCTTTTTTATCATTTTTCAGCATAACATTAATATTTATTTCAGAATCTTTTCACCATATTTTCAGTACCTGAAGTGTTTGCAGATCTGTTTTTCCTGCTGGTACACACTCACAGGAGTATTATTTCTTTGGTTTCTGAGACACACACACACACACACACACACACAGACACACACATTTATTCAGTTAATTATTTGTATAAATCTGTATATTTCTACCATATTTGCTTTTAGTTTCTTCTTGGATTTAGAACCCATTTTTCTTTCTTTTTTTGTGCTATAAATACTCCTCTATTTTTTCAGATATTTGCTTAGGTTTTATTTATTATATTAAACCATGAGCTCCAGTGGACAGAGATCATGCCTTTTAAAGAATCTTTTGTCTCTTATTTATTTCAGGATAATTATCGCTGAAACGTAAGAGAAATTTCTTGGATTTATTGGGAGCATTTTTCTTCTTTCTGAAATAAGTTTCTTAGAAATCTTACTTCACATAAAGTTTAGATTTATAGAACTCTTACTATATATAAACTTTATAAAATCTTATTATATATAAACTTTATATATATAAAACATATAGATAGATAGATAGATAGATAGATAGATAGATAGATAGATAGATGTTTTAATCCTTGGATAATTATTTGTGTAAACATTTGAAAAGTATGTTGGGATAAATTCCTCAAGGGAATATCTGCATTTCCTTTGCTGAGTACCTGGTCCCTTCTAGTACAGAATAAATTCATGGCTTAAGTTATTTTAAAATTTCCAATTATTATGACTTGGGGCTCCAAATCTAAAGACTGTTTTATGGTTTTACTCTCAGCTTGCCTTTGCATCTTCCTACTGCTTTATCCAGCCTCTAAACAACTTCCTTTGCAGTTCCTACTTTCAGGGTTTTTTGTTTGTTTGTTTGTTTTTAATTCTCATCCTAGTGATGTGCCTTTTGCATTACTGAATTAATGTCAAGAGATTCTCCAAAGACTCTCCCTCTCCGGGACAGACTACAAGCTTTCAACTGTTTTCCATAGTGCATGAAACTTTCAAAACTGAGAATCAATTTCATCAAGGCCTGGAAAATTCCTCAGGACAAAAGCAGCTACAGTGGTCTCCCTCTAGATTCCTGTGCCATTTAATCTTGCAAGATAGTTTTTGTCAATATTATCTCTTTGCCAACACTTTAAAAACATGTATTCGATGTTTTACCCAGCAATTTAAATTGTGTTTTAAAAGATAGTTGCCTTAAATAACACAGACTAGCATATTTGCAAAAATGAACTGGCTTTCTGGATTTTGTTTTCAACAAGACCCCGTTTTTCTTTTTTTTGTGTGTGCTATAAATACTCCTCTATTTTATCAGATATTTGGTTAGGTTTTATTTATTATATTAAACTGTGAGCTCCAAGTGGACAGAGATCATGCCTTTTAAAGAATCTTTTGTCTCTTGTTTATTTCAGGATAATTATCACTGAAACATAAGAGAAACTCAAACATTTGTTGAATAGAAATGTGTGCGTTTGAATTTGTGTTAGAACCTTCAGAAACTTATTACACCAATATTATCATCGTAATTCAAAATAACTTATGTGGATTTTCACTTTTAAAATTATTCTGAAAGCCTGAATATTCATTTTTGTGAAATTCAAGTGCTATATATTCATTATCTGGAAGAAAATTTTTTATTTGTTGGAAACACTTAAATACAGGTTAGAACCTGTTTAGTGATAAGAAGAGTTACCAAATTGCTAAATAAAGAAGTTTTAATTAGGAAAATACATGTGATTGTAGAGTAATAAGATGAGCTTTAAAGCATGATTCCTAAATTGACTTAGACTAAAATCTTAAATTCCATAATCTCATGATAATACTCATTTAGGGAAATAAATTTGGGTAGATTTATTTAAATGTCTCTTTACCACTTGCATGTTTGCAGATTGATGCATTTGAGTAAATGTTTCTATATTTTCATTTCATTATACTTGATGTCTAAATAAATGAGTGTTCAGAAACATCTGCCTCAAAGTCATGGAAACTTCAGATAGTATCACATGTTAGTGAATCAGCTCTGAATGCATATGTTGATGCATTAGTATCTTAACACTTTCTGCCTTCCACATTGCACTAATGGTAAATATGAGTCTGTCATTTTGAGATTTATTTTCTTGTATTCAATTTGAGGTGACCGCATAATAAATACATCAACAATGCCAGCTACTGGTTCTGCCTGACAGCTGATATTTTCCATTTCTATATTCAAATTTTAATGTGTTAACAATATTTAAACTTACAAAGATTACTGAAGCATTCATTATTTAATTTAAATATGTAGAATTAAGTTTGAATTTGAAAATATGTGGTAGGTGGATATGATGTGTTCATGTGTATAGGGGTATAAAAATGTAAATTATTTGGGGAATAGGCTGCTAGCTAACTGTATTGTTAATTTTATTCCCCATTTTGCCGAAGTGAGTACCTCCCTGAGGATACTGTATCATAGACATTGTGGACAAAACTGCGGCATGCAGGAATAACATTAACTTGCTAAACAGTCAAATTTATGCAGGAGATTACAATAATAGCTACAGTACCTAGTTCATCTATCTAGAGAGACGAAGCATTTGAGTTTTAATTGAATGGGTTTATTTGTAAATAAAGATTTATTTCTGTTTACATATTCTATAATTTTATTATTAAACAAAATAATTTAAATATTTAAAAATTATAAATTAATATAAAATAAATATTATTTATTTATCCTGCTTTATATATCAAAGCAGAAGTGTAAAAGATGAAATTTAAGAAGGAAAAATGCCTAATTACTGCAGATATAGAGGAGAAATCAATATTGTATGTGCGAGACATGCCAGATGATGCTTAAAAATTGTTTTGAATTCTATAATGTCATACAAAAAAGTAGAATCTGCTGTTAAATAGTTTGATAATCTTCACTTCCTTTATTATGCTGTGAGTTGGGGAGACTGTCCCCATTTGTCATTAAACTGGGTTTTTTCTGGTCTCATGACTCTTTCCACCCCCTCCCCTTTCTGTCTAACCTAACTACATTTCTTAGCAAAGCATGCATTAGTGTTTATTTGTCTCTGCAAACAATACAAATGGTAGAAGCAGCAGAGAAGCCGGGAAGTGCTCAGTGAGTTGCTGCTGCCTTCCATTACATCTGGCCACTCTGATTGTTAATTGCCTGTCACAGCCACTGAGCCGTGGAGCCAGCAGGGCTGCCACCTCCTGTTTGGTCAAGTTGTCATCTCCTATTAATCTGAACCCTGTTGTTTTTTTCCATCGCCTTTACTTTCTCACTCTAGACAGAATGAAAATCTATTATCTGCATGAGATATGAGTGTATCAAAATTTTAATTTTGAAGAAAAAACTGAATAAAAAGACTTTCTCATAAAAAGTGAGTCTCTCACCAGGGCTGCATGGTATTTTCTGTACCACGCTGCTTTTTAAGGCTCATGTCCTTTTTTTTTTTTTTTTCTTTTTTTCAAACTGAAGTGTTTTTATAGCACCAGAGATCACCTGGTGAAATTTTGCAAACTGTAAACAAGAACAAAATAAAAACACAAAAATTCAGGGAAATTTCTGAGGCCAGTTTGCTAATGGTCACAAAGTCTTTGTTGAGTATTGGTTTCCACAAAATATTAGGGAAAACATAAAATTTAGACAGAGCCTATTGTTTTCAACATTATAATTTGTTAGCTCAAGAGGCAGTTATTATAACATTGAAGTATTCTATGCTGATATATTTTCAGCTACTCAACAACTTCCAAATGACCTCCTCATTCCGGTTTCACCAGAGGAGCTCATCCATGAGTCAAGGCTCCTAGAATGAAGACCCCTGTACTTCCACTTGTTTGGGGCTGTGAGTTGAGACTGTGGTCTGAGAAGAAACAAACAACAACAATCAATAGAATTAAATAGATAGATATAGATGTAAATATGGATACAGATCTTTGCTTTCCTCCTGAATTTTTTTTTAAATAAAAGGAATAATCAGCTATTCCTTTACTTTGAAATTATCCATGGACATTCTAAGGCTGTTTTTGGATATCTGCAATGAGAAAACATATGGCTGATTAGTTCTAGGATTAACCTAAGCTTTAAAGGAAAACACAGGAAAAAGTGCCTCAGATGTTTGCATTGTGCACAGAAAAGAGAAGCCAAGCCGAAGCCAAAAGTGAAGGGTTTGGATGCATTGATGTCTATTCTTTATAATACCCATTTGGAAGACTAGCTGGAGTGACAACTAAAAGATCCAAGATTATAAATATATTACTAAGTGAAAGAAAGAGAAAATATTTAACCTTCTGAGTAAATTCAAATGTAATGCCTACAAATTTTGAAACTTGTTATATGCAAAAATTTGCACTAGGAGTTCAGGTAATCCTCTCAAGAAAGTTATAATACAATACAGAAAATGCATCAACCCAAGTAACTCTTTAGAGTATTAGGATCATATAATATTATATAACTTTACACTTTGTGAATGTCAGTTATTTGAGTAATAATAACAATGACAACAGAAGGTTAGACTCATTTTGGTCAAGGATTTATGAATATTGGTATTTCCATTCCATAATGAGGTCCAATCCCACGATAAAACATTTTGAGGGGTTTTCAAGAACCTGGTCTGGAAGAGCTCCTCTATTATATCAAAGATATGAAGTTATACCAAAGATATTAAAAAGAATAATTACGGTGAAAACAGCTTTAATCTCTCCCTCTCTAAACACACACACCTACTCCACACCCCAATGAACTAACAACATGGTGACCAGCAGATAAAAAAGCACTCTCTCTGCAGCAAGCTTATCCAAAATCAGATTAAGAAGAAGCATATCTGAGTTTCTTCTCCCAGACTTGCCAGTCAGATAAATAAATTGATTGCTCTTCTTTTTCTGTGGTCAAGTGGAGGGCAGAGGAGAAAGCCAAAAATTTGCGTAGTCTTCTTAAGCTTTTCATTCTCTACCCGCTAAAATCAACTATAAAGACTGTGCTAAACCAGCCATATACTACACTCATCCTCAGGGCAGAAGACTGATGACCTGAAAGGGAAGTCTCCCTTCCACCAGCAAAAGACCTACAAAAGAATAGCCCAGGTTTATATTCCCTGATCTCATTTCAAGGCTGTTGAACCATAATCTGAGCCAAAGCCAACTCTAAAAGAAATACTTGAACACTCCTGGATCGCAGCAAATTCATCAAAACCACCTAGTAGCCAAAAATAAAATAAATAAATAAAAATAAAAGAAAAAGAAAAAGAATTTAGCCAGAAAAATATTTCAAGAGCCTTGCAAATGGAAAAATCCCTGAACCAGGGCTGCTGAATACTCAGGAAGGAACAGGCTACTGAAATTTATTTTACCTTTGACTACCTGCTTTCAATCTGGAGCACTACAGAATCTCAATCTCTCTCTTCTCTCTTCTCTCTCTCTCTCTCTGTCTCTCTGTCTATCCTAACCAAGCTCAGCCTGCCCATTCAGAACACTCCAATTCAATAAGTAGGATGTTCTATGGTGAAGCTGGCTGCAAGCATCATGCTAATTTTACTGTTCTCATAATCCCAAGGCAAGCTTCTACTGCAGCTACCCCCACAGCCTGAGCCAGGGTAAGACATCCTTTCAGATGACAAGCACAGAGTATGGTTGTGGGGAAGGTGGTCACTTCACCCTGACTTGATCAGTTAAAGAGCTCTGCAGTAACCTTCCAAGTACCCGAGTATGTGTGACTGTATTTTGTGGCAAAGCCTGATAAAGCTGTTGGAATGAATTTGAGTCTTTCTTTTAAATGTTAAAATAGAGACTTTTCTGAAGGAAAAAAGACTTGCTCTTTCAATTTAACATCCTGCCGTGGGTATGCTCATGGGACTGGCAGTGGCCTGCTACCATTTGCTCTTGAAGCCATGAAATTGGTCAGAGCAGCACATTAATTTATTCCAGGATCATATTTTACTCCAAGGTTGAAGATTTACCCTCTAGTCTAATTTCTGCCCCAAAGTATGCCCAATCTGTTCATCCAATATATTTTACCCGGTTAGGCTAAATAATAATGTAGCATAGGATGTCGCAAATTAAAAATAAAGCTTAACCTAGCAAATTATGAAGGAGAAATTTCAGCTCATTAGATTAATTCCTATTGCCTTTATAAGTCAAATTCCAAAGAAAGTTTAAAATTCTAACTTTAAGGTCTAAAGAAGTTAAAAGTCAAATATCAGTTCCAACTTTCTTATCTTGCTCAATCTCCCTCAGAAATGTGTAGCGAAAGCCTGCATTTCCTTTGGGGCAATGACATTTCAGTTCTTTGCTTTGTCAACTATGGCCATTGCCCCATAGCCCTGAGGTACCTGTTAAACTCATGTCCACAAAACTGAGGAATCACCCTTCTTTAAGAACTAGAGCTGCTCTCCAGTCTCCTGAAAGCTGGAACACGAAGGGCCTATTGAGGGCTCATAAACAAGTCTGACTCTGCCAAAGAATTGTGTCTGTACGCAGCATTTCCTGTGGCACTGGGGCCTATTTCCAACTGCTTCTGAATTTTTCTACTGCTTTTAGAAGAGATGGGCCGTGTGCAGTGGTTTCCACCTGTAATCCCAGCATTTTGGAAGGCCAAGGCATGTGGATCGCTTCAGCCCAAGAGTTCCAGACCAGCCTGGGCAACATGGGGAAACCCTATCTCTACAAAAAATACAAAAATTGGCTGGGCATGGTGGCATGTGACTGTGGTCCCATCTACTTGGGAGGCAGGCTGAGTTGGGAGGACAGCTTGAACCCAGGAGGTCAAGGCTGCAGTGCACTACGATTGTGCCATTGCACTTCAGCCTGGGAGACAGAGTGAGACCCTGTCCTCAAAAAAAAAAAAAAAAAAAAAAAAGAGAGAGATTAGCCATGTTCATGCTTTTTTCATTTGTGCTTTCCCTTTTGTACCTCTAATAGTGCTGGCACCATTTATTGTATTTGGGTATCCAACTGGGTTATTATGTTTTCTTTGTTTTCTGGCCCAGACATTTCTTTTGCTGATGTATTTTTAAACATCTCCTACAGTAAAATGTATGGAATTATGAATTCCAAGATTCATACCCATCTTTTTCCATCTTTCTCTTCTGCATGGGAGAACTGCAGCCTGGAGTTATTATTTCATCAGATCACCTCCCACCTGGGACTCAACTTCTGCTCTCCTTAAAGCTTTATTTTTTTAAATGCAATAAATGGACAAAAAAAAATTTCTCCAAATTAACCAGTGAATTTTCTCACATTTAATATTGCTAAATGTGAACACTACAAGGTGTTAAAAGAATAGCACATTAAAAACTCATTACTTTTCTTCTGGGTTGAGCAATTTCTAGCATTTTTCTACACTGCTGTTTTTTCTTTCTGTATGTATATTTTTGTTGTTTTTAATGATATATTTGAGAATTATTGGCAGGCACAATGACACTTTACATCTAAATATTTCAACAAGTATACCTTAGAAATAAGGAATGTCTAAATATCCACATTAGAATGGTCACATTTGGGACATCTAACATTAATTTTATAATGTTACCTAACATACAGATCATATTCAATGTTCTCCAATGTTCCAACATTGTCCTTTAGGGCTGTTATTTATTTGTTTTGTCAATCCAGATTCAATCAAGAATTATACCTTCCATTGAATTGTCATATCTCTTCAGGCTCTTTTAATCTAGTAGGATTTCCAGCCTTTTTTTGTTTTTTATAGAATGATTTTTTCCCTATTAGTTTCCTCATGGTTAGCTACAGATTAAACAAACACTGTTGGCAGAAAAATGTTTAATGTAGGTGGCAGCTTCCTTTTTAAATGTGTCTTTTCTTCCTTGTACCTTCCCTCAGAAGCCCTAATCCCATAAATCTCTTAGGCATGTTCTTTAGAGGAACAGGCAACACTTGCTTACATGAACTGGGTCGTCTTAAAACTCATCGAATAATTCTGTGAGTATTGCACTTCATCTTTCTGGCATTCCCTGTGAAATTCACTTACATTTTTACCAATTTCTTAGTATGACTGCCCAAGTCTTCAAGAAACATCTCTAATTGCTATATGTGGCTTCAAAAAAGGTGCTTCTCCATAGATTCTAGGCTGCTTTTCGGGGACTCATTCCTAACTGCTTTCTGAGATACAGAGATGACTTAAGGCCCCAGACATTCTTGCTGATATAGTAACAGTTGTAATATCTCCCCGTGTTTAAATACTTTGTTTGATGCTGTTAAACTGTAGTCTGTATTTTGAGGTCTAATTGTGTTATCATTTCATATAGATCTAGAATTACTTCTAAAATCTCAAGTCTCTTGATATATATCCAGCTTCTCCTTCATTACAAATTTGCCTAGCTAGTTCTGTATTTTTTGTTGTTAACTGAAACTGTTTTCAGATCAGAAATGTGAGAAGTTGGAAATAAATGTATCCTCAATGTTCCACAAGACCAAAGACATGGTTGATGCCTCCCCGCTTCTCTTTCTCCTCTCCCTCTCTCTATATCTTCATCTGTCTAGCCAGCTACCTAGGCTGGGAGGTAAATATGTCTCAGGATCTTTACAAAGCAGATCCTGAGACAGGGATTTGAGGGCTCAAGATTTATTAAAGATGTAAGGGATGGGCCTGATCCACAGGGAGCTCTAAGGATGTGTCACACTGCAGTGTTGTTCCCATCTGGAAGAAAAGGAGTTGGACATTGGAACCCTGGATCAGTCCATTCATCCTTGTCTGTAAGTTACTCCAGAAGCAGGGGTAAATGGGGGTGGAGTAGGCAGTAGGGTTGGCCATAATCTCCCAGGCAGCCAACCTCAATGATTTGAGGGCAATTCTCTGGAGAAGGGGACATCTGCGAGCCAACAGCAGCTAACTCACAACTGAGGGCTGGGGTTGCTCACTTCCTCAGTTGATTGCAGGTAATTGACAGCATCCACTATATGGGAGTTGGCTTAATCTCTATGTAAAGCACAGAGAAGGGATCTTCTTAGAATGTGGGGGTATTATCTTCCGTTGCACCTCAGCTCTTGACTCTACTCGTTAATTCTCGAGAAACTATAGATATACCATTCTATTTCAGTGTGCATGCAAAACTCCATTTAATCTTCCTAAATAAACCTTTCATGTAGCTATTATTTAGTGCCTTCTGGTATTGTTTGCTTTGGTTTCCAGCTTCTATTTTCTCTGCCTAACCCCAGCCTTGGAGAGAGGCTAAATTCAAGAGTCTCATCTACTCTACAGAGGAAGGATGGCTCTTAGAGTTTCCACTCCTCTGATCCTTCCTGTCCCTGCCTCAGTATGCCCAAAGCATGATTTTTGACATAAGCACAGATTCAGAGTTCACTAATCTTAGAGACAGTGCCCAGGTGAGATGTTCGTGACTAAGACTCTTTTGGAGACACCTAGGTCGTGCTTGCTACAAGGCTGCTCATCAGCCTTCTGTTCCTTCCTGAGGGATTCTTGGCATCCATCTAATAAATTCTCATTTTCTGGAAGTTAACTGGATTCCATTTCTGTTGCATAGAATAGAAATTTTCTATTACATACATGGGTTTAAAGGTTTACATAATCTAGTGTTCCAAGTGATATAGCTAGTAAGCTTTTTAGCTGTACCTAGAACTCAGGTATACAGAATATTCAAGGCTGATCTCTTAGTCACCATTATTTTTCTATTTTTATTTATTGTCAATTACAATGCACAAAGTATACAGTTACTCAAATTATTCAAGGACAAATATTTTACTAGGGAGGAAAAAAAGGTCTATGTCACTGTATAGCTATATGTGGGCAAGAACTTTAAAAAACATCATAAAATTTAATTTTAAATAATTTTTCTTTAACAGCATCCCAATGGGCCAGTGAAAGATGTCCATGATGAGGCTTCTTTGCAAAACAGATGATTCTGAGTGGGCCTTTCTCTGGTTGAGTTGCCCTGCATCCTGTACCCCCTTAGAAACAGCCTCCTGGAAAATGTGAGAATGACATTTCAGAGGGTGAGGCACTAACAAGTTCTCTTTTCTGAAGGATGCCTAAGAAAGGGGAATAAGGCAGAGATTTCCCTGGGGACCACACCCCAGCATGGGCTTTGGTAAGACCAGTCTGTTCCTTTTGCCCTGACCAAGGGGTAAGCTGGGCTTTCAGGGGTCTCCAATTCTTATAGCTACAGGTGTGATCCAGGGACTGTATTCCTATTTCCAGGAAGTTATATCTTCACAGGCGAAGTAAAAGAAATACACAATGAAATTAATTATGAGATTTTACCAATCAACGTAATTTGACTGAAAAGCCTGGCTGTAGATTGCGCCTGTTACATGTATCTCTTTCCAGGAGCTGCTTCTTTATAAACTGCATGGAGTTTAGAGTATATTACACCCTTCTTAACATGTAGCTCAATTTCAAAGGTCATTCTCTGCCTAACAATCGGTCAATGCGTATCTCACACTTCTACTTCAACACTATTCTCTTCTTTCTTCAGAGATTACTAATTAACTCAATATACGTTTAAGTCACTGTTTTTACTTTAGATCTATTCACTGCAGCAATTGTTTTCTTTTACTAAAATTCACATTCAATCTATCCGGCTGGGATGTAGGAAACTTAGGGGCTGGAAAACATTCTGTGCTCGATTGGATATATACCATATTTTAGCCAATAATTTATTTTATATACATATGATAAAGAAGTTTAGAGTTTCAAGTGGAGGAACCTTGTAAAAACATTCAATGACTTCCTTCCTTTAAGGGGAGACAGGTTTGAAAGGTATTTTTTTCTAGAGTTTGGAATCATCTTTATCTTTCCAAGAATTCTGATGGCAAACACACACACACACACATACACACGCACACAAACAAAATCAGTGAGAACAACCAACAATTCAAATACTATTTCTCACTAGGAAGTATTGAGTAGAAAGGGTGCTCTTTTCCCTATTCCCAGATCTTTCCCTTTGCACCCCAATTCTTGGGATGGACAAGTGATTGTAAAAGCATGAAACAGACAGGCTAGAAGATGAAAAGGCCTGAAGGTTTTCAAGAGCAATGGATATTCATGGACTTCCAAAATATTGTAAAGACTAGAGTTGACTGAGGAAGTTTAGAAAGGTAAATATGGAACGGATTGTGAAATAGACCATATGACATGTGGTGGAATTTAGACTTATTGTGCAGTAAGCCACTAAAATATCTTCAGCACTGCAATGACAACATAGCTATATTTAGATTTCAGATAGATAGCTCTCTTACCAGAGGATGAATTAGAAATAGTGAGATAAGGCAGAAGTCATCTGAAGCAACACAAAGAAAGATGATGAGAGTCTTTACTAAGAAAGTGGCTATAGAAATGGAGATGAAGGGGTATAATTA
This sequence comes from Homo sapiens, assembly GCF_000001405.40. NCBI lineage: Eukaryota > Metazoa > Chordata > Mammalia > Primates > Hominidae > Homo > Homo sapiens. The sequence goes on along the minus strand of NC_000013.11, from coordinate 103,531,272 downwards.
AGAAAGTTTTAAAGATAAAAACAAACAAATTTGGTGACAAGTTTGATATGTAGAAAAGAAGGAAAAAGTGCTGTGTCTGTTTTATTCTTCTTAAAAATATATTAGAATAAAACCCCTTTTTGGCCCTTTGGTGTTTATTGGGTCTTATCACAAAACTTCTAGTCACTTTGATAGTTATTTGCTCTCTAAAAATGGAGACAGTCCCAGCTTGGGGCATCTCCTGCTGACCCAGAGGTCCTACCGCCTTACATTTTACAGAAAGGGACAAAGAACAGTGTGATTAAAGAGTAGAGTACAGGATCCTTTACTTCTAGGACTTAATGTAATAAAGATTGACATGATACATTATAGCTTAAGGCACAGATAATAAGGAGTGTTTCCAGGTAAATGGAAAATGTATAATTTCCTTGACTTTAACCATCTGTCTTCCTGTAATTTCTACTTCCAAATCCACATAATATCTATCTATAAACTAAGCCTCTTAAACCTGGTATCAACCTTATTTTTAATAAGCTTACCTCAGTAGTCTGATGATTTAACATCAAATAGATTTCACCACGGGTCCCAAAACGAACACATGTGCTGGTCACTGGGTACTTCCCTTGCTTTCTCAATCTAATTCTGAAGCATCCTTAGATTCTGGATGCCTGAACTGATTACTCTGGTCCCTTTGGGTCAATCTGCAAATACCCAAATTTCTTCGGTACTGGAATGTGTCTTACCTTTTTATATATATTGGGAATGAGAGTGGTTCCCTAATGTCAGATTTGCAAATGGTTGTGTTCCTAGCATTTGCTTCTAGTCCATAGCAATGTTGTCTTAATTGCAGATTTTAAATTATGGATCCAAGATATGGATCTACCTTTAACCACTTCTGGATCCAGGATTCTATACCCCAGCCTTCTGAAAACCACCTCCTCCATTTCACCAGTCCCCACTAGACTTCCTGACTTCTTACTGTGATCTTCGCCAATAGTCTACCCCCAGCAGCCATATGTTCCCTTACAAGTACCTATGGGGCTCCTCCCCTAAGCTTGTATAGCCTCAGCATTGTGAAAGTTAGAAGTTTCTGCCTTTTCCATTCAACTTAGATCAGCATTTAGAATCATTTAGCAATCTCTCAAGTCTACATCGTTTTGCAACTAAATTACATAGACACAACTAATACGAAAAGTGTTTAGGGTCAAAAATGCAATCTTTTTGTCAGACAGAAATGAATATATTTTCCTTAGGTCCCAATTCCTCCATTTTCTCTTGTCTGATTTTACTGGAAAAGAGTCCAGAGAAGAATGTATGTCACATTTTGTTGCATTCTATTATTTCTACCTTCTACCAAGATAGATAACATAATGATACTCTGTCAGATGTTAAAAACTCTGCTAAAAATAGAATAAAGGTTTTTTAAAGTCATATATTTACAAAGACAAGGGGAATAGGAGAGAAAGCAACTGCTGCAAAGTTTGGATGAGCAACTTAGTGAGCTAGAGAAAGTTAAACCTAAGCTGTACCTAGGGGTTGGCCAGAAATTTCCGATGGAAATGCAGAAAAAGAGCCTGTTTACACCATGGAATCTGAGGATGGCTCAAGAATTGGAAGCTCTAGGTTGCTCTGGAGTTTCCCACAGGGCTAGAAAGAGGAGACTCAATTGAGTCTTCTCAATTATAGTTGAGAGTTAAGCAATTGTACTTCTTTCCCAAGTTACTGAGCCAGACAACCAACCCCCGACTCTGAGGCAGAAATCTGGAACTTTAAAAATCAAAAGAGCGAGCCAACTAAGAAGCAAACAAGAAAGAAAAAAGAGAAATTCTTGACTATGACATCGGACACAGCTGATGTCAGACACGTGGTACTGAAATAAGCAAAATTAAATGAAAATCTACATGCCGAATTGTGAGATCTCCAACTCCCAGCATTTGGCTCCTGTGGGCATCATTGCTAATTTTTAATCAATATCTATTTTCTTTTTCTTCCTTTCAGTAATAGAAATGCTCATTGCTCTAAGCTTTATCTGAGCACATGGTCACCCAGCTAAACATGATTCTTCAAAGTTTCCATTGCAGTTGGTAAAGCCATGTGCCTCCATTTTCAATAATGGGATACAAGCGAAAATGATGTGCACGATTTGCATATCACATTTTTATGAGACAGCTGCTTACTCTGCACTCTTTCCTTCTTTCCTCTCATCGAGAAATAAATAAGTTTTGTGGAACAGGGGTTTATACCTGCCCTGTACTACCTGCTTACATTGAGTCTATTTCATGAGAGAGGACCAAAACTTTTATCTTGTTAGAGATAATGCATTCTTATGTATCTTTAATGTAGAAACTTAACCAGTAGTCTAAGAAATGCTTAATTACTGGCAACATATTTAAATTCTACTCTGGAGAAGCTGATATGCCTAACGACGTATGACATGACATGGGGATATCAAAAACTGGAGGCAGTAAAAACCTTAATATGATCCCTGAAGTAAAGAAGAAATCAAATCTCTGTCCAAGATTGTGATAAAATATTTAGTGCTTAACCTTAAATACTAAAACACAGATAATAACTAGTAGACATTTAAGAAAAGCCTGTGTCCAGAAAGATAAAGACACATGTAAACCAAAACAGAAACAGAGGAACTGAGAGGAAACCAAAGATAACGAAGGGAGCCAAGAAAACATTAAACATCTCTAATTGTTAATATATTGCATCCTGAAACTAAGAACAGAGGTAATATTCGGGAGAAAAAAAATCCTGATAGTTAAATAATTGGATAACAAAGTTTTACAAATCAATAGCATATTTAAGTAAGAAAAATGAGATAATTTCCATAACAGGAGGACAAAAAAAAAAAAAGAAGAAAAAAAAGTTAAAGAAATATCAAGAGCATCCCAGGAAGCCCAACATTTACTTAATAAGGTTTATAAACCACAGAAGTAAAAAGAATGAATAAAAACTGAAGAATAAAGAGAAGGAAGCAAAAGAAAAAAGAAAAAGGAAAGTTAAATATCCCACTAAAGACATGACTTCACAGGTGTAAATGCCATGGTCCTCAACAAAGTGAAAATTGACCAAAACAACATTTTATCCTCATAAAATTTCAGAATCTTAGGGATAAAGAATATTTTTAAATTACCAAATAAATCAGTTACATGCAAAGGATTAAAATTCAGGATATTTTTGGATTCATCAGTAACTATGAAACATGTAGAGAAATGTTTTTAAAATATAAATTAAAAAAGACTTCCAGAGAAGCTTTTTATACTTGTCAAAGGACAAAATTACAACAAATTAGTTAAAGATCTGATTGATTTTTTATTTGCAAATCACAAATCAGTGCAGCCTCCACTCTACAAAAGGTCACCAGGGCTCCCACTGGACAGTGCCAGAACAGTGGGTCTTGTAAGGTGGGAACAAGAAAGCAGAGCATTGGTAGAAAAGCTGATTGGTTAACATCAGGTTACTTTTTTTTTTTTTAACATTAAAATGGAGAGGAATTTCTTATTGTGCAGGCTCAAGTAGACTGGAATTTCTTGTTTTCAGGAAAAACTGGTGTGTTTGGGATCTACCTACTTCCTTAAAGTTTTAGTTTGGTTATGTGGCATTTAGCCTGAGTGACTCCATTTTTATATGGTCTGGCCTAGTAGGTTCTAGTAGGGTCTAGTGTAATCCACTAGATTACACTAGTGGATTAGGCATTCCATAATTTTATCGTATTTGATGAAATTATCAACAAAATGAAACTTTTGAATAATAAAGATGTGTTCAGACGTTAAAAGTCTCAAATTTACCCTCTATGCACCCTTTCGCAAGAAACTGCTGTAAGATTTAGTCTACCAAAATGAAGGAACAAATGAGAGAAAGGGAAGGGATAACATAGAATTCAGAAACAGAAGATTCCACTGGGAGAAAATTAAAAGATATTATCAGAAGGATGTGAAGGGATATACTAAGACATTAGCCCGGTAGCAGTCCTGGAGAGTGAGCAGACTGTTAAATCCAGAAGAATAATTCCAATGGGGAAAAAAGATGATGATTTGAAAATATTGCAAATTGAGATACATATTGGAAAGAGATTTGGGGAATGGATGATTGATATATACTAGATAATTATAATTAAGCAAAATGAAAACAACAGGCCTATTGCTAATGCTAGAGAAAGTACATTTTAAAAGAAGAATAGATATTCATAGGCCACTAGTGTGATTTAATGACATATTATTCAATAGCCATAATAATATAAATGCTTAGTGTTGATTTAAGTTAAAATTATGACATGGCTATTTCAATACCATCAAAGGGAGAGGGAAGTCTATGTGCGTGTTTGATCTCAGTGTAAGAGAGGAGAGTAAAATCTTTGAGTTTGAATTTAGTAGTTAATATGCAAAGCATACTTTTTAAAAGACAAACATGGCTTACTTACAAGTATAAAGGTGTATGCCAGGATAAATATTTTAAATGGTAGAAAATGTTTCCTAGAAAGTGAGAATCCAGGACTATTTTTTAATGCTATTGTCTTACTGTTATTTAAGAAAATCATGTAACTGTTTCACCATATCACCTCATTTTATGTATTATTGATTTAAAAAATTAAAGTAAACATTACATTTAAACATAAATAGTTACTCCCACTATATTTATTTTCTAGGACTACAGTAACAGAAGACCAGGGATTAGGTGGCTTAAACAAACAAAATGACTTTATTTTCTCACAGGTTGAGAGGCTGGAATTCCAAGATCAAGCTGCCAGCAGTGTTGGTTTCTGGTGAGGTCTCTCTTTTTAGCTTGTAGACAGCTGCCTGGTTACAGTGTCTTCACACAGTCTTCCTTCATATACTGATCCCTCTGCTGTCCTTCTCTTCTTATAAGGATACCAATCCAATTGGATTAGGTCCCCCTGCTACAAACTCACTTAACCTTAGTTACCTCCTTAAAGTCTCTATCTCCAAATATAGTCACATTGGGATTTAGGGCTTTAATATATGAATTGTGTGTGTGTGTGTGTGTGTGTGTGTGTGTGTGTGTGTGTGTGTGGTGGGAGAGACACAATTCATTCCATAATACCCACATATCTCTAATTGTTTAAGAATTTGTCCAATTCACACATTCACACATGTTGTTTAAGCCAAAATCCACTCTGATTAACCAGAGCCAGAACTGTTATTGGTTGTTAAATATTTCTATTATAATTTATTCTATAAACACACATTAATTTCTTTGAGATATTTCCAACTTTAATAATGAATTGAGTCTTTTCCAATGGCTTTCTCAAATGTTTTTAACAGAGAAATATTTCTATTCATGGGCATAGAATATTTCTATTAGGAGCTTTTCAATTGCTAAGGGTCTATAACATAAACTAAAGCATCATGCTTTTTAGTGTAAGTCAAAGAGACATAAGAATGAAAAGATCACCATATATATGCTCTTAATTTTCAAAACTGAAATTGCTAATGCTAATTTTTATTTGCGCACCTGCTGCTAAAAACCAAATGTGCTACTCACTTCCTACAGTTGCAAATACATGCCCTTTGATTAGTGGCTGCAGCTGCTCTCCAAAGAACATGAAATTGATTGCAAATCTGCCTCCTAGATTAGAGGTCAGCTGCAAATGTTTGTTCCAAAAAGCAAGTCTTTTTGTTTCAGTTGCTTGCCATATTTGACATGAGGTAAAAAGCATGAGCTTTGGAGTTGAGATTTAATTCCTAGGTCTGAAACTAAGCTGATCCTTGTTCTTTCTCTGCAACTTGGTAAAATTAATGGAGCCTACCATATGTAATTGTTTAAAGGTTAAATGAGATAGTCATGGAGAGGGCTTAGATCAGTGCTGACTCTCTAGCAAGTGCTCAGTAAACATTAGTTAGTATGTTACAACCCTCTGTTTGTCTCAGTCGCTTCACTTATGCCTTACTGCTTAGGATTCTACAGCAATAAACATTTTCTAATGGTTTTATGAACCTCTGCAAATTGTTTCCACAAACAGCAGTGCCAATATCTCTCTGCTCCCTTAGGCTGTTACAGTGGCCCAAAAATTTATGTGACATTTCCCAAATAAACTAGGCCATTCAACTCAACAACTTCTATTTTAAAAATTACATTTGGTTCCTCCAAAAGATGTCCATAATGTTGATAAATAATTTTAAATGAAAAATAAAACAGACTTGCTTTGTCATTTTTAAAAAAAAAATCATCATTTTGTAGTAGAAAAGTCTTTGGTTAAATTAACTGCTGAATAAATGTGAACTCTTTTAATTCATAAGCAATGTTTTACATATATTAGGTGGTCAATAAATATTTATTATATAAAACTACAATCCTGTATATAGTGGGGATTTTATTCTATGAACTGAGCTGACTATTTTTAATCATTTATGATTTCTTATGCACCGAGTACCATTATGCATATTTTTATTTAATTTTTAAAAACAAATAGTGATATGTATGCACTTCTGTTAATGAGACTACACAGATCGAGTATACACAATACTACATTTATTTTACAGAAGATGTAAATTACTTGTATGACTAAATAGATCTTTCCTTTAAAAAAATCCCATACTTTCTTACATTTGTTGGTAATGTTCCATTTTACAAGGTGGTTGCCATATTGTGTGATGTGTTGCATTTTGTTTCCTATCTTTTTCCAAAAGAGACTTACAGAATAGATATCGGTTATATAAAAAAGAATAAGAAAGTATAAGAAGGAGAAGGAGAGATGTAAGAGTTTTGCTCGTGCTTCAATCTTAATTAAGAACTTTTCTGGAAAAGCCTGTAGGCAGTACAATGTTTCCCTTCAAGCAAGGAGCTCTGGAGGAAATCTGAGTCAATAAACCGCTGTTCTTTTCCTGAAGTATTAAGTGCTCCTCTAAAACTCCCAGGTTTGCTTGTTTTTTATTGTTGTTGTTTTCTGATTGTTTGCTTGATTTCTTTCTTCTTCTCTGGAGGTTGTGTAGAGGTAGCCTAGTCCTGTGTTAAATAAGCTCTTAGCCATAAACATAGGTTGTTTTAGCTGGGGAGGTTTGTCTTTTTCAATGATACCTAACGAAAACATTTAGAAAAATCTCCCATGGAATGACTTTGACCTGTGGCATCACCCACAGCAGAAAACAACAACAACAAAAAACCCTTCTCCTTTAAATGGGCATCTCTGCAAAGAAAGGGTGCTAATCTGGAGTGACCCTTCTACGGCATTCGTTAATCGTGGATGACAGCTAGTGAAATGGGACTGGACGCAGGGAATTGCTTCATTAGTAGCACAGACTAAAGGACCTGTGAAGCTGTAACCTGCCTTTCCTAATACACGGGTTGCGTAATTTCATCATTTAACCCTCACCATTTAAACTGATATTGTATACTTAAGCTGAATTCTAAAACAAACAAATTTTAAACAAGTTTTAATAATTTCCCTGTTAAAGTACAAAATTGTTTTATTTTTGTGATTTTTCTATGTTCAAAAAGAGTCATTCTTCAGAGAAATTGTGAGTTCGCTTCAGACCACCGTAATAAAATGAATATCATAATAAAGGGAGTCATATACATTGCTTGGTTTCCCAATGCATATAAAACTTATGTTTACACTATAGTCTATTAAATGTGCAATATCAATGTACATACCTTAATTTTAAAATACTATATTGCTAAAAATGCTAATGATCACCTGAGACTTCAAGTCATAATCTTTTTTCTGGTGGAGGATCTTGCTTCCATGTTGGTGGCTGCTGATGGTCAGGGTGGTGGTTGCTGAAAGTTTGGGTGGGCTGTGGCCATTTCTTATGAAAACAACAAAGTTTGCTGCATTGATTGACTCTTCTTTTCCTGAAAGCTTTCTCTGTAACATGCAATGCTGTTTGATAACATTTTGCCCTCAGTGAAACTTCTTTCAAAATTAGAGTCAATCCTCTCAAACCCTGACACTGCTTTAATCACTAAGTTTATAAAATATTCTAAATATTTTGTTGTTATTTCAACAATATTCATTCACAGCATCTTCACCAGGAGCAGTTTCCATCTCAAGAAACTACTTTCTTTGCTCATCCATAAGAAACAACTTCTCATCCATTCAAGTTGTATCATGAGAGGGCAGCAATTCAGTCACATCTTCAAGCTCTTTTTCTAATTCTAGTTCTCTTACTATGCACCCCATCTGCAGTGACTTCCTCCACTGAAATCTTGAACCCCTTAAAGTCATTCATGAGGGTTGAAACCCAGTTCTTCCAAACTCCTACTAATGTTGGTATTTTGACCTTCTTCCATGATCACAAATGTTCCTTATGGCATCTAGAATGGTGGATCCTTTCCAGAGGGTTTTTTTTTTTTTGTATTGTTTATTTTACTTTAAGTTCTGGGATACATGTGCTGAACATGCAGTTTGTTACATAGGTATACAGGTGCCATGGTGATTTGCTGCACCCATCAACCCATTATCTAGGTTTTAAGTCCCGCATGCATTAGGTATTTGTCTTAATGCTCTCCCTCACCTTTCCCCCTACCCTGACAGGCCCTGGTGTGTGATGTTCCCCTCCCTGTGTCCATGTGTTCTCATTGTTCAACTCCCACTTATGAGTGAGAACATGCGGTGTTTGGTTTTCTGTTCCTGTGTTAGTTTGCTGTGGATAATGGTTTCCAGCTTCACCCATGTCCCTGCAAAGGACATGAACTCATTCTTCTTTTATGGCTGCATAGTATTCCACGGTGTGTATGTGCCACATTTTCTTTATCCAGTCTATCATTGATGGGCATTTCGGTTGGTTCCAAGTCTTTGCTATTGTAAATAGTGCTGCAATAAATATATGTGTGCATGTGTCTTTATAGTAGAATGGTTTATAATCCTTCAGGTATATACCCAGTAATGAGATTGCTGGATCAAATGATATTTCTGGTTCTAGATCCTTAAGGAATCGCCACACTGTCTTCCACAATGGTTGAACTACTTCACATTCCCATCTAAAGTGGAAAAGCGTTCCTGTTTCTCCACAGCCTTGCCAGCATCTGTTGTTTCCTGATTTTTTAATGATTGCCATTCTAACTGGCATGAGATGGTATCTCATTGAGCGTTTTAAATGTATTTTGCCCAGATCCGTTAGGAAGGAATTACTGTTTATAGCAGCTATAAGCCTTAGAAAATGTATTTCTTAACCAATGACTCAAAAGTCAAAATAACTCCTTGATCCGTGGGCTGCAGAAAGGATGTGGTGCTAGCAGGCATGAAAACAATATTAATATTCTTATACATCTCTATCAGAGCTCTTAGGGGACCAGGTGCATTGTCAATGGGTAATATTTTGAAAGGAATCTTTTTTTTGAGCAGTAATTCTCAACAGTGGGCTTATAATATTTAGTAAATCATGCTGTTAACAGATATGTTGTCATCCAGGCTTTGTGGTTCCATTTATAGAGCAAATGCAACACAATTCTTAAGGGCCCTAAAATTTTTAGAATGGTAAATGAGCATTGGCTTCGACTTAAAATCACCAGCTGCATTAGCCCCTAACAGGAAAGTCAGCCTGTCCCTTGAAGCTCTGAAGCCAAGTATTGACTTTTCCTTTCCAGCTGTCAAAGTCCTAGATGGCATCTTGTTCCAGTATAAGGCTATTTCACCCACATTGAGAATCTGTTGTTTAGTAAAACCAGCTTCATCCATGATCTTAGCTAAATCTTCTGGATAACTTGCTGCTATCAGTCTAGCTTTTAGCCTGTCTTAGCTTTTGACATGTCTTCCTCACTAAAATTTTGATTTAAAATGAGAAACATGTGACTCTTCCTTTTACTTGTACTTAGAAGCCATTGTAGGTTATTATTTGGACTAATTTCACTATTATTGTATATCAGTGAATAGAAAGGCTCAAGGAAAGTGAGAGAGATGGAGAAATGGCCAGTCAGTGGAGCAGTCGGAACACACATAACATGTAGTCTTTGCCATCTTCTATGGGCATGGTTCATGGTGCCTCAAAACAATTACAATAGTAATGTCAAACAAAGATCACGGATTACAGATTACCATTAGAGATATACTAATAATGAAAAAAGTTTGAAATATTATGAGGTTTACCAAAATGAGACGTAGAGACATGAAGTGAGCACATGCTATTGGAAGGATGGCACCTATCACCTTGCTGAAAGCAGGATTGCCACAGTCATTCAATTTCTTAAAAAAAAAAAAAAAAGGCAGTATCTGAGAGGCATAAGAAAATGAAGTACAATAAAACAAGGTATGCTTGTATAGTATATAACCATGGTATAAACAATAGGATTGTGACAAAAATAAACAATTAAAAATAATTGACTATAGTGTTTAATCTTATAGCACGTTCATGCCCTAAGGGAGCAGGTATAGGCAACAAATTGGCATGCTTTCATTATTTCATTTACTAATCCTATCAGGACAGAATGGAATTAATCATTTTAAATCATCATTTGTTTGGTTTTAGCAATATTTTGCAACTGCAAAAATAAGTGTTTCAAAATTATACTGTAACCATAAAGTGTTTTTCAATATATATGCTCTTAACCTTCAATAGCTAGCAGCGTGCAGTGCACACTCATCCTGCTAACTACTGGAAGAGATACTTGACCACTGCAAGCAAGTTGAAAACAATGTATGATAGTATATGACTGAGAAAAATTTCACAGTACACTCTTCAATGAAGAGGAAGTGTGACATTTTTGAAAATTATTATTTTTTTCCCAAGAAGAATTCTATTATACACGGTAGAAAAGTATAGTGCCTTGGTAATAAAAATTATAAGTTAAATCATACAAACAGATGACAAAACAATGAAATTCATTTCAAATATACTTCTAGGCACAGAACAGAGTAAAAGAAGGAAAAGATTAAAAAATGGTCTTTTGTCAAACATGATAATGATGTATCTTCTCATGAATTTTAAGCATAGAGCTGGGGTGGGCCGACGCTGTGAAGTGTCTGGTGAGTCGTACAGTCTCTGTTGCTACTGCTCAACTCAGCTGTTTTAGCACAAAACAGCCACTGAGAATGTGTCAGTACAACTTCATCTGCAGAAACAGGCAGATAGACATATTTGGCTCAAGGGCCATCATTTGCTGAACATTTATTCTGGAGGAACTTTCAGAGACTGTTATTTTTCAAAGAAACTCTGCTATCCAAATAGTCTCTTCAACCAAATAAAATTCATTTAGGATTGATCAGAAAGATAACTGGGCATATTTCAAGATATTCTTTTCTATCAAATCTCTAAATATTATTCTGAGGTCATTTAGAGTTGCAGTCCTGTGTCCAAAGCAGTTAATTTAGGAAGTTTAGAAGCACTGGCATTGATAAATTAATAACACATTAATTAATATTGCTGTTCCAATATCTCATGTTTGAAAATTATCAATTCAACTCAGTGAATGTACAGAGCAGGGAGGGTGAGCAACACTTGAATTTACCCAAGTTCAAGTTCATTTTTAAAAGGATAGATTTTTTTTCCCTCCCATTAATGTATTCCAATAGACGCATGCAGAATGAGCTACTTTTTATGTCTGTTTTCCTAACCACCAATAGGTATATGCTATTTATAAGTAATTAAATATAGTGAAATTCTGTCATTACAAATTTTCATCAGTTTGGTTGTCAAGTCTTTTTTTTTTTTTTTTTTTTTTTTTTTGAGATGGAGTCTCACTCTGTCACCCAGGCTGGAGTACAGTGGCACCATCTCAGCTCACTGCAACCTCTGCCCACTGGGTTCAAGAGATTCTCCTGCCTCAGCCTTCTGAGTAGCTGGGATTAAAGGTGTGCATCACCGCACCCAGGTAATTTTTGTATTTTTAGTAAAGATGGGGTTTCACCATGTTGGCTGGGCTCATCTTGAATACCTGACCTCGTCTTGAATGCCTGAACTCAAGTCATCTGCCCGCCTCAACCTCCCAAAGTGCTAGGATTACAGGCGTGAGCCACCACGCCCGGCCATCAAGTCATTTTTTTAGCTACAAAAGCAACACAATGGCAATACTAGCTACAATTAATGTTAAGAATAATATCTCATTTATCAATTCTCACAACAATAAGAGTAACATTCTTATTTTAAAAGCAAAAAAAAAAAAAAATTTGGAATTTAGGTAAGTGCCAGAGAAGACAGGGCCAATCAGGAATGGCCTCAGAATTTAAAACTAAGTCTCATTTGTGATTCTTAAACTTTTTGTGCCGCAAAATAGTTAACAGGGTCCTACTATGAATCAGGTGCTTTATGTACAGAATTTTAATCTGCAACAAACCAGCAAAGTTAGTGTCCATGTTTCTCTTGTATAATTAAGAAATTATATGTGAATTACTTGTCCCTGGTCACAGAGCCAGCAGAGCCTGGACTGGAACTTGATCTCCTTGTCTCGGGACTAATACTCTCCCTACTATGACCAGCTGCTGATGGGGGAATGTGAATGTGGAGGCATATTTCAAGCAAACTAATTTAATGCTTAGATTTGCAAAAGCAAAGCCTAGTTGAGATTGATAAAGAAAAAGACACAATGGGATTCTGAGTACGAGAGAAAGTAAGAAGACATGTATAAAATAGAGAAAAAATGGTGGAAAACCGAAAGGTTTAAACCCTCTTCCCAATATTAAATGTTGCGTCAACTTAGATGAAGGGCTTAACTTTTTGAAGAACTTCTGGTTATTCATCTTCAAAAGGGAAGTAATGATATAGATTCAGAAGGGTTTGATGGGAACATGAGAAAATAACTCACATGAAAATTGTCTTCTAATGATAATAAATATGTATACCTCTAAACGTGCACATATAAAGTTAAATAACGATGCGTTCTATATTTTTACTTCAATATTTGAACAGTTTTTGTTCAGTTGTATCTTATTTCTAATGTCTAAATATATAGGATTTTAAACTAGGCCTTCTGGAACCAATTTCTAGTTAATGAATGAATGATTTATACGAAAATTATTCTTTGATCTTTACTAAAATTTGGTCAATTTTCATGAGGTTCTGTGCGTACTTTGAAACAAATATTTGCTAACACTAGAGTGCACTAATTCTGTTATTTAAATCTGTGCTACACCCAGTTTATTTAACTGAAACAAAAATTACAGTGTTAAAAATCTCCTACAATGATGCCAAGTTTGCTCACTTCTCATACCATCACCAGCCTCAGCTCTAGTTTAATTCTGTGGATTAGTGCTTTCTCATTTTGAGAAATTTGAAGACTTCCTGTATATTCTTGCAGTTTTATATTTTATCTAGTATTATCTTGGTGTTTTGCACTAGATGGAATTTCTGGATTTTAAATCCACCAGATAAAACGAAAGTTAATATTCTGAATTTATTTTCTGTTCTGGTAATACATGATAGTTAAAAAACATGGCAAGCATGCTAGGCTGTACTAATTCAGCAAGCAGTATAAACCTAATCTTTTCCCCATTCCATTGTTGTTTGGTTCTCTGTTCCCTAGTCTGTCCTTTAGTGTCGCTTAACTAATCTCCATCTTCAAGCTGAACTCTGCTTGTGTCTACTTACTGATGCTAGGGAAGTCTGAAAGTGCTGCTTCCAAATTTGTCCTTTCAGAAAAGACTGTGTAGCCATACTTAGAAAGAATTCTCAGTGGCCTCCAGATACCCTGAACTGAAACCTTCCATTCTAACGAGAAGCATTAACATTTGGTGTAATCATTACATCCAATTTGGTGTAATCATTACCTTGTTTGGCTCAGAGGTTTCCCATGGGCAATCAAATGTAAACAGTGCTTTCTATAAATGACCTTTGTTTCTCACAACTGAGCCTCACACTGATGTTGAAATCCAGATTTCCTCTTTATTTATTTTTTTAATCTCCAAATGGGCTTAAGCAACAGAAGTAATGATGATGTCTACACATAAAGTGAAAGCCATTTACAACTTTGTTTTCTTAAACATCATCAATTTTGTAATATAAATATAAAAGAAATTACCTAGAGTTGAATATAAACCCCTAACACATTTTGTGTTCTTGTCATTTTCGTATGTCCATGCTGACACAGGTGTAGCTAGAGAAGAACTCCTATTGAAAGTAAAAGGCAGTATCTGCTCTGCAGCTGCAATAGCTGCTTATGGAATCTACAGTTTTGTTTGCTTGTTTCCCAGCTCATCACTTCACACATGGTACTTAAGTTTCTGACTGCAGGGTGAAATATACCAGCCATGACCCAGATTATTACCAGACGTTTTGAACATAAGAACAAAAACACAGGTCTTGTTTAAGCCCCTCTTAATTTGTTGTGTGCTGTTGCCATCACTAATACTCACAGGCAAACCTACTCCCAACTAGTATTTATTTATTTAATTTTTATTTTATTTATTTATTTATTTTGAGATAGTCTTGCTCTGTTGCCCAGGCTGGAGTGCAGTGGCTCAATCTCAGCTCACTGCAACCTCCACCTCCTGGGTTCAAGTGATTCTCCTGCCTCAGCCTCCCCAGTAGCTAGGACTATAGGCATTCGCCACCATGCCCAGCTAATTTTTGTATTTTTAGCAGAGACGGGGTTTCACGATGTTGGCCAGGCAGAGCTTGAACTCCTAACCTCAGTTGATCTGCCCACCTCGGCCTCCCAAAGTGCTGGAATTACAGGCGTAAGCCACCATGCCAGGCCCCAACTAGTATAGATGTAGGTACCAGGAAGTAGGGGGCTTACAAGTAGCAGGACTTAAACTAATAGCATTTGTTTGGTGGAATTAGTAGGGAGGGGTATTTCACAGTGTGGGCTAGCGTAACCTGAAAGCTTCTCATACCTTAACAAAACCTTGACAAAAGAAGTCCCTGCTGTTTCTTAGAAGGCAGATCACATTTCAACCTGTGCAGCAACATTAGGAAGAATACTAAGAAAACTCAGATTATTGATTTTTGCTGGCCGCTTCTTGCCCCTTTTAAAAAACCCTGAGAAGAGATGAGCATTGTCTGTGTTCTCCAGTCTGCATTCAGGGATGGGAGTGCACAGTAAGGCACTTTCAATGTCAACAGAGTGAGAGTCTTATAAACTGCGACCTTGCAGATCTGAAGGGAAATACTTCTCTTTCTGAAACCAGAGAAGTTGTCTTTCATGGCTCTTAAATAGCAGCCTCAGTGGGAGACTGAGGTCCAGTGCTTTTTCGAGTGTCTTCCAGTGAGAGGTCTATGCTGGACAATGGGAGGCAGCCCAACAGTAAACTCAGATTAAAGGAGCTGCCTTTGTCCTCAAGCCTCTATTTTGAGAAGTCCCTAAAAGAGCTTCAACCAAGGAAGCAGAACCAGTAGAAGACTTTACATAAGGAGATAGAGAGATATGTGCAGACACAGAGCTATGGATATAGAAATGCACAGATATGTAGATATAGATTATTTATTTACCTATTACAATAAATTATACAATTGTAAGGACTGGCTGAGCAAGCGGAAAGTCCACAGGGCCAGTGTCCAGGAAGGAAAGACCACAGGCAGGCTGGAAACTGGAGAGCTTGAATTAAAGCCTGAAGTCCACAGGATGGGAAGGAGAGGTGATCAGCGGATCAGCAACAATTAGGAAGGTCAGCAGATCACAACATCAAGATGATCGTGAAGGTCCCAGAATAGAGAAACTCTGCAGTTGTTCTTCCAATCCACAGGTGGTGGGAGTGGGGGGAGAAAGACTGATAATGGACGAAACACAGAAACCACTAGGTGAAACAGTCTAGCAGTCTTAATTTAATTTTCCATTTTGACTATTATTAAATAATGCATTGTGAGATCACAGAGTACAGTATACCCACTACATCAGTAAACACAATCTCTAAGATAGTAGAACAATTGCAGGAAACAATATTGAAAATTGTACACGTGATATATCAAACTTTAAAATAGTTTTATGCCAGCATTTCCCAAATTCTGTCCTAGTGATAAGAGTTCAGCCAGATATAAAGAGATTACATAGGAAAAAAGAAATTATGTAATTGAATAAGTTTAAACAAGCAAGAGTTAAATAGAATATAATGGATTTTAAATTTATAAGAGTACTTGTTATGGTCTTCAATATACTAAAATGCAAGTACATCTCTGGGCAGTAGTGGCACATGCTATGATATATGTTACACTTGTATTTTACACAACATTTCTCAAACCCATTTGACTTAGAATCCTATTCCCCTCCGTAGCCCACATTTTATGGCACACTATTTTAAACACACTGTATTGCATTATCAATAAAAGTGACCTTAGGGAACTCTTAAGCAAATTTGGGTGCTTGGGATCTTATAATTCATAGCGGAGTTTTGATCTTGGCCTGGATAGTAGCAACTTATTAGTTTTCTCCGTTCATCCAAGTCATGGAGCCAGGTTGAATAAATGGATCTAGTGTACTTATATTTATTGAGAAATGCAGAAAATTATAAAATGTCTGGAAACTAGTATTAAACTCCAAATCTGGCCGTCTAAAAAATGCTAAGGATGATAAGAGATTCCAGAGCCTTCTGGGGGTTGATGACTGTGTTCAGTAAACTCCACCTAGGATGTGTAATAAATCATAGGCCGTTTTGCAAAGGTGCCAAATGAGGCATGCAATTCCCAATCAACCTGAAGGCAGAGTTTAAAAGCCTAATGCACCAGGGATAGGTGACAGAGAAAGATATTCAGTGATGGAACATATCTCATATAGGGTATTATATGCAAAAGATTGATCAAATCTTTTACAGTAAAGGATTGGCAAGGGAGGTAGGTAGCATCTGAATGGTATTTTTGTAGTTGTTTATTCTCGTGTAAGGCATTTTCTAAGGGTATTATTTGACATTTTAATAATAATCAAATTCATCATGAAGTGTGAATAACAGAACAAACCCCCTTGAATGAAAAATGATTTTGCCCTCATAATAAATTGGATTCAGAAACACCTAATTACCTTACCACCACCATCCAAACATTTAAAACTCAGTAATGATCTCAGTAGCACTTTCTCATTACTGGACAACCACAGAAACCAAAACTCACACTTTTGTGTGTGGAGGGCATGGGCGGGGGATAGGCAGGGAGAGAGGCTGGAGATTTCTGCCTCAAAAAATGAAATGTAAGATTTTTCAATATTTTTTATTTGTAATATATAACCTACAGAATTTTGATGATTTAAAGGTCAGCAAACCACAATCTTTTTCCAAACTGTTCATTTCCACTCAGCATAAAAAGAGACTAATTTCTATACTACCTTTCAACAATGAGAAATCATGTAGAAAAACATGTATATCTGCAATTAAGACTGTGTCTGATTGGCATAGGCAAAAAAAAAAAAAAAAGATGGTAGCTGTCCATTGGCAAATTAGCTCTCCATTGGCAAATCACTTCCTGGGCTGCTTAGAACAGAAGAGAATAAGAAGCTCTGAAATGTAAGGCACATAAAGCACCTATAGTAAAGCAGGGAGCTTCCTCCCTGGTTAAATACTTAAGTCTAATACAGTTAATTTTAATGAGAAATGCTTAAAAACATAAAAGCTCTCTGGAAACAATCGAGGCTATCTCCCTCTTCTTCCTTGTCCTGGTCCTCCTGGTTCCTTGTCCTAGTCCTCCCGGCTATTGACTTATATTTCAATTCTAACCTTTTCTCCTCCCCTCAGTTCCACAGTCACAAATAAAAGGCAAAACAAAAATAAAAACAAGAGGTAGACTCCGGAATTGATTTCATTCACATAAAATACAGAAGAGCTCTTCTTAATTTCTTATGCCTCCCAGTGTTGATCCTGGCTCAGTTAAAATTACTAATACAATAAAAACAATCTTCACAAAACTAGGCCAGCTGCAGTAGCTCATGCCTGTAATCCCGCTGAGTTTGAGACCAGCCTGAGAAATACAGCAGGACCCTATCTCTACCATAAATTTAAGAATTAGCCAGGCCTGGTGATGTGCACCTGTAGTCCCAGCTACCCAGGAGGCTCATCCAAGGAGGATCACTTGAGCTCAGGAGGTGGAGGCTGCAGTGAGCTATGACTGGGCCACTGTACTCCAACCTGGGTAACAAAGTGAGATCTTCTTTCTCTCTCTTTCTCAAAAAGGAATCTTTATAAAACTTTAGATAAATAAGCTTCATATTTAGCAGGTACCTATAACCAACATCAATCCTAATATATCGCATTTTTAGGTCATCATTTCTGAACATTTTGTCCCTAGGCCATGAACTACCTGGCTAGAAGACTGTGGCCACCAAACCTTGCCCCAATTCCTGGTCCAAGCTCCAGACGTGCTGATTTAGAATCTCTAAGTATGCGGCCAGAACACTGGTCTATTTACTTCTTGTTATTATTATTATTTTCTCTGATAAAGGGGTACTCAAATTGTGATGTGGTTTGGAGTTACCTGGGGTGCTTATTCAAACCTCTGAGGTCCTGCCCCACCATGGAAGTGGCAACAGTGGACTGGGCTCTGGGCACCAGTCACTTGAGCAAGTTTTCAGGGTGATTCAACACTACCCAGAGTCTCAGATCACGGCTTTAGATCTTTGTCATACAATCAGAATAACTTTCATTAGGCAGGAAAACTTTTATGGATTCGTTGAATTCATGGTCAGTATTTCTCCAAGTGAATATTAAGGATTTGAGACACAGCTCATGTCGGTCTGTTGCAACGAGAAGTAAACTTTTTAAAAAATGCACTTTAATTAATATATCCATAAGATATATGTAGCAACAAACATAAATTTTACAATACGATTAAGGAATGTCTTATTTTAACAGTCAGGTGTTTTGTGGACTACTCAATTTATTTACTTATCTTTATTTTCCTGACTTAATAGACTTTCCTAGAAACCTGGAATACATAAATACACAGTATGTGGGGTTTTTTTTTGTTTTTGTTTTGTTGGCTTTGAGATAGAGTCTCACTCTGTCATCCAGGCTGGCATGCAGTGGCACAATCATAGCTCACTGCATCCTCGACCTCCTGGGCTCAAATGATTCTCCCACCTTAACCTCCCAATGCGCTGGGATTCAGGCGTGAGCCACCGCCTGTGGCCCCACAGCATGGTTCTTAGGCAGTGTGTAAAATCTCTAGACTTCTCTGTAAACATAGAAAGCCCTAACTAGTAATAGTAACAGGTCTCTAAAAGTTCAAAGGCAGGGGCTGTCTCTCCTCTTTCCTCTCCTTCCCTCCTTCCTCCAATCCTCCTCTATTCTCATTCTTTGTCTCATACTCTCTCTCCCACTGACCCTCTTATTTTCAGACAAAAATGCTAGGACCCTATAAAATGCTCCACCTAAGTTGTGCAACTGCTAGAATCTTTATGGTCTTGTTAAGCCACCCCCTCCTCTTTCTGCTTAGATTCAGAAAATCCTTCCTCCCTGTTCTTCAGTACCTCGCAGCATGGCCAGGCACAAGAACTAGGGCTGGCTTCTCCAGTCGGTCTGTTACACAATGTTTATGTATTTGTTCTCCTTCCGAACAACCACGTGGGACTTTCCTCCTTCTGGGTGGGGTCTTCTTAATAATGTCACTCTTCATTCCTAGCCTGATTCATATTTCCAAATACGAAGAAGTTGAGCAGAATAAGAAACCATTTTTCTTTCTAGAAAACTTCTTAAGAGAAAATATAATACTTCCCTTTCAATTTCAATTCTAGCCAGATATTATATATTAGGCCCAATGTTTCCTTACGAACTAAAAATTCTTTGAAAACAAAAGCCCTCTAATATGGCAGCTCATATACAATAAAATTCAAATTATTGACGTTTCTTCATGCTACCAAACACTGAAACCCCTTGCGCCATATTTCCCATAATGTTCTTACACGATCACTCAAGACCTGTTCATTATTTTGAGTCTATTCTTATATTTTTCTTTTCTTTTATTAATTCATCTCATTGAGTTGCTATGACATTCAAGATCCATAAGATCTGTTTGGGTCAAAACAATTTAAATTGTAGTTCCCAACTCCGGAGGCTGCAGAACTGCCTAGTAACCACGTACTTGGACACATGGGCTCCTCCCTAAATTTACCCTACCTGGAAAAGGAAGTTTAGACAACTTATGTCTCTGGCAAATATGTATAGAAAAGAACTTCCCTTAAAATGTCAATTTACACAATTTTGGAACTTAATTTTAAATCATACATGAAAACAAATCTTCTTAAAGACGAAAAAAATCTATGTAAAAATAAATGTTCATTTTTCATTAATATGACAAATGCCCCTTCTCATCTTATTTCCAGTCCTTTTCCCAGGCCTTCTTATCCCACTTTGTTTGCTTTTTTCAGAAATGTTACAAAATTTCTCTTACAGACTCGTCTTTCCCCAACTCCCCAGTTTTAACTAATGACTGATTTTCCATGGCATGAATTCTATACACATTAAATAAATGTGCATGTCTTTGTTTTAGCACTACTCTAATAATATCTTCCAGTATTGGTTTCTGTCCTTTTGATTTGTCCTTATGATTATGTGACTCTGGTTTATTTTAGGTCCCAGGCATCCAAAAGGAAAAGCTAGAAACTGCTCATTCAGTTTTATGAGATTCTCATCACCTTAGCATGGTTATAAAGGACTTCATAGATTTAAGTACTTAATAATGCTAATATAAACAGGAACAATAAGCCAGTACATATTTTTGATATAAAATTATGCTGAGTCTGTGCCATGTTTGAGCTCTCTACATTATACAAGTAAAAAAATCAAATCCCTATGTATATTAATGTAAATATGGCAATATTTTTGTCCATTGTGTATTCTTTGTTAAATGACTGAAAACATACCATTCTCTCATTTCTATTATTACTTTCACTGACACTTTGTTCCAATTTCTCTCCCTTTCCTTTCTTTTGCCAACCCAAACTAAGTGGACTGCCAAGCAGTTTCTTAGAGCACTCGTGGTACTCTGGTTCCACAAGCCTGCATAATTCATTCATGGAGGAGCAGAGTGGCCGTCGTAATTCACTGCTAACTGTGAGTTACCCCACGTAACGCCTAAAATTCAATATGCTGATAGAGGCCAAAGTAATTGAAAAAGGAAAATACCTAAAGAACTTAAACCTTAGCACAACCTGAAAGGATTTCTAATGGCCGAGATCTCATTAAAAGATAAAGTTTGCATGTAAAGCCAGACAAAGGGAAAAGAGGCCAAAACGGGCTACATGATTGACAGTGCACCTGCACACTTCGTCCACCAGAGACCTCCACGCACGTGGGTCAGCAGCCAGGGCGCACCGCGCTTTGGTTTAATTTATAAGAACAAAATGCTCTGCTACTCTTTTCTTTCTTGGCTCCTTGTGCCATATTTTTTTTTCCACACAGGTCACCTCATTTTGTTGTTTAAAGAACTATAAAAACTCCAGTTGTATATTCAGAAAGAAGAACACAGCTTGTGAAAAACTAATCAGTGGTTGTTTTTCACTGATAGTTTTTAAAGCAATTAAGGCCTTTGTAGATAAATATGGTTAAGCCCAAGATTTGGTAGCAACAAATTCGATAAATGTAAACAACCACACACATTCTCTCTCTCTCTCACACACACACACAATCTGTATTATTAGATTGCATTTCTATGGCTTACTCATAATTTTTTCCACTGCTTTTCCATCAATACAATATGAATATATGCCAACTTGGTTTTTCAAAATGTGACTTTGCATTGTCACGGTCATTGTCAAATTCACATCCCCAATCTCCTACCATGGTATTTTCAACGTGGGCACATGTTGTTTCTCAGATGACTGTAGTCCTAGTTCTGGGTTTTCTATGGACCAGGTCGACAACACTGGGGAAGGCACTTAACTTCCTTAGGACATAGTGAAATAAAGGAGTTGTGGTAAATGTTTTTACTACATTATTCTTTAAACATGTATTGAGCTGCTTCTTTATGAGAAACTCTGTGAAATGTGTAAAAAATACAATGACAAGTGTGATTCAGTCCCTGCACACAAGAAGTTTAACTTAATATGAGAGTCACAGATGAATGCTGACCAACATAGTTTATCATCAGCAGTCCCGGCAAACTTCTCCTCTCACTTGACTTCTCCTCTCCTCTCCTGCAAACTCCTCCTCTCACTTGACTTCTCCTCTCCACTCCTGCAAACTTCTCTCACTTGCCCACCTCGCCTCACCTCTTATTCTATTTTATTCAATTATGTCATCCACACTCAGGTTACCACAACAGAGACCTTGTCATCCCCACAATTCCACCATTTATGTAATAAAACTCTGAACCAAACAGCCTAACTTTGAATTTATTTACTTCATTACATCTAGCATAATAATCATTGGGCTATCAAAACCATATTGGTTCATTGGCCCTTTTAAACTTTGCCCATGTATCTGAAGTATGGTATTACTAGGTGTATAAACTACTCAATAAAAATAAGATTAGAAATCAATGAAATAGAAAAATATTCAATCAAAAAATATTAAAAGGCAAAAGTATGGTTCTTTAAATAATAATAAAATTTATACAAGCATAGCAAGATTATTTGAGAAAAAAGAAAAAACAAATTACAATACTATAAATAAAAAATAAAAGAAGAAAAAATTACAGATCCCTAAAATATTACAAATATAATACAAATATAGTGAACAATTTTATGTCAATACATTTGCAAGTTTAAACAAAATAGGAAAATATCCTTACAAATGAAATTTACTAAAATCAAAATAATAAGAAACAGAAACCCTAAAACCTCTTATATCTGTTCAAAGTTTGAATCTTTAACTAAAAGCATCATGTGGGGTGGAGCCAAGATGTCCGAATAGCAACAGCTCCAGTCTACAGCTCCCAGCATGAGCAACACAGAAGACGACTGATTTCTGCATTTCCAACTGAGGTACCAGGTTCGTCTCACTAGGGATTGTCGGACAGTGGATGCAGGACAGTGGATGCAGCGCACCGAGCGTGAGCCAAAGCAGGGCGAGGCATCATGTCACCCAGGAAGCACAAGGAGTCAGGGAATTCCCTTTCCTAGTCAAGGAAAGGGGTGACAGATGGCACCTGGAAAATCAGGTCACTCCCACCCTAATACTGTGCTTTTCCAATGGTCTTAGCAAATGGCACATCAAGAGATTGTATCCTGCACCTGGCTCGGAGGGTCCTACACCCACGGAGTCTCTCTCGCTCATGGAGAGCAGAGCAGTCTGAGATCAAATTGCAAGGTGGCAGTGAGGCTGGGGGAGGGGTGCCCGCCATTGCCATGGCTTGAGTAGGTAAACAAAGCAGCCAGGAAGCTCAAACTGGGTGGAGCC
This sequence comes from Homo sapiens, assembly GCF_000001405.40. NCBI lineage: Eukaryota > Metazoa > Chordata > Mammalia > Primates > Hominidae > Homo > Homo sapiens. The sequence goes on along the minus strand of NC_000013.11, from coordinate 103,508,141 downwards.
CACCGCAGCTCAAGGAGGCCTGCCTGCCTCTGTAGACTCCATCTCTGGGGCAGGGCATAGCCAAACAAAAGGCAGCAGAAACCTCTGCAGACTTAAATGTCCCTGTCTGACAGCTTTGAAGAGAGTAGTGGTTCTCCCAGCACACAGCTGGAGACCTGAGAACAGACAGACTGCCTCCTCAAGTGGGTCCCTGACCCCCGAGTACCCTAAATGGGAGGCACCCCCCAGTAGGGACACACTGACATCTCACACAGCCGGGTACTCCTCTGAGACAAAACTTCCAGAGGAATGATCAGGCAGCAACATTTGCTGTTCACCAATATCCACTGTTCTGCAGCCTCCGCTGCTGACACCCAGGCAAAAAGGGTCTGGAGTGGACCTCTAGCAAACTCCAACAGCCCTGCAGCTGATGGTCCTGACTGTTAGAAGGAAAACTAACAAACAGAAAGGACATCTACACCAAAAACCCATCTGTACGTCACCATCATCAAAGACCAAAGGTAGATAAAAACCACAAAGATGGGGAAAAAACAGAGCAGAAAAACTGAAAATTCTAAAAATCAGAGAGCTTCTCCTCCTCCAAAGGAATGCAGCTCCTCACCAGCAATGGAACAAAGCTGGATGGAGAATGACTTTGATGAGTTGAGAGAAGAAGGCTTCAGACAATCAAACTACTCCGAGCTTAGGAGGAAGTTCGAACCCATGGCAAAGAAGTTAAAAACCTTGAAAAAAGATTAGACAAATGGCTAACTAGAATAATCAATACAGAGAAGTCCTTAAAGGACTTGATAGAGGTGAAAACCACGGCACGAGAACTACGTGACAAATGCACAAGTCTCAGTAGCCGATTCAATCAACTGGAAGAAAGGGTATCAGTGATGGAAGATGAAATGAATGAAATGAAGCGAAAAGAGAAGTTTAGAGAAAAAAGAATAGAAGGAAACAAAGCCTCCAAGAAATATGGGACTATGTGAAAAGACCAAATCTACGTCTGATTGGTGTACCTGAAAGTGACGGGGAGAATGGAACCAAGTTGGAAAACACTCTGCAGGATATTATCCAGGAGAACTTCCCCAATCTAGCAAGGCAGGCCAACATTCAGATTCAGGAAATACAGAGAACGCCACAAAGATACTCCTCGAGAAGAGCAACTCCAAGACACATAATTGTCAGATTCACCAAAGTTGAAATGAAGGAAAAAATGTTAAGGCCAGCCAGAGAGAAAGGTCGGGTTACCCACAAAGGGAAGCTCATCAGACTAACAGCTGATCTCTCGGCAGAAACTCTACAAGCCAGAAGAGAGTGGGGGCCAATATTCAACATTCTTAAAGAAAAGAATTATCAACCCAGAATTTCATATCCAGCCAAACTAAACTTCATAAGTGAAGGAGAAATAAAATCCTTTACAGATAAGCAAATGCTGAGAGATTTTGTCACCACCAGGCCTGCCCTAAAAGAGCTCCTGAAGGAAGCACTAAACATGGAAAGGAACAACCGGTACCAGCCACTGCAAAAACATGCCAAATTGTAAAGACCATCGAAGCAAGGAAGAAACTGCATCAACTAACGAGCAAAATAACCAGCTAACATCATAATGAAAGGATCAAATTCACACATAACAATATTAATCTTAAATGTAAATGGGCTAAATGCTCCAATTGAAAGACAAACACTGGGAAATTGAATAAAGAGTCAAGACCCATCAGTGTGCTGTATTCAGGAAACCCATCTCATGTGCAGAGACACACATAGGCTCAAAATAAAGGGATGGAGGAAGATCTACCAAGCAAATGGAAAACAAAAAAAAGGCAGGAGTTGCAATCCTAGGCTCTGATAAAATAGACTTTAAACCAACAAAGATCAAAGAGACAAAGAAGGTCATTACATAATAGTAAAGGGTTCAATTCAACAAGAAGAGCTAACTATCCTAAATATATATGCACCCAATACAGGAGCACCCAGATTCATAAAGCAAGTCCTTAGAGACTTACAAAGAGACTTAGACTCCCACACAATAATAATGGGAGACTTTAACACCCCACAGTCAACATTAGACAGATCAATGAGACAGAAAGTTAACAAGGATATCCAGGAATTAAACTCAGCTCTGCACCAAGAGGACCTAATAGACATCTACAGAACTCTCCACCCCAATTCAACAAAATATACATTCTTTTCAGCACCACACCACACCTATTCCAAAATTGACCATATAGTTGGAAGTAAAGCACTCCTCAGCAAATGTAAAAGAACAGAAATATTAACAAACTGTCTCTCAGACCACAGTGCAATCAAACTAGAACTCAGGATTAAGACACTCACTCAAAACCGCTCAACTACATGGAAACTGAACAACCTGCTCCTGAATGACTACTGGGTACATAACGAAATGAAGGCAGAAATAAAGATGTTCTTTGAAACCAATAAGAACAAAGACACAACATACCAGAATCTCTGGGACACATTCAAAGCAGTGTGTAGAGGGAAATTTATAGCACTAAATGCTCACAAGAGAAAGGAGGAAAGATCTAAAATTGACACCCTAACATCATGATTAAAAGAACTAGAGAAGCAAGAGCAAACACATTCAAAAGCTAGCAGAAGGCAAGAAATAACTTAAGATCAGAGCAGAACTCAAGGAAATAGAGACACAAAAAAACCCTTCAAAAAATCAATGATTCCAGGAGCTAGTTTTTTGAAACGATCAACAAAATTGATAGAACGCTAGCAAGACTAATAAAGAAGACAGGAGAGAAGAATCAAATAGACGCAATAAAAAATGATAAAGGGGATATCACCACCAATCCCACAGAAATACAAACTACCATCAGAGAATACTATAAACACCTCTACGCAAATAAACTAGAAAATCTAGAAGAAATGGATAAATTCCTCGACACATACACCTTCCCAAGACTAAAGCAGGAAGAAGTTGGATCTCTCAATAGACCAATAACAGGCTCTGAAATTGTGGCAAAAACTGAATGTGCAAAAACTGGAAGCATTCCCTTTGAAAACTGGCACAAGACAGGGAGGCCCTCTCTCACCACTCCTATTCAACATAGTGTTGGAAGTTCTGGCCAGGGCAATTAGGCAGGAGAAGGAAATAAAGGGTATTCAATTAGGAAAAGAGGAAGTCAAATTGTCCCTGTTTGCAGATGACATGATTGTATATCTAGAAAACCCCATCGTCTCAGCCCAAAATCTCCTTAAGCTGATAGACAACTTCAGCAAAGTCTCAGGATACAAAATCAATGTGCAAAAATCACAAGCATTCTTATACACCAATAACAGACAAACAGAGAGCCAAATCATAAGTGAACTCCCATTCACGATTGCTTCAAAGAGAATAAAATACCTAGGAATCCAACGTACAAGAGATGTGAAGGACCTCTTCAAGGAGAACTACAAACCACTGCTCAATGAAATAAAAGAGGACACAAACAAATGGAAGAACATTCCATGCTCATGGATAGGAAGAATCAATATCGTGAAAATGGCCATACTACCCAAGGTAATTTATAGATTCAATGCCATCCCCATCAAGCTACCAATGACTTTCTTCACAGAATTGGAAAAAACTACTTTAAAGTTCATATGGAACCAAAAAAGAGCCCGCATTGCCAAGTCAATCCTAAGCCAAAAGAACAAAGTTGGAGGCATCACACTACCTGACTTCAAACTATACTACAAGGCTACAGTAACCAAAACAGCATGGTACTGGTACCAAAACAGAGACGTAGACCAATGGAACAGAACAGAGCCCTCAGAAATAATGCCACATATCTACAACTATCTGATCTTTGACAAACCTGACAAAAAGAAGAAATAGGGAAAGGATTCCCTATTTAATAAATGGTGCTGAGAAAACTGGCTAGCCACATGTAGAAAGCTGAAACTGGATCCCTTCCTTACACCTTATACAAAAATTAATTCAAGATGGATTAAAGACTTAAATATTAGACCTAAAACCATAAAAACCCTAGAAGAAAACCTAAGCAATACCATTCAGGACATAGGCATGGGCGAGGACTTCATGTCTAACACACCAAAAGCAATGGCAACAAAAGACAAAATTGACAAATGGGATCTAATTAAAGTAAAGAGCTTCCGCACAGCAAAAGAAACTACCATCAGAGTGAACAGGAAACCTACAGAATGGGAGAAAATTTTTGCAATCTACTCATCTGACTAAGGGCTAATATCCAGAATCTACAATGAACTCAAACAAATTTACAGGAAAAAAACAACCCCATCAACAAGTGGGCAAAGGATATGAACACACACTTCTCAAAAGAAGACATTTACGCAGCCAAAAGACACATGAAAAAATGCTCATTATCACTGGCCATCAGAGAAATGCAAATCAAAACCACAAGGAGGTACCAGCTCGCACCAGTTAGAATGGCAATCATTAAAAAGTCAGGAAACAACAGGTGCTGGAGAGGATGTGGAGAAATAAGAACACTTTTATACTGTTGGTGGGACTGTAAACTAGTTCAACCATTGTGGAAGTCAGTGTGGCAATTCCTCAGGGATCTAGAACTAGAAATACCATTCGACCCAGCCATCCCATTACTGGGTATATACCCAAACGATTACAAATCATGCTGCTATAAAGACACATGCACATGTATGTTTATTGCGGCACTATTCACAATAGCAAAGACTTGTGAACCAACCCAAATGTCTAACAATGATAGACTGGATTAAGAAAATGTGGCACATATACAGCATGGAATACTATGCAGCCATAAAAAATGATGAGTTCATGTCCTTTGTAGGGACACGGATGAAGCTGGAAACCATCATTCTCAGCAAACTATCGCAAGGACAAAAAACCAAACACCGCATGTTTTCACTCATAAGTGGGAATTGAACAATGAGAACACTTGGACACAGGAAGGGGGACATCACACACTGGGGCCTGTTGTGGGGTGGGGGGTGTGGGGAGGGATAGCATTAGGAGATATACCTAATGTTAAATGACGAGTTAACGGGTGCAGCACACCAACGTGGCACATGTATACATATGTAACAAACCTGCACGTTGTGCACATGTACCCTAAAACTTAAAGAATAATTTAAAAAAAAAAGCATCATGTGAAAATATTTCAGGACAAGATAACTTTCCTGAAGAATTTATCTTAGCATTTAAGGAAGAAATAATTCTGATTTTACATAAACTTTTCTAGAGAACAATATAAAAGATGGAAGTCTTACCAATTCATTCAAGGTGGCCAACATAAGCTCAATAACTAAAACTTGCCAAAAACATTACTGGAAAAGAAAATTGAAAGGCAATCTTTTTAATTAGTCGGACACAAAAATCCTAAATATAATATTAAGAGTAAAGCCCATTATAAGTAAGTGAATTTTATTTCAGAAAAGCAAAGTTGGGATATATCAATTTAGGTTAACAGAATTAAAAAATCATAATCACTTCAAATTTAGTAAAAATATTTGACAAAAATAAATGCATATTTAAGGCTAAAAATTTTCCAGCAGACTCGGAACACAAGAAAATTAAATTCCCTTCTATAATCTTATCTTTCTTTCTTTCTGTGCACAAATTTCATCTCTCCTTCATTGTTGAGCACTAATATTACCGTCTATATGAAAATCCATTTGATCATTTAATCCACGGTTATCTGCTTTTCTTCAGCTCTGATTTTTTACAATAAACAGCTTATTTTTCTTGCTACATTTCTAGTATTTGCGTATATAATACCTGTATTGCAATTTAAGTCTTACTGTATATGCACGGTCTCACAGCTAAATTATCACTTCTTTGAGGTGTGAAACTGAATAATATATATATTTAGAAGATGAAAACCAATGCATTTGTTCCTTTAGTAAATAGATATAAAGTTTCAGCTATGTTTCAGGCACTGAAAGGTTAGGTGCTAGATATACAATAATAAGACATGAGGCTTGCCCTCAAGAATTCAGTCAAGTCAGACAGACAGACATACCAACTGAAATAAATAACAATACTACTGGGCAAAGTTCAAGACTGCATAGAACAATAAAATAACAGAAAAAAATGATATTCAAGTGAACAGTAATATAAATCTATATAATGTTACATTTTAATAGAATTTTCTAAAATTTTCTGATACAATAAATTTACATTCATTAACTGCATACATTTAGTTCATACTATTAAGTACTTATTGTGTTCTTGCATATACAAAGATGAATGAGATTTTATCCCTGCCTTTACCAAAATCAAAGTGTGAGGAAGAATAGATTATAATGAAATGTGGCAGGTACATTATAAGATAAGGACAAAGTCATCTGGGGACACCAAGGACACAGACACCAGCTCTGTCTGAGGTATCAGGGAAGGACTTACTGCAGTGGACATCAATTATTTGTTCAATCAATATATATCAAGTTCCTTTGATGAGCCTGGCACTGTGTTGTGAGTCAAAAGACAGAGCAGCAAAACGAACAAAAATAGACATGGATTGTGGAGGCATTTAATCTGGAATTTACAAAATAGTTAATTTTGAATAAATACAGTTGGGATGAAAATTGCAGGGATGCAAAAAAGCTTGAGAGACAATATAATTGCTGAGAGATTAGTCAGTGCGGCGTGAATGCCTGTGGTGTATCCCTCTCTTAGGCACTTACTCTTTAGGTAAACTTGGGCAGGTTGCTTAGCCTTCTGATGTCATTTTCCTTATCTTTACAATGGGAATGATAATATTAATAGTATATACCGCTTAGATTTGTTGTAACTTTTAAATGAGTTTATACATGCTGCAAAGCACTTATCACCACATTGAGAACAAGGTAACTACTCAAGACAAACTCACACGAAAAAGGTGATTTTTAAAGCAAAACCAGCTAACTTTAAACAGCAAAGTGAAGTTTATGTATGTGTGAACAGACCATGGTGAGATTAAAGGAGGTTAAAAAAATATATAATGGAAATGATATAACATTTTATTGCTTCTGTTGAGTTAGCACATGGGGTGGCAAAATATAGCCCATGGGCCAAATTCACCCTGCTCCTGTTTCTGTAAATTAACTTGTGTTGGACATAGCCACACTCATTCATTTATCTATTGCCAATAGCTTATTATGCCCTACAGTGGTAGAGTTTAGTTTTAGGGACCAATATCATGCGACCTGCAAAGAAACTATATTTACTATCTCTTCTTTACAGAATAAAGCCTCTTGGCCTCCAAGTTACAGAAATGGAAGAAGCAAGATCTTGCAGGGGAGTAGGAAAATCCCAGCCAAAGCCCAGTGTAGGAAGTGGGATGTAAAATTAGGAAAAAGCTAGATTGCAGGAAATGACAAACACTTGCACCATGCAAACAAAATAATTGTAACATATCCATCATTTTCCTTAAAATGAATTGAGACCACATACATGAAATTATAGCTGTTCGATGTCAGAACTCCTGGATTTTCCTCACAGATAACATTACCTATAAAATAAATAGTTGGACTAGATGATCTCTACAGTCCCATTCAGACCTGAGCATCCATTACTCTAAATATTTCTTAGTATCTCCTGGAGTGTTTTTGCTACCTTGCAGGAAAGATTACAAATTTTATTTATTTTATTACAAACCAAATGGAAGAAACACTTATGTAGACTATTAAATTTTTACTACTTAATATATGTTGATCATAAAAGTTAATTCTTATGCAAAGGACATTTTAAAAATCTCAAATTACAGGAAAACTGTTCATTGGGAATTTCATTCACGTTTTATGTTAATAAGGTTGTATTTATAAAGGTAAATATATTAAAACAGCAGAATAAATATCTTTCAACAGTGAATTCAAGAGTCCAAAATCACCATCACGCTCAGCTCATCCCCATTTCTCCCCACTCTCCTATGTCCCCAACATTGGTAAAGGGCAGCATTATCCACCCAGAAGCCCAGGCAAGGGACCCAGGACTCACCCTACACTTGTCTGCTACTCTCTGCAGCAACTCCCTGAAGACCTGCGCAGTCTCCAAGCCCTCTTCAATATCTCCATATCCCCATTTCTCTCCATTTCTTTTGCTACTCCACTAAATTTAATCTGCCATCCTTTCTTTCCTTGGTTATTACCACAGCATACCTAGTTCACTTCTATCCATATTGTTCTCTACAAATGATCAGCTCTTAACATTCACTGCTATCAGAATAAAGCAAAAATCCCCTGAAATGGTTTGCAAAGTGCTTCACGATCTTGCTCCCTACTTAACTCATTAATCATTTGCCTTCTTTATCTACTCACTGGGTCACCAGCAATCTTTGCAATACCCTTGGGGTACGGCCTTGTCTCACCTGTGTGTCTTTGTACACACGCACTGTGTGTCTTTGTACACACGCACTGTGTGTCTTTGTACACACACACTGTGTGCCTTTCTCACTTTGGAATAACTTTTCTGAATGCTGACCAGTCTACATTCACCTGGCTGTTTACTGTATTCGGAAATCAACTTAGATGTCATCTCTTCATACAAGCCTTAAATAACCCCATCAGAAAGGACTAAGTACCCGTACTGAGTAGTCCACACAATCCTGTGCCTGTTTATACCATGACATAAACAATAATACTGTGTTGTAATCACATAGTTGCTTGTTCATCTCCTCAGTAAGACATTATATACACAATCTGTTAGAGTGTTTGGTTTATGCCAGGCAATACCAGATATGTTTTGAGGAAAATAAATGAATACCTAAGTTACTCTAAAATTTTTAAACAGAAGACAAAAATTGAGTAGAAAGTAAAAGCATAAAAATATAGCCTATTTGAAAAGTGATATTCTCTACCATAAGAAAAATAGCTATAACAGTATGTGTTTAGAACAGTGTAATTATGCAATTTATCATGATGACTTTACTACATTTTGTCATATTTGACATGTTTTTAGAGTGGGGAAAATAGGAAACAGTTCGATCTCAGTCGTCAAGCAGCAGTAAAAAAAAAAACCAAACACCAGATATGCATCCATACAAAAACCCAAAGAATTTGATACAAATTAGGAAAAGGAGTAAATCATCCACTGACACGTAATTGTCAAATGAAACACTGGTGTTGCTGTGTGATTCTCTTCATTCAGGTGTCATTAGGTGTGAAAGGCACCAAGGAAAGAGGAAAGGAAAAGAGGGAAGCAGAAGGAAAAAAAAGGAGAAAGAGATAGATGAATAGAAGGAGAGGTGAGGAAGAGGAAGAGAAGGAAGGCGGAAGGGAAGGAAGGAGGTATCAAGAAAGAAACGAAGGATTCTTTTCTTGGGTTTTTATTTTTTTTTCTGGTAGGAGAACTGTCTGTAGGAGAAAAGTGATATATGTCTGCCCCGTATGTAAGTTGTAGTTTTCACTCTTTTAAACAATGCAGAAATAGAAGACCAAAAAAACAAGAACTTGTACCAGCAACTTTACTTCTAACAATAATCAAGTGCTAGGCTTCCAGGCTCCTTTCCACCCTGAGAAAGCATCCTCCAATTTGTATTGAGTAAAATTCAGCTTTAAACCCCTCCTCTAATCTGCATTGTTCTGTATCTTTTATTTTGACTTTTTATCAGGACTTCTCCATTTTTTTTATATCTCATAGAATTTTGTATAATTTATATTAACTTTATAATTGTATACTCTGATGATATGTAGAAGCATAGTCAGATATTTTTCAACTTATTCTCAGATCTTCAGGAATCAATCCTGCCAATCAAAGGCAGGACATCTTATTGTTTAAGGCCTCGTAACCATCACTTGTGAGTTTCACAGACTGCAGAAATATATCATACATAATCAGTTTCAAATTCTTGCACCAAAGTCACCATAGGTCACTTGTCAAAACTACAGATACTTAACCTCACCGCAGATCCACCAAATTAGAATCTCTGCATTGTTAACAAGCTCTTCAAAGTGATTTTATCAAGCTTTAAAATCTGCTCTCAGGGAGAAGTTGCACAAATTTAAGCCCCATTTCAATGATGTAAAACACTAATAGGAAAAAGTAGAAGTCAAACTGGATTTTGTAATACTATTGATATGATGGGCTTATTCTGTTTTATTCTAGAAATGGGCCAATGCTTCTGAATATGTAGCTGGGGGTTAAGCACCTGAAGAAAATTGGAATTCTGTGGAAATGTGAGAGCAAAGGTGACTGGATGCAAATGAGACAAACGGCAGAGCTGCCATCCAGGTACTCGGTGTCTCCACGAGCCCTGGGACACTTTCAAGAAGAGAACATGGCATCAGTAAGGTATTTTAGGAAAGGCTTTGGTGCTTGCTTCACTCAGAGGGTTGTTTCTTTCTTATTTCCTCAGTTTTACAGCTGGAATTTGTATGACTAGTGTGGTAGACTGAATAATGGCCCCCAAAGATGTCTATGTCCTAATCCTCAGAACCTGTGCATATGTTACCCTACACAGTAAAAGGGGCTTTGCCTGTGTGATTAAATAAAGGGTTTGGGGATGGGGAGATTATCCTGGATTACTCAGGTGAGCCTGATGCAATCACAGGGGTCCTTTATAAGAGGGAGGTGGAAGGGAAGATAAGATAGAGGTGACATGATGACGGAAGCAGTGGGAGAGATTGGAAGACAATAAGCTTCTGGCTGTCACAGTGGAGAAGGAGCCACTGGCCAAGGAGTTTAACAACTTCTTAGGAACTGGAAAAAGCAGGGAATGGATTTTCCCCCAGAGCCTGTGGCAGAAACCAGTCCTATTCACACCTTGGTATTAGCCCACTGCCACTGAACTTTATCTTCTGATCTCCAGAATTCTAAAATAATAAATTTTTGTTATGTTAGGCCATTAGCATGGTTGTGATAAGTTATAGTAGCAATACAAAACTAATACAACAGGCACTGAAAAAATGAACCACTTATTGGAATAAAAATTAAAGGTTCATGTATTTGTTAATGAATAAACTATGTGGCATTAAAATACTTGAAAATAAAATATCTGAAACTGATCCATATCTACCAAGTGTTACTATATTTTATGCCATAATTCCTTTAACAGTCTGGTGAGATCTATGAATCTATGAATCCCATCTCAGAATATTTTTAACACATAAAATAACATCCATGGGAACAGAAGCCCATTAAATTGTGATACTGTTTGTACCCTAATTTATGTACCTTTAATACAAGGTAGAAATTATTTAAATGAAGACCAACCTAATCCTTTGAGTCAAAGATTTTATTTTATTAATAAGAATATGAAGGGTACAAAGGAAGTATTTTGCTTATCTGCTTAATCTGTCTGTGGATTCTATATTAAAATAATGAATAATGACAGTGTCTGAAACACCTTGCTTGCATGTATTAAATCTGCCAGTCCAGAGGCCTGTCTTCCTCCAGTTGAGTCTTAGACCCTCACCCTGCTAAAAAAAAAAAAACTTATCTTTTGATGCCTCCAGGCACCTGATTATAGTTCCAGAGATTACATCGGTCCAAGGCATAACAAAACCACTAATTCTAGAGATTGTAAAAAAAAAAAAAAAAAAAAAAAAAAAAAAAAAAGTAGCATACTATTTTCAGTTATAAACAACCAAACAAAATACACAAATACTGGCTTATATCTTACATGATGTTTTAGTGTAACACATATATAGAACAACACATCTACATGGATTGAGATTAACTCTGTATGCTTTTCTACATGCACTAGTCATTCTATTCATTTGCCAATTTCAGATTTATTTTTTCATATTGACATTATATGCAATTAGAAAAACTTATAAATGAGCATGCCTCATTACTCGGATTAGACATACATACTGTACATGTAATATGATCATGTTAAAATGTAGAGTAACAGTTGATTAACTATGCAGAAAAAGTAAAATTAGGTCCTCACCCTACACCGTATATATAAAAAAAAATCTAATGGAATATAGCAGCAAGCATACAAGTTCAACTAAAAACCAGAGTAGCCTATACATATCTACTTATCCGATGGAAAATATCAAATGGCATTCTGAGTGAAAACCTTAAGATAGAAAGTTGATAGCGCTAACAATATAAAAATATGTAAATAATATCAATATTTATTTGTATAAACATAAAATATAGAAATATTTGTTTAAAATATAAAAATCAAATTGGGCACATCATTTTAATAAATATAAGATATTATGTTTAAAATTTAAAAATCTAGGCTGGGCATGGTGGCTCTCCCCTGTAATCCCAACATTTTGGGAGGCTGAGGCAGTTGGATCACCTGAGGTCAGAAGGCCGAGACCAGCCTGGCCCACATGGGGAAACCCAGTCTCTACTAAAAACACAAAGATTAACTGGACCTGATGGCAGGCACCTGTAATCGCAGCTACTCGGGAGGCTGAGGCAGGAGAATCACTTGAACCTGGGGGTGGGGTGTGGAGGTTGCAGTGAGTTGAGATTGTGCCATTGCACTCTAGCTTGGGTGACAAGAGTGAAAAAAAAATTAAATATTTCACTAACTATCATGAAAAAGATGATTCAGCTAATAAACAAGTGAAGAAACACATATGCAGTTCAAAAAGAACTATACATGAGCATACTTATGATAAATTCCATCTCAGCAATATCTAAGAAACACTAAGTAAGACAAAAGTTAATTTTTCCTCAGAACACAAAATTAAGCCCTAACTTTTTACCACTAGCTTAGGAAAAAAGAGAGTTTCTTTGTTGGTGGTGCTAATTTGACTACATGTACCAACTTCGTAAAAAATGTTAACTCAATTTTCACAATTTAACCTAAGGGAATAATCAGAGATGTGCTAAAAGAGTTGTGATCAAAAGTTTTCATCTCCAGAAGATAGAATAACAGGAAAAACTTTTTGAAAAGAACAAAACATGCTCATCTTTTATGAGTAAAGAGCAATTTGAAAAAGACAAATGTGTTAAGTATAAATATCTAGAAAAAACACTGAGGAGACATGCACCAGAATATCATGTGAGATTTCTGCTTCCAGGCAAGATGGCGTAACAGAACAGATTTATCCTCCCACTTGAAATGACTAAATATGAAAACAAAATGTGTGAAACAACAGCCCTCAGGACTTAGATAACAAGGAAAGGAAAGAGAGTAATTTCTGACAAATGGGAAATGAAGAAGATGAGCCCTAAAACTTCTCTTGACTACTGCTTGAGAAAAGTTTCAGACCACAATGCCGGGAAAGGAAATTCAGTCAAATCCAGGAATTGAGGCGACAAAACTTGGATTCCAGTAAAGTCAAGGTGAAGAAAGTTCTGAGGGCAGTGTCTAGAGACAAAGCAGCTTAGGGAAAGAACACCACAGATCTCCAGAGAATCTGTCTCAAGAGCATAGTTGACTACTAGTCATCTGTGCCTTCACATGAGGAAACAACCTGAGACCAGGGAAGGAAACACCTCAAAAGATTAAAGGGAACAGTTCCTGGAGATTAAACAGCACTAGGAATAGAGCCTTTACCCAACAGCCAGAGTAAAAACCATTATTCAGAAGGCTCTGATATGAGATTAATATGAAAGGTCTTACCTGAGTGGAAGGAACAATTATCCCTATAGAAAATGAAGATCTAGTCCCATCTAAAAAGATTTAAAGGAACATGTGAAAAACAAACTGTTTCCACATAACATAATCATGTTTAGAATGAAGCTCTAGAATGATGGAAATACAAAAATATAGACAGCATCACAATACACTGACATTGTTCGGCAACCACTTAAAATTTACAAGGTATATATATATATATATATATATATATATATATATATATATATCACCTGTAATTAGCATAAAATCAGTTAATTGAAATAGATTCAGAAATGATAGAGATGATATAATTAATAGGCCAGTATATTACAATAATGTTCATCACTGTATCTTATATCTTGAAGAAAATAGAGGAAAATGTTTATTTAAATAGAGATATGATGGTATTAAAAGATACAAATTGAACTTCTGAGCTAAAAACCATGATGTCTGAACTAAAAACCACACCAGATGGGAATGAAGGCAGATAACTTAGACATGGAAGGGGAAGAGACTAGTAAACTAACTTAGTGACTAGCTTTGCTTAGCTTTTCATTGCTGTTGTGAAAAATTACTAAAAACTAAATAGTATAAAAACACACATACGCATGAATATTATTTATGCTTCACCAGGTTAGAAATTCAACAGGGGTCTTATTCATTGTATTAAAATAAAGGTATTAGAAGGTTACATTCCTTCTGGAGCTTTTTGGTAATAATCTGTTCCCTGGCTCTTTCCAGCTTCTAAAAGTTGCCCTCACTGCTTGGATCATGGTCCCCTTCTTCAACCTCCAAAGCCAGAAACGCTGGATCAAGTTCATCTCACACTGCACATCTTTGCTCTGTTTTTCTGCTTTGTTTTCACTGTGATGGCCGGGCATGGTGGCTCATGCCTGTAATCCCAGCACTTTGGGAGGCCAAGGCAGGCAGATCACTTGAGGTCAGGAGTTCGAGACCAGCCTGGCCAACATGGTGAAACCCTGTCTCTACCAAAACTACAAAAATTAGCGGGGCATGGTGGTGGGTGGCTGTAATCCCAGCTACTCAGGAGGCTGAGGCAGGAGAATTGCTTGAACCTGGGAGGCAGAAGTTGTAGTGAGTCCACATTGTGCCATTGCACTCCAGCCTGGGCGACAAGAGCAAGACTCCATCTCAAAAAAAAAAAAAAAAACCTCATGTGATTAGATTGGTCTTATCAAGATAAACCAGGATAATCTCCCTGTTTCAATATCACCTGAGCAGCAATATTAATTATGTTGTCACCTTTAATTCCTCTGCCATGTAACATAATATATTCAAAAATTCTGTGTTTAGGATGCAAACATCCTTGAGGTGCCATTATTTTACCCACCACAATGACATAGCAATATAATCCATGCAAAATGGAACACACAAAAAACAAAAGATTGAAATAAATGAACTGACCATTAGTGAGCTGTGTTATAACTTCAAGTGATCAAATATATGTATAATTGGAGTCTCCAAGGTAGCGTAGGGCAAGATAGTATTCAAATAAATACTGGCTGAAATCTTTCCAACTTTGATAAAAATTGTAATCTTATGGATCAGGGAATCACAAAAAAACTCAAAGCACAAGAAACATGAAAAGAGTGACACCAAGGCACATCATAACTAAATTACTTCCATCCAGTCACAAAGAAAAATGCTTAAAATAAGCCAGAAACAAAAGATACGTAACATATAGAGGAACAAAGATAATGACAGCAAATTTCTAATTGGAAACATTTAAGTTAAAAGACAGTGGGAAAACATTTTTAAAGTACTGAAAGACAAAAAAGTAACAGTTTTTTTTTTCAAATGCAAAAATATCTTAATGAAATAAGAGGGAAAAAATCCTTATTCAGAAATACAAAAGCTGAAAGAGTTCATCACCAGCAGGTCTACAATATAAGAAATATTAAAGGAAGCCCTTTAAGCAGAAGGAAATTGATACGATATGATCACCTGGATCTATGAAAGAAAAACATAAGCCCAGGAATGTAATTACATTGGCAAATAAGAGGGTTTTTTTCTTATTTAAATATCTTCAACAGGTTTAATGGGTAGGTAATAGGTTGATAGGTGCAGCAAACTACCATGGCACACATTTACCTATGTAGCAAACCTACACATCCTGCACATGTACTCCAGAACTTAAAATAAAATACAATTAAATTAAATTAAAAAATAAATATCTTTAAAAGACATATAATAACAAAGTACTATGGGGTTTATAGTATACCTAAAAGTAAAATGTGTAACAAAAACATCACAAAGTTATGTGAAGTGGCATAATATCCTTTGAAGCTAGACTGTGTACTATAAGCTCCAAAGCAAGCACTATAATTACAAAACAAAAAAGGAATGGCCGAGGCGGGCGGATCACGAGGTCAGGAGATCGAGACCATCCCGGCTAAAACGGTGAAACCCCGTCTCTACTGAAAATACAAAAAATTAGCCGGGCGTAGTGGCGGGCGCCTGTAGTCCCAGCTACTTGGGAGGCTGAGGCAGGAGAATGGCGTGAACCCGGGAGGCGGAGCTTGCAGTGAGCCGAGATCCCGCCACTGCACTCCAGCCTGGGCGACAGAGCGAGACTCCGTCTCAAAAAAAAAAAAAAAAAAAAAAAAAAAAAAAAAAAAAAAAAGGAATGGAAGTGGAAATTTAAAAATATTTTGAACCAAAGATGAAATGACAACATATTAAAATGTGAGCAGTACAGCTTAAGCAGTTATTACAGAAAAATTTATAGCACTAAACAACAATATTAGGAAGAAGAAACATTGAATAATCTCGGCTTCCCCCTTAAGAAACAAAAAAGAAAGGTAAACTAAATCCAAGGTAAGCAAAAAACTAAAATAAGTCATAGTAATTAATAAAATGAAAATACACAAATATATACTCTGTATATTGTACATATTATATATACATAATATATATTTACTAGGTATTTTAATAAAAAAACACAGCTCTATTTTCAAAATTTAAGAAATACATTTTAAAAAATCTCCAGCCTAATAAATTTAAAACAAAGATTACTTTTAGTAAAGGACATATAATCCATAATATTAAAATGTAATTATATTGAAAATCTTAAATAAATAAATCAAAACCATTTCTGAAGGGGGAAAATAATATTCTTCATCAAAGCCATGTTTCAGAAGCATGCACAACATGGCACCTTTCAGGCATGTGTTTATTAATTCCACAAACAACTATTAAGTATCTGCTTACTATGAACTAATCCGTGTATTGGGATCCACAGAAACTGCAGTCAGCCAAACAGCCAATGCACAAAGCAGTCCTGTGCTTTTGTACTGCAGTATGTAAAGACAGATGGATCTCAGCTTCCTCTGGACCACTCTCTGTGTGTGCTGTGCATCTCCACTTAAGAAGCTCACTTTGCCTCTTCTGATGGCATTTTCAAAGATGTTTTCCAAGGGACAAGGGGTTGCTCTCTGATGACACAATTCTTCCCTATGGCTACACTCTACTCCTTCCAAGGACACAGAGACACTGAGTAACCTAGGTGTGTGTGTGTGCATGTGTAAGTGCATGTGTGTGTGCCTGTGTGTGTGTTGGTCTGCACGAGGGTGGAGGGTGGAGAGAGGAGTGGAGAGCCTAGCCAGAAACATCACTTCTTCCCACTGTGCAGATTTGCCTTTTGCTCTGGCCCAAAAGACCAGACTTAATCACACAAGGTGGCCTCCTTTGTACTTCATAAATCCTATGTTCTCACTCCAGTTGGCTCCCCTTTAAATGCCAGGAAAAAAGTTCAGTAAGTTTGACTATTTCCACATCTCTATTTTGATCAGAGTTTAATCTTTTATCCCAGGGCTCCTGGGCTTTTAATCCAGTGGTAGGGCAGATATTTTTTCTTATGAACCTAACTCAAGTATTATAAAGTTCCTGCATAGGCTTCATGGCAATTAAGAGGCTGACATGGCAAATACAGAGAACATCTAGAGAATGGTGTGGCCTGGAGTTATCAGTTAGCATAATTAATATCAATGCCATCACTGTCGAATCACTATTATGTATAACTTTTGTTTTCAAACTTTTCCCACTAAATTGTGTCTTTTTAGGGCTTATGACTCATTGAATTTTATATCTTTAATATCTTGCAAAATGTGTGGCAGGTAAAAAGAGGTAGTCAATAAATATTTACTAACCAAATAAAAATAACCATTAATTTCATCTAAAGGCTTTGGACTTTATTCTGATTTCTCAAGCATACCCCAAAATAAAACTATCTCACTCTTTAGCTTTAAAAATTGTTGAGAAACTACAAAAAATCACCTAAACTCAGTAAGGAAATTATAAATATCTTTTCATAGGTCAGACTAGGAAAACATGGTACCCTTCCATTTCCTCTCTGAGTACTTTACATAATTAGGATTCACCTAATGTGAGCTCCATCGGCAAACCTCAGAATTCTTCTGACAAGTTTATATGTAAAATTAGACCATTTTGGAAATGACCCTTAGACATTGCCACTTGTGTTTAAACTTGAATCCTTTCAAACATGAGTTTGCTCTTCAACGCATGAAGATAAAAACTAAAATTGGACAGTATCTTAGTGATAACTGAGACCCTCAATCTTCTGTATCAAGAAATGATTTGTTTTCTTCTTTAATGTCTTAAACAATGTTATTTATTTAAGGAATCATGTTCACAAACACTTGTTTATGTCATGTATTCAGTTCTTGCACCTGCATCTTTGAAATATCAGTGGAAGGAATGCATTAATAATTCCCTGAGCTGTTACATTTTTTACTGTTTTGTGGAAACTTGTAAACATTCAAACATAATTTGCCCTCAGAATTGTCCAATTTGAGTAACCTCACAAATACGTTTGCTTAGAATACCTGTGTCCTTCAAAAGTGTCTTCAGCAAGATTTTCTCAAGTTCCAAATAATGGAACTATCACTGATTGTGAGTTGTCATTAAGAAGAATTATTTTTACCAAGTAGCTCATAGAATCCTCTTGGTGCCATGCCATGCTCTGTGAAGAAACTTGTGTTTGGAAACATATATAGGTATTGTCTAAACATGCATCTGCGGCTAATTAAGATAAGCCTCCACAGCACCAGATAAAAGATGAAAATTAATCTCGCAGGTTTGGGATGATGCTTAGCTTGTTCCCATGCACAAGTTCTCAGTAATACCACTGTTTCAATTATTTACCTTTTGCTACCTGACACGTAGCAGTGGGGCCAGCTGGAAATGAGATAAAAGTGTCAACTGGATCCTGCTGGCAGAGCGAAGCCAAATGTGATGAATCCTCCATACAGTTAGTGTGTTTCAGACTTGGTACATAAGACACACCATCCCCTTTTGTCACCTATTCGTGATTTTCCATGTTCAAAGAACAGATTAAAATTACAATTTTTAGCTTGCTAATTTACATCATTATGCCCAATCTCTAATTGTATCTCCCCAGAATTGTGACATTAAATTGCACTACTAATGTTCTCAATGCTTTCATTAGTAAAACTGATATTGGTAAACAGATGTGCTGTTTCTGTTAGAATTTTTCTTGACAATTTAAAAAAAAGAATAAAATTACCTACAATTACATTAAAAGAATAAAACATGATAGTAATGCTAAATTAAAAA
Source organism: Homo sapiens (assembly GCF_000001405.40). NCBI lineage: Eukaryota > Metazoa > Chordata > Mammalia > Primates > Hominidae > Homo > Homo sapiens. The sequence continues at coordinate 103,489,062 of NC_000013.11, read as the reverse complement.
TAAATAAGATAAATTCAACTTTACCTCAAAAGATGAGCTAGAAATTTGAGTCACATATAATCACAGGCATAAATACATGAAACAACATGTCATAGATTTATTCAAGAACCAAGAATCAGAGAAGCATTTGGTTAAAGTTACCATTTATTAACTTTATTTTCAGTCTCTTTCATCCGATCACATAAAAAATTTTAAGATTTGGTAAGATGTTTGACTTATGCAAAAAAGTCAATACAAGCAGAAAATAATAATGAATGTGTTACAACTTGGAAAAACAATACATTTTGAGAAAAAAATGTAGCTGTTTTGAAATGAAAGACATTTGTCTAAGACTTCTAAGCTTTTTTAAAAAAACTTTTAATTTCATTTGTTAATACCATAAGCAAACATGGGCCCTATTATTAGCTGTTTGTTAAGAAAATAAACTATGGAAATGCAAATGCTCCAAGGTAGTTTCAAAGTCAAAAACTTCTCCATAACACTAACGTAGAGATCTAAATATTTCCACAGACTGTCCTACAAATGCACTACTAGAAATCATAACTATGTTAAAACAATGATCCTAAAATATTCTGTAAATTCAAAGGTCCACACAGGAGGAGAAAGACCAAAAGCATATGACATCATTAATTAGTGAGAGTTTTTCTTTTCTTAGAGGATTTAAACACATCTAGGTATTTTTATTTTGCACACAAATTGCACGGCTACAAACTGTAAAGCACAAACCAGTAGACAGCCTAACTATACGATTAAAAAACTAAACCAGTTTGAAACTGAGGTGGAATTTGAATTCTGTTTATTTTATAGAATTACAAAGACTGTGAAAGTGTGTGGCATAAGTGCATATCCACACACACACAAACATTTACTTAATGATGTCTTAAATCCCAGAAGATATACAGAAGGAAATAGTGGTGGTCAGAGCTATGCCGGCCCAGAGGAGCAGGGGTAGGAACTTGGAATGATATGACTGTTTCCAAGACCTCCAACTTTGAAAAGAGGAATTAATAGCTATAGAGGATGTGTGACAGCAGAATTTCTCAAACTTTTGGCACGCTATTTGTCCCAAACCACAAAATGATGTGTAAGCACTTCAAGAAAATCTCAGGAGTAAAAGAAAATGGTTCCTACTTGCAAAAAAAAAAAAGGATCTGACAACTTGTCACCTTGGAAAGGTTCCATTTCATTTTTTGTGAACTTTGTTTTTTAAGTGTGAAGCAGAGAAATCTTCATACACCACAGTGCATACACCTCGCCTTATATCCACAGACTAATTCACAGGAGGAAGTATGCATACATCAAATGACCAATGTGCAAGGTTGAAGGGCTTGAAACACTGTCTTCTTACAGTTTTATTTATTTTATATGAGTTTAGAAACAGAGAATTCTTCTTAATGTATAATAAAAATATGAAAACCCCACTGATACTGTTGATGTGTTTTCATGTAACCATGCAAGAACAGCTTCTTAATCAGCCAGCCACTGTTGCAGCCCGAATTTAACAATTGTATAGAACCATACAGCATGCATCTTCTTGCATGTTTGCTTTTGTTGGGCCAAATCAAGCCACTGTATACTACTTACTTTCATCTGACTTCTAAAAATCCATTTTTTATCTTCTCCCTCAATGTCTCGAGTCTATTACTGTAAAACAACTAAAATCATATGGTAAAGTACATGGATTATTGAAAAACAGAGAAACAAATTACACATAGATACACTCATTACTTTCTAAAAAGTTGATAAAGATTTAATAATATCTAGAATATTGATCTCTCCAATTTTTCAACTCTTAGTGTCCTAGTCATTTATTTCTCATATTTTACCACTTTGTTTTATATATTCTCATCCTCTTGTTTCTTGTGTGCTTTAATATAAATAAGTTATCTGATAGCTGGTTGTAAGATTCTTGCAGAAAGAAATTCAATGTCTCACTTCATTTTATTTTGTTCAGTGTGTAGCACGCTAGCAAACACAAGTACTCAATGACACTTGTGGTTGATCTGATTACGGTGGATATATTCAATGGAGCTCCTCATAAGCGTCTTTCCCTTTCAAAGACCAACTCATATAATACTCTTCTTCCATTTATGCATTTCTCTGCTTTCTTTCCAGTTAACATATATCACAAGAAGAGGAATGTTATTGTTGAATTCTACACTTCTTCACTGATCCATCCCAGCACATTAACTATACACGCACACACACACACACACATTTGCACATTAGAAGCATTTAAATACTTCATTTATAGTTTATCATTTTGTTTAGGTTTTAAATGCTTCACTCTATGATTAATAAATTTGTATTGGAGAGTAAGAAAGACAACTATTTTGAATTAATAGATTAATTTTAAAATGATGTCTGCTACAATCCTACCTTAATTTACGGGAAAAAAAAAAAAAAAGCATTTAAGATAAGAGTGATTTGGTTACTGAGAAAAACCTTCCCTAACTGGGGTCTTAAAAGATCATCAATTTGAAGGTAAAGCAAAATTAAATATACCTATTTTCCTTGTCTTCTCTTATTTTGATCTTGTACTGGTATTTCACTGAATCTCAGTTATCATCTTCATAGCTCTTCTGAAACAATCTATTGTTAGGGATTTATAAGGTGTAATATGTGCCAGGATGTGCTTATGTTCAGGCTTTAAAAAAATTATTTTAGAAGATATCATTCTAAACATTTTTTCAAAGAATCTGTTGCACTGGACTTTGCTCAATATATGATTGAAAGAAATAATATTTTTATACTATATACCATATAAAATGTGTGCAATGTTATTTCCCTACAGTGGTGGTCATCACAGCCAGCAGTTGTGAAAGCACATTATCATCTAGTGATCCCACCAACTGATAATAAAGGGTTTCAGTAAAACAGATACTAGCAAAGCCCTCATTTCTCTGGTTGCATATGGAGTTGTTTGTTTATATCAAACATTAAAACTTGGCATGTGATTTTCATGTTATGAAATCAAAATAAATGATAAATCATTATTATTATTATTATTATTTTCAGACAGAGTCTCATCCTATTGCCCAGACCGGAGTGTAGTGGCACAATAATGGCTCACTATATCCTTGACTTCCTGGATTCAGATAATCCTCTCACCTCAGCTTTCCAAGTAGCTAGGACTATAGGTGTACAAGACCACACCCAGCTAATTTATTGTATTTTTTATAGAGACAGAGTCTCACTATGTTACCTAGGCTGGTCTCACACTTCTGGGCTCGGGTAATCCACCCACCTCTGCCTCCCAAAGTGCTAAGATTACAGGCATGAGCCACCATGCCCAGCCTGATGAATTATTTTTAGTAAAGAGCAAAAATAAAATGTCCATGGGACATCCCTAGTAAAATGTAAGTGGGAAAGAACTAAAGACATAAAATTTGAATCAAGTTATTAAAAACCCATATATAAACACATGTTCCTGGGTACACTAAGAGTTGATTGTGGGAGTATAACCTGCCCTCATATTAGTCACTATTTCTTACTCTCTAATAAACTCTAAATCTACTTCTGGTAAAGAAAGAAGGACACTTGATTTTAGGATCAAAACAAACTTGAATTTTCAAGAAAATTGGAATAAAAAGAGGAAAGAAGAAGTGACTATTACTTTGGTTCACTGTCTAGTATGTAAAACAAGCCTTTGATGTTTCAAACTCAAAAGAAAAAAATTAAAAAAAAATTGTCTCTGATAAGAATTATAAACTCTGAATACAATCACCACAGTCAAACCGTGACAAAAATCATCAGATGTCCCAAATCAAAGCTATGCTCCTAAGAAGCAGCTGCAGTATGCCTGGTCATATAACCTGAACTCATCAATGAAACAAACAGCACAGCAAGCCTGGGAGCACCCCTTCTCCACCACATACTTTCATCTCCACTCAGTTCCCAGATTATGTCAGTCATAAGAGGAAAGAAAAATGCCTTTGTTCTCTTCTATGTGTAACAGTGTGCTGATAGCACCTCTAACTTCATAGAAGTTGGCTTTCCCCATGAATAAATTTAATATCTAGAAAAATGTATCCTAAATCCCATTCCATGCAGTGAATGATATATAAAGCCTGGCATTTGTACAACCAGATAACACACCAGACATCAAGAATAGCTCCTAAGCACCCAAATTTATGAAGCAAACATTGATAAAACTAACAAGAGAAACAGAACACAAAAATAGGAATTTCAATACCCCAATTTCAGTAATGGATATGACACCCAGACAAAAAAACAATAAAGAAACAAGACTCGAATAACATTAGAGATCAAACAAACCTAGCAGGCATATACATGACATTCCACCCAACAACAGCAGAATAATCATTTTTTCAAGTACACATGAAACATATTCCAGGAAGATCACATATTAAGTCACAAAAATAATAGTAAATTGTAAGAAGACTGAAATCACATCAAGTGTCTTTACTGACTGCAATGCATTAAAACTAAAAATCAATTGGAAATCAAGAAAAACTGGAAATTCACAAGTATGTGGAAATTAACGTACTATTGAATAACCAATGGGTTTAAGAAAAAAATCAAAAAAAGATTAGAAAATATCTTCATATATATGAAAACAAAATACAACATACCAAAACTTACAGGATATAGCAGAAGTAGTATTAGGAAGGAAGCATATAGTGATGAACACCTACCTTAAAAAATAAGAAAGACATCAAATAAATAATGTAACTTTAAGCACTCAGGAACTAAATCATGCAGTAACTAAAAAAAGATAACAAATTAAGCCCAAAGATAGCAGAAAAATAAAGATTAGAGCAGAAATTTAATAGAGAAAAGAAAAACAGTAGACAAAATATATGAAAATAAGTGTTCTTTTTAAAAACTATCAAGTTGGCAAACATTTAAGTAGACTAAGAAGAGAAAAGATGCAAATAAAATCAGAAATGAAAGAGAAGGCACTAAAAGTGATCAGTGTCATAATAGTCAAGAAGACATGACTAGATAGAATAGAATAGAATGTTCTATTCTATTTATATTCTATCAATATAATGTTGATAGAATAGAAAATTTAATAGTGTTAAAATGTTCATACTACACAAAGTAATCTATAGATTCAATAAAATTCCTATCAAAATTGCATTGACATTCTTTATAGAAATAAGAAAACAATCCTAAAATGTATATGGAATCACAAAGAAGCCTCAATAGTTGTAACAATGTTGAGAAAGAACAAAAATGGAGACTTCACACATCCTAATTTTGAAACATACTACAAAGCTACAGTAATCAAATAATATGGGACTGGCATAAAGATAGTCATATAGACCGACAGAATGCAATGGAGAGCCTAGAAATAAGTCATAGAATATCAATATTCAGTCAGGCACAGTGGCTCACACCTGTAATCCCAGCACTTTGGGAGGCCAAGGTGGGTAGATCACGAGGTCAGGAGATGGAGACCATCCTGGCTAACACAGTGAAACGCCGTCTCTACTAAAAATACAAAAAATTAGCCAGATGTGGTGGCAAGTGCCTGTAATCCCAGCTAATCAAGAGACTGAGGCAGGATAATCACTGAACCTGGGAGGCAGAGGTTGCAGTGAGCCGAGATCGCGCCACTGCACTCCAGCCTGGGTGACAGAGTGAGACTCCATCTTAAAAATAAATAAATAAATAAATAAATAAATAAATAAATAAATAAAATATTAATATTAAAAATGATTATTTTCATAAATTCATTGACATGATAAATCAATACAAATAACTTGACATAACTATGAAAATCCTTTGTTTTAGAATATGTAAAAAATAAGAATCTAAATACTTCTCAAATGTTATCACTCAGGATATTTAAAACTATTTAAAAATGCACACACACACTCACACACACACACATATATGTATATGCGAAAGAGAGAGAGAAACAGAGAGGAAGAATTGAATGTTTAGACATTTAAGAAGAAAAAAACTGTGTGCAATCCTAGTCAGAGGGCCAAAATTCAGCATGAATGGACTCCATGCCAGTCTATCATGGTATACTGGATGGGAAAGGGAATTGTTACAGCTATAAATGTGAGTGGGTAGAGACAATGAGTAACTTTGAACATCAGACTGATAACTTTTGATTTTGTTAATAGGTAAGTAGACAATTTTTGATTTTGCTAATAGGTAAGTAGTCATTTTAAACACTATTTAAGGTAGTCAGTACTTATAACATCTAATTCTGCTACTGAGACTTTAGGAAGTCGGAAAAATACACACCATCCAACCATGGCAATCAAAGGCACACAAATTTATGTAACAGAATCTCGAGTTTGAGTCTCAGTCACCAAATTGCCTCTCTCTACCATATTATACAATGATTATTCATGTTTCCTCTATTCCTAATTAGCACAAGTTTCATGAGGTTGAAAAAAAGAGTAATAGAAGAAAGAAAATGAAAATATTTAATCTTTGGGAGTAATCTTCTACACTTACTTCAGGAAAATGTGACTAATTCTTCATGAGGTTAATAAATTTTCCCTTCAGATAATTTCAAAGGAGGAATACAATAGTGGCAGGCATATAACCAGCAACCAGAAAACCATTCCTAAACCCTTGTCATATTTCACCTTCTTACTAAAGGGGCTTATAAACAAAAGTCTGCCTACCTAGGTTCCCTTTCTTTTTAGTATAAATGTGACTGATTCTAACACCTGAAATATAAATAGATGTAAAACGAAGACTTCAAAGGATATTCCTGCGAAACCCAGAAAAGAGAGAGAGAGAGTTGTAAACATGAGTATATGAAACATACATATCTTGCTCAAGATGTGATGCCTGGAGCTTCAGCAGCCATTTTGTTCCCATAAGAAAAATACCAACAAAATTACTGGGTCATTGGCCCTAAGAGTGTTTAACTGCTCCACCAATACCACCAAAAACCTTGTTATGTGAAAACTCCTTGTTATGTGAGAAAAACAAACCCCTATTATCAAGTCACTGTAACTTAAGTTTTTTGTGTTACTTGGACTTGAGAATTTATTCCTGATCAATGTAAAGTTTCTTCTTAAAAGTTGGCATTGTTGAATAAAAACAGTCTAGAGTGGATGACTCTGAAGAATAACACTGTTAAAAGTTAAAAAATGATATGAAGAGCCATTCAGTTTTCAGAATTATGATCCAATACATTGAGATAAGTTTGAGATTGTCATGCATTTGATACAAGGCCAAGTCTCCAGGCTGTTTACGTTGTAAAACAAAAGACATAAATGTTTTAAAATATAAAACTTTCAAATAAATATTATTTCATATATTTTAAAAGTTAGAACCACTAATTGAAGGCAGCTTCAAAATATGTAAATGAGTGCTGCTTTAAAGGTATCAAAATACCTATACTTCATAATATAGAGAGATTTTTCAATAAGACAACGGTGGTAAACATATATCCAGATCTTCTCGAAATTGCCCATTAATTACTGTTCAAAAAATGAGAAAGGGGCTCAAATCATTACACACATCAAACACTAGAAGCTTTTAGCTTTACGCTTTTTCTCATGTTATATAAAATTTTAACAATTAATTGTCATACACTAGAAGATGCATATCATCCTATTGCATTTTAAATGAATTATAATAATATGTATCAGGTACAGTTTCTCTGTCTTTGTACTCATCCAGCCAGACCCTGACTGTTGGAGATTAAGTGATAAATACTGATTATCTCTTAATGTTAGTCTCCAGGCATTCAGTCGAAGGAAAAAACCTTTTTATTAAGTAATACTTTTTCAATAACATTAGCTCAGCTTCCTGAAAACTCTGGAGAAGTTTAGCTCAATGTGAATGCAACTTTTCAGGTGTAATAGAGGAAGAAATCACTTGTGGCCTTCACCCAAACTATGACAGCTACTGAAGAATAAAAAGTTTAAAAGTTACATAGTAGTTTGTTCTGGAAGATTACACTTCTCTTTGGTGTTTTAAAGAAAATAGACCATCAGTCAGTAGTGCCACCACTGGTTAAACAAACTTCAAGAAGCTAGGTACATTAAAAGGAAGCTGTCGTTGCTATGCACTTTTATAAGTAACTCAACTACTTTAAACTGTTTTCTAAAGTGAAGAATGCAAAGAGTAGAATTTTGTGCTGTGCTTTGAGTCTATTCTCTGTTAACCTTTCTCTGAAAAGTCATGCTAGACATTATTTTCAGACAATTGTTCTGTTCAGAGAAACACTAAGAACAAATAAGAATTTACACTTGAAGTGTGAAGAACATTTTAATGGTGTTAGAAATAATTTTGTTTTGTGAGCTGCAGGTCTAACAAAAATAACTAAAGAAAAATAGTCCAAAATGTGATGAAAAGATATTTAGATTTATCACTGAACTTCGTCTGCTGTTACTCAGACCTTTCCTTTCACCAGCTGATAATAAATGTCATGTATCCTTCATAGTCGTGTCCCGAAAGAAAAAGTAGCTCTGCATTGAGGTGTAAGGTTCTTCATCTTTTCAAAAATGACAGACATTCCAAATAAAAGATTGAAGGTCTAAGATGTTAATCCTTCAATGTTGAAAAAGAAAGTTTCAGAACTTGGATATTCTCTCGCAATGACAAATTATCTTAATGTAACCGAGATAGATGGTATCTTAGCTTCTCGAGTAATAAGTGAAATTACAAATCATATATATCAGGTAATATTAATTCATCCTACCAAGGATATGCTGAAAATCTGTAATGTAGGTTTCGCTAGCTGCTTTAAAACAATAATAGAGTATATTATTTAGAGCAGATTTAGGTTCACAGCAAAATTGAGCATATGCTGTAGAGATTTCCCATGCAACCCCGCCCCTATCCCCATTGCTACCTCCCCAACTATCAACATCCCCCACCAGAGTGGTACATTTATGACAACTGATGAAACTATATTGACACATCATTATCACCCACATTCCATAGCTTATGTTAGGGTTCACCCTTGGTGTTGTACATTCTATGGGTTTTGACAAATATATAATGACATGTATCTACCATTACAGTATCATAGTCTGCACATTTACTGCCCTAAAAATCTTCTGTTCTTTACCTATTCATTCTTTCCTCCCACCAACCCCTATAAACCATGGATCTTTTTATTACCTCCATAGTTTAGCCTCTTCTAAAATATATCTTTCATATATATGGAATGATACTAGTCTTTTCAGATTAACTTCTTTCACTTAGTATTATCCTTTTAAGTTTTCTCCCTGTCTTTCTAAGGCTTAATAGCTTATTTCTTTTTAGCCTTAAATAATATTCCATTTCCTGGATATAGTGCAACTTATTCACTCACCCATGGAAGGACATCTTGGTTGCTTCCAAATTTTAGCAATTACATAAAAAGCTGCTATAAATCTTCATGTGCAGGTTTTTCTGTAGACACAAATTTCAACTCCTTTGGGTAAACGACAAAGAGTAAAATTGCTAGATCATATGGTTAGAATATATCTGTTTTTTTTTTTGTTTTGTTTTGTTTTTTTTTTGAGATGGAGTTTCACTCAGTCGCCCAGGCTGGAGTGCAGTGGCATGATCTCGGCTCACTGCAAGCTCCACCTCCCGGGTTCACACCATTCTCCTGCCTCAGCCTCAAGTAGCTGGGACTACAGGCGCCCACCACCACGCCCGGCTAATTTTTTGTATTCTTAGTAGAGACAGGGTTTCACCGTGTTAGCCAGGATGGTCTCGATCTCCTGTCCCCGTGATCTGAATATATTTGGTTTTTAAAGAAACTTCCAATTGTATTCCAAAGTGGTGGTACCATTTTGCATCCCAACCAACAGTGAACCGACTTCTTGTTGCTCTATGTCCTTGTCAGCATTTGGTGTTGGCAGTGTTCTAGAGTTTAGCCACTCATATAGGAGTATAGTATTTCATAATTATTTTAATTTGTATTACTATTGTTTTGCTGTTTAAGTAAATATACAATGAACTTAAATTTTGTAATTGAAAAGACAAGCATACAGACATAAAATAATGATCTAATGTCCAAAAAGAATATGATTAAATGTCTTTCTTGGGGACATATTCCACCTAGGGAGGGTGATATAATGCAATAATAAAGAATATGTATTTCTCGTGGTGGCAGGGGCCTGTAGTCCCAGCTACTCAGAAGGCTGAGGCAGGAGAATGGTGTGAGCCCAGGAGGCGGAGCTTGCAGTGAGCCGAGATCGCGCCACTGCACTCCAGCCTGGCGACACACACACAAAAAAAGAATATGTATTTCTAAAAATGGAGCTACCCTTTTTCCCAACAATCCCACTACTGGGTACTTACCCAAAGGAAAAGACATTGTTTTATCAAAAAGACACCTGCACTTGTATGTTTATTGCAGCACTATTCACAATAGCAAATTCATGGAATAAACCTAAGTGTCCATCAACAGCAGATTGGATAAGGCAAATGTGACACATATACACCATGGAATACTATGCAGCCATTAAAAGAATGAAATCATGCCCTTTTCTGCAACATGGATGCAGCCAGAAGTCATTAACCTAAATGACTATACACAGAGACAGAACATAAAATATTACATATTCTCACTTATAAGTGGGAGCAAAACAAAATGTACTCATGGGCATTCAGATGGAAACAACAGATGCTGGAGATTCCAAAAGGGAAGGAGAGGGAGGGATTAAGGGTTGAAAAACTACCTATTGGGTACTGTGTTCACTGTCTGGATGATGGGATGGATAGAAGCCCAAACCCCAGCATTATGCAATATACCCATGTAGCAAACCTGTACATGTACCTCCTGCACCCCTTGAATCTATAATCTTTAAAAAAGAATATGTGTCCTATGTTAAGATATTCTGGATTCAAATATATCCTCTCTTGCCTGATTGTTTGGAAATGGACCTTACCTCAATAAGCTTCAGTTCTCTAATCTTTAAAATAGCTTTTTAAACCAGTTTTTCACACCTATTTTCTGTAAGATGGTTTACAGTCTATGTCCCTGCTGAAGAAACTTTCTTTTCCCTCCCTTCCTCTCTCCTTCCTCCCATCATATCTTCCTCCTTCCTTTCTTCTACCTCTTTTAGAAAAAAACAAATATCTGATGCAGTATTCTGCAATCTTTTCTATTCAGGCTAAATATCTTAGAAATAACCCCTTCAGTTCAGTTTTGCAGCTGTATTCCTACGCTTTGTGCTTTCTGTTCTCTTGTTTTCTATCTGTATTTGCATATGCACACACACACACACACACACACACACACACACATACACCAGCCACTAGTGTTCCAAAATCAAATCGACTTCCCAAATAGGAGTACCTTAGAGTCCCATTGGGTCTTTATTCTTAACTAAGAATCTTCTAGACATCCTGACAGACTATCATGAAGTTCACCCATGTAATAGGCTTTCTTGGGAGTGCATCTGTCCACCCAAAAAGAACACACTAAAAACCAAGGGTTATTTGGGAGATGGTGATAGCATTACATTCACTTTGTGGTAACTCACTGTGCTGTGCACTTATAACAAAATGCATCAAATTTAAAACATTTATAATCTGGCTCTCTCTTGATCTACCAAGCATCTTCCCAGTTGTCCAAGTCAGAAGTTTGAAAACCACTTTGCCTTCTGCATGTACCTTTTCTCAGTTCTATTTTCCCTTGTGCCTCTGAAATGTCTTTTGACTCAGACACACTGCCCAATGCCAGCCTGCTCTGATGGGCCAAACTTACATAATCCCAGCGGCATCTCATTTCAATGCCCTCCCAACCAATTTTGTCCTTTGTCTCTCCCTCCTCTAATTTATCCTGTGCATTACCATTACAGTCATCTTCTCCCATCCCACAGCCAAATATGATTATCATGCCTCAGCTTTTCCATTGCCAAAATTCCAAAATGAGTTTGAGGCACTTCATAACCAGACCTCAACCAACTCTGCAGTCTCTTCTCCATTCCAGTGGAAAGTTCCTCCATTCCAATTTCCCCAAACATCCCCAATGCCTATCCTGTGTAATTTAAACTCTAGCCAAGTGAAATGACATCTTAGTTCTGTCCATGCAAAACTCAGTATTATTGCAATTAACTGAAATGCCCTGTGAGGAGGATGGGCTCCCACTCTTGCTCAAAGATCCTAGCAAAATTACTTGTCACATCATGTGCAGTACCACACAACATACATATATGTGTTTCATCATTTTTATATGTCAGTCTCTCCATTAAATTATAATAAGCTCTTTAAGACCAAGTCTCTGTCTTATCCATCATTAATATCCAGCAAACAACAAAGAGTTGGGTTTCACTGAACACCTATGCCTATCAGTGTTCCAGGAAAGGGATTGCCATCTCTCTTAAAACTACATTTTACATGTTAGTCTCTTTGTCTTCCCTGATATACTTTATCTCCCTGCCCTTAACTTTTCTTTTCTATTTTGAAATCTGCTGGCTCTTCCTTACTCCCCAAGACCCTTTCCAATCATTCTGAGCCAGAGTAGGCTCAGGAAGCTTTGTCCAAGCCGTAGTCTTCCTGGTTTACCTCTTGTGGTCACCTGACTTTCCTTTTGTTTATTGGCGTAATTTTCTCTTTGTATTATGCTCATTTTTACTTCATTATAAAAGAGTTAAGGCACAGTAAGATTCCAAAAATGACACAATAAGTACTCAACCCAGCCTATGAAGAAAGTGCTCAACCCCAGCCTCTCAATAGCATTCCCAGTTTAAATGAAATCCCTTACCTGATCTAGACCTATTCTCCCTTCTGTCTACAACTAATCACCATCCTAACTTTAGTGATCATTACTATAAAATTATATAACTTATGTTTGAATATGTTATTTGTTCATTTATGTATAAATCTTATCATATAGCATGTCTTCTATCAACTGTCTTGTTGAATATTGTGTTCATTCATATTCACATGGGTAGCTCGTTTATTCTTATTGTCATGTAAGACATAACTTATGTTACATATCATACTTTATTCTTATTTTGATTAACATATTTTTAGTTTTCATTGTTTGCAAATATTCTTTTAAGAATATTCTTGTGGCTGGGTGTGGTGGCTCATGTCTGTAATCCCAGCACTTTGAGAGGCCAAGGCAGGAGAATTGCTTGAGCCCAGGAGTTTGAGACCAGCCTACACAACAAAGTGAAAACCCATCTCTACTAAATACAGAAAAATCAGCTGGGTGTGGTGGTACATGCCTGTAGTCCCAGCTACTCAGAGACCGAGGTGGGAAGATTACTGGAGCCCAGGAGGTAGGGGCTACAGTAAGCTGTGATCACTCCGCTGCACTCCAGCCTGGTTATCAGAACAAGACCCTGTCTCAAAAAAATAAAAAAAACTTGCCTGTTTTCCTTGGATACATATGTAAAAGTTTCTCTGGCCTATAATATGTACATAGAATTGGTATTCTGAAGAAGTAGATATTCTTACAATTTTTCCCTATCATGCAATAAATACTAAATATTTTATTAGAATTATATTGATTACATATTAAATTCAAGAGAATTGACTTTTTTACAATATTAAGATTCAGTATTTCTTAATATAGTCTAATATAAAATGCTATAGTTTTCTTTCAAATATTGTACACAAGTTGGTTAAATCAAGCATGTCCTAAGTGACATAATTTTTGTTGCTCTTTAACATCTTTATATAAAATTACATTATATAAAGTTTCATATTTAAGATATAGAGATCAATCGATGTTTTTATATTGATCATATATCTAGCAAACTTGATCACCTTATTAAGTATATTAATTACATTAACTTAATTGATCACATTGAATATTTTATTAGATTTCCCTCCTAGGACAAAATTATATTGTCTGTGAAGATGGGCTATTTTCCCTTTGTTGTCAATTCATATATATTTTATTTATTTATTTTTCCTCTTGCTAGGATCTGCACAACAGCATTCAAGAGAAGCAATGTTGCCAAGCATCCTGGTCTTGATCCAAATTTTAACCAGAATACTTCCAATGCTTCAACTTTAACACATTAGCTGGAAGATCTGCATAGGAACTGGTTATCACATTAAGAAATATTTTTGCAATTCCGAGTTGGTTAAAACTTGATTTTTATGAAATCGTAAACGTGTGACTGATTTCACAGAATCTAATGACCTCATCAAATGTTTTTATTTTTATGGCAAAATATATTAATGTCTATCTAATATGAATACATTATTGAACCTATGGAGCAAAATTAAATTTATTCATGAAGGATTATTTGTTTCATACACTGTCAGATTTCGATTGCTAATATTTGTCCTGGTATTCACATTTATGACAGTGAACGAGAATCCTTTATTATTCCTTTTTTAAAAAAACACCTCATCTGATTTGGGTATCAGGTATCTAGTAGCTTCATGAAATAAATTTGAGACAGTTTCCCATAAAAAGTCACAAAAAGTGGGAAACCGTATTTGTTAGAAACTACCTATTTTAATGTATGTAATAACTTACTGTAAAAATACCTGTCCTTTTTTTTTACTTTGAATATTATTTGTTTAGTTGTGATAAAATTCATTAAACATTTTTAATCTCAGTGCTATCAGGTACATTCACACCGTGTAAACATCACCAGCATCCATGTCCAGAAGTTTTCATCTTCCCCAAATGAAACTCTGTCCCCATTAAATACTAACTGAGGGTTACATTTTTAACTAATGATTTTCTATTGATTTTAGAATGTTGGTTTTAAGCCAGACATGAAAATATCAAGAGGAAAAATAATGGAGGACCTTTTATTTGAAATCATTTTATTTAAAACAGAGGTCAATTTATTTGTACGATGTCAAGAAGATAACCAGAATCCAGAAAGTGCCTTCCACAAGTAAGTGTTTTGCTTATCTAAGACACAGAAACTACTGTAAAATCCTGGAGAAGAGAGGGTCCCTCAAGAGGAGCACCCCCTAGAATGTCTATTATAAAATATTCTGCTGGAGCAGTCAGTGAACAATTCACAGGGCCTACAAACTGGAAATTAACTTGAGTTAAGAAAAAGAAATAATATTTCTTGTTAACCCAATTTAGAGTGCTGAGGTTCAAAACCACTGCATAAGAATTTTAAAAAATAGATTTCTCATGATAAGATATTCTCTCGAAGGCTGAGGCAAAATTCTTTCACAATATGGAAACTTCTACTCAAAATCATAACAGGAGTGGTGGGTCAGGAAAGAAGGTATTAATCTTGTATCAGCTACACTGGAAATATTTTCTTAAAACCAGTTCACAAGCTGATTACTTTGACACCCAAAGGTAGCCACTACATGTTAAGAACATTAATATCAACCATAAGTCTCCAAAATTATTATCCCTCTCTAAATATTGGTGTCTTCTCAAACAAGCTTCATCTTTTTGGGATGCAACCTTGCCTTTATATACCTACTCTGCTTGAAATTATAGATGGTCTATAGGCTGGCCATGGAGGACTCAAAACAGAAACTTGCTGTGTTGATGCTGATAATGAAGCTGCAACTCAATCGTCTATTCCCAGCTTCAGGGGAAGAGACGTAGCTCAGAAATGTGTGGCAGAAGTTGGGTTATACTGCAGAACTGTACTTTTTTTTTTTAATCTCTCCCTAACATATTTTTACCATGGGGCTTTAATAATTTGTTTGAAGTGAATTTACAGAGAATTGGTCATACCTCTATCTGAATAGCAGTAGAGGTTACATTCTAAAGACAAAACAATGTTAGCGTTACTCATTGGTACTATGATGAATATGGGTGCTTCTGTCTTTTTAGTTTCTGATACTTTCCTAGTTCACTTGTCTTTCTTCCAGGTCCAATATGATTGATAAATAGGCTCCTATAGTGCATAGTTCATGAAAGAGCACACACTTTTGTGCAGAGTCAGCAAATTTTTCCTGTAAAGTTTCAGATGGTGAATGCTAAGGGCTGTATGTTTCTGTTGCAATTACTCAAGTCTACTGCTGCAGCTCAAAAGGAGCCCTGTGAAATATTTAAAAGATGAACAGGGCTGGGTTCCAACAAAATTTTATTTATAAAGTGGGCAAAGGGTTGAATTTTGCCCAAGAAACAGTTTGTCCTCCTCTGCTTTCGTGTGGGGTGTACTCCTATGCTCTCACCTTCCTCTATGGGAAAGGAATGAGGAAAATTCACATGTCTGTTAACTTCCATATTTTCCAACAAGCTTCTTGGGTTGACAACTTAAGTTTGACTTACTCATTATTGAAGAAAATGATGCTTGAGAGCTGTCTCATCCAAGTGACTTCTTTAAATGTGTAATTTTGGCTGGGTGTGGTGGCTCACACCTGTAATCCCAACAATTTGGGAGGCTGAGGTGGGCAGATCACTTGAGGCCAGAAGTTTCACACCAGCCTGGTCAAAGGGGAAACCCCATCTCTACTAAAAATACAAAAAAATTGGCCAGGTTTGCGGGTATACACCTGTACTCCTAGCTACTCGAGAAGCTGAGGCAGGAGAATCTGTTGAACCTGGGAGGCAGAGGTTGCAGTGAACCGAGATCATGCCACTGCATTCCAGCCTGGGTGACAGAGTGATATTCCATCTCAAAATAAATAAGTAAATTAATAAATAAATAAATAGTTAATTTTTAAGTCTAAGTGGTTAGATCTTGGAGGACTGATTCTAGTTTGATCTTTATTATTAGATTATTTTAGTTTTGCCTTATGGTCAGAAAATCCAGGGGAAATATGTCGTTGCAGAAGTCGCTGGTCATCCTGAAATGTTTATTATACCTGAGTGTTATTTGTAACATGAAGATAACACACGACACATTAGGGGACTAGGCATCACCGCAGAGTTGCAATGTGTCTGCATTGAGTAATGCTTAGCGTATATGGTAGTGTTTCCCCCACAGCCAGGATGCACGGGTCCAGGAATCAAGGGGTGGAAGTAGAAGTGGGACCACTCACCATCACCCCTAGTGACCTACTAGCAAAATGTTTGCTTCCTGTTCCCATGACACAACATTCTGCTGGCCTAGACCGTTTTAGTTCCAGAAGGAGGAATGCTGCCACCAGGAGACACAACAATGATTCCATTACACTGGAATGTAAGATTGCCACCTGGCCACTTTGTGCTCCTCCTGCCTCTAAGGCAACAGGCTCGGAAGGGAGTTACAGTGTTGGCTGGGGTGATTGACCTGAAATATCAAGATGAAATCAGTCTACTACACCACAGTGGAGGTAAGGAAGAGTATGCATGGAATACAGGAGATCCCTTAGGGCGTCTCTTAGTATTACCATGCCCTGTGATTAAGGTCAATGGGAAACTACAACAGCCCAATCCAGGGAGAACTACAAATGGCCCAGACCTTCAGGAATGAAGTCACTCCACCACGTGAAAACCACGACTTGCTGAGGTGCTTGCTGAAGGCAAAGGGAATACTGAAGGGTTAGTAGAAGAAGGTAGTCATTACTACCAGCTATAATCATGTGACCAGTTGCAGAAATGAGGCCGGTAATTGTCATGAGTATCTCCTTATTTTGTTAAGAATATGGTTGTGCATGTATACACTTGTACTAAGAAAATATCTTCATTTTATTTCCTTTCTTTGTCCTTTATCATGTGACATAAGATTTGACTTCATATCAGCATTTAAGTGTTGTTAACTCCATGTAATAGCATTTAGGTTAAGGATTAGTACACTTCTGGTTGTAGTAAAGATAGCTATATTATGTTAGGTATAATCATACCTTTATATTATGTTAGGTATAACCATACCTAACATAATATAGAGATAGCTATATTATGTTATTGTCTTTATTTACAGATTAGGTATGATTTCCGGAGATGTGTATGGGTTCAAGTTGACAAGGGGTAGCCTTTTGATGGTTAATATTGAGTGTCAACTTCATTGGATTGAAGGATGCAAAGTATTATTCCTAGGTGTGTCTGTGAGGGTGTTGCCAAAGGAGATTAACATTTGAGTCAGTGGATTGGGAGAGGCAGACCTACCCTCAATCTGGGTGGGCACCATCTAATCAGCTGCCAGTGCAATAAGAATAAAGCAGGCAGTAGAAGGTGGAAGAGCAGACTTCCTGAGTTTTCGAGCCTTCTTCTTTCTCCCATGCTGGATGCTTCCTGCCCTCGAAAGTCAGACTCCAAGTTCTTCAGCTTTTGGACTCTTGGACTTATACCAGTGGTTTCCCAGGGGCTCTCGGACCTTTGGCCACAGACTGAAGGCTGCACTGTCAGCTTCCCTACTTTTGAGGTTTTGGGACTCGGACTGATCCACCACTGGCTTCCTTGCTCCTCAACTTGCAGACGGCCTATTGTGAATTTTACCTTGTGATCATGTGAATCAATTCTCCTTTATAAACTCGCTTTCATATATACATATATCCTATTAGTTCTGTCCCTCGAGAGAACCCTAATACACTTATGCCTTATTATCTAACTGGTCCACAAGTGATAAGCTCATATGGGTAGTGTACTTAGAAAGCATACTCACAACCTAAATATTAGCTCAGATGACCTGACCTGCAGTCATTTAAGTTCATAGTTTCCAAACTGTATGCCAAGGGGCCTGGCAGGCTGAAGTAAACTCACAGGTGCATGGGGTAATTTTAAATTTCCAAAGAAAAAATAGTGATTCTCAATACTTGTCTATCTCTATCTAACACTCTGTATTACTGACTTGTCCTTTTGAAATCTTTTACACCAAAATGTAAGTCTTTTTATTTTTAGCTCAGTACGATTTTCTCTATTTATTTAATTATAGATATTTCTGTTAGCTATTCCTTTTTCTAGTCATGGAATTTTCATTATTTAGGTATTAGCTATTCTAAAGTTACCCTAATATTCTATTTTTTTCTTTTATCATTTCCATGTCTTTGTCCTTTGGCTTTTTCTGAAATAAATCAATGTGTTACTCTTTTATATAATTTAAATGCTGCTGCTTTCCTTTCTAATACTGCCTGCTTATTAATTGATTTATTTCACCCGTATCTTTTTCTTTGGGAATTTGAGAATAGCTTTTCTCAGAGCCAGACCTTCAGTTTTTCCTAGAGCCAAGACTTCCATACAAAAGCAGAATTCCATGCCAAAGTGGCAAGTAATCTTTTGGATGTAGCTGTCTGAAATTATGCGATCCCATCCATCTGTCCTACATACAACTGCTGAAATAGTCTTCATAAAACATCATTTTAATTACACCATTACCTTGTTCAACAGGTAGGTAGTGACTCATTGTAAATACATTTGGGTTGATGGTTATCCATGTTCCTGACTGTGATTCTTTGAGCACCATCTAGTTAAACTTCATTTCATCTTTCAATTTCATTTCTAATATATTTAGAAAAATAAACAATATTCTATCAACAAAAAGGCTCTATAAACAAAAGTTGTTAATGAAAGTAAAATTAAATGTATATATGTCTCAATAGGAATCTATTTTGTGGAAAAAAACATAATTTGAAAACTTGTTTTTCAACCTATAAATTATAATACTAAAAATCTCTCTAGATATAATACTATCAGTGCAACAAAAAAGAGAAAGGCATATTCGAACTTTGTCCTTAATTGTAGAAAATGTTTTCCATTCTAGAAACAACAACTCCTGCTACTACTCTGGGATCCATCTAATTTATAAATCCTTTTACAGTCATAGCTTGTAAACTTCTGCAATTTTTTTCTATAATGGTCCCTGTTGAAGAAAGCATCACTTCTAAACAGGATTGAAAAAAAAAAAAAAAAACTGGGATGATATAAATTCCCCAGATAGCAAATTAAGTAGCTCTGATCCTGGCTAGTTTTGCTTCAGGATGAAAGCATGTGGGGGGAAAAGAATTCTGTTAAACGTTTCAGCTTCATATCAAACTAAATGCTGTCTTGAATGCCTTCACTGTGTAACATGGTATAGATCTGCCTCAGTATTCAACAAGCATAAATTCTCCATCTGGATTATATTGTAGGTGTGAAAGTTTATGGTTGAAAGACATGTACTTGGCAAAAACTTAAAATTACAGGAAGCTTTTTGAGTAAGTGAAAGGTGAGAAATTACTACAGTCAGAAGATCTGAATATCTTATTTCTTCATTTTGAGTTTTACAGTTTTCTTTACAGCACTTGGAAACTTAAATGAGACTAAAATCACTATGATTTTATATTTATTTTCAAAAACTCTTAGGAAACATTTTCCTCAGAAATGAAAGACTATTTCTTTATAAGAATGCTATTAAATACACAGAAAAACTTGTACCTTACAATTTGGAAAATATTGAGAGTCAAGACCAAAAAGGAGGGAAAAATGAGAGCATATGAAAAATCAGGCATTCACAGGAGCGTATGTTTCCCAAGCTACATTTCTGTAAGTTTCAAAACTTTAAAGCAGAATGGCTATGGTAATATCCTAATGCCAGTATTGGAAGGTCCACCTGAAGACAAATTTCCCTCAAATCCTTGCACTAATTCAGAGCTAAGGGGAGCAGATCCCTGCACACAACAAAGTCAATCTCTCAGGCTTTATGCCGCTGACCTGTGATCATATCCACTTTTGTACAAATGATTCCACATCTATGACAACAATCCACTATGCTCCTCCAACTTGTATTTCCAATGCCCTACTCATACATCTCCAGTTGGAAGTTTCAGAAACACCGCAAACACAAGTATAGAAATTAACTAGTTATGTATTACATGCAAATTTAATCTCTGTACCAATTCCTGTCCAGGTAAATTTATAGTTAACTTGGAAGTCATCTTGAATTCTTTTTCCCTGATCACCTAAAATAATTCACTCACCCAAAAAGTTCCCATATATCTGTCACATTTATCTTATGCTATTTAAAACCTAGATCACTCCATTAACTTGCAGTCTTATAATTTCTTACCCAAGTAAATAGCCTGTAAATTAGTCTTCCTGCTGTCATGTTCCCTTTTACATTCCCACAGTGGCTTCAATGTTGTCCAACTTTAAAAATTGTCTGATTATGGCACTTATGGCTAAAACCCCTGCAGTGGCCCCCAATTACCACAATATTGAAGGTAAAGTCAATGACAAATACCTAGAAGACTTTATATGTATGTCATTTATAAACACATAAATAATATAGACAATAATTATATAAAACAATGTTGCCTAACTTGTGCATATAACACAAAAAATAGTATAAACCCAAACTACTTGGCAATAGTATATAATGTGAGGAAAATCATTGAAATTAAAACAAAGAGGTTTTATGTTTTAAAACAGAATGAAATTATTAATTACGTATTATACTATCTAAGGGATCCACTACCTGTGGAGATCATGAGTAAAATTTTTTTCTTTCCCTGATCACCTAAAATAATTTTTCTGCTGAAATAAACTTTTCAAGGACATTTTAGTTTCTATATCTGTCTCACTTTTATGAGGAAAATTTCCAAACAAGTAGAGGAAAGAAAGATAAAGATAGTTATACTTGATTTAACAAACAATATCCTCTGAAGTATCAAGGAATAGAGAATAGAGACGTCTAAGAATAAAGGATGGAAAAAATCTATTCCAGGTAAATGCTAAACAAGAGTCAGTTGATACAGCTGTAATAACATCATATAAAATAGACTTTAGTAGAGGTGATGTGGTATAACTATATAATGATAAAAAAATCCATTAATCAGAAAAAGAAAAAAATATTTAACTTATACACTTGTAATATTATTGCCACAAAGTATATTTAGCAGAAATTGAAAGAGGTAAAAAGATGGTACAAATCTATCATTAGAGTGGAAAATTGTAATTTCCCTTTCTAAGTAGTGGAAGCAAACCATAAAAAAAGACGCAATAGAACAGCAATATTGTATTAGAGTCCAATCAAGAGACAGAAATAACAGGCAACGCGAACAGGGATATCTAATATTACTAATTATTAACTATAACTGAAGGATTATGATGGATAAAGTTAACTTTAAAGATTATAGGAACAGCAGATACAGGAGCACCCCCTACTTCTATGACTGAGCTAGAATAACTAAAGAAGGAAAAATTCAGAGGGCTAAGATTGAGACCTTGTCTGAGAGGGCATAAACAGAGTCACAGAATAGCAAAGGTCACTGGGTGCTGGCAGAACCCACTGGGAAGTCTCCATCTGGGTGGCCAAGAAAAGCCAACTTTCAGGAGGTGTCACGGTACTGATCTTGTTGCGAAGCTGCATAAGGAGGTGGTGAGCTGGGTGAGCTGTCCCATGAGCACGTGCCCCACACACAGCTCCACATACTGCAGGAGCCTGCTGAGAGGTGCTCACCAGGACCAGAAGGAAGAGCCCTTCCTCCTTCCATGTCCCTCAGACCTCTGCTAACATAGCTTACTACCGAGCAAATGTAGCTCCCAACGTAGCTTAACACCATCTGATAATAAAAAGAATGTTCTAAGGGGGCTATGGAGCATGGATTTGGAGTATAGAGGCAATATTTTTGTAACTAACACAACAAGCCTGATCTAATGAAGACATAAAGAAAACTGCACTTCATTTTCACTCTTTCATGGAATATTTCTGCAAATATAATTATAAAAGTTTTATGATTTGGAAATTTTTAAAAAATTGAAAATGCTTATGAGTCAGAGCAGGAATTATAATGGACAATTTGAAATATTTAGAATGGACAGATAATGGAAATAACATACATCAAGACTTCAGAATACAGCTAAAACAGTTCTTATAAAGAGATTAATAACTTACTTTAAAAAGAAAAAGGCTCATAATTAACAAGCTATGCATCCAAAATATAAAGCTAGAAAAAGACTATATAAAACCTGAACTAAGTGGAAAAGAAAGAAAATAAAAAGCAGAAATTATTGAACATTTTAGAATAAAATAAATTTTGAATGAAATCAAAAATAATGTTGCTTCAGTAAAGCTAAACATCGGTTCTTTGAAATGCAATCCTATGGTTTGGGAGGCCAAGGTGGGTGGATCTTCTGAGGTCAGGAGTTTGAGACCAGCCTGGACAACATGGTGAAACCTCATCTCTACTAAAAATACAAAAATCAGCCAGGTGTGATAGCGCATACCTATAATCTCAGCTACTAGGAGAATAACTTGAACCCAGGAGGCAGAGGTTGCAGTGAACTGAGATCACCCCACCGCACTCCATCCTGGACAACAGAGCGAAACTCCATCTCAAAAAAAAAAAAAAAAAAAAAAAAAAAAAAAGCAACCCTATGGAAGGCTAATAAAATATATATTTTAAAAGAGCCAAAGAGATGAATAAGTAATGTTATGAATGACACTTTAAGAAAAGGAAGGAGAAGAACTGGGAGAAAGAAGGAGGAGGAGGAAAGTGAGGAAGAAAGAAGAAAAAGTTAAAAGAAGAAGTTAGAGGAGGAGGAAAGAAGCAATATGATAAAAAGAGATGATGGCATGATAATGTTTTTTTCTTCCTTTTTTAAATGAAGAGAAAAACAATAATTTGTTAGAATTTGCCCTTCCAATATTAAGACATCATAAAATTAAAACATTTTAGATAAAGTGGAATTGGCACTGAAAATGGACAAATAAATTACTAAAATGGAATAAAAGGGGGTCTAGAGATTGATCAAACATATGTAGAAACTTAATTTAGGATACAGAGACAGTTGCAAATCCATGGGAGAATAAAAGACTATTTAATAAATGTTGATGTGGCCATTGTTTTATGTATGGAAAAAGATAAAATTCAATTCATCTATGACATAAAAATTTCAAATATAGAGAGATTAAATATATAAATATGAAAGCATAATTAAGATTTTGAGAAGGGGAATAATTTTTTAAGGCTATTTGCAAAGCACATTAAAACTAAGTTGTATTTTTTATTTTAATAAAAGAGAGACCACAAGAAGATGTGAATGACAAACCACTGAATAGAAAATATTTGCAACCGAAGCAACAAAATAACCTCCAACAAATTAGTAATAATAACTTGCAAAGAAATACATATGGAAGACAATGTCTGGAATGAAGGAATGAGGATCTCCACGGGCCTTCTCCCCACTGAAACAACCATAATTGGTTACGACTACTTAAAAAGTAAAATAAAGTTTCTGAAAATTAACCTATACAACAAGTTTTTAAAAACATAATCAGGAAAATCTACTAAATCTTGATAAAAACAATAAGGGAGTCTCTGGCACCTGAGCCACCATCCACTCCTTCCCCACCCCCTCGACACAGCATGATAAAAGCTCCATTCTGGTCACACGTTTGGCCAAAAATACGTGACTTACTCTCACTCCAGCTGCCAACCAAATGCTTCAGTGTCTCCCCAGGAGTAGACCACCAGCATTTCTTATGCCCCCAACTCTGTGTTTCAGAGATGATATTCCAGATGACAGTCGCTAGGAGTTCAGCAAGCTCCTTCCTTCCTCCCAGCCCCTGCCCCCAGAGCAGCAGGCCAGGAACACTGAGGCCTGGACCCCCATCATGCCAGCTCACATCAAAAGACACTGCAAGGGCCGGGCGCGGTGGCTCACGCCTGTAATCCCAGCACTTCGGGAGGCCGAGGCGGGCGGATCACGAGGTCAGGAAATCGAGACCATCCTGGCTAACACGGTGAAACCCCGTCTCTACTAAAAATACCAAAAATTAGCCGGGCATGATGGCGGGCGCCTGTAGTCCCAGCTACTCGGGAGGCTGAGGCAGGAGAATGGCGTGAACCCGGGAGGCGGAGCTTGCAGTGAGCCGAGATGGCGCCACTGCACTCCAGCTCGGGCGACAGAGCGAGACTCCGTCTCAAAAAAAAAAAAAAAAAGACACAGCAAGGAATGCCAAAGGCTGCTGGCCCCACACGTAAGAAAGAATGAAATAAAATAAACCTGTACCACATAGAAAAATCTTTTGTACCATATAGAAAAATTAAAAGGATCATAAACCTAAACATAAATGCTATAACTTCCAACAACAAACAGAAGAAAATCATTTTGAACCTGAAGAAGGCAAAGAGTTCTCATATAGAACACCAAGAGCAGAAAACATAAAAAGACTCGGCAAACTGGAATTTATCAAATTGAAAACTTCTGCACTCCAAAAGACACTGCTGACAGAATGAAAACAATAGCTATTCTAGAGAAAATATTTGCAATTCATATAGCTAGCAAAGGACTGATGTCCACAACGTATTGAAATAAAACACTGTATCTCAATAACAAGAAGGCAAATAACACAATTAAACTTAACCAGAAGATTTGAATGGCAATTTTAATAAGATATAAATGACCACAAGCTCATGAAAATGCCATTAGTCATCATATAAATGCAAATTAAATTCACAATGAGATACTTTCCATATTCATTGATTGCCTAGAATTGTAAATATTGATAACACCAAATTTTGGTGAGTATGTCTAGCAACTGGCACCCTCTTAAGAGTGTAAAATTGTACAAGTGTTTTAGAAAACTGTTTCTTATTAAGTTAAACATTCACTTACCATACAACCCAGTAATTCTCATTCTAGCTATTTTCCCAAAAGAATGAACATGTATATTCACCCAGACTGATATTCCAATATCCACAGCTTCATCTATCCATTAATACTTTCTATAAAAAGTATCCAAACACTGGATACAAATTAAATCTCCACTAATGTGTTCATGGATAAAGACTTACGGTATGTACCTACATTGGAATACTATTCATCAATAAAAAAGGAATAAGCTACTGATACTTTTATCAACATATACATCAACAAAAATATGCTGACAGAAAGAAGTACATGTTGTATGGTTATGTTCATGTGAATTCTAGAAAAGACAAACTAAGCTTTAGTGACAGAAAGCAGAATAGAAGTTTCCAGTTTTAAGGTAAGATTAATTGCAAAGTGACATGAGGAAATGATTTGGGGTGATGGAAATATTCTACAACATGATTAGTGCTGGTTATCTGAGTATATTCATTTGTCAAAATTACTCAAGCTATTCTTCTAAAACAGATGCATTCGGTTGTGTGTAAATTGTACCCCCATTAAATATTTTTTAAAAAAGAAGTAATAGGCATGCAGACTGCATAGACAGTAAAGTTTGTTTCTTAGCATTCCCTATATCGAAAATATAAACCTTTGAAATTATTGAATTAAAATTTTAATTGTGTGAAAAACATCCCTCAAGCTAAATAACATACCGCACAAAAAATAAAAAAGCTTAAAAAAATCTTTTAAAACTTTGTGTTAGGAACATTCAATATCCTCCTTCTAGCTATTCAAATTTATATGATATATTATTGTTAACTACAGTTGCCCTAAGGTGCTATAGAATACTGGAATGTATTCCTCCTAACTCTTCTGAATGTTCTCAACACAAAGAAATGATAAATGTTTGAGATGATGGATATACTGACTACCATGATCTGATCACTATACCTTATATGTATTGAAACATTACTAAGTCCCCATAAACATGTACGATTATTATGTGCTTAATTTTTTTAATTTAAAAATAAAATGAAGGGTACATCTAACAAGCTTCTTCAGAAAAAAAAAAAAAAAATCTCTTAGAACTGCTGAAAAACGGCCGGGTGCAGTGGCTCACGCCTGTAATCCCAGCACTTTGGGAGGCCGAGGCAGGCGGATCACGAGGTCAGGAAATCGAGACCATCCTGGCTAACACGGTGAAACCCCGTCTCTACTAAAAATACAAAAACTAGGCCGGGCGTCGTGGCAGGCACCTGCTACTCGGGAGGCTGAGGCAGGAGAATGGCATGAACCCGGGAGGCGGAGCTTGCAGTGAGCCGAGATCACGATTGCGCCACTGCACTCCGGCCTGGGTGACTGAGCGAGACTCCGTCTCAAAAAAAAAAAAAAAAAAAAAAAAATGCTGAAAAACAATATTTTTCTGGACTAGAAATCGTGATAACTCAAAAGTGGGAGGTGCTTATTATTGTTAATGATGTAAATGTTGCATAGAAATATTCAAAGGTTGTAACACGAAAAGTTGAAAATCTGAAAAACACATTTAAAAAAAACTGGTAGTTATTTGTTAGTTGTATTGTTCAGTTAATGACAATAATCAATGTGAAAAAATGTTAATAAATGTCATAAACTAATTGTATAAAAAATCACACGGCATATCAAAATTCACCTCCCAAATCACGAAAAAAAAAAAACAGAAGCTAAACAGTTTGAGCATATATTACTAACACTTATGACAATGGTTACGTCACAGTGAATTAAAAAACAAAACCATGTATATATCATATATAGTAATGTTTATACAAAAAAACAAAAACAGGAAAAACAGAATGCAAGCTAATATGTAAGGAAAATTAAAGTTGGAATATCATTCTATTACAAACTCAAATTTAATAATTGATTCAGATAAGGATTATCCATTGGTGCTAAAGTCATTGGGGGAAATACAGTTGCAGAATATTCACATGGTCTGAAATTAACATCGCATAAATAACTCATGAATTGAAATGCATAAAGAAGGAAATTCAATCTTACGATAAATAGATCCATGATCGCCACCCTGAAATTAACATCGCAGAAATAACTCATGAATTGAAATGCATAAAGAAGGAAATTCAATCTTCCAATAAATAGATCGATGATGGCCATCTTAACCTAGTGATCAAATTTTACATCACTAATAAGTGCAACCACTAAAATGATACAATAACATTTACATTTTTATTTTGCAACTAATCTTTAACATGTTTCTATCACAAAGAAATACTCAGATAAATTCAGAATGCAGAGACTTAAATTTTATAGGGATATATTGCAGACAAGTTGACTGGTCTTTCAAAAATTCAGTCTAAGAAAAATGAAAAAAGTAGGACTATTCATAGTCCAAAGTAAATAAAGAGACTAACAATCAAATATGTATGTAAACCTGGATTAAATCTGGATAAAGAAAAAATTACATATATATTTTGAGATAATTGGAGGATTTGGACATGAACTACAAATTATATGATATTTTTAAATTAATGTTAATAGTCTTAGATATAATAATGCTATTCTGGCTATGTAGGAGAATGTGATTACTCTTAGGAGACACAAATAATTGAAAGCTCTGGGTGTGTGTGTGTGTGTGTGTGTGCATGTGTGTATTTATACGTGTATAAGAGAAAACATAACAAAGTTTAACAAATTGTGACTGAAGCCTTTTATATTCATTTTTCTACATTCCTTAAGTTTGAATTTTTTCAAAAGTAAAAGTTTTTTCAACTTTTAGTTTAGATTCTGGGGGTACATATGCAGGTTTGTTACATGGGTAAATTGCATGTCATTGAGGTTTGGTGTACAAATGATCCCATTACCTAGGTAGTGAGAATAGTACCTAATAGGTAGTTTTCCAACCCTCCTCCCTCTAGCAGCCCCCATTGTCTATTGTTGCCATCTTTATATTCATATGTATTCAATGTGTGTGGCTCCTGCTTATAAATGAGGATATTTGGTTTCTGTTGCCGCTTTAATCTGCTTAGGATAATGGTCTCCAGCTGCATCCACATTGCTGCAAAGGACATGATTTCATTCTTTTTTATGGCTATGTAGTATTCTATGGTGTACATTCCATGGTGCTGCAAATATTCCAGGTTGCTGTAAATATCATGGTGTACCACATTTTCTTCATCCAGTCCACCACTGATGAGCATCTAGGTTGATTCTGTGTATTTGCTATTGTGAATAGTGCTGTGATGAACATATTAGTGCATGTGTCTTTTTAAAGCCAATTTCCTTTTATGTATGTATGCGTGTGTGTGTGTGTGTGTGCGTGTGTGTGTATTTATTTATTTATTTATTTATTTATTTATTTATTTTATTTCCATAGTTTTTGGGGGAACAAGTGGTATTGGTTACATGAGCAAGTTCTTTTGTTTGTTTGTTTGTTATTATACTTTAAGTTTTAGGGTACATGTGCACATTGTGCAGGTTAGTTACATATGTATACATGTGCCATGCTGGTGTGCTGCACCCACCAACTCGTCATCTAGCATTAGGTATATCTCCCAATGCTATCCCGCCCCTCTCCCCCGACCCCACAACAGTCCCCAGAGTGTGATATTCCCCTTCCTGTGTCCATGTGATCTCACTGTTCAATTCCCACCTATGAGTGAGAATATGCGGTGTTTGGTTTTTTGTTCTTGCGATAGTTTACTGAGAATGATGATTTCCAATTTCATCCATGTCCCTACAAAGGACATGAACTCATCATTTTTTATGGCTGCATAGTATTCCATGGTGTATATGTGCCACATTTTCTTAATCCAGTCTATCATTGTTGGACATTTGGGTTGGTTCCAAGTCTTTGCTACTGTGAATAATGCCGCAATAAACATACGCGTGCATGTGTCTTTATAGCAGCATGATTTATAGTCATTTGGGTATATACCCAGTAATGGGATGGCTGGGTCAAATGGTATTCCTACTTCTAGATCCCTGAGGAATCCCACACTGACTTCCACAATGGTTGAACTAGTTTACAGTCCCACCAACAGTGTAAAAGTTTTCCTGAGCAAGTTCTTTAGTGGTGATTTGTGAGATTTGGTGCACCCATCACTTCAGCAGTATACACTGAACCCAATTTGTAGTCTTTTATCCCTCTCCCCAATTCCACCATTTCTCCTGAGTCCCCAGATTCCATTGTATGATTTGTATGCCTTTGCATCCTCATAGCTTAGCTCCCACTTATGAGTGAGAACAAACAATGTTTGGTTTTCTGTTCCCGAGTTACTTTACTTAGAATAATAATCTCCAGTTCCATCCAGGTTGCTGCAAATGCCATTAATTCATTCCTTTTTATGGCTGATCGGAAAAACCCTTCTAGACATTGGCTTAAGCAAAAACTTCATGGCCAAGAACCCAAAAGCTAATGTAGTAAAAACAAAGATAAATAGGTAGGACTTAATTAAACTAAAGAGATTCTGCACAGGAAAAGAAACAGTCAGCAGAGTAAACAGACAACCTATGGATAGGGAGAAAATCTTCACAATCTATTAATCTGACAAAGGAATAACATCCAGAATCTACAAGGAAATCAAACAAATTAGCAAGAAAAAAACAGTCCCATCAAAAAGCAGGCTAAGGACGTGAATAGAAAATCCTCAAAAGAAGATATACAAACGGCCAACAAACATATGAAAAAATGTTCAACATCACTAATGATTAGGGAAATGTAAATCAAAGTCATAATGTACCACCACCTTACTCCTGGAAGAATAGACATAATCAAAAAATCAAAAAATAACAATGTTGGCATGGCCGCAGTGAAAAGGGAACACTTCTACACTGCTGGTGGGAATGTAAAGTAGTACAACCACTGTGGAAAACAGTGTGGAGATTCCTTAAGGAACTAAAAGTAGAACCCCCATTTGATGCAGCAATCCCACTACTCGCATCTACCCAGAGGAAAAGAAGTCATTATACGAAAAAGATACTTGCACACACGTTTATAGCAGCACAATTCTCAATTGCAAAAATATGGAAACAGCCCAAATGCCCATCAATCAATGAGTAGATAAATTGTGATATATATATACACACATATATATCATATATACACATATATATCATATATACACATATATCTATCATATACACATGTCATATATATACACATACATATATATCCTATATATACATATATCATATATGCATATATATCATATATACATATATACATATATATCATATATACATATATATCATATATATATACACATATATATATGATGGAACACTACAAATTTTTTTTTTTTTTTTTTTGAGACAGAGTCTCGCTCAGTCACCCAGGCTGGAGTGCAGTGGCTGGATCTCAGCTCACTGCAAGCTCCGCCTCCTGGGCTCACGCCATTCTCCTGCCTCAGCCTCCCGAGTAGCTGAGACTGCAGGCACCCGCCACAAAGCCCAGCTAATTTTTTTGTATTTTTTTAGTAGAGACGGGGTTTCACCGTGTTAGCCAGGATGGTCTCGATCTCCTGACCTTGTGATCCGCCTTCCTCGGCCTCCCAAAGTGCTGGGATTACAGGCGTGAGCCGCCGCGCCCGGCCAAAGTTTTTAAATAAATAAACTATGTAGATAACACAAAGAAGACACAATGTTATCAGAATGCTATTGTAGCACTATATTTTAAAGTATAAATCAAGACATAAAATATTTGAAGTAACTTAAAAATAATATTAATATCACGCCTGTAATCCCAGCACTTTGGGAGGCCGAGGTGGGCGGATCACGAGGTCAGGAGATCGAGATCATCCTGGCTAACACGGTGAAACCCCGTCTCTACTAAAAATACAAAAAATTAGCCGGGCGTGGTGGCGGGCGCCTGTAGTCCCAGCTACTCAGGAGGTTGAGGCAGGAGAATGGCGTGAACCCGGGAGGCGGAGCTTGCAGTGAGCCGAGATAGCGCCACTGCACTCCAGCCTGGGCGACAGAGCGAGACTCCGTCTCAAAAAAAAAAAAAAAAAAAAAAAAAAATTATAATATTAATATAGTTCCATTATTGCCATATGAAGTTATGGTTACACTGGTAGCAAAGCATATCTACACAAACTCAAAAACAAATTCTCAGAAAGCAAATAGTGCAATAAAGTGTATTATATATGAAAATCTAACTTTTTTACATAAAAATTTTAAACAAAACTCTAAGTTTGAGTATACTTTAAAGTGTTTTTTTTCTAATTAAACTAAAGGAGCAGGAAAATATCTGAAATAATATATGAAACTTTATTAGCACTTGAAAATAATTTTAATAAAAAATATTGCTATAAAACCATGAATTTTCTAAATTTTGCTGTTTATTGAAAAAGTCTGAAGTTTCAGTCAACATTTTAAAAAAATCTGGATGTTTTATTTAGCAATATCTTTAATCACTATATGTAACTCTCTCTTAGAAGGCAATAACAAATAAAAAAATCTAAACCTCTGCCAATATTTTCTTGATGAATTTAATATTTGTTTTTACACATCAAAAGTCGGCCGGGCGCGGTGGCTCACGGCTGTAATCCCGATATTTTGGGAGGCCGAGGCGGGCCGATCACCTGAGGTCAGGAGTTTGAGACCAGCCTGGCCAACATGGCGAAACCCGGTCTCTACTAAAAATACAAAAATTAGCCAGGCATGGTGGCACGTGCCTGTAATTCCAGCTACTCGGGAGGCTGAGGCATGAGAATCCCTTGAACCTGGGAGGCGGTGGTTGCAGTGAACTCAGATTGCGCCACCGCATTTCAGCCTGGGGGATAGAGCAAGACTCTGTCAAAAAAAAAAAAAAAAAGAAAAGAAAAGTCAATCAGATAATTAAATAAAATCGCTGATGAGCTGGTAATTGAAGTGATACATTTGAAAGAGTATTTGCTAGATGAGCAGCCTGTAGTGTCAGAGTTTGGATATATATTATTTTTTCAAAAATTGTAAAATAATAAACATTTGGAAAAAGTTATAGTTCCATCTCAATAAATGATCAGTAATAGAGGTTTTAATACTTTATTTGGCTTTATAAGAAAGACATGCTTCAGTTCTTAAAGCCGAGAGATAATTCAACTGCTGTTAAGAGTGCTTGAACACATAAAATTAAAGGAAACTTTGAAAAACATGTAGTGACAGTGCTAGAAAACAAAGAATTGAACTCATAATTTAATGAAACGACTGGCATCTGTATGGCCCTTTTTTCGTTTAGGGACAATATAATGTTAGACCTCAATTTTATAAATTTGAATGTAAATTAATTCAGCCCAAAGTAGTGGACTTCATTTCAAACAAAGGAAAATAATGCACATATGATTTCACTTTAAACTTAACCTAAAGCAGCTCAAATTTACACATAAAAGACATCAAACTGGTATGCAAAAAAGGCCTTTGAAATGAATTTAATATATCAAGTTCTGAGAAGCTCAGGTATTGAACATGGAAAAAAATCTCATTAAATATTTCTCACAGTGGATCAGAATTTGTTTCTTTTTGATTCTACCTTCAGGTCCTGAAACAGTGAGCAAGCTAATATATGAATGACGGGATAATAATAACATTTTTTATATCTCCCATCTCCAAGGAACTCAAATTCTTTATAGGAATGATCTCATTAATCCTAACAGCATCCCTGCAAGGGAGGCAGGTGAAAAGAGCTACAATAACCACTTTATAAATGAAAATAGTGGGAAATTTTAGTTTCATATAAATGAAAAAAGAGTGGTACCTTTTGACTTGGAGTATGGCAGTTTAGCTTGCGGACTGCTGCTTTATTAACTTTGAGCATGGTTTTCTTTTGAAATAGTTAAACTCATTAAACAATGCCTCACTTAAAAAAAATCTATATTTCCCTAAGTTTATAAGGTTTCAGTAGTTATTATATTTAACTAGAATATTTAAATTGTAATTGTAAGATTGTTTACTAAAACTGTGAAAAATTAACAAGACCTAAAAGGATGAAATAGTACATCACGTACACAATAGAACGTCAAAAATGAATGTAAGAAAAGAATATTCCTGATGGAGTGCGGAGGCTCACTCCTGCAATCCCAGCATTTTGCGGGGCTGAGGCGGGCAGATCACCTCAGGAGTTCAAGACCAGCCTGGCCAACATAGTGAAACCCTATATCTACAAAAATACAAAAATTAGCCGGGCATGATGGTGGGTGCCTGTAATCCCAGCTACTCGGGAAGCTGAGGTGGGAGAATGGCTTGAATCTGGAAGGTGGAGATTGCAGTGAGCCAAGATCGCATGATTGCATTCCAGCCTGGGCAACAGGGGGAGACCCTACCTCAAAAAAAAAAAAAAAGAAAGAAAGAAAAGAATATCCCTATACACAGCTTTTACCTTAAAATAACCCCAAATAGATCAAATAATTACTACATACATAATTTTTCATCTCAAAATAAATGAGATAAACGTTCATACAGTTGCCAAAGTAATAAACTATATCAGATCACTTCTAGCTGTGCATTTTCTTGTTGATTATTGAAATAGTAAAGTTCATGGTGAACATTTTGAAAAACACTAAAAAACTACAAAAAGAATGTTATAATTACAAAAAGTATAAAAATGATTTTCCATTATTAAACAATTCAAAATAAATTATTGTTAATATTGGCATGTTAAATTCCAAGTCGACATCCACACACATATTTCAGTCCATATTTTACAAAGAGTATATTTTGCAATCATGATGAACATGCAGTTTGGAATACACATGGTAACCTAACATTGCAGGTATTTTTCAATTCTTTAAATATTATTGAAATGTTAATTCTAATGTCTGTATACTGATATAACCTAAATGCATAACATAATTTATTTAAAATGTTTCTTTGGGGAATAATAGATTGCATCTACTTTTTGTATTATGTGTAACGCAAGGAAGAGTCTCTACAAGCCTCAATTCTTTTCTATATTTCACTTTATTTCTGTAGATTGTTTCCTAAAGTGAAGTGCAGAGATAAAAGTCATAAACTGACCCCACATTTCAGAATTTTAAATTCCACACTGTTATCAGAAATATAATGAGTTTACACTCCCAGCACCCATCTGACCTTGTCTTTATAGGCATTTATTATTTTAGTTCTTCTTTTAAAGATTGTTGAAATGGGAAAATAGTTATCTCCCCCTACTTTTTAAAGTAATTTTTGATGTCTTTATTTTGTTATCAGTGAGGTTAAACCACCCTCTTATTTTCATTAAGTATTTGTGATTCTAATTTTTCCATTATCTGTTTAGTTTATCTACTGTGGTGTGTTTTTAATACATTTTGGGAAAAAACGTATTGATTTATGAAAATAACATATACTCTTTAAAAAAGTCAGGATATAAAAAGGGAGACAAAAATGAAAGCAATGAAACCTTACCACCTAGAAACAGCTTCAATGATGACCTGACATCTATGATCCCATAAATAAGCACATGTGTGAATAGACACACATATTGATAATGAATGAGGAGGCTGTGAGCAAGAGCAAGAAATAATTTTAAAATAAAAAGATTACATTAAACATACTTAAAATATATTAAATTCAATTTTAATTGAATTTAAGAAAAGAAATACAAACTCAATTGATATTGAAGGGATTCTATAGTTCGATATAAATATTTCTTTACCACAGGAGATATTATTTCCTTAAAAATCTGTTTAAGATTGAGAAAAGAGATTCTAATATCTGTATTGAGTTTGAAGTCGTTATGGTTTTAACTCATAGATTTTAACTACTATAATATTGATATTATGAAAATGAGATTTTTAGTAGTCACATATTTCCTCCTACCTACCTGTCTCCAGTTGCCTATTTTATTGCTTGGATTATTTTCTCTCTGTCATGTTTTGTTGCATTTATATTCTGTTCGGATATATGATTTTGTTTCTTTATCTGGATGAGTTGAATTCTCAACACCGGTCACTTCACCACATCTAATTTCATGACTTTTTAAAATGTCTTACTCCTTTACTGATTGACTAAATTTTTATTATAGGGTTGCTTATTTAGTTGACATATAAACAGTATTATTTAATCCTGTTTGAAAATGCTTTCATACTTGATATTCAAACGACAGCTTTCTGTGGTATAAGATTTCAGGGTCACATGCCTTTCCCTCTAAATAATATAAGCTTTTCTGTATTGTCTTTTGGCCAGCCTGATGCCTTCTGTTCCAAATGTTGTTTTATCCTCTAGTCCTAGGAATTCTTTCTGTATTGCTGCAGTTCATTACTTTGAGCTGGATACATTTCCATGTTGATTTCTGTGCATTTGTGTGTTCATGATATCTACTGTGACTTTCCAACGATCATATGCACTTCTTCACTTTATCTTTCTTCTTTGCGTCATTTCTTTTGAACTTTGCATTGTTCTTTGCCACTGATTCACATTTCCATTGTTGCTGTTCTATTTCTGTTGATTCAAATTCACATATTAGATCTGTAATTGCATGGTTTAGAATTTGTATTTATTGCTCATATCCATGTGCCTTTTCTTGTTATGCCTTTTCATTTCAATGTTTCTAAGGCTAGGCATGGTGGCTCATGACTGTGATCCTAGCAACTCAGGAGGCTGAGGTGGAGGATGGATTGAGGACAGGAGATCAAGACCAGTCTGCGCAACACAGCAAGACTTTATCTCTGCATTTTTTTTTTTAATTAGCCTGGCATGGTGGCTCAGGCCTTAGTTTTAGCTACTTGGGAGCCTAAGGTGGGAGGATCGTTTAAGCCCAGGAGTTTGAGGCTGCAGTGAGCCATGATCGGGCCACTGCCCTCCAGCCTGAGTAGCTGAGACCCCATCTCTACAAAAGAAAAAAAAATGTCAATAACGTTTTAAGAACATTAAATACCTCAAACATTCCCTGAAAGTATTGAGAAGTTAAATATATGAAGGAAATGTATTTCTATTATAGACTTCCAAAAACTATTTTAAAGAGAGCTCACTTTCCTTCAATCTTCATTTCCTGTAGCATCTACTAACATTTACCTCAGTTTTAAAGAGAGTTCACTTCTCTCCAATCTTTATTTCCTGTAGTATCTGCTGAAATTTATCTGAATTTTCCCGTAGCATCTACTAAAATTTACCTGAATTATTATAAGTACCAAAAACCATAAAATAAAGAATAACTGATATACAAAGATCCTGACTACGTGAAGATAATATGTGACATCTTAATGTTTAAATACAATAATGAAAATAAAATAGATTTGTGTGGATAAACTAATTCTTATGGAAAGACTCTACTTTAAAATGATTTCCTTTTTTGATTTATCATTTTGCATTTATCACCAGAGGAGTTATAACCAGGATGCCAGAAAAAAACAAGCTCTTTGAATTTTTAGATCCCTTAGCTACAATTGTAAAGCCTCCTTAAAGATAAAGACATAAAGACTATTACATATTTTATAATGAAAATATAATTGTTAAGAAGGAACACCTTTGATAGATTCTGTTCATTTTAAATTTCTTTTATTTTACCATATTTATCTTAGATATTTCCCTGAAATCTACATGATTTATTTTTTCTGTCTCACTGAATTTGTTTTAGAAAGCCTGAACGTAATTGCCTGGGTTTATATCCAACAGTATTTTTGCAAGTTTTTGGGAAGTAACAATTGTGTCACTTCTCTTTTAATTCAGCATTATTTGTGGTATCAAACAGCTAAGTTTCAGAAGAAAACGATGATGTGTTCTACTCTGGGGATTTAGGGACTCCAAAATATAGTGAAGAATATGCCTTTGTATTAATTATGGCTTTGACATTGCTCCAGATGTACATAATACCTGATGTGTAAGCCAGATGCCCTATGCGTTCCTGCCTGCACCTGTCCACCGCTGCTAAGGAAATCAGAACCCCACTGCTGCAGGTGGGCCATGGCTGACTTCCAATATCTGTCTCATGATACTTTTGCTGCCCTCTGGGGAGACATGTAGGATCACTCTACAGAAACATTTATGATTTCATTATAGAATGAATCACCAAGAGTCAATGGGGGCCTGCTAATTGGCATTTAGAGAGATAAATTTATTTTAACTGCAAATGAAGGTATTTCTGTCTCCTTCTCATATAACCACTTGCAGAAGCTATATATCCTCTCAAAACTTTCTCACTAGGCTTGCCACTTTTAAAGCTTCCTAATGGTTTTTCAACTAAAAAAGGAAATTATTTTTGCTCAGGAATTTCTGAAAAGCATTTAAAGAAATGTACATATCCCTTCAATTTTTTAATTCTGCATAGCTTCTCCTGAAATTTCAACCAATGGTTCAGTGAGTTTTATTGTTATGCTGCCCTCCAAGAATTCCGGAATTCAGACATTTTGCAGTCTTCCCTCTAATACATTGGTTACAGCAGCACATTTACCTTTAAACTAAATGTATTTTCCTGGTATTTATATAAGGTAAAAAATAATCTCTCTGACTTAAGTTTTTTCTGTGGTAATTATTTCTGCAGCTGTTTCCCAAATACCTATAACCACTTAATAAATAAATATTTATGCATAGGATGTTTAAAATTATCATCATAAATATGGTTTTAGTTTGAACGGAAAGAATGGTTATCTGCCAACCTCCATAAATAAATTATCTGTGTGAAGAAAATTCAGTAAAATGTATTGCTTCAAGCTATCTTCCCTTGTTGCTTTATAAAATTCTACAGCTTAAAACATGTAGCTCTTTTTTGGGGGGTAAGATTCTATAATTCTGGTGATTTTTTATTCTAATAGAAAATATGATAAATAAGCCTATAAATTCTGAAAGAAAACATCTTTAAGAACAAACATGCTGATAAAGACCATTATTTTATGAAAAGCAAACATTAGAAAAAATAGACATTTTCCATTTTTTTGTTAACTAAATCTATTTTTTTGAAACTAATCTAAAAATATCTTGAAACGTTTATGATACAGCATGATTTTGAACTGCATTTAATTGTATTCAGCAAACATGAAAAGAGCCAAAATTTTACACTACCAATGCCTCTAATTATTCTGTGCATTATGAATATATAATACATCTTTACATCATATAAAATTGATAGATCACCTTCCTTATTTTTAGCTTGTGAAGAACTTTTGTTTACTGTTATTAAAATTGTAACCTTTATTCACACACAACCATAAATGTATATACTTAAAAAGTAAACAAAAGAAAAGTTTTAAACAAAAATAAATGTGGGTACAATTTCCCAAAAATGAAATGATTTTCCACAGGGTGCGGTGGCTCCTGCCTGTAATCCAAGCACTTTGGGAGGCCAAGGCAGGTGGATCATGAGGTCAGGAGTTCGAGACCAGCCTGACCAACATGGTGAAACCTCCTCTCTACTAAAAATACAAAAATTAGCAGGGCGTGGTGGAACACACCTGTAATTCCAGCTACTCAGGAGGCTGAGGCAGGAGAATTGCTTGAACCCAGGAGGCGGAGGTTGCAGTGAGCCAAGATTGCACCACTGCACTCCAGCCTAGGCGACAGAGTAAGACTCCATTTCAAAAAAAAAAAAATTTTTTTTTTCATAACAGATATACCTAAGGAAATAAGTGTCTAGTTTACCACCATGGCTAAAATATAAACACTAGCACAGTTATGGAGTTGTACAGTGAACTTTATCTAGTTTCTATGTTTCTTATTGATGACTTAGTTTTATAAAATTTGAATTTAATATGGGGATTCTCAGCTGTTAGTATTACAATTCATTTTTCTTAATATCTTTCTGAAAGGTCTGGCTCCATTTATTAGAAGCAATGAAATTTTTACATCATTTCTTTCATTGTTCTGTAATAAACCCTAAATCACAGAATGTTAAAGTCCAATGTCTAGAATTCATCATTTTTCTTTAATCTGATGAATTGAATATATTGATTATCCAAACATTAATACATAAGCCATGTCCAGTATAAGAAAATCACAAAAGTAACAAACTATAGAATTAAAATAAAATTAACACTAAAAATCACATAATTCAAAAGTCATTTTAATATTCTAAAGTATTCCAAAGTCATCACTCTGAATACCAATTATATTAATAGCTCTATAGATATATATGTTATAATATGTTGGGCTAAATTTATACTGGCTGGCTGTATATCTTATTTTGAATAATTTTGAATATGATTTTATGCCTCTACTTTATTTATTTTGAAAAATCTTCAGGGAGAAAAAAAATTTGCTGTATTTCAATACTGGGCATGAGCTCACCAGAAAATATACATTTTACTTGAATCTCCACAAATTGGCTTCACCTTTTTGAGAAAAGTTTGTTTCTGGTTAAGAGTATATAACAGAAGTGCCTTTGCTTAGAACACCCCAATTGCTATGCACTATGTCTACTTAATAAATAGAGACAATAAATAAATTATAGCATTCTTTATCACATTATATAATAAATGATACTGATATTTCTTAATTCAATCTTTATACTTGTGTATAGAAAATCTAACCTTATATACTGTATTAGTCCATTTTTATACTGCTGTGAAGAAATACCTGATATTGGGTAATTTATAAAGAAAAAGAGGTTTAATGGACTCACAGTTCCACATGGCTGGGGAAGCCTCCCAATCATGGCAGAAGGCAAAGGAGGAGCAAAGGCACGTCTTACATGGGGGCAGGCAAGACAGCGTGTGCAGGGGAACTGCCCTTTATAAAACCATCAGATCTCATGAGACTTATTCACTATCACAAAAATAACACGGGAAAAACCCACCCCCTTGATTTAATTACCTCCCACTGGGTCTCTCCAATGACACTTGGGAATTCTGGGAGCTACAATTCAAGTTGAGATTTGGGTAGGGGCACAGCGAAACCATATCACATACCAAAGTTTTATTTATATATTTCATAGACATGAATATCACAAATCACTTAACAGTATTCCTATATATCTAAAGATTGTCCTTTGGAAATCTGTGATCTAGATGAGATAATAGCACTAATGAAACAAACTTCATTTGAACTTCACTTCCATAAACTATTTCAAAGAATTGAGCTTTATTAAAACGGTTGGGAGGGCGAATTTGTATAGATTTGAAAATAGTATATGTGAGTTCTATTGCTATTTTTATTTTTCTGCTTCTGTTCCTTTTATAAAGTTACTGTTTAACACTAAGCCTAAAGTCATATTTTCTATTTTAACTCATAATCATTAGATTCTCAGTGTTTTTGATTTTACAAATACTTCATTTCCAAAGGAATTGTTTTACTTTATCTTTCAAAGTGTTTTAGTTTCTTTCAGCACTCATGTCAGCAACAGACAATTGAAATAAGAAACATTTTCATTGTCAATGATACTGATTTCAGCAGGAATTAAATAGTGCACAAAATTATATTTTGTTAGAAGAGGAAGTCTTGTGTTCATTTTATTGTTTCTTTGTAAGTATAGATGATTTATAAACCTTGCACTTCATTTATTTCTCTGT
Organism: Homo sapiens; assembly: GCF_000001405.40. Taxonomy (NCBI): domain Eukaryota; kingdom Metazoa; phylum Chordata; class Mammalia; order Primates; family Hominidae; genus Homo; species Homo sapiens. The sequence goes on along the minus strand of NC_000013.11, from coordinate 103,448,376 downwards.
ACACATGATGTTTCTTGACCATCTGTTTTGGTGCTTCCCACTGTGCTATATTCTGGTATAAATAAAGATGTCAATAAGTGCTTGACCTTGAGGGTTTCCCACAATCTGTTAAGGAATTCAAAAATAAATATATAGATGAAATCCAATGGACAAAGTGTGACGTTAGTGTTATACATGCTATTGGCTTACAAGAAAGAGAGTATCTCACTCTTCACAGTAGAGCAGTAGAAGACTTCACAAAGAGCACATCTTCTGAGTTGGATTTTCAAGACAGAGTTGGAGGTTGACAGGTAAAGAAAATGGCAAATGGGGTCCAAGTGGAGAGAACTCAATTGTAAACATGCGGAAACATAAAGACCTTGGACCCTTATAAGAACAGTAACAGATATGGATTGCCTGGCTTGAAAAGTGTAATTGTTAAAACACTATGGTAGGAGGGGCCATGCAGGTTTATGCCAGATGTCAGGCTAAAGAGTTAGCACTAGATTATATAGGAAATGTGGTAAAACTTTAATGATTTTATATCAAGAAGAAAAATGCTGAGATTTTTGTTTTAGAAAAATCAGTCTGAGCATGAGGAAAAGATGGTAAAGAAGAGAAAAGATAACTAAAAGTAATTTACACAGATAATTACAAAAATCTAGATGAAAGAGACTATGACTTAAAATAGTAGATGACATTGAGAACAGGAGACCCCCAAGAGATTTGGGATACACTTCGGAAAAAATAGCTATTAATTAGAGGGTTTATTTTTCTTGCATTATCAAACAAACTGAGGAAGGTAAATTTAATTATCGATCCAGCTAACACAAAGACATGTGCTTGGCAAATGTTGTATGGGTATTTAAAATATCTTACCAAGTTTATTCTCATAAAAATCCATAGTATATTGAGGGGATTAATAAAAAGAAAGATAGAGGCATATGGGGATCTCATCTAACAAGTCAATTTTCTGCTGCAACTTTAACATTTAACATTTTTTATGCTTGTTAGCTCTTGAGTTTTGAAGATATTCAGGGTCTATCCATTCTAGACATCTTTCTCTCCCCCTTTCAAACTGTAAACATCTAAATTTATATTTGATCTAAAACATTTTTCACAAGAGTTGCTGAATTAGGAGGCACATTGATCCAACAGATGTATCAAATCAATTAGCCTGGAGGATTAGAAACAATATTTAACCATTCAAAGTCACCTGTCATAAGTGCCATCAAATGAAAAAGGGGAAATTTTGTCCTAATTATTCTACCTTGTAATAGTACTATTGTGGTACAAGTGAAGTACCAAAAGGTTTGGTTTGGTTTGGTTTGGTTTTCTCATCAGATAAGGGCTGGCTAGAGGTGGTGGGAAACTATTTATACCTGAAGTTTTTCTCTTGAGTAGCCAATAGATAATAAGGCCATTAACTCAGATTGAGATTAAACAGAGGATTATTGCTCTGTTTACTTGCCTCCTTAGACTTGGGGGCAAATATGTCTAATTTAGAGGATTATTTTGAGATGTCTGAGATGTATGAAAGACATGTTCTTAAGTTGTTTAGCAGGTAATTGTGTAGTTGAATAGCAGTCCGATATGACACCAAAAGCACAGGCAACAAAACAAAATATAGACAAACTGGAGTTAGTGAAAATTTGTTTTTAATTGTGCATCACAATGTAGTATGGATACAATAAAAAAGCAGCCCACAAAATGGAAGAACATTTTTGCAAATCATATATCTGATAAAGGATTAATATCCAGAATATATAGAGAACACCTCAAATTTCAAAAAAAGAAAAGATGTAAAAAATGGACAAAAGTATAATACCCAGTACTGGGATTGCCGGATCGAACGGTAATTCTGCTTTTAGTTCTCTGAGAATTCACCATACCATTTTCCACAGTGGCTGAACTAATTTACACTCCCACCAACAGCATATAAGTGGTCCCTTTTGTCTGCAACCTCACCAGCATCTGTTATTTTTTTACATTTTAATAATAGCCATTCTGACTGGTGTGAGATGGTATCTCATTGTGGTTTTGATTTGCATTTCTCTAATAATCAGTGGTAATGAGCTTTTTTCCATATGATTGTTAGCCACATGTATGTCTTCTTTTTGAGAAGTCTCTATTCATTTCCTTTGCCCACTTCGTAATGGGGTTGTTTTTCTCTTGCAAGTTTAAGTTCCTTAAAGATGCTGGATATTAGACCTTTGTCAGAGGCATAGTTTGCAAATATTTCCCCCATTCTATACGTTGTCTGTTTACTCTGTTAATAGTTTATTTTGCTGTGCAGAAACTCTTAAGTTTAATTAGATCTTATTTGTCAATTTTTGCTTTTGCCGCGATTGCTTTGGTGCCTTTGTCATGAAATCTTTGCCTGTTCCTATGTCCAGGATGGTAGTGCCTAGGTTGTCTTTCAGGGTTTTTATAGTTTGGGGTTTTAGATTTAAATCTTTAATCCATCTTAAGTTGATTTCTGTATATGGTGTAAGGAAGAGGTCCAGCTTCATTCTTCTGCATATGGCTAGCCAGTTATCCCAGCACAATTTATTGAATAGGGAGTCATTTCCTTATTGCTAGTTTTTGTCAGTTTTGTTGAAGATCAGATGGTCGTAGATGTGCAGCCTTATTTCTTGGTTCTCTATTCTGTTCCCTTAGTCTATGTGCCTGTGTTTATACCAGTACAATGCTATTTTGGTTTTCTGTAGCCTTGTAGTATAGTTTGAAGTTGGGTAACATGATGCCTCCAGCTTTGTTCTTTTTGCTTAGGATTACCTTGGCTATTCAGTCACTTTTCGGGTTCCATATGAATTTTAAATAGTTCTTTCTAGTTCTGTGCAGAATGACATTGGTAGTTTCATGGGAACAGTGTTGAATTTGTAAATTGCCTTGGGCAATATAGCCATTTTAATTATATTGATTTTTCCTAACCATGAGCATGGGATGTTTTCTATTTGTTTGTGTCTTCTCTGATTGCTTTGAGCAGTGTTTTGTAATTCTTATTGCAGATATCTTTCACCTCCCCGGTTAGCTGTATTTCTAGGTATTTTATTCTTTTTGTGGCATTTGTGAATGAGATTGCCTTTCTGATTTGGCTCTTGGTTTGACTGTTGTTGATGTATAGGAATGCTAGTGATTTTTGCACATTGATTTTGTATCATGAAGCTTTGCTGAAGTTGTTTGTCAGCTGGAGGAGATTTTGGGCCAAGACTATGAGGTTTTCTAGATATACATTCATGTCATCTGCAAACAGAGATAGTTTGACTTCTTCTCTTCCTATTTCGATGCCTTTATTTCTTTATCTTGGCTGATTGCTCTGGCTAGGGCTTCCAATACTATTTTGAATGGAAGTGGTGACAGAGGGCATCCTTGTCTTGTGCCAGTTTTCATTCTACCATAAAGACACATGCATGTAAATGTTCATTGCATCAGTATTCACAATAGCAAAGATGTGGAATCAACCTAAGTGCTCATCAATGACAGGTGAGGTGTCAGATGCCCACAAGCTAGAGAACCAGAAGCTGAAGCTGACCAAAGCAGCAGCTCGGGCTGAGACTGAACAGTTCTGCCTACAGAGGGAGGAAGAGTTCAAGGCCAAGGAAGCCATGGCACTAGTATCCCATGGCAGCTGCAGCAATGAAGTGGAGAGGGCGACCCAGGAAAAAAGACTTTACTCCAGATCTACTTCCCACTGGGCATATATGAAGTCTTGATTAACCTCTTGGCCTTTGTCTGCAACATCTGGCCATAAATCTATAAAACTACTGCATAAATAGATAGGAGAAGAAAGAAGTGCCTGTTTCATGGATTGGCATTTTACATGCGCTCATAAAATATGAAGCTTTAGCAAAGCTTGAATTACATTCTTATGAAAAGTCATTAAATTATTTCTGTACATTATGCAGTAGGTCCCTTCACACTTCGGAAAGTAACAAATCTAGCTTCTTTGTACCGACTTAGAAGTTATCTAAAGCTTTCATCTTCTAACCTCATATGCCTTAGAAATTTAACGGGTATATTGTCTGTTTCCTATGCCTTTTGGTTCAAGCAACATATATGGCAATGTTTCTTGAGCCAAAAGGCATATCTAGTAAAAAATTTATTTGAAGGAAGAAAGATGTTAAATATTTTTCCCCCTGATGCTCTCTTGAAGGTCAAGGGCTTTATCGCTGAAAAACTAGTGGTTATTTGTAACATATGTGAAATGGCAGCCAGCCTTCAAGTAGTTCATTCCTGCTGATGATTAGAAAAATGAATACTAGTATAATTGTTTGGGTTCCTTTTAGTTTATCTTAATCAAAATTACCAGATGACAGAATTCAAGAATTTGTTACATGTTATTAGTTGGTGTACCAATAATCACTTAAAAGTGAAGACTTTTTGTCATGCAAAAAATGGACAAAGACTTTAATAGACATATCTTTAAAAAATACAAATGGCTAATAAGAACATAAAATGATGTTCAACATCTCTAGTCACTTGGGAACTGCAAATAAAAACTACAACATACCACTTCACAACATTAGGGTGGCTACTATCAAAATAGCAGGAAATAGCAGGTAATGGCAAGAATGTGAAGTATTTGGAACCCTTCTGCACTGTTGGCGGGAATGTGAAGTATTATAGGTGCCGTGGAGAACAGTGTGGTGGCTCCTTAAAAGTTAAACACAGAATTACCATGTAATCCAGCAGTTCCACTTTCAGATATATGTACCCAAAAGAAGTGAACGCAGAGTCTGGAACAGATATATGTACGCCTATGTTCACAGCAGCATTATTTACAGTAGCTAAAACATGGAAACAACCCAAGTGTCCATTGACAGATGAATAAATAACAAATGTGGTATACACATACAATGGAATATAATGCGGCCTTAAAAAGGAAGAAAACTCTGATATAGGCTAGAATGTGGAGGAAACTTGACAGCATTATGCCAAGTGAAATAAGCCATATTCACACACAAAAATGACTGTATGATTCCACTTATATGAGGTCCCTAGAGTGGTCAGAATCATAGAGACAGAAAATAGAATAGTGGTTACGGGGGCTGGGGGGAAGAAGAAATAGGAGTTGTTTAATGGGTATACAGTTTCACTTTCACATGATGAAAAGAGTGCTGCAGATGAATGCTGGTGATGGTTGCAGACATTACAAATGTATTTGATACTGCTGAATTGCACACTTAAAAATCACTAAGATGGCAGATTTTATGTGTATTTTGTCACAATTTAAAAAGGGAAAAAGTAGTCAGATATAAAGTCCATCAAAGGAACTAAGAAGAAAGTAATCAGAGAAGTAGAAGTGGAAGAAAAAGAAATCAGCCTTAAAACCAAAGAGAGAAAGAATCTGGATAAATGCCTATTGATCTGAGTCATATTAAAAATCAGAGACGCAACATTACTTTTCTGAGGTGCATGGTGTTACCTCTCTGAATGAAAAGGAGGCAGCTATATTTTTTGATGTTGTAATTAACACACGTAGTTGTTTAATGAGATTTACATGCAAAATTCTTGAATGATGGTAAATTGAAGCCTATATGAAAGTATGATAATCTTAATGACACAACATTTTATTTATCTTTTTATTTTTAAAAGGATAAAGTGCAGAACGTGTAGGTTTGTTACATAGGTATACATGTGCCACGGTGGTTTGCTGCACCTATTAATCCGTCATCTAGGTTTTAAGCCCCTCATGCATTAGCTATTTGTCATAATGCTCTCCATACATTTTACCTAACCAATAGCTAACAGCCCAGTTAGAAGGAAAAGTTGCGAGAGAGAAAATGAGTTTGTTAAGTTCACCAGCAACCAAATCTCAAAGATTGTAATGGTAATAATAATTTTTTATAAATCAAAAAATAAGTGATATAAGCAGGATAGCTGGAACTGAGATGAGAATTTCTGTGGCATCTGATTAACTGCCAGGAAATGACTGATTCTCTAGTAATCAAAATGAAAAAGGAAATCAGGTAGGTTTATAATATATACAACCACAGGCTCTATGATGCACAGCACTCACCAATTCAACCTTCTTGTGGATTAATTAGCATTGTGAATACTCAGCATATATTAATGGTTTACAAGTAAGAAATTACAAACGTTGTGCAGGTTCAAAGGATCTCAAAACAGCTCAAGGGATTAGCATAAAACATGGTGATCTTTTAGAAGAGCACACCTGTTATAATTAGACGCTGTCAAAAGCAGTGATTAGAACAGAGAGCATTAAAAATCTGTTGTGTTTGGGTTTTGAGGACATTACCATTAGAGAAAGTTAGGAAAAGAGCTCTTGAACCCTTCTGACCTCTTTTTTCCAGACAGAAGAAAAATATAAAAACAAATGCTTAAAACACACAGAATACTCACTGAACAAAACATTTCCCAGCCCAACTTCAAGTAAAAGCTTGAGAAAGTTAGGAAAAGAGCTCTTGAACCCTTCTGACCTCTTTTTTCCAGACAGAAGAAAAATATAAAAACAAATGCTTAAAACACACAGAATACTCACTGAACAAAACATTTCCCAGCCCAACTTCAAGTAAAAGCCCATTCAGATGAGTGCATAGCTAGCAACACTGAGTAGACTCATGAAGTATGCTCGGACAAGAACAGCACCAAGTGTCCTCATGGAGTGAGATGGCAACTGAATTGCAGGTCTTGTGAGTCCAGTTCTCAGAGAAAAGTGGATTCATAATTCTAAATTGTTCCAGAAAAGAAAACTAATGAGAAGTTTGTTTTCCATGTAGGTCCTCATTGTCATATTCGTCAGAAGGAGAACTAGAGAAACACAGTATATTTCTCCTCTTCTGAAAACGCAGACATGCCTGTGTATGGGACCATTCTGTGGCCAGCCAGCCCTGTGTACCCTCCTAAATCTTCCTAAGGTTCTCATAACCTAAAATTCATAATTTGTGACCTAATCAGAGCCCATTTACAATATTCACTACTGGGGACTTGAACTCTCTTAATGAGAAAAGTGCCTCCTTCCCATTAAAAGGCCAAGTTACACTAATTTTCAACATCTTCTGCAAGCATACCTTGACGATGGCTATGTAATTTAGTTACCTCATTAAAAGTAATGGCAAGAAGCACAATTACTTTTGCACCCAACTAATACATGACTTTTTCTCTCTGAATCTCACTTGCTGGATTGTGGGGATACCACTGTAGATTCAGTTCAGTCTTTGGGACATGAATATTAGGGTTCCTATTGAGGTTTCATTATGTTGGCACATGAATAAGCAGAATGTGCCCTCTGACCCAAACTCCCATGGAGGAGTAGGCACCAACACAGGTGGCTCTCAGAGCAGTGTTTTTAGGGTAACAGAAGATATCGCAGCAGGCATACCAACCTGAAGAGACTGAAGTGCTGCCCTTGACACCCTGAATTTGGCCAGCCAGCTCTTTTCTGTCTAAATAGAACCTTCTATAAGAAGAGGCTATTTCCATTTGACCCAGCCATCCCATTACTGGGTATATACCCAAATGATTATAAATCACGCTGCTATAAAGACACATGAACACGTATGTTTATTGTGGCACTATTCACAATAGCAAAGACTTGGAACCAACCCAAATGTCCATCAATGATAGATTGGATTAAGACAATGTGGCACATATACACCATGAAATACTATGCAGCCATAAAAAGGATGAGTTCATGTCCTTTGTAGGGACATGGATGAAGCTGGAAACCATCATTCTCAGCAAACTATCAGAAGGACAGAAAACCAAATACTGTATGTTCTCACTCATAGGTGGGAATTGAACAATGAGAACACTTGGACACAGGAAGGGGAACATCACACATTGGGGCCTGTCATGGGGTGGGGGGAGGGGGGAGGGATAGCATTAGGAGGTACACCTAATGTAAATGATGAGTTAATGGGTGCAGCACACCAACATGGCACATGTATACATATGTAACAAACCTGCACATTGTGCACATGTACCCTAGAACTTAAACTATAATTAAAAAAAAAAAAAAAGAAGAGGCTATTTCCTTGTGAGGTCTCCAAAAGTTAGAATGCAACCAGAACATTATTTGGTGCACAAAACACTGCCTAGATATATATTTTTATTTGTATTTTTCATGTTTAGAAAATGAAATTAATGAATAACATTTATCTCTTTCTAATATGTATGTTGTTGAGTATATGTATGTGTGTGTGTGTTGTGTGTGTATTTTTGTGTACGTATGCACATTCCAGCCAAACCCTCATCAGCTGCTGTTTTATTATCCCATATTTTGCCATTTATTTACAACAAATGGTTTATCCATCTGGTCATAAGGAGAACTTTCATAAACATGAGCATCTGACCATAACATAACTCACATCGCATTTGTGTTCAAAAACTGTCCCCCAAACCCTTCTTTCTTAATATTTCATGTTGTATTTTAAAAAAAGAGATTATATAATTATCTTCTACATGTCCAAAAGACCTATTACCACAGTTGCCAGGTGATTATTGATTTTGGAAGCAACTTTCAAATTTTAAATGAAGAATGTCATTTAACTTCAGAATAGAAGGTAGGCTTAACGTTCATTATAAAACAGCCATGATCCACTCTTTGAAAATAGCATAGAATGCTGGGTCAGCCTTCATCATTTCTGTGATTTGATGCCATAACTGTGGCCATAAACTTCAAAGGCACAGGGACAGCTTGGAGGCAGTTCAACAGATAGCAATGGAATCAGAGTTTCAGAACTGGAAGGGATACTCGGATCAATGCATTCTCCTAACTGCACAGAGGAGAAATAGATAGATTGGAAAGATAGCTAAAGAAAATATTCTCAGAAAAGGGGTTATTTTTTGTGTTGAAAGAGAAGGCAAAAGAGTATCTTCCAATTACAAATATGTAGTTGAAAATAGAGTATAAGGATGTCTTTGCCACTACCCACCACACCACATACACACACACACACACACACACACACACACACACACACACACAAAATCACAATCATAATCACATATAACAGCAATACATACCCAAATCAAGACAAAAAGTGGAAAGGAATTATGCTGTAAGTTGAGCCAAACGCAAAATAAATTAGTAAATACCCAAGGATGTGAGCTGTTGTTCTATCTGAAGAACTTAAGCATTGAAATCTTTACTTTTTAGTGGTGAAAATATTAGCAATTAGCAAATATTTTAGATTTTGAAACACTTTTCTTTTTTCTTTTTTTGAGACAGAGTCTCGCTCTGTTGCCCATGCTGGAGTGCAGTGGCGCGATCTCGGCTCACTGCAACCTCCACCTCCCAGGTTCACGCCATTCTCCTGCCTCAGCCTCCCAAGTAGCTGGGACAACAGGCGCCCGCCATCACGCCTAGCTAATTTTTTGTATTTTTAGTAGAGAAGGGGTTTCACCGTGTTAGCCAGGATGGTCTTGATCTCCTGACCTCGTGATCCACCTGCCTCGGCCTCCCAAAGTGCTGGGATTACAGGTGTGAGTCACCATGCCTGGCCGATTTTGAAACACTTTTTTACATATTTCATTAAGTTGACACAATAATCATATGACACAGGTATTAATATTCACATTTGTCATACATGAAAACTGAAGGTCAGAGAATATGTAATTTAACAAAAACTGCACAGTTTGTAAATGACAGTATCAGAAATCAATTTAGGTGTTCTGATTTAAGATATTAGTCATTTCTTTGTGTCTAGTGAGCACTTCTTTGGCGGTAAAGAATAGTGATTTAAAATAATACTTTGGAAAAAACGGGGCCCTTTCATGCCTTTCTTAAAAACAGCAAATGTGGGAACAGGACAAACTAACTGGAAAAGGGGGCTCATCTAGCCCTGCCTTTTCCTAGAACAGCCGGCAGAAGTGCTTTGGTATCCCTTGATGATAGCACTGCCCTGCATGTGTGACAACAAAAGAGATAACAACATATCGACATATCAAGAGATAACATGCATAACAACAACTCATCCTAAGCCAAGGCTGGGTTTTGGAAAGGTTGCCGAATCATAAAAAAAAAGTTTACGTTTTCAAATGAAAAATTCAGTTGTTTGGGAAAAAAGACTCAAGCCTACACAGCTAATCCCAGGTAAATTAGTGTTGTCTAGTGGAGGGAACATAGGTTTGAGTGCAGTCAGATTCATAATCAAATCCAGGCTTAACTCCTCACTCTTGGGTGCACTGCTCTATTTATTATTTGCTTTCACTGAACCTCAGTTACGCCATCTATAAATGGTGGGAAGTGCCAGTTTCAAAGGGCTAGTCTGAGGCTCAAAGGAGATTGCCTGTGTAAACTGCTTTCTACCAGCCCCTCCAGGAGTGCCATTCTGTTATTTTGTGTAGTTATGCACAAGACCTCAAGCCCATGCAGACATACTTAGGGTTAGAGTGTTAGCATTAGAAACAGAGTTAGGGTCAACATTAAGGATTTAGAGATCTTTGTTTTCTTCTCTTAATAATTAGAATGCACAATTACTTTATTTCTTTTGTGAGTGTCATATGGCTTACATGCCTAGCAACAGTGACCAACACAACTAAGTTGTTTAAAAAATATTGTTTTTAATGTTACTGAATTTCCTGCTGTGAAGATATTCTCTAGTGCCAAAAATTACACGTCATAGCTTTTCTCTAGAACTCACTCAGTAAGAGATCAGCTACAAAATATTATTTCTACATCTGGAGAATTCATGTGTGGCATGAGAGTTTCTTTTAACTCATGCATATATGAGTGAATAATGATCCTCCCACATCTGAACAAGCTGTGCAAAATGTTCCAACTCTATCCCTCCTGTACTGCTACGTTTCTACAGATAGTGATATGCTATAAAATAAGATTATTAAGAATTTGATTACGATTGGTATGGATCTTGGAAACAGCCTGAATTTAGATTATTTAAACTTTATTTCTATTATTTAAAACCTATGCATTTCCAAGTACCCTTTGGCTAAGCTACCAATGAGGGTAGGATTTAATATTTATTGAGCATCTACTGTGAATTAAATATTCTTTATGTATTAGCATTGAATTCTCACTAGATCACATATCAGTATTCTAAGTTATAGATAGACCCAGTAATTGAATGGCTCAAACATAACGCATGCTCATTTCTTGCTTACGTAAGCTACTGGGTGGGTTTTCATGATTATAGCTCTTGTCCAGGCCATCATTTAGGGTGAGTTCCTTTCATCTGATGGCTCTGCCATCCCCTACTGCCTCATTATTGTTTGAATCCAGTTAGAAGAAGGGAGAATGTCATGTTGAAGGTTTTATGGCCAGGTTTAGAAGTGACACACAGCCCTTCCACTCCCATTATGTAGGACAGAATTAGTCACATGTCCATACCCAGTACAAGGGATGCTGGGAAATGTTTTCTACCTACATCCAAAGAAACAGTACCTTAGGCTCATAGTGTTAAATAAATAATTTGTGGTAATGACCAGGTTTTGGACCCAGGCTTATCTAACTCCAAAGTTCATGTTGTTTCTGTGATCATAAGCTGCCTATCAGATTTTAAGACTTATGTTTCTACCACACTACGGCTCAAAATTTGTTGTACATTTTCTCCCGTTCATCCTGTTACTGAAGAAGCCATAATAAGTGACTCCTAAATTCAATATTCTTAGATGTAAAAATTTCTATTCCAAGTGTCTACTTCGCTTTTGATCTTTTAAGTGTGCATTCTAGAAGGGGAACAAATCCACCAGTGTTTGTATCAAATATTAAATGAGGGTTACCTAAGACCCAAAAGGCTTGGACCCTCATCTTTCACTCAGGAAAATGTGAGTGTGCCCTAAGAGTAGAAATGCAAGCATTCTACATGACAATAAACACAACCAGCAGTTAACTACAAGTGTAATTTTGTGGAAGCCACAGAAATGCAGTTCTCAGCTCTGATTCAATAGATTCCTTCCTTCCTGCGGGGAGCACAGCAAGCATGGCTAACAGGCAGCCCCAGCCGACCCCCGTCGGGATCTCCGCTGCAGGCACATGGAGACCACACTTCCCTCAGGATTCTCCCAGGCAGACACAGAAGGGACACGAAGGAAGTCCAATCCTGCAGATCTACAGAACCCTCTGATGGGAATCTTTGGCTCAGGAACTCCACATCACTGGGACCAAACGTTCTGAGAACAGCACTAGGGTCTGAGAGCCTTCTTGTCAGGTCTCTCTCCTGTCTCTCATTTAACATTGTCGGTCTCAGGCCTGCAATGCTGTGCGCAGGCCTACCAACCCCTGCTCTTTTATTCTTATGTATTTATCTCAATAAATCTCTTGCTTGTCTAATCCTTTTTGAACATTTATTTCTGGAGGACTTAAATTGATGCAAATATTAAGTTGAACTTAATATTTGTAGATGCTAAAAGCGCATCAATTTATAAATATACACACTCATACACATACATTTACAGCGAGAGAGAGGGATGTCTAAGCCCCAAAGTAAGCAAAATGCTTGAAACAAACAAACAAAAAAAACAGGAATAATCTCACTAAAGTCAGGAACAAAACAAGCGTAACTACTATAAAAGCCATCATGTAATGTTGTAAATGAAGAACTAAGCAAAAATAAAACAAAACAAAATGAAAAGAATTACAGTAATAAAAATTCAAAGTAAAAAGACTTAATTTTACCTGATCTGATTATGCCTGAAAATCACAAATGGTAATAAAAAATATGGCAAACAGTAAGTTCATAAAAATTGCAGAAAACAAGAGTAATACTATTAAAAAATCCATTGTTTTTACACTTGCAAACAATAGCCAGTTAGAAAGTATAATAGAAGGAAAGGTCCTATACTATAAATTATAAAGCCCGTAGGAATAAATTTAATAAGACCTGTGTAAATCTATATGAAAACAATTTTAAAATGCAACTGAAAAACAAAACTTAAGAATTGAACAAAAGACACAGTATGTGTTCATGGAGAGGAAGATTTAACATCGTACAATAATTATTTCTCTGTTAAGTTTATTTGCTTCTTTGAAATGCACCCAACAAAATACCACAATCATATTATTTAGAATTAGGACAGTGATTATAACATTAATACAGATGAATAAACAATGTAGTGAAGAAATATTTGAAACAGAAGAGCAATGAAGAATCACTGGTTTTACTAGATATCAAAATATTATAAAGCATTAATAATAAAAAATAATATGGTATTGATGCATAAATAGGCCATCAAACATAATTCAGAATCTAGAAAACCTAGCAAAATCCCAATTCAAAACAAAATTCCTTTTAAAAAAAGGGAATTTAGTATATGGTAAAAGTTGTTTCTACCTTTTGAAATCAGTAGGGAAAAGGGGACTACTAAAATTGGCAAGAATAACTAAGTAGACATTTGGAAAAACATAAAGCTAAATTCATATGCCACACTCTACACCATGATAAATTTCCAATGATCAAAAATCTATACGTGAATTAATTAAGCTGTGAAACTACTAGAAGAAAACATGGCTAAATTCTTCATAATATTGAAATAAGAAAAGTCTTCTTTATTCAGACTCAAAACTCAAAAGCCATAAATCTGATAAATTTAACCACATGAGAATCAAAATTTCCTTCAGGTAGAGAGTTTATGCAAAACAAAATCAAGCTAAGTGCAGCTAACTGTCAGGGAACAGGGAAAGGGACTGAGGAGTGCTCAAATTTCCCACTAGGGTCAAGCCTGGCTAATTAAATTAATGAGAAACCAACCCAAATCCCAATAGGAAGGAAATGAAAAGACAGTTCACAAAAAAGAAAATGGAAATGATGCCAAAACGCATGAAACAATGTTCATATTTACATATAATGAGTGAAATGCTAACTAAAATTGAATTCAAATACATTTTTCTCCAGATATTTTTTAAAAATCTAAGTTTTGATAACTGACTCTGGGCTATCATTTGAATGATGTTGATTGCTCCAAAATTCATGAAACTTGACCCCCAATGCCACATTATTAGGAGGTTTGGCTTTTGGGAGTTTACTGAGTCAGGAGGGTACTGGCCTCACACTGGGATTAGCTGTTCTCATCAAAGGACTTGATAGAGAAAGTTAACCCCTTTTTGCCCTTCCACTCTTCTGCCTCATGAGGATGTCACAAGAGAAGGTGCTATCTACGGAGCAGGCCCTCACCACACATCAAACCTGCTGGCACCTTGATCTCAGCCTTTGCAGCCTCCAGAACTGTGATAAATAAGTTTCTGCTCTGTATAAAGTACCTGGTCTCAGGTATTTTGTTATAACAGCAGACTCAGACACCCTCTTATGAGGTTATAGGGAAACAGGTGCTTTCATATACTGCTGGGCTAAATTAGCACCATCCTTTCCGAGGGCAAGTTGGCAATGTCATCATTATGAAAATGGACCCAGAAATTACATCCTTGGAATTTAACTGCACAAATATGACATGATGTAAGGCTCCTTACTGAAGCATCTTTTATGGCTACCAATAGGAAACAACTCAGATAGTTAATAAATGATGACAACTTCTCACAATGCAATGTGATACTACTTAAAGGAAAGGAATGAAAGAACTGTATCCAAACATAGAAATATTTCCTTCCAAAATACTTCAAATAAAGACCAAGATATACAGTAATGTGTGTGATATGATACACACACCTTCTGGATATAAAAAAGGAAATAAGAGTGCACATGTGTGTATATGTGTACCTGCAAAATGAAACCCTGGAAGAAAACATAAGAAACTAATGACCATGGTTACCCACAGGGGGGGAGCAGTAAGAGATGTGCAGATGAGGGATGAAAATGAAGGCAAGACCTTTTATTCTACACATTTTTATAACTTGATTCTGCATTCAAATTTTTTGATCATCTATTCAGTTTCTATAATCATAAGAAGAATACCAGAGCAAGCAAAGGTTAAAATATATATATTCATTTATTTCAAAAATGTTTATTCAACAACCACGGTGTAGCAAGAGCTGAACCAGGCAATGAAGAATGAAAGATGACAATTCCAGTATTTAAGGAGCATACAGTCTAGTGAAAGAAACTGACAAGCAATAATGACCTAGATTTAAAACTTGAATGATTGAGCAAAGGAAACTGCACCAGTAGAAACAGAAAAGTCAAAAGGGAAAGCCACCTTAAGAAATAATATAGCTGATAGGAGATATTCTACAATTTGATGAAATGAAGGATTTATGCAAATTGAAAATTCCATCAGTTAGTGGATACAAGACTGGCATTTATAAAGGACTCCAAAACTGGATTTTGAGTGTTATTTTGAGGCTGAAAATATAGAAGAGAAAGCAAAAAGAGAAGGGAATTCATAGGAAATCCTAGCCAATGTCCACATGCATTGGGCTTAGGACATTTTTCCTTTCATTGAAGTTTCCATTCAAGATTCTGCCCTGAAAAAGTAGCCTCAATAAACATAGGATTGAAGTATTTTTCATATACAACTAAACAAAAGGCTTAAAACTCATAACAGTCTCTGTCAAAACATCTATCTCTTTAAAATGATAATAACTTTAAAAACTCACAGTAAGATAGTCTATGATATGATATTGCTGAAGCTGTATATCTGACATCTGGTGAGATGTCTAGTACCATTTTATGATTTATGATACAGGAAATCTGAAGATCCTTTGGATACGGTATGATTCATGTAAAAAAGACACTTTGATTCAAATCCATTTACTTTTATTTTTGATCATTCAGAGAAATTATTTCATGTCGAATATTAATTCTTCCAAGAAACATCTGGTAGAGCACGATGCTAATGAGGCCACAGTTGCTGGTTCAATCCGTACACTGCAGACAGGCGCCACAGAGGGAGAAGCTTTTTTTGTATGCACCTCTAATCAAGTCCAGCTGTCTTCCAATTTTGACACTGGGCACAAAGGGACCCAGGTGAGAGAAGGTGAATTCCTGATGAGGAATCATCATCCACAAAAAGTAGCAGAAATTTCTTAGTTAATCTTACATCTCACAACATGACAGGCTGTGGGCTCAGTCATCTACATTTGTCCTTGAGGGTTTCTTTTTTAATGTAAGACAATATTATTCAAGTAAGTATATCACAAATGATTCATTCAACCAGGATAAAGGGAAAATGCAAGGTAATGCGTGCTCAATGCAACTGAATTCCTCTAATTTCTCCTAGGCACCGTTATTGTCAACCAGATAATGCTGTGTTGCTCCTGCTTTAAATCTGAACATAACTTTACCATGCAGGAAAATAAACTCACAAACAAAAATACATTTTCAG
The DNA here is from genome assembly GCF_000001405.40 of Homo sapiens. NCBI lineage: Eukaryota > Metazoa > Chordata > Mammalia > Primates > Hominidae > Homo > Homo sapiens. Next base: position 103,432,197 of record NC_000013.11, on the reverse strand, counting down.
ACTCCATCAAGAGTGCTGCCAAGCATAGAGTTTACAAGTGTAACAATGGCAGCTGTTCCCACTAGTAAGAACAGCTGGGAAAAACAGAACTAGAGTCATTATCTCTCAGATTATGATCTGCTGGAACAATGCCCAAAATATCAACACTGCCACTGAGTGACAGCATTTAGCCTCTGATAACCTCATTTAAATTTTCATTTCACTTCACTAAAATGCATTAACGGTGTCACATATTCAAGAATAAACAAAACATTTCAGAATTATTCCAACAATATACGTGGAAATCTGTTTTCTTTTAGAGACTTTAAACTGCCTGTATTCAAGATTAGCAAATACCGAGTCACTTCATTCCTGAGAGACCACCATCTAAAGGAAGCACACTTTTTTGGAAGAGAAGTAATAGAATAGATATATATTGTTCAAGCTGTCCATGAAATAAAATCCAGGTTTGATTATTACAGTTAGAAAATCGGCACCACAATGTCCAGAAGATCAGGGATAGAGAAACATCCTGTCAATCTTATGCTCTATGGGCATGAATGAGGATTATGAATTCAGAAAGCGAGTTACATTTACAAACCACTCGTGTATACAGAATACATCTGTGTGTGACTCTGCAAAAAGCAAGTAGAATATAAAATAATGCAGAAATAATAACCTCTCTCTCTATGAAGGAGAAGCTATAGGAATGACAAAGATAGAAGGCAAATGAACAAGAGGATGTCCTAGAAGTCAAGTACAAAGAAACCCTGCTGAGGAGTCAGCAGTGGTCCGTGGCGTGTGATGGATGACTCTTCATTTGTACTGCATATGGCCTTAACATCTTTTCGGAAAGTATGAGCAAACAAGTGTAAATACTATAATTGCGAGTGCACCATTATAGAAGATAAAACTCCAAAGAATGACTTAAAGGAATCAAAAAGAGAACAATGCATTGTGTAAAAGAAATGATATTTATTGTTTCTTGTTATTGAGAATATCATAGAGCAAAGAACAATCCAGCCAGTGTCAGGTAGCTGCAGAGACTATTTTACTACCTGCAGAACAGTTACAAAAGACTAGATTCTGTAAGTATTTGATATTAAAAAATTAAAATCTATCTGGAAAATTGAGACAGGGAAAAAAGAGGTGGCATCTGTAAGTATCATGCATCCCCTTCTGCTCCTGGAATTCCATGTTTAATAGAAAATTTTAATTCAAACACTCTAGGTGACTGACGAGATTACAGTGACATAGATGATATCCTAAAGCGTGAGTCTCAGAATCAGGAAGAACCCAGGTCTATCCCGTAAGTCATAGTTGTCAATGTTTTTCAAGTGGTTCCTACATGCTCAGGAAGTTTTTGGTGGGCTGCACATGGATTGTTTTCTCACAAAATTCTCCTAGCCACCCTAAGGTTTCATATTTTTGTTATCCTCATTATATAGATGAGGAAAATCTGCCACAGCCATGTTAAGTAACTTGGCTAAGGTCACGGAGTTGGTAAGTGGCGGAGGTAAACTATAAAGTATCTCACTTCCTCCAAAATGTCCCTATCTGGATGACTACAAAAGTCACTACTCTTCTTGGCATCGCACTATGCTTTTCTGTACAGTATGAATGAATCTCATGCCCTACTCACAAGCGTGTTATGGGATAACATCAAAACCATTGCCTTCTATAAAACAGTGACTCAATGCTGCTGACATCTTTATGACCATCATTAAAGATTATCAAGCACTTGAAACAGAGAGAGAAACAATAACCTTCTTAAATGCCTAAAATTAGGAAACCCTCTTGATTACAGCTGACTGAAAGCTGGGGACTCTTGTAAAGCCATCTTCTGTTTACATTGTATGGAAAAGCAGCTACTTGTCCTGAGTTCCACACCTTCCTGCTGTAACCTCCCACTGTGACTTTTCCTTTCCTCCACATTCATCAAATAAACCAAGAAGTTTCTACATATTAGACAGAAGGCAGTAAGTCCAGATATGGGGAAGGGGCTGGATAGCTGCATATATAATTATTAATTGACTATATTTATTTCTGCAGAGACAAAGACAGCCTTAACATTTCCCTCAGTTTAATTCAACTTTAGTCAGGTTTCTTCCTGACTCTATGCCCCTGACCTCCTTTTTCATAGAAAAACTTTAGAACACTTGCAATTGGAAACTCTCTCTCTGCCTCTTTAAGATATAAATCTTCTCCCAACCTCTTGCAAGTTTTACAACTAAGGAATGTCTTTTTCAAGGACCTGGGAGCCATCATTGAAATGGCATCATCAAGAAGGAGTCCCTATCTCCCAGTCTCTGTGAAAGGGCGTGAGCCAAACTTCCATCAGCACCAGTTGGGAAACACAGGTGGCCTGATCCCACTGACCAACCTCCCGTCATGTCATTCAGTACTTTTCCACTAGTTCACTCCAGTGTTTAAAACCTCGCCCACCTTTCATTTTAAGGGTGTGGAGTTTAGTCTCTCTCCCAATTGCAATAGTCTTGAATAAAGTCTTCCCTGCCTGTTTAACTCTGTCTGGTGCAAGTTTCTTTGACAGTGGTGGATTTTACATTCACTTGAGAGAGCAGAAACTAGGCAGGAAGAGGAAAGAAAATTATGTAGTGGATTTTCTGATGAGATAAAAAAAAAATGGAGGCTGCCTTAGTGTGAGCTTTTTATGTGAAAGTGCCAGCACCTCCATGACATCTTGATTGGGTCATGAAAGGAGTCATCCCCAAGCATGCAGACATCATGGGGAGAACTGAAAGTGGGATGGGGGGTGGACAAGGCATGAAAAATAAATGACAGCTTTAAAGAAGAACAATTATAAAATTTATACTCTACAAGAATAGACTTGTATGTAGATTAAAGTGCATTTCAATGCAAATTCAAGGCATATTTTTATGTAAATTTATATGTGGTCTTCTTGTTTATTTCATATATTTGGCTGTGACCTTGTAAAGACCTTAGCAACAATTCCTTCCTACTGCTTTAGAACTGTTAGGCAAGGAGAGGTCTATTGTGAGCTCCTCTTCAAGTAACTGGGTGAGGTTTGGGGAGGAAGAAGGGTAACTTTCTAATGATCTGAAGTTCTGAAATACTTAGGAGTATTTAGACCAGAGTAATATATTTAGGCCTAAATACTCAAAAGTTTCCCAGGATATTTCCATCCTGATGGGCTAGTATGGAATTCAGAGCTCTCAGTAAACATTAAAACCCAGTGCCTACCCAGGATCATTGATGGAACCTGGGGAACAGAGCTGACCTTTCTTGGGGCAGATGAATCCTTTGAAAGTGTCTGACACTCCTTGAAAGAACAACACGTGCCTATACCATGTCCCTTCCACCATGAGAGCTTTGGGTTAGAACTCAGATCAATTTATATTTCAAATCCTAGCTATGAAAGCTTGGGCAAACAAGAAAACTTATCGAAGCTTCAGGTCCCCAATATACAGATTGATTGATAGATGATTGATATAGATAGAAAGATAGATAGATAGACAGAGTTCCTTTATTTGAGAGGAATAAAAATCTCTACTAAAGAGAGGTGTTGTGATACTTACTGCCATATCTGGCACAGAGAAGACACTCAATGTAGGCAGCTTCTATTGTCATTATTATTGTTACTATTATTGTGATTTTTCCAATTTTTTAAATTCCCATTTACCAATAATAAAAGCCCCACATCACTTGACTTTAGGTTCCTGGATATGTGTGTGTTCCTCAGATATCCAAAGTGTGATTTTACTTGTCAGAGAAGTGAATTTCAAGGAGCTCTGGGCCTAGATAAATTAATTTCTATGATGCAACATTTATGATAATGATATGTACAAATGATTTGCTCAGTAAATGCATTTGAATGCCTTCCCAAGTTTGATGCTGTATTAGTTTGCCAGGGCTGCTATAACAAAGTACCATAGACTGAGTGGCTTAAACAAAAGAAATTTATTTCACATTTCTGGAGACTAGAGCTCCAAAAGCTGGGTGCTGGCAGGGTTGGTTTCTTACAGAAAGGCCTCTCTCCTTGAGGGTTGGTTTCTTACGGACAGGCCTCTCTCTTGGTCTTGTAGATGGTCATCCTCTCCCCGTGTCTTTATATAATCTTCCCTCTGTATCCAAATTCCCTCTTCCTATCAGGATGCCCATCTTGTTGGATTAGAGCTGACCCTAGTGACCTCATTTTAATTTAATTATTTCTATAAAGGCCCTGTCTCCAAATACAGACACATTCTGAGGTACTGACCCCAACATGAATTTTGTGGGGGACACAGTTTAGCCCATAACACATGACTTAATTTTATATATGTCTATTTTATCTAATTTTCTACTTAGTGGCCTTTTCTTTTTCACCTCATCCATTATAGTTTCCCAATATTTATAACGTTTGATCATTATTAACTATTGAAACACCTTTAAATTTAATCTGATACAGAAATGCCCTAGTCCAGGTAACAGGTAGAGCAGGCACCAGGTAGAGCAGGCTGGGATCTCACATAAGAATATATGGTAGAAAGAATTAGAATTTTATTTCATAGAGAGTAAGCCCCAAATATTTTATTTCTTTATAACCTCCACAGTGTCATGCAGTACAGTAAACGCACAGCACATGCCTGTGGGAAAGATGAGTGAATCAATGAATGAATTAGCAGGACTCAAAGAGCAACAGCTGACATTTATGACCCCTCTTCTTCTAAGCACACAGAGTAATTGTGTTGCCTTGTCGAAGACTCTTTAGAGTTGCCTGGCTGGGGAATCTTTAGTTTGAGAGACAGCCTAGGGACTCACACTCATCATGGAGAAGCCTGAACTGCATCTTGAGATTTGCCAGTGTTTCCAGAGCAATCCAAGCATTGCTCCAGCAGTGTGAAGTTGTGTCAGGGAAATAAAAAGCCAAGGTCTCCAGTAGACCCTAGGGAGAATGGAGACAAGAACATCACACCATTTAAATGATTAAAGCAAGAAATTTAACAGTGAAAAGTGATAAGGCATTGCATTTTCCTGCTAAAATGACGAATTCTGTTTACTTTGACCAAGAGCAGGCTTAATTTTAAAACAGGGAGGTGATCCAGTTTATACCAAAATATCAATATATTCAAATAATAAACTAAATTAGCCCTTCTGTTTAAAAAAAAGATCTTATCAAAATGCTAACCACTGTGGCATATCTGCAAAGAGAACCTTGCCTAAGTTCAAAATTGTCCAATTCCATAGAGAAAGCTGTTATCTAGTTTTTTAAACACCTGTAGCTTCCCTACCTCCACAGTTTATCCCATCTATAATTTTCAAATCCCCACCTATTCATTTTCCACTATCTCGTTTCCACTTGAAAACTGAATAATTAGGAAAGTAGATAGATACATACATACATGATATCTAGATAGACAGATATCCATAGATAAAATAATAAAAATCCCAATCTCTAGCTAGATAAAGAGTATTGTTCCCAGTACACATTTCAGTTATCTTAAATGTTTGTTTTTTTTGTGGGTTTATTCTTTGGGTGGGAATGTATTGGTTTTGGTTTTTATTTTTAACAAAGACAAAAGAGAAAGAGGAGAGAAAAGACAATTGCACATTTCTAAGTGTTTTATCAGAGCCTCAGTGTAGAGGTTGTGTTATGATCCCGAGTGGAAATTTGTTTTCATCACAAACCACCTCACAGTATGATACCATTTATCATGATTGTCATCCTAGGCTCAAGGGAGAGCAGAAATAGAATTCTAGCAGCTCTGTGCATAAGGACCTATGTACTCAAGCGCATGGGTAATCCTCAGTAAAATCGTTGCCATCATTGGGTGCCAGCCACTGGCTACTGACAGTAGTTGGCCCCAGCTGCCCAACTTTTAAGTAGTTGGTTTGAATTCACATCAATTGATAAATATTTAGGTCAAAAATCACTCAAGCGCATAAACATACCACCCCAAACTCAACAACACAATACTGCATGCATTTCCAATTCTTTATATAGACAGGGCATTTTACAGTTAGTTCTCCCTTTTTCTTCTTTTTTTTTAACTGCATTTTAATGCCCCAGGTTTGTTTAAACTTCTGTCAGAATGTTGACTTGGACTGAGATTTTATTTTTAATTCAGAAAAGAAGAGGATATAATGTCTTTAAAAGAAGAAGGAAATTCGGAGAGTTTTCTGCAATTAGCACCATAGAAGTCAGTTAAGATGCCTTCTGGAAATTTCCAATAGATAGGGGGTAAGTTAGAATGGCAGCAGGCAGCAAATGAAAACAGCACTTGGCAATTTGGGAATCCTTTTTTTGTGACAAACTATCTGGTAGGCAACAATTTTGGCTTTCTCTAAACTTGTATAACTCGCTGTTATTTTGGCTGATTTTGATCATTAGCACAATTGCACATAGAGAACCGTCAGTCAAATTAACTTAAGGCTGAATTCACGCCTACTTTCCCACCTCATTCTACTTAAGTACTTTCAGAAATCCCATCTTTACTTCTAGAAACATTGAAGCAAAAAGAGCTAGAAAGGAAGGTAGCCAGACTGCTACACCTCCCCTCCTTCCCATCATTATAGATCAAGCACTTAAAGTGAAGTTTAGACCTCAAGTCTCTCTCTCCAATTCATGCTTTACTATAGACTGGATTTTTTACTTCAAGTTTATCTGGCTAAAATATAAGTACATATTCACATCACTAAACAGAAAGACAATGGTCCACAAACATGCTCCACTTTCTATGTTTACTACCTTAAAAAATTGTATCATTATCCAGTTGCTCAATTCATAGCCTAGGTCCTTTTCTTCCTTCTCTTTTTCTATGGTAACACTTAACTAATCACCTTTTTTTTTTTCAAATTTTCTTTCTTCCATATATCTTGTATCTGTCCATCTTTTTCATGTGCCAACACCATCCAATTCAGACCTCAGTCATTCCTCACCTGTTTATTGCAATAGCTGTGAAGAAACTTGCTTCCTTGGGCCACCCTTTCACATTAATTCTACGATGCAGTTAGTCATCTTTCCAACATGAAAATCTCTTCACGTCACTTTTACAAAGACTCTGCATAAAATCCAAATGACATGGAATAATGAACAAACCCTTCATGGCTTGTCCTAGCAAACCTCTCCAGCCTCATTTGTCACTTCCTTAGCTAACCTTGAGCCCCAGTATTCGGCTACTCACAGGTCCCTGCACCAGCCATGATTTCTTTACCCTCTTGTCATTTTCCCTATGCCTGGAGCTTCGACTCCTTCCCCTGCTTCAGTTCTTTCTCAGTTTCTTGTAGAAGTCAGTTCTTGCAGAAAACCTGTGACCGTAGAAAACTTGTGACTGTATCTCCAGCAGGGCACTGTGAATCCTGTGTGCTCCTTAAAGAATTTATTGCAAAGGGGGCTTACTTTTATATACCATCTCCCTCTATCTTAAAAGCTCCTTAAGAGCGGGAATTCTGTCTTTTTAATCATCATTTATTACTGAATCCTGAGTATATAATGTAACACCAGGGCCATAGAAATTTCATGCTTTATAAATATTGCTCAAAGAATGAACGAAGAGATGGCAAAGGAAGATGTCTTAGATATCAATATTACAGTTGTGTTGCCGTTGCTCCAGTGAGGTCTTGGGGAAATTATTCACCCCGATTGGATAGCTTTAGCTCTTTCATCTTTGGAGTGAATATTTAGTGAGGACAACCCACTCCTTAACTGAACGATATTGAGGTGGTAACAAGAATTCCATCCACATTTTTACTTTCCAGTGTTTGGGGCAAATTCAGTCATTTTGTAATCATAAGTAGAAATTCAATAACTTGTTTTCTAATCAAAACTAGAAATCCATATAAACGCAAACAGTGAATCCTTTACCAAAATTACATACAAGTCAGCATTGAAAATAAGAAGTGGTTTTTTAGACCCTATGCCCTTAGAAAAAGATGGCTCTTATTTTTTAAATGGATTATGTTCTGCAATAAAGCCTATGTTGTATATTTTCCTAGGCTACAAACATATGTCATAATGTACACTGTCTATTTGTACTATAAGTCGTTTGCTTTAAAAAAATAAAAAGGTTGATTTTTAAGCTTTCTATCTAAATCTCTATTTGGTTCTCGGGCTTTTTGCTTTACTTCTGTGAAGAGATAGTTCATGCCACTTTGGTACTTTCTAATTTTCTTCCTGTGCTTCTGAAAGACAACTATCTGTCTCCTTTTGTAAAGCTATTCATCATGAAATTATAACATGGTATAGGTTGAGACGTGCCAGGATATTTCACTGACTATGGGGACACTCAGTAACAGACCTCTTTATTATCCCAGAAGTCAAAGCCCGGTTTTAAAATGTCAAGTGTCTCTGCAATGCCTACTTCCAATTTACTGGGGAAGCGGAAAGAAAGATTAGAAAGAGATTAAATGCATGGGTATTTAGTACCATAAAAAAGGAATTAGAAAAATTGAATTTATTAGAATTAAAATTATTATAAGAAAGAACCAAACCATGGTAGTCCTTGGAATGCCACCTTCTCATTTTGAATTTCTTGAGATGGAACATGAATTAGCGACTATCTAAGAAATTAGAAATTAGACATCCTGGGCCTTAGAAACTTTTGGTTTTTATATCTATAAAAAAAAGGCCACATCCCAAGTTGTACTTACATTCTTACTTAATCAAATATGTTTTTTAAGATATGCAAACACAATTAGAAGGTGAGTAGGTAATTTGGATGCCTAGTAATCAACATTTAGTTATAATTTATGATATCTTAATTAGTTTCCTTATAATTTAATTGATGAAAATTATTTACATGTACAAATAGCCACTGACTGTGAAAGCTAGTGGAGCCAAGATCCAACTTATATTATTTTCCCAACCAATAAACAAACAAACAAACAAAAACGCTTTTAGCAACCAAATTATTTTTGTAGTCTATTGTTTAGGACATCCGTTCTGTTTACTATTACAGTGTAAGAATGCTGTACTAGGGAACTGAAAAACTGTTATTTTGAAGAACGGAGTTTCTCCCCCTCAGTACTACTGACATACGGGATGAGAAGGTTCTTTGTCCTGGGGAGCTGTCCTGTGCATTGTAGGAGGCTGAGCAGCATCTTGGCCCTGCTTCCGCCTACTCGACGCCAGGAGCACACCCCTCCCAGTTACAACAACCAAAAACGTTTCCAGGCATTGCCCCCAGTTGGGCCACTGCTCTAGTATCCTAGTGTTCGAAGTCGGGAATGTGCCATTTGTCATTATTTAAACCACTCAATGATAGTACAGCACTTAGTAAAAACAAACAAACAAACAAACAAAAAACGGGAAAGATATGCCTATAATGGTGTGCTAGATGGTCCCAGAGAAATAGCAACCCAAAGGGTAGAAAGAAGCAGGGCCTGGGTTGACCTAACAAATCTTCTCAGTCTCTATAAGCTCTTAGGCCAGGCCCTTCACTTTTTTTTTTTTTTTTTTTTGAGACGGAGTCTCTGTTGCACAGGCAGGAGTGCAGTGGCACTATCACGGCTCACTGCAACCTCCGCCTTCCAGGTTCAAGCAATTCTCCCATCTCAGCCTCCCGAGTAGCTGGTGTGCACCACCATGCCCTGCTACTTTTTGTATTTTTAGGAGAGACAGGATTTCACCATATTGGCCGAGCTGGTCTCGAACTCCTGACCTTGTGATCCTCCTGCCTCAGCCTCCCAAAGTGCTGGGATTACAGACGTGAGTGAGCGCGCCCGGCCGCCCTTCACGTTTTTATTCCTCAATTTTCTACCATAAAAATGAATAATACTAATAATCCTCTCATAAGGTTGGGGTCCCAATCAAGGGAGCTAAAACATGAGAAGGACCAATGAACTACACAGATGGATGAGCCTGGAGGGCGTCATGCTAAGTAAAATAGGCCAGGAAGAGACACACAAATGCCGCATAGTCTCACTCATATGTGCAACCTAAAAAGTCAAACTCACAGAAGCAGAGAACAGACTGGTAGTTACCAGGGCTGGTGGACTGAGGGTCAGGGGAAGATATTGATCAAAGAGCAAAAAATTCAGTTAGGAAGAATATGTTCAAGAGATCTATTGTACATTATGGTGACTGTAGTTAATAACATTGTATTTTATAATTTAAAATTGCAAAGATAATAGATTCTAAGTGTTTTCACCATACACACAAAAATGAGTATGCAATTTAATGCAAATGTTTATTTGCTTGAGTTAACTATTCCACAATGTATTCATGCAGCAAAACATGTTGTACACTATACACATATATTTTTATATGCCAGTTAAAAACTAAATAAATAATAATCTTAACCAAAAAAAAGGCCAGCAAAGATACTAGCACATAGTGAGTATTGAATAATTGGTTTGTTATTAACAAAACATGATTCAAAAAGTAGTTCAAAAATATTTTTTGCAATGATGTTTGCAGGGAAAATTTCTCTTTTTATCATGGATCAAATTATTTTAGATAAACAGAGTCAAATTCTCCCACACAGCCCTTATAATTTCAGGAATTTATAATTAGTGTAATAATTCTTCTTAGCCTTAGTTATTAAGAGGTAGTGTAAGCTAACGTTTAAGAACATGAATTTTAGAATCAGACAGATCTAGGCAAATAACCCTTCCTCCAGTGTGATTTTCTATGTCTCACTTAGGCATAAAACTAAACAAATTATAAAGCTGTAGTTTTGTTTTTGAATTTACTTTCTACTGATATGGGCTTGGAGGTAGCTCTAAGACAAAAAAAATACTAATGCTTAAGAAACATTGAATTAATGGTGTTGCTTGAAAGTTAAGAAACAATAGAAAAGGAAAATAAAAGAAAAATGTGTTAGGAAAGTAAGGAGAAGGGAAGGAAATGTACATTTAGTGCCTACTACACACCAGGCACTGCAGAAGCTTCTTCTGCAAGGACAGTCTATGGTGAGGTGGTAATCCTCTCCATAATACACGGTTAGCTTCATTTTACGGAAGAGCATCAGAGGGGTGTTGTAACTTACTTGACAGCACGCGGCAAGTAACTAACGGAATAAGAACCAGCACAGAAGTCACTCTGACTCCAGAACAGCTGTTTTTATCTACCACCATGGGCTGCCCCGGTACACCCCGGCCCTGACAGCTACAGAACTGTTCTTTTTTTTTTTTGAGACGGAGTCTCGCTCTGTCGCCCAGGCTGGAGTGCAGTGGCGGGATCTCGGCTCACTGCAAGCTCCGCCTCCCGGGTTCACGCCATTCTCCTGCCTCAGCCTCCCAAGTAGCTGGGACTACAGGCGCCCGCCACTACGCCCGGCTAATTTTTTGTATTTTTAGTAGAGACGGGGTTTCACCGTTTTAGCCGGGATGGTCTCGATCTCCTGACCTCGTGATCCGCCCGCCTCGGCCTCCCAAAGTGCTGGGATTACAGGCGTGAGCCACCGCGCCCGGCCCAGAACTGTTCTTTATGTCCAGCTCTTGCTGACACTACACAGAGAGAATACTGAATTTTAGCAGGTAAGAAAAAGCAATAGGTATCCTCACAAATGTTATCATCCTAAGGGAAGTAGCTGTATCGTTATGATTATTTCATCAGTTGGCTTGAGATATTAGCCTATTTATGGAGATTAAATTCTATTTTAAAAAGGTTTCAGTGGGAGGCTGAGGCAGACAGGTCACAAGGTCAGGAGATCGAGGCCATCCTGGCTAACACGGTGAAACCCCGTCTCTACTAAAAACACAAAAAATTAGCTGGGCGTGGTGGCTGGTGCCTGTAGTCCCAGCTACTCTGGAGGCTGAGGCAGGAGAATGGTGTGAACACGTGAGGTGGAGGTTGAAGTGAGCCGAGTCGTGCCACTTCACTCCAGCCTGGGCGACAGAGCGAGACTCCACCTCAAAAAAAAAAAAAAAAAAAAAGATTTCAGAAGTATTATTGTCAATAATTACAAAACTAAAAAAGGAGAATGCAAGTTTCTGAAATCCAAAACATTTCTAGAAATGAAACAGTTAAGGGGTCAAAGTACCAAAGTGATGAATTTTTTGTGTGGTTGGGGCAGACTCCTTAATGTTAATACAGTTTTGTTGGATTGTAGAAAAATTTATGACACCATTATCTTATACAAAATACCTGCCCATTTTATAGATACAGCAGTCCCCCTTATCCTCAGCTTTGCTTTTGAAAGTTTAATTTACTCAAGATTAACTGCAGTCTGAAAATATTAAATGGAAAATTTCAGAAATAAACAATTCATAAGTTTTAAACTGCATGCTGTTCTATGTAGTGTGATGAAATCTCACAGTGCTCAGTCCCGTTATGCCTGGAGCATGAATCCTCCCCTCTTCCAGAGGGTCCCCACTGTGGATGTTCCCTGCCCGCGAGTCACTTAGCTGTCTCGATTACCCAATTGACTGTCCAACATCTCCATGCTTGTGGTCACGCCATCCCTATTTTACTTAATAATGGCCCCAAAGTGAAAGAGTAGTTTTAATTTTTTAAAGTTGCCTGAATTCACAATCCAGGAAAAAGATATTAATGTACTCAGAGAATTCGTTGAAAATGCCATTTGCAATCCCTAGTCCTATTCTCTGAGCATGGTTTCGTGTAGACGCTCAGGGTACTTTTGAAATGAGCCATGCCACCAAAAGAAAAGTGACATTTGCTTTGTTATATTAAAACAACTTGAGAAGCATGCAGCAGCTCCTGAGATGAATTTCCTGGGATGGAATGGAGCAAGTTTTAATATTAGCTCACACATATATTTGCACTTTATGATATTTATTACATAGGCTCAACTAATAAAAAAGTAAAAAAAAAAATTAGAACCAACTGAGGCTTTGTAACTCAGCTAAAATGTAACATATCCTTATAAGTGGTTTGTACAATGAACTGCTTTTAGACTGATACCCTTTAATGTTCATATTTGTTTCATAAATTTGTCACCCAGATCCCTTGGTGAAATCTCCCTAATGTACACCGAACACATAAAAATGATTCAAGATGTAAGTAACTAATAAAATCTTGTCCTCATTATTTTAAGAGGATGTCACTAACTGACCAAGAATATGTCACTTCATCAGCTCTGAAATCTTTAACAGATCAGTAAAATAAATCATACCAAGTGCATGAACTGAGAGTGTGGTTTCTTAAAAAATGCATCAAGTGAATTTTATTTTCATCTACTCAGATGGGCGATGAGCACTCAATAGGAGTAAAGATTGTTTTGGAAGGTGCAGATAAATTTCAATAACAATATCTATGTGCCTGCAGTGTTGCTGGCTGTAGCTTATCCTAAGTATCTGCTCTTATTTTTTACAAACTAAAGATCATGTTTGGGATGAAAAGTTTTACAAAACACACCCAAGATTTATTTTATGTGAATGAATGAATAAATGTATAAATAGGGATTTTTGTTTCATGCAGTATTCTAGAAATGTGACCCTAGTTTGTTTGAATTTCTTCCCATCTAGAAGTGAATCTATGCTCCCATCCTTTGAACCTGGAGTCTGAGACTGGACATGGAGTACAGCAGAAGTGAGGCTGTGTTGGGTTTTGTACCCAGATCTTAAGACACTGGCAGCTCTTGAACAGAACGACCAGCACGTTGGTGGCTTTTCAAGGTGTAGTTCAGGTTACCTCACTTTGCTAGATTACCCAGCCTGTGTCACATACAGTCTTTTTTTTATATATATACTTTAAGTTCTAGGGCACATGTGCACGACGTGCAGGTTTGTTACATATGTATACATGTGCCATGTTGGTGTGCTGCACTCATTAACTCATCATTTACATTAAGTATATCTCCAAATGCTATCCCTCCCCCTCCCCCCACCCCATGACAGGCCCCAGTGTGTGATGTTCCCCACCCTGTGTCCAAGTGTTCTCATTGTTCAATTCCCACCTACGAGTGAGAACATGAGGTTTTTGCGATAGTTTGCTGAGAATGATGGTTTCCAGCTTCATCCATGTCCCTACAAATGACATGAACTCATCCCTTTTTATGGCTGCGTAGTATTCCATGGTGTGTATGTGCCACATTTTCTTAATCCAGTCTATCATTGTTGGATATTTGGGTTGGTTCACAAGTCTTTGCTATTGTAAATAGTGCTGCAATAAACATATATGTGCATGTGTCTTTATAGCAGCATAATTTATAATCCTTTGGGTATATACCCAGTAATGGGATGGCTGGGTCAAATGGTATTTCTAATTCTAGATTCTTGAGGAATCGCCACACTGTCTTCCACAATGGTTGAATTTTTAAAGCACAAAAGGGAACATAAACATATTTTGGAACTCTCTCTCTCTCCCAATTCTCATATACAAGTCTATATGTTAAATATACACATAAATTATAAAATCAAGTATTTGTTTCAGGTTCAGAATCAAGGTTTTCAGGTTCTACCATGGGACTCTGGATATTTACAGGGGCAGAAGAGATGACAAAGGTAATAAATTCCCTCATTCTTGGCCACAACACTGTAAGCACTGCCTTTCTCTTGAAAATAAGGAAGGCTTGGGTAGAGGCCCACATGTGGAGGATCACAAGTACAGCACCAACTTGTAGCCATGTGAAGGAGTCATCCTGGCTGTGGATCCTTCATCCATGTGAGCCGCCTGCCCTTGCCAACATCCTGTAGAATGCACATGAGCTGTCCCCACCAAGAGCTGACAAAGATGCAGATTCGGCAGCAACATAAATTAATGTTGTTATTTTAAACATGAGTCTCGCGATAGTTTGTTGTGCAATGGCAGATTAAGAAGAATATTTGTAAAACCAACAGATACACTAAGGAGTTATTTTCAAGAGAAAGGCAATGCTTACAGTTTTGTGGTCAAGAACAAGGAAAATTATTACCTTTGTCATGTATTCTACCCATGTAAATATCCATGGTCCCATGGTGGAACCTGAAAACCCTGATTCTGAAGCCAAAACACATGATTTGATTATATATATATATGCATATGCATACACACATACACATATATATGCACACTACCATATATATACTACTGTATGTATGCTATATATATATGTAACTAATGTGTATGCATACATATTAGAATTGAGTGAAAGAGATTCCAAAATACTGTTTTCTGCTTAAAAAGTAAATGTAGACTGTATATGGCATAAACCAGATAACCCAGGCAAGTAAGGTAACCTGAAACACACTTTGAAAAGCCACCAACCTACCTAGGTGTCTACAGTAGGTCTATGCGAATCCGCCCAGTCCCCGGTTCTAACAAATTGACTGTTTGTGGTTTTGAGCAGAGACCAGAAAAATATATGGACTTCCCAAAAATAAGAGTTCTCAATACTAACACGTAAGAAGTAAGAAAAAAGAAATTTCTCTAGCTCCGCCTTAGAACAATTAAATTAACATCTCTGGTGGGGTAGATTAATATCACTACTAAAACAAAGCTAAACAGAACCAGAAGGGCCTAGTAATTATAATATGGGACCAAATCTAATAATCATTAGTCTAGGATTTCTAAAATATTAAGTTCTTCCTTCTATTTTCCAAAAAAGTGAAAGCAGGGGAGGAGTAGAAAGTGTTGATTTTTCTTCCTTCTCTCTCACTTTTCTCTGAGCCTAAATGATTCCCTGCCTTAGGGTAAACAGTTGAGCAAGTGGAAAAAAAAGTAAGATGAAGAAAAGTAGTAAATGCTAAAGGAAAAAACAGTGGCATCTACTAATAGGTATGTATGTTTTTAAACCTGTAAATTCCTCTAATGTCAAAGAATTTAAAATAAAGTACCCTGACATAACCAGAAGTTGTTTTTCACTCCCCAGCAGATTGAGAACATTAAAAAGAATGGGTAATATCTAGCCTTGGGGACAGAATGGGGAAATAGAAACTCAAACATAGGAGATTGAAACATAAAGTGGTGAAACATTCATGGAGGCGATTTAGCAGCAAGTATCAAATGTAAAATCCACATTCTGTGGACTCAGTAGTTCTGCTTCTCAAAGCTCTGGCCTATGGAAGCACTGGCATATGCACACAAAATATTCACTTCTGCATCATATCTAAACTCTAAAAACTGGAAGAACTCAAATATCAGCCAATACTACAAGAACCAATCAACTGTGGTATATTTCTTCTGTGGAATATTATATAGCCATTGTTAAGAATGAGATATAAGTGTATACACCTTCTATGTACCCACAAAAATTAAAAATTAAGAAGCCTTAAAATAGAATGAGATAGATTCATAGGTAATGACAAATACATATCTCTAAAACATAGAATTAGGAAAAATAATACATCTAAACCAATACATACTATGTATTATACTTACTATATATAAAACATATGCATGTGCATTTGTGTGGAGTACATACCTTTATGTACACATACATATATGTAGATGTAAATGTATATAAAACTGATTAGGAGAGCCACCCTAAATAATACAAAGTGGTTACCTCTGCATAAGGGAGAGAGATTCCAGAGAGGGATGAGAGACAAAGTGGAGAGAGGATTAAGGAGGATTGTTTATGTACTGCTGGAGTGATTCATTGTAAGATTTCTTTTCAATGAAAAGTAAAAGCCTTCAAAACCGGGCTGTTGACAAAGGGTCTGTTCCTGCTCATCCTCACTGGGTCTAAGAAATTGTGCTTTTGATCTTCTCAGTTTTCACAGCTAACAGTTACCTTGCCCACTCACCTCGCTTGGGATTCAATCAATCAGGAGTGTTTGTGCATAGTTCCCATGTCCCAGCTGCCTCGTGGGTTTCTAGGATTATACAAATTTGACACAACTGTGACCTATTTCTCTACTGCTTTTCTAAAAATAATCAAGTTTTGTTTCAGCAATTTCCTAATTTTCACTACTTTCTTATTAATGTAATTTAGTTATCAATGCCTGCATTGAGAAAGTTGTCGAATAATTCGATGCAAACTGTTTATAATTTCAAGCTCTTTGCACGATTGTTTCTATCTACCAACAGTGCATATTGTCACAGTGACATTTCCATTGTTATAATTGCTAGTCAGTAAGAGACAGAAACATTGCGTCCTCCAAGATGACTTTGCCATGTGTATAAGTCTACTTCATTTGTATTCAATGTTCTGAAAATTGTGTAGAAAACACGACTTATAGAAAACTCCGCACTGAAATTAGCTTTGGAAGCATTATATTTGTAAATGTGCGTCATCTGGGAAGCATTTATTGAGCACCTTCTGCAGGAATACATATGCTATAATTATTCTGATAAAGGTTATGGGCAAAAAAGTGAAATCCCTGACATCAAACAAGTTTGAATTCACTGAAAGACACTGATTACTCATATCTAAGAGGCAACTCTTTATAGACATTTAATTATTGTTTGCTTTGAAAATATTCACTGGACTCTTACTATGGGTTGGATATGATTGTGAGTCCTGGAATAAAACAGGAAGAAATAAATAACTCCCTTCCTTCATTGAAGCTCATATTTTCCTGGGGGATGTAGGCAATGAGAAACAACTAGATGATAATAATATGTAGATGATACATGAGAAGAAAATCAGTACTATAAAAATACGGGGAAAGAGTTGATGATTGGGAGTACAGACAAGAGAGGGAGAAGCAATGGGCGTGGGTTACAGTTTCAGAGTGGTGAGGGTCACCCTCAGCAGGAAGGCAGAGTTCAGGAACTACCTGAAGGAGCTACGAGAGTTAGCCGTGCAAATGTCACAAAAGAGATTCCAGGCGAAGGGGACAGATGACGCAATGTCCAAGGGAAGCTGTGTTCCTGGAGTGTTTAATGAACATTATGAAGGCCAGTGTTTTGAACTGCAGGGGTAAATTGGGATTACAGATGATGAAGTAGGTAGAAAGCAGAGGTGAGGCCAGATCATGTAGGTCTTTACAAGCCACTGAAAAAATGAATGCTTTTATTCTGCGGGGGAAGAAAATCGTTTGAGCAGCAGAGGTACACTACTGAACAAGATTCTTAAAGGGATCACTGTGGATACTGTGTTAACAACAGAACATCAAGGAACAAGAGTAAAATTATGAATTCCAGTTACTCGGTTGCTGAAATATTCCAGAAAAATAAGTGATGCTGTTTGGTCCAGGGTGGTAGCAGTCGAAGTGGTGAGAAGTGGTCCAGATTCTGGACATATTTTGCAGATAGAATTGACAAGATTCCCTGGGGATTGAACAAGGGGTGTGAGAGAAAGGAATCAAGGATGTTGACCAGAAAAATTGGAAAGATGAAGTTGCTATTAACACAGATAAGAAGAAACAGGGGTGGAGCTGGTATAATAGGGAGGATCAAGAGTTCAGTTTTGCCTTGCTGAGTTTGTCCTGCCCATTTGGTACTCAAGTGGAGAATGTATAAGAAGAGCATGATATACAAGGCTGGGATTCAGAGCTGATTCTGGGTTTTTGATATATGTTTGGGAATTCTTATCATGCAGATGGTGTCACAGGAAATAATAATGAATAAAACCCTCAAGGAAGTTAGGATAGCTGTATTAGTTCATTCTTGCACTGCTATAAACAAATACCCGAGACTGGGTAATGTATAACAAAAGAGGTTTAATTGGCTCATGGTCCTGCAAGCTACACAGGAAGCATAGTGGCTTCTGTCTCTGGGGAGGCCTTGGGAAACTTACAATCACGGTAGAAGGTGAAGAGGACGCAGGCACATCTTACATGGCTGGAGCAGGAGGGAGAGAGAGAGCAGGGGGAGGTGACACACTTTTAAACAAGCAGATCTCATGACCACTCACTCACTCTCAAGAGAACAGCACTAAAGGAGTGTTGCTAATCCACTCATAAGAACTCCACGCATATGATCCATCACCTCCCACCAGGCCCCACTCCAAATTGTGAATAGAATCTGACGTGAGATTTTGGTGAGGACACAGATCCAAACCACATCAACAGCTATGGAAGAGAAAGATGATGTAGCATAAGCCCTGGGCACGCTAACATTGAAAAGCCAAGAAGAAGAGAAGGAACAAACCAGAATGAGAAGCAGCAACCAGTAAAGGAGAAAAACCAAAAGGAAGGGGAATCAGGAAACCAAGCAAAGTAAGTATTTCAGAGAGGAGGAAGTGATGAACAGCTATATATTCTGTCACTTGGCTGAGTAACATAAAGACTGAAGAGTTCCTATTGCATGTAGCCACAATAAGGCCAATTAGTGCCTTCAACAAGAGCAGTTTTGGTGTTATGGTGAAGGCATATGCCTGGCTGGAGTGAATGTCAGAGATGGTGGGAAGAGTGTAAAGTACTTTTTCAGAAAGGTTTGCTAACCTGAGAGACAGAGGTCTGAGAAGTTAATGGCAAAGGCGACTAGGATCAACAGACTGGTGTTTTTAAGACATATTTCTATGCTAATGAGAATGATCCAGTAAAGGGGAAAAGAACGATGTCGATTGGAGAAGGTAGATGCCCTGGAGCAGCCTCTTCAAAGGCCAGGGGAGGTGGGCGCTCATGCACGGTGGAGGAATTGATTCTGGATAGGAGTAGGGGTAGCTCAGCTATTAACAGAAAAGAAAGCATACAAGAGGTACCACAACTGGCAGGGAGGCTCAAGACATGATAGAGTCTGTGGACATTCTCTTGATTACTTCATTTGTCTCAGTATGGTAGAAATCAAGGTCATCAGTTCAGAGTAATGGTGAGAGAGAAGGTAGGAGAGGTTTAAAAAAAGGAAAGGGGGCAAGAAAGAATAGTCTAGGTTGGAAGAAAGATACATCCATGAAATAGGGAAATAGAAGAAGGTTGTCAGGCAGTATTGAAAGCTCACTTGGGGTTCCTGGTTATGGATTTAAAGTGAGACTATCAAGAGGATCTGTGTTTTACTTTGGCCACATTGAACTGCATAAGAGAAAGCACAGGTTAAAAACAGAGTCAGGTTTAGCTAAGGTGGTGGCTAAGCCAAGAGAGCACACAGAACAGGAGAAGCAAGAAAGTTGAGGACAGGAGCCACAAATTAACAGGCAAAACAGATACGTAAGGATAAATAACCTCATACACACACATGACTCAGAAAAATTTGTGCAATAAGTTGTTCAAACTCAAACTAAACTCGAATAATAATAATCCACCTTCAAAGTGATTATTTTCACTACCAGTATACTCAGTCTCTCAAGGTTCTGTGCCTCAAAACCATATGAAGTCTCCCCTTTGCCATTCTCCTCACAGCCTATGGCACAATCTTTCCACCTTAGGCAAAGGTGACAAATCTTCATCTTTTGAACAGTGATTTTCGTGTTGGAAATACTGGAAGTCTTTTTAAACCAAACCTAGTGAATTAAGCAAGTTATCAAGCCATGTAATTCTATTTGGGGTCCCAAACGAGGTGTGATTCCAAAGTAATGAGACTTATTTCCTTGAATGACTCATAAACTGGCTCTGAAGAAAATTCCAAAACAAGAGTTACACAGTTTGGAATTAGGGACAACTTAACTGAGAAAGTGCTCCTAGAAAGAATGAGTTTTAAGTTGGACTTATGAAGGGATGGAAAGGTAACAGATTGGACGATATTAGGAATGACCTGAACAGGTAGTGCTTACATTTCTACAGGCATTTTGACTGTAAACTTTTGATTTTATTTGCATGTATCACCATTTATCCTTAAAACAAATGAGTAAAGTAGGTAGCAAAGATTCACTGCATTATAAAGAACATGGAAAACTCTATTCTGTCAATACTTCTAACTTGTAAATGAGGAATCCAAAGTCTTCAGAGTTTTAGAAACTTGTTCAAATTCACAGAAATAGTGAGGAAAAAAAAGCCACTAAAAGATATGTCTCCTGGTCCTAACTAAAAGTAACTCAGAATACTCTCTCTCAAACTGGCATGGTCCTCAACATTTGGCAGAGGAAATGAGCAAAAGAGTTTCTGTTTCTTGATTTCCCACTGCCACTTGTTATAATGTATGCACAGAGTGAGGAAAGTGCAATATTTTCTTCCATGTAGGCTCTAGAACAATGGTTCTCAACTGGGAATAATTTTGCCCCCAAAGAGACATATGGAAACACAACTCTGGGAGTGGTGGAAAGGGTTGCTCCTGGCATCTGGTTTGCAGAGGCCAATGATTTGCTATACATTCTACAACGCATAGGACAGCACCTTAATAAGGAATTATTTGTCCCCAAATGTCAGTCGTGCTGAAGCTGAGATGGATATATTTGAGAACATGAAGATATCTCATAAACATATAGTTCTTACATTTAACATATTAGAAACTAGGAAACATTCATGGAAACTAGCCCTAGGGTTCTGGGTTTTCAACAGGTATTTGAGCAGGAATACATGTGTAAATTTATCACTGAGCGTGCAAACTACCATCCATAAGCAGCCCATTATGTGTAGTTATTTTCCAAGGAATAAATTTCAACTTTGGAAATCAGGTTTCCTGGGTATAACAGTATTCTTCTTTAGAACCTAAGACAGCTGGCCCAAGGTGTGAAAAATGCTGATGAAAGATGGTGTTGGTGGAATCATCTACAGCAGACTGTAGTGAGAAAGGATAAAGGTAGGCAGGTCAACTAGGAGAAAAAAGTAGGTCTTCACTCAAAGTCTAAAGAGGTTTACCAAGAAGAAAAGCACATTTGACAAAGTCAGGAGGCCCAATGAGGCATGACTGACACAAGCATCTATTGGAGAGATCAAATAACATATACAATGAAATCTCAAACTTAGTGAATATAAGATTACGTACATTACTGGGCAGGCTCCTAAATTGAAATTAGGCATCTTTTTCATTGAATTGTTCTTCTATTGATGATAAAGAATATTTTAGAGAGGAACTTAATACAATGTGGATATAAATGACTTCCAAAAGGATAATTATGGATACTGACATTTAATATTTTCAGATTTTATTATCTATTAATTAGGAAATAAGGTTTTGTCCCTTTCTAGGTGTACTGCAGTTAATTTTCAGTTTATGAATCCTTATTACTATTGCTGTCTTTGGCTCTAAATTTCATAAATAGAATGTATTTATGTATGAAACCAGCAGCAAGAGAATTTGCTTCCCAAAGCCATATTTCAGAACTCACCAGATTGTGTGGCTGTTGAAAATCGATTTTCCCTCACCTCCTGGTATGAACACGCAGTATTTATTTTCCAAGGGGAAACACCTGCAATCAATTGATGAACTGCTGTTCGTGGATCCAACTGTCACTGGGGCCATGCAGTGGCAAAAGCCTCATTAACATGATAGGAACGTGCCCACAAATGCATCACTAAGATGCAGGCTGTGAACACATATATTATTGTCTTTGAAGATTCTACTTTTTTTCAAAAAAGCCTAACTTTTAGAACTAGATGTTCTGACTCTTTTGAAATAAACACCTTGATTTGGTAGTATGCTAATGGCTAAGACACACTGTTATTTTCCTTCTTTGTCAGCTAACAGTAATTTTCCAATTTCTTCTCCCCAAAGTAAGAGCAGAAAAATTTCACTGAATCTTACAAAAGGTATTGAGTCTGAGAGTCTGCTCAATTTAGGTACTGCTTTCGACAGTATTCTGCATTGTCACTAAGACAGTTTCTTTAAAAAAAATGAGAGGAAAGTTTTCATCTTATAGCATTATGACTAATTGTATAAGTGCACACAATTGCTGTTTGCACAAAGCTGCATGGGGCAGCTTTATAGTAAAATATTCCCACTTCTTGGAGCATCTGCATACCATTCTTACACATGAAAGCACAGAATTTTGGTGCTATAAGTGAACTAAGAAATAATTCTCTGTTTCACTAATTTTTGGAAGAAGACATGGGACCCAGAGATTACACGAACTACCACAGTTCACTTAATTAGTGACAGTGTAACTTGAATCTGGGTCCTTTTTTATGTCACATAGGGACTCAAATAAATCCCATAATAGTTTGTCTTACTCAGTGGCAAAGCTGAAGCTTCAGTTGATTAGACACCAAAAATTCCCTAACCTGGTCAATTTGGGAAATTATGTAACTTCGTATACATCTACTTCATACATATTAAGTGCCCAATAACCTTTGAATGAAGTATTTTTATGATCTTTAAAGAATTGTTCAATGAATGTTTATTAAGCACGTCCATTTCCCTGATATTTTGCTTAACCCTCAGTATACTATGGTGAAAGCTGCAGCACTTCTACCCTTGAGAAATTTGAAGACTACTACAGAAAACACAAAATTGTGAAATGCAAAATAATAAGATAGATGTTGAAGGAGAAGGATGTGATAGGCACAGTGGCCACAGACAGGACGGATGTTCAGTTTCATCTAGAGGGGTTGGAGATGCCTTCACAGATGAAACAATGATGTTAATGTATTTGAATGACTTTTCTAAGAAATGTGGAGACATTTTTCCTAACATACCGCATTGTGTCAAGGTGTATTATTATGTAGGTTCCCTTAGAGTTAGGTTCCAAATACGAGATAAGAATAATGCTTTAATAGGGCAATGTGAATTTTTTTCTCTTTGTTTATCATACAAATAAAGATGTAAAAGAAATGAAAATGAAAATGTTTCCCTCTTTCCCATTCTCCACATTCCTGGTGGTATTTACAGAAAAAGTCTTTCCTGCTGTCTAAGAAAAACTCACTCATTATAATTGTAGAAAAATTGGACCATCAAGTGCTATTATGAAAGAACATATGGGGAAGATGCAGGAAAAAGGAAGGCAGTACCTCTAGGGGAGAGGAAGGATGATGAACTGTGGGGATCTGAGGGAACATGGAGCAGGAGTTGGGGATAAATCTGAGAAATGTGCTTTAAAAGGAAGAGTAGTCCCCATGAGACCAGTCCAGGACCACCAGTCAGAACACACGCAGCCCACAGGAGCTGAGTCTTAGCATTCATCCTATGAGCTTTCCCACCATAGCTCCCAGGGACCAGAGAACTCTCACTATTCCTTGTTTTCTCAGCAAGTGAGGACTTGCCTTTGCCTTTGTGGGCTTCCAGCATCTCATCCACAATTTCCCACTAGAAGTGACACCAGTCCAGGCCCCAAGACTTTTCTCTCAGACAGTATGACTTTCTGGTGTGGATGGTTCTGCTCTCCAACTTGGGCATCATGTACCACAAGTATCTAAGACACTGTAAACCCAAGTGCGCATGGTGCCTTCTGTGGAGACACTATTTTTCCACACTTACACTTTCAGCAAATAGAGGAGGATTGGAGGCTGGATTGAAACAGCTTGAGATGCCCTGGGGCAAGTTGGTGGTCTAAGAGTTATGGAAAAAAACACTATTATCCATAGGCTGGGAAAATGAAAAGGGCTTTGACGCCTCACTGAGCCCCTCCTTTCCTTTTCCTTCCAGTAAGTGAGCTTCTCAAACCTCAGACCTGAGAGTGCATACATCTTGCATGTAAAACCCTGAAACTGTCATTAGGTTGAAACTCCTTCTCATTTCCATTCTTGCCCATGAAAATACTTTTTCAACATGTCAGATTCACGGCTACTGAGCAATTCATGGCATAATACAATGCATGCCCTCTTGACATTTAAAAATGTGATTTCTGAATCTTTGAAACTGAATTGTCTAAGACCCAAATGCTCTAAAAAGGAATCACTAACTTAGAAACATTTGCTACCTGGGCAGTCACTCCTTGGCCTGGTTAAGTAGTCCCTTCATTGAGAGATTAGCTCCCGGGAAAGGGGTTAGAACTGTGCTGTTTTTCTACAGTGACCCACAATCTAAGAAAAAAGTCTGGGACCCAGAATCTAAGAAAGGATCTGGGACCCAGAATCTCAGAATCTGGGTGTAAAAGGGAGAAGGCAAGTAGCTCCCGTAACCCACGAAAACTTGCAAGAGCAACTACAGTGCTTCTTTTCTATAAACTCAATTAAAACATTTATGGGAAGGTGCTAGGAACCGGGCTTCGTGTCTTCATTCTAAGGAAATGCTTTCTGAAATGCTGGCTTTGGAGCCAAAACTGTATGGATTCAGAGTAACTTTGGCAAGTTTTCAGAATTTCTACATTTTAATCTAATTGTTTGTAAGAGGGAAATATTAATGCCTCAGGATAGCTGTGAATAAAATTGTTTTAAAACATCCTTGCAACAATATGGAAAAACCTGGAGAACGTTATGCTAGGAGAAATAAACCAGACACAGAAAAATAAACACTATATGATCTCACTTAACATGTGAAATCGAAACTAGTCAAACTGATAGAAGCAGAGAGTAGAATGGAGGCTGCCAGCGATGAAGCAGAGGGGGAAATGAGGAGGTGATGGTTAAGGGTACAAAGTTTCAATTACTCAAGATACAGAAGTTTTAGGTATCTGCTATCCAGCATAGCGCCGATAACTAAAAATACTGTAGTGTATATTTAAAATTGCTGAGACTGGATGTTAAGTGTTCTTGCCATAAAAAAGAAAAATACATTTTTATATATGTACTAATGTGTGTATTTATGTCTATTTTTCATGTCTATGTATATGTGTGTTTGTGTAGATATGTGCATATGTGCCTATGTATATATGTACCTATGTACCTATGCATGTATGTACATATGTACCTATGTATATATGTATGTTGTTAGCTATAGGTGTTATGCTAAATACCAGATCTCCAGAATTCATTTGTCTTGCATAACTGAAACTTTGCATCCTTAACCATCACTTTGCCATAGCCGGCTCTCCTTCATGTCTGGCAACCCCCATCCTACTCTCTGCTTCTATGAGTTTAACTATTTTAGATTTCTTATATAAGTATTATGTGTCCTTATATCTGTAAGTATATCTATACATATATGTGTGTATACACATGGGTGGGTATTATGTGTGCATATGTTTATTTATATATAATATAGTTATAAGAAGCTCAATATTCAGTAAATCCCACTTTCCTCTCCTCTATTATTGCATTTGCTGGTGTCCCCAGAAATCACAAAGCCCTTTGGAAGTACCATCTCCCACTGCTAACAATTGCAAGACCTGAAACCAAAAACCAGTTTCTTTCCATCACTGGTTCTATTCCATGCCAGCAGGCATCCCACTAGACTGTGATTACCTGCTTATCTGCCACCCCACTAGAATGGGACTCTTCACAGGTAAGGGTGGCAGTTACACTATTTCTCCCGCATTTCTCACCATGACCAGCACTTGGTAGGTGCTAGATATGGCTGGCTGGCTAAAGTTAATAATCAAATAACTGAGTGAATCAATCAATCAATCAAGAGTAAATTACTTACAGGGGTTCATAATCATGTTGGAGAGGTATTAAAGAATGATTCAACACAAAATGATAAAGGACCCATGAGAGTCTATTCTCTAAGAAGTCTCTAGTCAGAGATGTCAGGTCAGCCCTTGGAAGGAGTTGAATATCTTGAAAGTTCAAACCTCCAATGCCTGCAGGGCCTAAGAAAGTAACAAAAATAACAACAGAGAAAGTTCTGGATACAGAGGCAAAGGAGAGCGCATGCATACATTCCAAATATTTTTTAATTGTTTGTTAATGTTGCACATGGCTTTTGTTTTTCATTTGCTGGGCAGGCAAGTCCAGTACATCCGTAAGGGCTGACTCTCAGGAGGTGACTTGCTAAGGGCCTTTTGCAATGTTAAAATAGAATTCATCTTGTTTGCAAGACAGCTAACGAAGCAAGTACCTCCATGGCTAATGTCACTCTCTACCCCTGCTCCCTAGGTTATGGCTTTGTTCTTTCATTACCATAAAATCATAAATGGCCATATTCAAAGCTCAGGCTGACACCATAAGATGTCAGGAGGCCGTGTCAGTGTCCTCACCAACTACTCAACTACACACTGTGGCCTCTCAACAGTTGACTTTGTCTGCATCCCCTATCGTCTTCCTACATGACAGCTTTGTGAAAAATACTAATTGATCTTGAGGTAGCTGCAATACAGACACAAAACAGCTTGGGTTGCTCTGTCACCAGGGATTCCTAGAGGAAGGGAAGAGGTAAGGTGATTAATGATACCAGCAAGGAAGGTTTTATCTCAAATGAGATGCTTATGTAAGACAATCTGGCTTTTGCAACTTTCCTTTTCTGCTTGTGTTTCATTGGAGGTCAGAAGAAAAGTGCATTTGTAGGTGAAGATTTTCCCCTCGTGCTTTAATTTGTTTTATGGCTCTGTTCTCTAGCCAAGTGCCCAAGCACAGAGGAGAGGAAAGAGCACTAGACTTGGAGTCAAAAGGTCTGTACTCAGGCCTCAGCTTTGCGAACTTGGGCAGGTCAGTTGACTTTTCAGAGCTTCAGTGTGTTCATCTTAAAAATGAGCTAGCAATCTATGCCTTGCCTTTTCCTGGGCACTACACCAGTTCTGCCTACACTCCTCATTTTGTTATTTTAGCATTAACCTCCTCATAAGTAAAAAGTTGAACACATACTCAAATATAGATAGATCATTTTGTTAGTCTTTTACATGTTTTGTCACTTAAATATGTCGTGTTTGCTAAACATAAACAAAAATAGAAACTTTTGGACGTTAACATGAAAATAAAAGAAGCTGTGATATCTCCTTCCCAGGCCCACCTTGCATGTCCCATGGGACACATGCCCATCACTTTGGAAACAATGATCTGCATGTGATAGATTGTTTATATTTCTTTAAATGTGACTTTTTTGGAGTCTTGACACTCAAAGTATGGTTCATGGACCAGCAGCATCTGCATCACCTAAGACCTATTAGAAATGCAAAATTGCAAATCCCACCCCAGATCTGCTGAATCAGAATGATCTGCATTTTAATGTAATCTCCCTAGGTGATTAGGTATGCACTGACATGAAGCCTCTTTCTTGAAATAATTTCCTTTACTCATTAAGAATGTTTGCTTACCTTTCAAGACTCCAGGTATCCATAGTGTTAGTCTGCAAATCCTTCCTCCTGTCCCCCCACTACTCCCTTACACCCCACAAAGTTAGATTCAGCCATGGTTTTGATTCAGCATACCTTTATGTGTCCATAGTATACCGGCAACTCAGATGCCTACTTGATGTCAGACACACTCTCTTAATTATATTTGTCAGCCTTCTTGGTGTTCAGTAGTACTCATTAAAACAAAATTCAAGGCAGCCTGTTGTGAGAATCAAATGAGACAATGTGTGTGGAAACACAATCATGTATTTATTCTTTCATTTAAACAAACTTGCCTTAAGCAGCCACCAGGTGCAAGGAATATTCCCAGGCATGTGGTAAAAAAGAAGGCTGAGGCACAGTCCTACCTTTGGGACCTCAAGGTCTAATGTGTAAAAAGTCCTGATTTGTATCCTCTTTCCCTGTTCATTCCTGTGACTGCTGCAGCCCCAGGCATTTCAGAGAGTAACAAGCACTCCGTGGGAGTTCAGGTGTTCACCCTTGGGATGGCCTTTGGTCTGGAATGTCCAGGTACCTTTTTCAGGGAAACCAGTCTCTGAGATTCCCTAACACCCCAGCATAGCTCACTATGCCCCAGACTCTTTCTTCATTCTCCTTCCCTAGGGGTGCAGCTCTTTCTTCTTGGCTGAACTATTTTCAGCTGTAAAACAAAGGCAAACTTACTTATATCTTTAGTGGGGAAACCCAGTAAATAAACCCAAATGGATGTTTAAGAACTTAAAAGAACGTAGTAGAGGAAAGGCAATCTCTGCAAAATGTTATTATTCTTTTCAGTTGATAGATCCTAATTATAATGGCCTTTGTATGGGGTTCAATGAAATTGCCTCCAATTACAAAAGAAAGATGCTTAAAATTAATTTGTTACCACTAAGGAGTAAAATTTTAGAGCGCCTGATATCACGGCCTAAATAAAAACCTGAAGCCCAGAAAGTATGCTCTAAAAAACAGACAATGCCATATTCGGTGCACCATCTGGCATGATGGAAGAATTAATCTCTAAATAAACACCTTTGGTTAATTCCAATGGCTCAGAGCAATTGACGCACCTTGCCTGCTGCCCAAGCCTCAGCTATAAAGAAAATCTTTACTTCCTGGTTACAAAAATAGGAATTAAAGTGTAGAAGAAAAAAATAATCCTCCTGTGAACTCTCACTCCTATATTATGCAAGGTAAACCTTCAGTGCATTAGTCATCAACTTTTATATCACCTTTAGCAGCTGCTGTCCCTGCTTGAACTGTCATACCCAGTGTTCAACACAACAGATGAGTTTTCTTTTTTACCTGTCATCTATAATTTTAATGCACTTTATTTTTTATTTTATTTTATTTTTTTTGAGATGGCATCTCACTCTGTTGCCATGCTGGAGTGCAGTGGTGTGATCATGGTTCACTGCAACCTCCTCCTCCTGGGTTCAAGCAATTCTCCTGCCTCAGGCTCCTGAGTAGCTGGGACTACAGGCGTGTGCCATCATACCCAGCTAATTTTTGTATTTTTAGCAGAGACGAGATTTCATCAGGTTGATCAAGATGGTCTCGATCTCTTGACTTCATGATCTGCCCACCTCAGCCTCCTGAAGTGCTGGGATTACAGGTGTGAGCCACCACACCCAGCCTATTTCTGAAGTATTTATTCATCAACTGAATTTTAGCCTATCACAACTGTAGTTTATTTCCTGAGTTACTTGTAAGTTGCTTAAACTAATTAGTAAAATGAAAATGATGATGTATAGTTCCATGTGAATCGCATTCTCTGGAATTGTTCAGTGCACAACCTGCACTACACGACATGGCTGCCCTGTTTTTACTGTTTCTCATTATACTCTCAAGCTTACAATATCAGTGTTATTGGTTTGTATCTTTTCTTTCTAATTTAAATTTGTAGGCTGGTTTTATAGGTGAAATATTACTCTTGGAAAAGACTGGTTTTTCTCATGAAAATGCTTAACCACAGTAACATGAATGGTGTCACTGTAATTGCCATTTAAAGAGGGAAGAGGAGAATGAGGCAGAGTGGTGGGCTCATTAATTTCACTGCCACTAACCACCAATATTCTGATCCAGCTCAGAGAGTGAGGCCAAAAGCCGTATCAATCTACACTATGAACTATTTAGCACAGTGAAACGGGATGTCACAAAGCAAAGAAAGGAACAGGCTGCTCTGCCACCATGTTGACCTTGAAGCAACAAAATTGAAAAGTCAATTACCATTTGGATTATCATTCTATAATGATGTCTTTATTATGGTAATGATTAAATTTTAAATAGAGTTATACACATTAAATCAGATTCTTAGCAGATTCCACTGCTTGAATTTGTAAAGACGCCCACTCAAACTTGTCCTTTGAGAGTAAAATGTATATAGCCAATTATTTTGGATTTGCTTATGAATAAATATTGTGCATAAAGAAGTCTATCATATTTGAAAGTTATAATTTTAGTGCTTTTGTAAAAAAACATTTTTAAAATCCCATGCCACATACTATATTTTAATAAAATAATATATTTAATAAATATATTTAACAACCTTTACATGAAAATTAAAGGAAATATATATGGAATGTATGGGGAATTATTTTAAATAGGGAAATATTTTCACCAAGTGGCACAGTTCTTAGGAAATAGAAACTATGATAAATTAGTGAATTAAACATTTCTATAATTTTCAACAAAGACCTAAACAAGGTGACAATAAAGCACATGTCAATATGTTAAGCAACATTTGATGACAAAATTAGGATCCAATGAATATTGTCCCTAAAATTTTACTATTATGATTTTATAAACAAATGAAATAAACATCAGAAGCATATTCTTTGGATAGTAGACAGATGTGCTTACATATTTTACATTTTTGTCTTATACAGGTATCAAAATTTATACACATTCATGCACCCACAAGCACAAGAAATATGGGTTAAATTCTAGGGTTTTTATGGTTTTAGGTCTAACATTTAAGTCTTTAATCCATCTTGAATTAATTTTTGTATAAGGTGTAAGGAAGGGATCCAGTTTCAGCTTTCTACATATGGCTAGCCAGTTTTCCCAGCACCATTTATTAAATAGGGAATCCTTTCCCCATTTCTTATTTTTGTCAGGTTTGTCAAAGATCAGATAGCTGTAGATGTGTGGTGGTATTATTTCTGAGGGCTCTGTTCTGTTCCATTGGTCTATATCTCTGTTTTGGTACCAGTACCATGCTATTTTGGTTACTGTAGCCTTGTAGTATAGTTTGAAGTCAGGTAGCGTGATGCCTCCAGCTTTGGTCTTTTGGCTTAGGATTGACTTGGCAATGAGGGCTCTTTTTTGGTTCCACATGAACTTTAAAGTAGTTTTTCCCAATTCTGTGAAGAAAGTCATTGGTGCGTTAATGGGGATGGCATTGAATCTATAAATTACCTTTGGCAGTAGGGCCATTTTCACAATATTGATTCTTCCTATCCTTGAGCATGGAATGTTCTTCCATTTGTTTGTGTCCTCTTTTATTTCGTCAAGCAGTGGTTTGTAGTTCTCCTTGAAGAGGTCTTTCACATCCCTTGTAAGTTGGATTCCTAGGTATTTTCTTCTCTTTGAAGCCATTGTGAATGGGAGTTCACTCATGATTTGGCTCTCTGCTTGTCTGTTATTGGTGTATAAGGATGCTTGTGATTTTTGCACATTGATTTTGTATCCTGAGACTTTGCTGAAGTTGCTTATCAGCTTAAGGATATTTTGGGCTGAGACTATGGGGTTTTCTAGATATACAATCATGCAAATCAAAACCGCAATGTGATATCATCTCACACCAGTTAGAATGGTGATCATTAAAAAGTCAGGAAACAACAGGTGCTGGAGAGGATGTGGGGAAATAGGAACACTTTTACACTGTTGGTGGGACTGTTAACTAGTTCAACCATTGTGGAAGTCAGTGTGGCAACTCCTCAGGGATCTAGAACTAGAAATACCATTTGACCCAGCCATCCCATTACTGGGTATATACCCAAAGGAATATAAATCATGCTGCTATAAAGACACATGCACACGTATGTTTATTGCAGCACTACTCACAATAGCAAAGACTTGGAACCAACCCAAATGTCCAACAATGATAGACTGGATAAAGAAAATGTGACACATATACACCATAGAATACTATGCGGCCATAAAAAATGATGAGTTCATGTCCTTTGTAGGGACATGGATGAAGCTGGAAACCATCATTCTCAGCAAACTATCACAAGGACAAAAAACCAAACACCGTATGTTCTCACTCATAGGTGGGAATTGAACAATGTGAACACTTGGACACAGGAAGGGGAACATCACACACCGGGGCCTGTTGTGGGATAGGGGGAGGTGGGAGGGATAGCATTAGGAGATATACCTAATGTAAATGACGAGTTAATGGGTGCAGCACACCAACATGGCATGTGTACACATATGTAACAAACCTACACATTGTGTACCTGTACCCTAGAACTTAAAGTATAATAAAAATGTATATATATTTTAAAAAATAAAAAAAATGCTTGATTTCATAAACAACAAAAAGCAAGCCAACAAAAAAATAAAGTTCTTTCTTACTAAAAAGAAAAAGAAATATGGGTTAAATTATGAATTTTATAATAAAAATATATGATGATTTGAATGTTCTGCAAATTTGTATCTGAATGGCCTTGGGCAGATTTTTAATCTCACTCTCCTTAATTGTCAACTACGACTAATGAAATCTACATCATGAGAGAGGGTTGAGAAGTAAATGTGTGCCTGTAGCTAAAGCTGGCAGTGTAGAAGTGCAAAACAAACCTCCCTGCTCTCTGTCTGTGGCCTTGCTTGCAGGATTGAGGTCTAGGCAACGTGACAAAGAATCCCTTTTTTCATATCAATGGCCCACAGATTTTCAGTCTGTCTTTCCCTGTCACCCTCTTCTTTGCGTTACTTCCTATAATGCTAAAGTACATGTGAGGTTCAATCTTCCCTTAGAATCACAAACTTGGGTTTTGCTTTATAGAGTAAACTACAGCAGGCCTCACAGCATGCTTTAGTCCAAACATATATATTAGCCTTCTTAATTTGACAAAAAGGAAAAATACTTGTGAAGAATTTTCCATATAGATATTTGGACCATGTCCCCAGAACTATTTTCATCTTGCAAATTCAAAACTCTATACTCATTAAACAATATTGGCATTCTCTTAATTCTGCCTGAATATACAATGGTATAAAACAGATCTTATTTGATTTAAATTTGGTAATAAAGTAGTAAGACACTCAAAACAAATATGCTATATGAGCTTTGAACTTGAGAAAGAGGATTTAGGGTATCTGGTGGAAGAATATTCTAAGCAGCAAAGCATTCAAAAAGAAGCAGAGCATAAAGGTTTGGAAAATTTGCAGCCTAATGATGCAATAAAAAAGAAAAACCCATTTTTGGAGGAGAAATTCAAGATGGCTGCAGAAATTTGCATAAGTAACAAGGAGCCAAATGTTAATCACCAACACAATTTGGAAAATGTCTCCAGGGCATGTCAGAGACTTCACAGCATCCCTTCCCATCACAGGCCTGGAGGCCGAGAAGGGAAAAATGGTTTTGTGGGCCAGGCCCAAGGCCCTGCTGCTTTGTGCACCCTCAGGACGTGAGGTCCTGTGTCCCAGCCATGGCTAAAAGAGGCCAACATAGAGCTCAGGTGGTTGCTTTAGATGGTGCCAGCCCCAAGCTTTGGTGGCTTCCACATGATGCTGAGCCTACGGATGCACAGAAGTCAAGAATTGGGGTTTGGGAACTTCTGCCTAGATTTCAGAGTATGTACGGAAATACCTGGATGTCTAGGCAGAAGTTTTCTGCAGGGGTAGAGCCCTCATGGAGAACCTCTGCTAGGGCAGTGCAGAAGGCAATTGTGGGGTTGGTACCCCCACAGAGTCCCCACTGGGGTACTGCCTAGTGGAGCTGTGAGATGAGCGCCACTCTCCTCTAGACCCCAGAATGGTAGATTCACCTATGCCTTGCACCATGTGCCTGGAAAAGCCACAGTCAACGCCAGCCTGTGAAAGCAGCTGGGATCGGGGGAGGGGTACCCTAAATAGCCACAGGGCTTAAAGCTGCCCAAGGCTGTGGGACTCCACCCCTTGCATCAGTGTGACCTGGATGTGAGACAGGGAGTCAAAGGAGATCATTTCAGAGCTTTAAGATTTGACTAACCCACTGGATTTCAGACTGGCATGGGGCCCATAGCCCCTTTATTTTGGCCAATTTCTCCCATTTGGAATGGGTGTGTTTACCCAATGCCTGTACCCACACTGTACCTAGGAAGTAACTAACTTGCTTTTGATTTTACAGGCTCATAGGCAGAGAGACTTGCCTTGTCTCAGATGAGACTTTGA
Organism: Homo sapiens; assembly: GCF_000001405.40. Taxonomy (NCBI): domain Eukaryota; kingdom Metazoa; phylum Chordata; class Mammalia; order Primates; family Hominidae; genus Homo; species Homo sapiens. The sequence continues at coordinate 103,398,157 of NC_000013.11, read as the reverse complement.
ACTTGGACTTTTGAGATAATGCTGGAATGAGTTAAGACTTTGGAGGACTGTTAGAAGAGCATGATTGTGTTTTGAAATGTGAGGACATGAGACTTGGGAGGGGTCAGGGTGAAGTAATATGGTTTGGCTGTGTCCCCACCCAAATATCATCTTGAATTGTAGTTCTCATAATCTCCATGTGTTGTGGGAAGGACCCAGTGGGAGGTAATTGAATCAGGGGGGCAGTTACCCTCATGCTGTTCTTGTGATAGGGAGTTTTCACAAGATCTTTTGGTTTTATGAGGGGCTTTTCCCCCTTTGCTCAGTATTTCTCCTTGCTGCTACCATGTGTAGAGGGATGTGTTTGCTTCCCCTTCCACCATGATTGTAAGTTTCCTGAGGCCTTCCCAGCCATGCTGATCTGTGAGTCAATTCAACCTCTTTTCTTTATAAACTCCCCAGTCTTAGGTAGGTATTTATTAGCGACATGAGAATGGACTAATACATCAGCCTTCAGAAGTGGTAGAAATAATTTCTATTGTTTACAAGTCACCCAGTCTACGGTTTTTTGTTATAGCAGCCTGAACAGACTAAGGCAGAAAATTGGTACCTGGAGTAGGCTGCTGTTTTCACATATACTTTAAAATGCAGAAGAGCTTTGGAACTGGGTAATGGGTAGAGGCTCGAAGAATTTTGATGTTCATGCTAGTAAAATCCTACATTGCCATGAACAGCCTCCAACTTGTAAGAACAGCAGCACAGGCTGCTCCCAGCAAAGCCATTAGAGGAGGGGCACTCAGATACTTGGGGACCCAACTCCTGCACAGCAAAGCTGCAAAGGTGAAGCCTTCACCTTAGTGTATGCAGTAGACAGGACCCCTGTGCCAGTGGAGGGCAGAGCATTGAGCCAAAGGAGGTTATTCTTAAGCCTTAAGGTTTTGGCCACGCTTGGGACCAGTCACTCCATTCTTTCCTATGTGTTTCTTTTGAAATGGAAATGCCCATTCTGTGCCTGTTTCACCATTGTGTTTTGGAAGCACGTAACATGCCTGAGATCACAGGTTCACAGCTGGAGAGGAATTTGCCTCAGGATACCTCGAGACTCACTCATATACAATTAACATGACATTTAGATGAGACTTTGGACTTTAGACTTTCAAGTTGTCCATGGAACAAGTTAGGACTTTGGGGGCTATTGGGGTGGTATTTGGCATGCAAGTGGGACATGAATTTCAAAAGATCAGAGGTGGAATGATAAGGGCTGAATATTTATGTCCCCTCAAAATTCAAAAGTGAAAATCCTAATCTCAAGATAATATGGTACTAGGACGTGTGGCCTTTGGGAGATGACTAGATCATAAGGACAGGGTCTTTATGAATGACATTAGTGCTTTTCTAAAAGAGACTTCCAAAGACACCCCCCTCACCCCTCCATCATGTAAGGATACAAAAGGAAGCCAGCCATCTATGAGAAAGCAGTCCCTTACCACACATCAAATCTGTTCGTGTCTTTACTTGGACTTCAGGCTTCCAGAACTTTGAAAAATAGCTTTCTGTTGTTTATAAGCCACTCAGTCTATGATACTCTGTTACAGCAGCTACAATGGGCTAAAATGTTGATCTTTCCATGACCTCCTTTCTGTAACTAAAAATCCTGAACGGGAGAGAGAGGAGAGAGAGAGAAAGACAGGAAGCTCGAGAGAGGAGAGAGAAAAACAGCATCTTTATTATGGTATTCACCCTCTCGTCAGTTATCGGAGTATTTACTTTTAGTGTCTGCCCCTCACACTGAACTTAGTCTCCCAAAAGCAAAGACTGTTTTATGCAACTTCATATGTTCGATGAGCAGCACAAAGCATGATATATAGTAACGTTCAACACATGCACATCTAACACATACAATAATTGTAAAGCTGTACACAAATTTGTAATTAGAATTTCTACATAGTTTTCACTTGGCATTAAAAATTATGTCCCTAAAATGAGGCAATAGCCTACTATTTTTATAAAGACTTGAAAAAATTATTTATTTATATTTGTCCACTTTTATTTTATAATACACTAATCTGAGATAGATTAGTATTCTGAAAATCTCTATAGCATGTTACTTCTGAACTGGTAAGCATGAGTTTCTCAAAGCAAGACTCCATTCTTAGTTTGGGGTCACAGAAGATTGCTTCTTTGCCCTGATTACTGCTGCAGACAAGAGCTGATGCCAACTGCTCTGCCACCATTCCTCAAATGCTGCAGTCAAAATTTCATTGTGGTCACATTTTTACTTCCAAGCACCCACCTCTCCCCTGCTCCTTTTTATCGTGTAACTAAGATGTATTCTAACATGCAAACATAAGTATACATTTACAGCTTAGTGTGCTTGTTTCAGAATCCCAGCCAAACTTTGTTTTTCTTGATGAATTGTGACTGGGTCAGAAAAATGCAGGCAGACAGTGACCCATTTGTCCACTTAATATATTTGGCAACAAATGTAATTGTAAATATAGCAGGTTAGTGTTTGAGGGAGGAAAATGCAGTATTGTTATAAGAAGAATAATGTCCACTTGAAGCTATACCAATTACCCAAGTCTGTGCACATCCAGGCTGCATCACTGAATTGCTGAATATATGTATAAGCAATTCAGAAAGGACTTAAAAGTTTTTAAATGTTTCTTCTCTTTCAATGAAATTCACTCACACATGATTCTTAAATGGTCTTCATATCCAGTTTGAAACTGAGCGCATGTTTGGAGTCAAGTTCAGTTTGGTATTTCGTGGTACTGAAAAAGAAAATGAACTTTCAAAAGAAGAATAGGATTCTAGTTTCTGTTAATGGTATGCAAAGTGCCAGCATGCAAGCATGTTACATAAAATCTAAAAGATAAATTTAACTGATGCATTTTCCAGTTAAACATTAGCTTTAACATGGATACTGAGACTCTAATGTTTCACAAGGTTAAGTTTGTGATTGAGACACACAGTATTTAAAACAGGTGGAGACCATGCCTAGCTCCCCTTGGAAGTTTAATGCCACAGCAAATAATTAAATAGAACTTATTGGGCAAATAAGGAAAAGCCACTCCAAATTAAATCTCGCAATTATTACTGTATAAGGCATTTATGCAGTGCTTCTTGTTTTTATAATAATTGCTATCACTGTCATACTGTTTCACAAATATCTATTCCTCTACTATTAGAGGTCTCATTTCATTGAAATATATCCAAGATCAGACAGTAAATCTGGATATCAAGCACACAGGGAGACAGTGCCAAAACCCTGTGCTCATCAGTTTACACAGAGGATGCTTTGAAACTGGGTTTCAATCCAAACAAGTTTCATGCATAGAGTAGAAACTGCTTCCTTAAAAGACCTGTATCCATGGCCTGATGCGTCTGGTGTTTGCTTTCTTCAGCACAGAAGCCATGGTCCTGTGGAACACATGTTGGAATCTTAATGTTAGGACATCAGCAAGTTGTAGTCAGGGCAATTAAAACAATGCATGGAGCACTGACCCAGACCCTGATGACACCCAAAGTTTCCACAACGCAGCAATTTCAAATATTTAATTCAATTTTTACAGCAGTTGTCTAAAATGGATGATGTCAGAGCACAGTCTGAATTCAAGGAACTCTCAGTTTAAGAGATCAGAAAGTCAAAATAAACATGTATTTAAGACGAATGTGTTCTGTGACCCTTCCCCAGAATGTGTTGGGTCGTGTGTAAAACTGTGTTCAGGTGGATAAAGTTTATAGAAACCCTACAGTAGAGTAAAAAAGTCAGGGTAAGCTTTCTGGAGGCGAGGCAGGTCAAATGAATGACATGAATGATAGGCTATAACTTAGTAGAGAAAAGGAATGTGCAGGAGAACCATCTCTAAAACTCTTGTCAACACCTATTTCCAAATCCAGTGTTTTACATCACAGAGAATGGTTCATCAGTGATGTAGGCTCTGTAATGTTGCTACCTGAAACAGTCTGGAAAGTCTCCATTTACCAGGACTTTGCTGAAGAAATAGTTTGAATGACTATAAAAAATGGGAATTTCATTCTTTTAAAAAGTCAACATTGGCTGGGCACGGTGGCTCACGCCTATAATTCCAGCACTTTGGGAGGCCAAGGCAGGTGGAACATGAGGTTAGGAGTTCAAGAACAGCCTGGCCAAGATGGTGAAACCTCATCTCTACTAAAAATACGAAAATTAGCCAGGCGTGGTGGCGGGTGCCTGTGATCCCAGCTATTTGGGAGACTGAGGCAAGAGAATCGCTTGAACCCAGGGGGCAGAGATTGCACTGAGCTGAGATCGCACCACTGCACTCCAGCCTGGGTGACAGAGTGAGGCTCTGTCTCAGAAAAACAAAACAAAAAAGTCAACATTACTGGTGAGAAAATCTTAGGTGGGCTTTGCTCGTGAACAAAACACCAAGCACTCCCTTCCCAACTCTACAAGGCTGTCAAGATCATGAGCCTCATGGACACAGGTGGACTGGTGGATGAAAAGTGAGAAAAACACAGCATCAATCAGTAAGCCTCTCTCCCAGCCAACACCCCTCCAACACAGGACTGGACCCCATCACTGTGGCAGCACCTATGGCAGCTGTCAGCATCATTGGACCCACAGAAAAGGCCATGGACCCCTAGGACAGAAACCCCTCCCAGGCCAGAGAGCAAGTGTTAGGCTGGATACCAGGGCCTTCCGAGAGAAAAGACCTCATGTAGCCTATCCCTTACTGTCGTCCCTGTGTTTCCTTAACAAACCTACATTCTCCCCTCTCTCACTAACCTGACTCCATGCCCTCTGGACCTTCTTCTTAGTCAACAGCCATTTGGCTACATCTTCAACATCTTCAACCCTTTTGCACAACAGTCCCTCCATTTCCCTTGTCTTACAGAAAACCTATGGATCTCTGAAGATAACATTTCCCTTCAGCACCTTTGTTCTTTTTTCTAAGGTCAGAAAGTAGGAACATAATTCTCGCTTTGGAATTTTCTGTGCTTTTTATCCCATTGCTCTCTCTGTAAAGTGTTTGGTTTCTTTGACCGTAGGACCACCCTGCACTGCCCCCTCTCAACCTCCCCATCGCTGTCATCTCCAGCCCTCCGAGACATTCCTCAGTTGATGAAGAGGCCTCCGCGTGGCTGGAGGCTTCCTCTGCATCTCCGGTTATAATTCCAGGCTGCCTCAGCATCCATATGAAGTTGCCCTGACAATCTTACTTTCAGATTTAATGACTTCCTAGACTAAAACTATCTTCTCTTTATTCTATCACAACCACCCTCCCCTACCGTCCCACCCTGGACTGCTTCTGGTCTAAATCATAAATCAAAATATTCCACTTTTCAGCCACAGCTTCCCATCATTCCATCCTACATACAACGACCTCCACAGAACTGAGCTTCAGTCTCATAATGAGAACTTCATTCTTAACCCTTCTGCTTTCTTTCTTTGCAAGAAAATATTGTCATTCCTTCTTTATCACCCAGTTAGCCCATCATTTAAATCATGCATTTGTAAATATCCCAAACTCTTTGGTTTCTTGTGTTTTCTTTGTATCCTCTTATCAAGCTCCCAGTTCTCCTTATGGGAAATTATACAACTGAGAAGATTGGTGTCACAGTCAATTTAGGTTCATCATTCAGAACTGCATTTCACTCTGGATGGTCAGTTCTCCCTCCCCTCTCCACAGACTGAAATCAATACCACTGCAATCTCAGCAACCCTCCAACCTTCTCACCCAGCCCTTCTTCAGGAAGTGATCTTGTATGAAAACTGCAAGCATAAGCTAAGGATACTCTTACCTGTCCATTGCCACACCTACAAACTACCAGGGTTTACATGCAGCTTTTTCCTCCAGGGGAGAAAGTGTTCTTCCTATTAAAGCCCACTCTCTCCATAGGGCTCCTTTCAGAAATCCTATGGTATCAACTATGGAGGTTTTCTCATGTATTTTCAACTTCCCCCTACAAATAGGATTAAATTATTCTCATCAGCATGAAAATATGTACCGGTTTTTTCCGTAAAACCACAATAAAAAAATGTCTGTTTGGACATAACTTCTGTTTCCTTCTTTCATAACCAAGTTTCTGAAGTCTGTTTTATAAATGCTACCTATGCTTGATTTCTCATTCACGTAGCCACTTACTGGAATAAGTTCTCTAGTGCTACCATTCAACAAAATCTAAAGTCAACAGTGATATCTCTGTTGCTATATCTAATGAACAACTTTTCTTCCTCATTTTACTTGTCATCAGCATTATAAAGCGCTTCCCACTTCCTATTTGGAGAAACATTCTCTTCTTTTGTCTCCCATGATGTATGATCTTGGCATTCCTCCCATCTCTCAAATAGCTCCTTGGGGTTTTTTTGGCCAGCTCTTTTTCCCCCTCTCGATCTTAGAAAGTTACCGTTTCTTAGAATTGTTCCTGAACTCCAGTGTCTTTTCTTGGTAGACCACCTTTTGGGAAATCTCCTGTATTCCTTTAAACACCGTTTTGTGCATTCAGACCAGCCCAAACTGCAGAGCTCCATGTCGGTTTACTCTGCTGCCTATGTGACATTTCTATTGGGTCTCGAATCATACCAAATTTATCCTTCACAAAACAGAAATTCTAATATTCTTCCGAATGCTGATTCCCCTTCAATATCCCCCGTCAACCCAGTTTGACATTCCAGAAACTTTGAGGAAATTTTGCTTGTCCCTTCTGCTTCAGTTTGTTACCAACTTTTATCAAGTCTATAGCCTATATATCTCTCTAACCTGCAACTTCTCTCCATCTCTATCATACAACCTAGTTCAGCCTACATTCTCTAGTCACCAAAAAAGAAGAGCTTATAAAAAGACGATTTTAATAATGCCATTCCCTGCCTTAAACCTTCCATTGATTCTACTGCACTTCAGACAACATCAAAATTCAAATCTGGCTCCTCCCTACCTTTCCAACAAAATGAGCCACGCTGCCTTTCTTTCTGATCCTTGAGCCACCCAGTTCTGTCTATTTCAAGGACTTCTCACATAATCCTTCAACTTGGAAATCTTTCTCTTTCCTGCTTGCAACCCCACCTCTCCTATATATGACTAATCTTATTTTCTTTGGTCTTAATTCAAATGTCACATGGTCCCTGCATATATGCTTCCAGGTCGTAGCAGCATCAGCATCAGCCTTAGAGGCCAGCAACCTTGGTTCTGGCCAGGGTTCTTGTAATGCAGAGGGCTCCACTCTTGTCCACCCCTTCTTTCTTCGCTGCCCATGGTGTATGGAATCCAGATAATCCCTGCCCAAATAACAAGAGACCCAGAGCCTGCTCTCAGGATTTCCCCCAGGTCACCTTCCATTCCAGAAGGTGAAATCATGCCTCTGGTGTGCATACCTCCAGGACAAAGGGCAGCCTAGTAACTGCTATTTGCAGTGCAGGGGAGAAGGTAAAGAAATGAGATTGAACTACTACTGTTACTGCTGTTCAGTGGGTGTGATGCCTATACAGGTGTGCAGGAAGCCATTCATGGTCTGATGTCTACACAGGCAGATAGGAAGCCATTCATAGTATGATGTCTACACAGGTGGATAGGAAGCCATTCATGGTGTGATGTCTACACAGGTGGATAGGAAGCCATTCATGGTGTGATGTCTACACAGGTGGATAGGAAGCCATTCATGGTGTGATGTCTACACAGGTGGATAGGAAGCCATTCATGGGTGGGTGTGCTGTCTACATACATGTTCAGGAAGCCCTTCATGTGCAATAGGAGGAAGCAGGAATCACGCAAGGGACTGGTGCAGAACAAGGTGTCATCTTGTTGCCAGGATGCGTATGGAAGAGTGAGGATTAGGCTAGATTGAGTGGCATGTAACATGTTATCATCTGTAGTGTGACATTAAAGAAATGTCCTAGAAAAATACTTTTCATTGGCTTGTTCATAACTTTTCACGGAAGGAAAAGTAGTTATAAATCCCAAGTAAGAGACCATACATAGTCCAGATCGGTAATACCTGGAAATGGTACGGAACAGTAGTAACAGAAAGGAGATGAAGTGGACAGATTTGGAGGACAATAAGAATAAAATGACTGGTCCTAGCAACTGCTTAAATGTAGTAAATGCAATGCACAGCCGTGTGCTACTTTCCTGAATCATAAAGTACAATTCCCATTTTACTGGATGCTTTCTCATTACAGACCATATTCTTTAAATTAATCTAGTGCCCATACTGTATATTAACTCTCAATTCTACAGATGGCTTGGAGGCCTATAAACAATTATAGAAGTTGAGTCCTCTAGCAAAGAAATACATAGATTAATGTTTCAGCAAACTAATTAAGGTAGGAGAGTTTTGAGCCAAAATATTACCCTAGAGGTTTTTTAAGAAAAAGTCAGAAAAACTCATCACAATTGTTGCTTATAAGTTGCTTATAAACTTATAATCAGAAGCAATTCCAGGGTAGAAAATAGAGACTAAATGAAAAAAGTTAGCATCCCTAAAGTAAACTTATCGCTGCTGATAACTATCATCATTACTCACAAGACAGAGACTTTGAATGCTCCAGCCACTCCAGGGAGGTCCATTTGCTATTCTAGGAAAACAAGACACTAAAGCTTTGACTCACTAAATGGCAGACTAGTTAACTAAAAGAGCGATGCAACATCTAAAGTTATAACCACATATATGACAATTAAAGGAGGGAAAAAGATCTTGGCAAAAATATAAAACCTGGGATGACTCCAGCTTTCTCACTATTGGAAATCTCAATACATTCAGGTTTATGCTGCCTAAAAAATTCTATACTCTAAACCGATTTCAAGGAGATGCAAAGGTTTTGAAAAATAAAACCCCAGATTATAGAGGAAATCACAGTGCCAAGGGCTAATAACAGGGAAGCTAAAATAAGAATTAGAACAACGGCTATTTGAGAAACGTTTCAGAAGGTTATTCCATAAAAGCAAATGTAAAACTATTACGTAGGATAACAAAACAGCTTATAATAATTATGTTCATGCCATTGCTGTTGTGTTTAGATTAATATTCCTTGAAGAAAATAGCTGTGTTGCTATCAAATATGTTCAATCTTTAAAATGTTCTCTTTTTCTAACTAGTATGACAGTTTTACTGTATTATTAATTGAACTTGGGAACAGCACCTCATTCCCTCTTCTGGAAGCTCTTGGTAATTCACCTGTACCCATTCTAAATGTTACTGTCCTTTAACCCAGGCTGTTCTCCATGCAACTGTGACTATAATGACCCATGGCAATGTGTCTGTATCTCTGAAAACTTTGATAACTACCACACACTGCAACAGATGGATTTAATCAAACTTATAAGTATTAAAAATACATCTAAAGTAGATTCTAGAGGCATGTGTAGGCAAACATTATGAATGAGTTTACACAGAGCAAGTGTGTAGTGTTTCATCTTATTGAATGAACTCAGCCAGCCTAACTAAATGGTGTCCCATAAGAACCTTGTAAACCCAGTTCCTCCGTGGGTGGTGGCCTCCTGTTCTCTTACTAGACTCCAGTGCAGCATGATTCTTGACACCATCTACCCCATGTCCCTCAGCTAAATTGCAGCAGATGTGGCCCTAATCTCTTCCATGTGAAGGGAAATATCATTTATAAGTGTATTGGGGACTTCTTCATCTTATGCAACAGCAGCTGGAAACTTTAATTTTCTCCACACAAAATGCATGCAATATGGGTGTGAAATTACAGAAGGTTGTATAAGTCCCTAGTTCTGGCACCTCATTAAACACTTTGCAATGCATTCTCCATTTAAAATAAAATTTTAAAAAGTAGCCTACACACATGAGCTTGAATGTATGTGTGGTTGACCCTAAAATATTTTGATGAGTATTCATTCACATGCAATTCCTCTTAATTTTAGTCACCTCAATCACAGGCTATATTAAATAAGATAAAAATGAGTTGGGGGATTAGGATAAAAAGTTTTGGAGTATAATAAATGTCCATAGTATCAAATGTTTTTGCAAGAATGATGCTACTTTCTTGCAGTCTTGAATTCCAAAAGTTCACTTCTTGTCCTGAAAAAAAAAAGGTTATAATGTCTCTTTAAAAATGCATGCTCTCAACTAACAGAGGCCAGCTCAGCACATTTTTAACAAACTAAAACAGTGCCAAAAATATTGTCAAATCAATGCAGGTCTCACCTTAATGGAGCTTAGACTGTGAAAATAGCACAATGGAGTCAAAGCAAATATGGGTGTGACATTTGATGATTCTGCCCTATGTGCTTGATTAGAGAGAAAGAATGAATAGAAATGATTCTGGTGACTCTTCCCTCCATTCTGCTCAGTAAGTGCTTGTGTTGAATGAGAGTGAAACAGGGGATTGAATCTGTTGCTGTCCCAGTTGATCCTTGCTATTTGCCTCTTAAATTATGCTCAGCTTGCTACCCAATTGTCCCTAAACACAGGTGAATCAATTACTCAGCTGAAGAATGAGGACTTGATATAATTTTGGAGAAAAAAGTGGTAAAAACTTTTTCTAGACAGCACTTTCCTAAGGGATTTTTGAGGGTAATTTTATAATATGCATGTTTTCCTTAAAGTGTTGATTTTAAAACCCAGTCCTCATGGAAAATAAACCCAACTATGTAAAGATGCAATACCTGCAGTACAACTTGTTTATTATGATCTAGGCTAAAACTGAATTCCTTGCACAACATGAAGAAAGCCTGAACACATAGTTCCTTAAAGCTTTTGTATTTTCTGAATGATATAAATTGGGTGATACATGAAAGAAAAAGATAATTTTTACATATTTTTGTTAGTTTTTTAAATCACAAAAGTAATAACTGCTCATCTTTGAAAACTTAGAAATCAAAACATGGCTTACACAAACACGGAATAAAAACCATTAGTATCTTGGTACATCTATTTCCAATAAGATAATATACTATACATATAACTTTTATATCTTGTAATTTTTCAGACAACCATATAACTGGAAAATTTTCCATTTGGGATATTTAGGGATATTCAGACTCAATGTGATTTTAACAACTCTTTATTAGTATATCTTAAAAACATTACAATTTAACCAATATCCTACTGTATTTTTACAGTGTTAGTATTTCTATATTTACAATGATGAAATTTTATTTATCTCTCTTTTAAAAAACTCTTTTATTTATCCATCATTTTAAAAATCTCCAGATGTTTCTTAGGACAAATTCCTAGAAGTGAAATTGCTGGTTCACAGGGAATGAACATTATTTGGTCTGTTGATTTTTGGATACCAATGCCTTCCAGAAAGTTAAGTAAAATTTAAACTTACAACGCTGATTGACTAAAGTGTCTCTCTTCCATCATCCTCACCAACTAGGGTATCTTAATTATTTTAAATCATTGTCAATAGGACAGGCTGCCATGCCCAGGAGGATGCTGACCACATTTAACAGAAAGGCAATCACATGCATAGTTGTAGTCATCAAAGAGGTTAACTGCTGCAACAGAAATACCAAAATCTCAGTGATTTCAGCAATAACATTTTACCACACCAGTTCAGTGCACACGTTGGATAGGCAGCCATGTAGTCCTTTAGGGACAACTCCAGCCTCTGTCCAACTTTCTTGTAATACCATCACTCAGCACTCTGGCCAGCTCTCATGGGAAGAGAATCACATAGGAGGAATTTCTATGGTCAAGGCCAGGAAATCAGCTGGCCACACTTGCTTACATACTCCATTAGGTATGACTCAGTCCCAGGGACACACTCAGCTTCAAAGAGGCTCTGGACACAGTCTAGCTGTGAGCCAGAGAAGAAAAGGCAATCGATTTGTTGAATATCAAGCCATCTTTGCCACACGTTAGCATTTGTTTACCTTTTTATGTAATTAGAAAGTTTCTATATTTTAAAAAGATAAATCACTCCATTCACATTTAGATTAATCACGGAATCACTGATATACATAAAATTGTATGCCTGCTATTCTGCATTTTTCTTTCCTTTTCTTGTTGCATACTTTTCCCTTTACTTCTGCTAGTTGGATACGAATATTGTCCACTTCATTTTCCCTCATTCATTTGTAACTCTACTATACTTTTTTATTCCAGTAATGGTTACTATTAGCATATATTGAATTAATTTGAACAAGATAACCTCTAATTATTCACAATGGCCTTCTAAATTATCTACTTCACCACTGCCCCTACCCATACAATAAGACCTGCAGAATCCTCTTACTTTCTCTTTCTCCTACCCCCGCCTCCACTCTTCATGAGATCTCAGAAATGTCTGTATCCTCACTTTCTCATTCACTACTTCCTCCTACTCCTAGACTTTGATTAAAAATTTCAGATATTATCAATATTTCTAGGAAAGAATGAACACTCACTTTCAAGAGCTTTTGTGTTTATATTATGTCTATCCTTAGCTTTTATGTTTTAACTCTATATTGTAGATGGATTAAGAGATCTTGATCTCTGTTCTGGTCAATTTGTCATGTATTAATGTTATTTTCTTAGTACTTTCCTCAAATTAGGTACTAGGATGACACACTTTTGGCTGGAAATAAAGTTCTTCCTTTGCAGTCCTTTGCTGTCAAATTATAGATGCTATACCACTTCTTATAGTTATCTCATTTCCTTTGTAAGAAACTGTTCTTTGTGCATCAACATTACTGACCTATTGGGTTGGATAATTCTTTGTCATGGGGGCTGTTCTGTGCATTGTAAGATGTTGAGTAGTATCCCTGCCCTCCTTGGCCACCCACTAGATGCCAAGAGCACCATACTCAATTGTGTCCATCAAAAATGTCTCCAGACGTTGCCCAATGTTCCCTAGTGTCAAAATGCTCCCAGCTGAGAACCACCAACCAAGAAGCTTATAAAACTTGTTTCTATCTGAGAGTTTAAGAAGTTTTAGCACAACAAATATAATTGTTTTGGTTTTTATAAATTTGTCTATACATCTTTCAATGTTCATCCTTCGATAAAAGGTAAGTCTGTTTAAAATTATCTCTGCCCCTACGGATTGGGGCTTCAGGTCAACTCTGAGCCTCAGGTGAAGCCCTTAAATAAAAATACTGTGTTATCTTTCACATTATCTCAAACACAAACGCATGGAACCTCAGCCTTCTAATTCAATCAAGTTTTGCTTTTGTGGGATCAGTAAAACCCTGGAAATTCACATGCACTGAAATCTAAAATAGTTGAACTCAAAGACATAGAGTAAATGGTTGCAACAAAAGGCTAGGGGTGAAGGGATTGAGGGGATGTTGGTCAAAGAACACAAAATTTCAATTAGACAGGGAGAATAAGTTTAAGAGATCTGTTGTACACCATGGTGACTACAGTTACTAAAAATACTTAAAAATTATTAAGAGAGTAAAATGTCCTCAGCCTCCAAATTGATAAATATGTGAGGTAATGCAAATGTTTAAATACCTTAATCAATTGTATACATATATCAAAACATCGTGGTACGTACCATAACTCTATACAATTTTAACTTCTCAATTTTTAACAACTGTATAAACAAAAAAGAAAAGACAATTCACTTGAGGTCAAAGCTGACCTTCTCCCGATTGCCAAGGAGGAAGCGACTCTTTTCTCCACCTCCTAAAAGTTCACCAAAACCAATAGCTCCCTTCCACAGCAGTCACTTGTCTCAAGAAAAACAAAACAAATTGCTTCAGGATGAGTAGTAGAGTGCAAGCAAGTTATGTTCAAGTTGCCATGTTCCCACAGTCACCTTCAGAATGTATTTTAAAAGACTTGTTCTTGAATTCAAGAATTTGGGAAAACTCGGGAAAAGCTTAGGAAAGAGAATATTCCACGTATGAAACTTGCTCTAATGTTACTATTATTATAATAACATAATAACATGATATGATAACATTAAACACAAAGAAAAATGAAATATAATTCACTTTCAACTGAACTCCAAAGAAATCAGTAATGACTTTAGCCAGTATGAACATGGTGAGGATTTTTAACATTAGAAATAAGATATCTCTCTAGCATTCAAAATTCCTCCAGAGGAGTAGATATCTATATTAACATAAAAAGATTCCACTGACACATCCTACCATCTCCACTACAGATAAAAAGAATGTGACATTACAAAATGGAGTAAGACCTTAAATAGAACCCAAAGAAATCACCAATGTAAAAAGTCCCATTTCTAAGGAATCATTTTCTTGGTTGATAAGTTAAATATATTCAAATAGGTGCTAAATGAAAGCGGAATGGTTTTATAATATAAAGTACAAGTCTAGGTACAAAGGACAGAATTTCTCATTTATCAGTGACAGAGGCAAATAGAAAATCTGACCTCAGTCTTATCAGATATGTCCTTATCAAAATAAGCAAGGAACTGCTACAAATACCAAAAGCAGAAACAACAAGGACAAAACTTGGTGCACTTGTTTGACTGATAAAAAAAAAAAAAATCTCATGAGGTTGATTAGATTAAGTCAAGTAAATGAGCCAAAGGAACTGCGTAAGTCTCACTGCTTAGCGTGTCCTTATCCTTTTAGCAATAACTGTTACAAGTTTTCAAATGAGCAATAAAATATTTGCAACAAAACCCAGAGTAGACTTGAAATGGCTTGGCTCTGTGTTTCCACCCAAATCTCACCTTGAATTGTAATAATCCCCACATGTCAAGGGGAGGACCAGGTAGAGATAATTGAATCACGGGGGCAGTTTCCCCCATGCTGTTCTCATGATAGTGAGTGAGTTCTCATGAAATCTGATGGTTTTATAAGGAGCTTTTCCCCCTTTTCCTTGGCACTTCTCTTTGTTGCCACTATGGGAAGAAGGATGTGTTTGCTTCACCTTCCACTATCATTGTAAGTTTCCTGAAGCCCCCAGCCATGCTGAACTGTGAGTCAATTAAATCTCTTTTCTTTATAAATTACCAGTCTTGGGTATGTCTTTATTAGCAGTGTGAAAACAGACTAATAGAGTAAATTGGTACCGGTAGAGTAGGGTGCTGCTGTAAAGATACCCAATAATGTACAAGCAACTTTGGAACTGGGTAGAGGATGGAACAGTTTGCAAGGCTTGGAAAAAGACAGGAAGATGTGGGAAAGTTTGGAACTTCCTAGAGACTTGTTGAATGGCTTTGTCCAAAATGCTGATAGTGACATGGACAATAAAGTCCAGGCTAAGGTAGTCCCAGATGGAGATGAGGAACTTGTTGGGAAATGGAATAAAGCTGATCTTGCTATATTTTAGCAAAAAGAATAGTGGCATTTTGCCTCTGCCCTAGAGATCTATGGAACTTTGAAGTTGAGAGAGATGGTTTACAGTATCTGATGGAAGAAATTTTTTAAGCAGCGAAGCATTCAAGAGGTGACTTGAGTGCTGTTAAAAGCACTCAGTTTTAAGTATTCACAAAGATATGGTTTGGAATTGGAACTTATGTTTAAAAGGGAAGCAGGGCATGAAAGTTCAGAAGATTTTTCAGTCTGACGATGTGATAGAAAAGAAAAACCCATTTTCTTATGAGAAATTCAAGCCAGCTGCAGAAATTTGCATAAGTAAAGAGGAGCCAAATGTTAATCACCAAGATAATAGGGAAATGTCTCCAGGGCAAGTCAGAGGTCCTCACAGCAGCCCCTCCCATCACAAGCCCTGAGGCCTAGGAGGAAAAATGGTTCTGTGGGCTGGGCCCAGGGCCTTGCTGCTTTATGCAGTATTAGGACTTGGTGACCTGTGTCCCAGCCATGGCTAAAAGGGGTTAATGTAGAGCTCAGGCTGTTGCTTCAAAGTGTATAAGCCCCAAGCCTTAGCAGCTTCCACGTGGTGTTGAGCCTGCGGAAGCAAAAAGTCAAGAACTGAGGTTTGGTAACATCTGTCTAGTGTTCAGAGGATATATGGAAACACTTGGATGTCCAGGCAGAAGTCTGCTGCAGGGGCAGAGCCCTCATGGAGAACCTCTGTTAGGAGCATGCAGAAGGGAAATGTGAGGTTGGAGCCCTCACACAGAGTGCTTTCTGGGGCACTGCCTAGTGGAGCTGTGAGATAAAAGCCACTGTCCTCTAGACCCCAGAATGTTAGATCCACTGACAGCTTCCATCATGCACCTGGAAAAGCCACAGTGACTCAATGCCAGCCTGTGAAAGGAGCTGGGAGGGGGCTGTACTCTACAAAGCCACAGGGGCAGGCTATAGGAGCCCACCTCTTGCATCAGCATGACCTGGATGTGAGACATTGAGTCAAAGGAGATTATTTCAGAGTTTTAAAATTTAAGTACTGCCTCGTTAGATTTTGGACTTGCTTGGGGCTTGTAACCCCTTTGTTTTGACCAATTTCTCCCATTTGAAAAGGGTGTATTTTCCCAATGCTTGCATCACCATTGTCTCTATGAAGTAACCAACTTGCTTTTAATTTTACAGGCTCATAGGCTAAAAGGACTTGCCTTGGTTCAGATGAGACTTTGGACTGTGGACTTCTGGGTTAATGCTGAAATGAGTTAAGACTTTGGGGGACTGTTGGAAGGGCATGATTGTGTTTTTAAAAGTGAGGACATGAGATTCAGGAGGGGCCAGGTGAGGAATGATATGGTTTGGCTCTGTGTCTCCACCCAAATCTCACCTTGAATTATAATTCCCACATGTTAAGGGTGGACCAGGTGGAGATAATCAAATCATGGGGGTAGTTTCCCCGATACTGTTCTGATGATAGTGAGTTTTCATGAGATTTGATGGTTTTAAAATGAGCTTTTCCCCATTTTGCTTGGCACTTTGCTGCTGCCATGTAAAGAACAACACTTTTGCTTACCCTTCCACCATGATTCTAAGTTTCCTGAAGCCCCCAGCCATGCTGAACTGTGAATCAATTAAACCTCTTTTCTTTATAAATTACCCAGTCTTGGGTTTGTCTTTAGCAGCAGTGTGAGAAGGGACTAATGCAAGACTGTTTTCAACAACTCGTGTAGTCATTGCTATATTCAAATAAGCCAGAAATTAGCCATAGAGGGGTAGAGCTTGCACAATGATAGGAAGGAACAACAGAACATGCAGCTGTCATGGGCATAGTGTTAAAGCTTACACCTCAGGTGATCACGTGAACTTCAGGTGATCCACCTGCCTGCCTCAGCCTCCCAAAGTGCTGGAATTACATGTGTGAGCCACTGCACCCAGCTTATTATTGTCACTATTATTAACAACTCCACTGTATGAATAATGAAACTAGGACACTCAATGACTCTCCTTCACCCATTGACAGTAAACGATGGAGCATTAAGTCAGGCTACACTTTCTCAACTTCAAGGCTTGTGCTGTGTCTACAGATAGCTAGATTATTATATAGGCTGTCATTGCTGAAATATTAAAAATAACTATGAACCTCAGTTTGATCAGTATACAGAGCCTAGCATTACTCCAATGACATTCAGGTGGTGTATAATGTATGTTGCAAGGAGAATTAACAATCAAAATTATTTGACCACTTGAGGGGTTTCTCAGGGAAGTGTGGATGTGGGAAAACTGAAAACCACCTTGTGCTTTGACATAAAGAGCAAGTCTCAGCCCAAGCTTCCCTGATGAGCATCAATCAACACCAGTTATTTTGCAGTGCCTTGTTGACTCTGTTGCCTAAATTTGGCCTAATTTCTTTTAGAGTTCTCTATTGTGTAGGATTATCCCCTGTGTAGCATCTCAAATTTCTTGGTACACAAAAATATAATACAATTAGGAAAATGCAAGATTTGGTCAGAAAGAGGGAAAATAAGGGTTATACACTGTGTTTCCAATTGACTCCAACCTCATAAAAATGCTCTGCCATGGGAGTGCTCTAGGTTGCCCAGTCCTCATTATTCAATGAAATAAGCTCGCCAGCTGGGCTGACCTTCTAGCAAAAGTGCAAAGTAAGTCCTTACTGATGGCAAGCAAAGAGAAAAACAGGCATTTTCCTGAAAAGCAGACTGCTCTCTCCTGAGAATCTTCCAAGGAGAGGGCGTCTGGGCATTTCCTGCTATTTTTATCTCCTGAGGCTAAACTTAGTACAAATGAATTAGAACTATCAATTAAAAAGGAGTGGGGCAAGAGAGAAAAACAGGGAAAATCTATTAAGCATTCATAGACACAAAATTGCAGAAATTATGAAGATGAGCAACCCTAAAGAAGTATTTTATGCAACCCGCATGCATTCTTCAAATTATGCAAATGAATTTAATAAAATCAGAATTCATTTAAAATGTACATAACCTCAACACCCCATCTCTCCAAGCTCCTAGCTCTCCAGGCACACATTTACTCATTTCTCTGTTAATCAGTGAAGGTAACTTTTTAACCTCCCAGGGTTTGGAAAATAGAGATCCTTAAACCAGAGCAAAAGCTGTCTTCCACTGAACTATGACAGGAAACCAAAATGAATTGCCTTCCATTTGAAAGTTCATAGAGAAAGAAATAAGTTAAAATGCTATTCCTCAAACAGAGAAGATTTGTACATAAAAACATAAGCCCAATGTGCCCCATTATCTAGATTCACAGCTTTGCCAAAGGAAACCACCTAATATATTAAAATATATTTTGTTTGTAATTCCTTGTGTAAGAAAAGAGGGGGGGAAAGAACCATAAAGGAATAAAGAAAAGAAGGAAGAGAAAAAAATTTAAAAAGAATTAGTAATATGTGTAACTATTTACTAATTTGCATGGAATCACAGCAAGGTGGTTTTGCCTAAGTGTTTTTGTAACAGGTAAATAATAAGAAAATATGTTTTAATTACTTTCATGTATTATAAATATCATGACTTTAGAATTCACATTCGAGCTGAAATGTTCCATGTTTTAAAATATACATGTGGTTTATCATGAGTTTACAAAATTATAACCCATTAGAGCATTATAATCCACTTCTGTAAAATCATTCTATAAAATCTATAAAAACATTGTAGTCCACTTCTACAAAACTGCACAGAGAAGTGAAACATGCCCCTGTGCCTTTGTTTATGCTATCAATTTCTTGGCTATAAATGTCCTCATTCCACGCAGAGTGCAGAGGTAAATACTATTCTGCTTTGGCTAACTATCACAAAACCCTAATTGGGAGAGTTCAAACCAAAATACCTAGTATTTTATGATATATTCACAATATTTTTAATACAGATAATAAGTAATGTATATTCTAGGTATGATTTACAATCATGACCAAAACTTTCATTACAGTGGCCTATAAAATATTAGCTTATAGTCACTGGAATGCAGTTTTCATCATTTTCTTCCTATGACTGTAGATCAGTTATGTGAACACAGCATCACACTTAAAAAAATAAAATGCAGTTAAGTAAAAAGGACATGGTTAATGCCCTTTGGGAGCTCATATTTAAAATGGAAATATAAGCTTACCCCTGAGAAAGGACAAGAGGAAATGGGCTTAAATTTATAGAAAGAAGGGACAAAGCATTTTTCCTCATGCTCTTTCCTCCCCCACCGACCCACAAGGTTGCTAACTGCCAGGTGACCCAGAGAATAGAATGAAAAAAACAAAGAAATTTTCTAACTGACCATGATCTTTTCCTGATGTAGAAAGGAAAAGGGTTGCACATCTGCCTGATCCTTCCTTTTTCTTTAGACTATTTTTTTTTTATGATTGGGCCTGCATCAAGAGAGGCTTAAAGGGAAATATCCATTCTCTTTAAAACAAAATTGGAAAATTAATTGTTAACAACAGTTAGAAGGCTCTGCTGGAGATCATAGCAATAGATCCCTAGATACTGTAGAAATTAAGAAAGTTGTTTGCTTAGAATAACACTCCAGCAGTTTCACAATGACTTCATTGGCTTCCAGACCCCACTTTCATCTTTCATCTCTCTAAATGCAATCATCAAACCAAACCAAACCAAATTACTTCCAACATAATTTGCTTGAAATACTCTCATTGTGTCATTAAGCCGGACAAAATAATTATTACATAAAAAATAAACTGTTTTAAACCAACATGGTGATGGAGAACTATCACAGGGTAGATTGAATCTCATCCCCACCCATTTTAACACCAGCTGTAAGAACTTCCTTGAGTTTCTTAATTAATTTGTAAAAGTTTCTCCTCATCTATAAAAGGAGTATTGTATTTGAGGATTGGGGATAATGAATGAAAACCACTTAAGAGTTGTAATATAGCAAAGAAAAATAATGAAAAAGAAGAAGAAAATAACTCAGAACAAAGCTTTGGGAGATAGAAACGGAACAAAGAGAAGAGAAAACAGCCAAGATAAAAGATTCAAAGGGAGGAAAAGGTGTCAGAAATGTAAAGAGTCAGAAGGTAAAAGAAAAACCAAAATTAAATAAAGCAGAGAATTTAAGGTTGAAAACCAAGAAACCTCCTTTATACTGGATTAGTAAATTCCCACATAACTTAGAGCAAATCTTTCTCTATGTATTTAGTTTATATTTCATAAGAAAAAGCCTTGTCTATCCATCCAGGAATTGACAAATATATTTTCATGTTTATTTGCATCCATGCCCAAAACAGCTTAGTCACCTAAAAGGTTTATAATAATTATTCCGTCAAGATAGTAGTGGAAAAGGATCACGAATACACATGAAGTAATGCAGTCTTCAGTGGAGTATTTTTAAAGAAAAGCAAAGGAGACCATGAAGAGAGAGATACTGAGGTTTCCTTAGATAAGGGAAATAGATATGTACATCAGGTACTGGAGGGGCAGGTTTGAAATTCAGAATGTTCAGGAATGTGTTGAAGGAAAGGGATAAAATGGGGATATGAAGTCGTAAGGCCCAGTACAAACTAAATGAGCCTGGAACTGAGATAGATGTAGTCTCTGAATCAGCTTCACAGTCAGATTTCAAATAATGCTTTACTAAGCGTAGGTTTCTGTAACTCTAAATTGGCCTAATAATTTTCATCTTGATGGGAGATGTGAGGTTAAAAGAGCTTTCTGAATATGAATGATTTGTCACAGTGGCTGGGACGTAATACATGCTCCGTAGATGATCGCCTCTCTTGCCATAATTATTTTTAGGATTAGCACAATAATTGATCCCCAGTCCAAAAGTCAGGTAAGAAATAGAAAACGGATATATGAATGGAAAGGGGGCCACAGATAAAAGCTGTCTATCTTCAGATTCTAAGATGATCACTGCAGCGAGGTGGGAGGGACTTAAGGAGCTGTGGAAAGGTGTGGAGGAGATGAACACAGGAGAAGGGTAAAAGTGTTCCTTGAGCTTTGCACCTCACAGGGTCTGTGCACCAAACCCAGGCTCCTGGGCGCTCTGTGATGAGATGAGGCCTGAGAAGTTGCCATGCAGCCAGTGAGAGCCCTTGACCAAGCAAAGTCAGAAAAACTGAGTCATAAGTCACTCAGTAAGGCTGTTTCAACAGTACAGAGCTCAAGAGCGAAATTGAGAAAGGGGAACAGCCAAGTTCAAAAACATTCAGAGAAACAAAGATGGTAGACACAAAGACTCAAAGGAGGTGGGAAATGTGGTTCTCACTCTGACATCACCCTGCCTCCTTTTAAAGATCTGTGAAAAATTGAGGATTTTTTTTTCCTGGACCATAGAACATTAGAACAGGGAGGGATAAAGTTAATTTAGTGTTCTATACATTAGAAACTTGAATTGTAAAAGTAAAATACTAAAATATTTCAAGGGAAAATGAAAAAATCTAAATTTTGTTCAAAAGAGAAAAGATAATACAAAAATCCGATTTTACAAAGAAGACAGAATTAGATAATATCCTCATATTTTTAATTTCTGAAAAGACTTTTCACGTTTTGATTCACAAATGTGCAAACATATAAAATGCACCTTATTTTAAACATAACTTTGTTATATTATCTTTTTTCTATCTGCATTAAAAATTTTATTCACAAATAAATTGAGTAATAAATGAAGTTAAATTTAAAAAACTAAATATTTTTTTTTTTATTATACTTTATGTTTTAGGGTACACGTGCACAACGTGCAGGTTTGTTACATATGTGTACACGTGCCATGTTGGTGTGCTGCACCCAGTAACTCATCATTTAACATCAGGTATATCTCCTAATGCTATCCCTCCCCCCTCCACCCACCCCACAACAGGCCCTAGTGTGTGATGTTCCCCTTCTTGTGTCCATGTGTTCTCATTTTTCAATTCCCACCTGTAAGTGAGAACATGCGGTCTTTGGTTTTTTGTCTTTGTGATATTTTGCTGAGAATGATGGTTTCCAGCTTCATCCATATCCCTACAAAGGACATGAACTCATCATTTTTTATGCTGCATAGTATTCCATGCCGTATATGTACATTTTCTTGATCCAGTCTATCATTGTTCGACATTTGGGTTAGTTCCAAGTCTTTGCTATTGTGAAGAGTGCCGCAATAAACATAAGTGTGCATGTGTCTTTATAGCAGCATGTTTTGTAATCCTTTGGGTATATACCCCTTTATGGGATGGCTGGGTCAAATGGTATTTCTAGTTCTAGATCCCTGAGGAATTGCCACACTGACTTCCACAATGGTTGAATTAGTTTACAGTCCCACCAACAGTGTAAAAGTGTTCTTATTTCTCCACATCCTCTCCAGCACCTGTTGTTTCCTGACTTTTTAATGATTGCCATTCTAACTGGTGTGAGATGGTATCTCCTTGTGGTTTTGATTGGCATTTCTCTGATGGCCAGTGATGATGAGCATTTTTTCATGTGTCTTTTGACTGCATAAATGTCTTGAGAAGTGTCTGTTCATATCCTTCACCCACTTTTTGATGGGGTTGTTTGTTTTTTTCCTGTAAATTTGTTGAAGTTCATTGTAGATTCTGGATATTAGCCCTTTGTCAGATGGGTAGATTGCAAAAATTTTCTCCCATTCTGTAGGTTGCCTGTTCATTCTGATGGTAGTTTCTTCTGCTGTGCAGAAGCTTTTTAGTTTCATTAGATCCCATTTGTCAATTTTGGCTTTTGTTGCCATTGCTTTTGGTGTTTTAGACATGAAGTCCTTGCCCATGCCTATGTCCTGAATGGTATTACCTAGGTTTTCTTCTAGGGTTTTTATGGTTTTAGGTATAACATTTAAGTCTTTAATCCATCTTGAACTAATTTTTGTATAAGGTATAAGGAAGGGATCCAGTTTCAGCTTTCTACATATGGCTAGCCTGTTTTCCCAGCACCATTTATTAAATAGGGAATCCTTTCCCCATTTCTTGTTTTTGTCAGGTTTATCAAAGATCAGATGTGGCATTATTTCTGAGGGCTCTGTTCTGTTCCATTGGTCTATATCTCTGTTTTGGTACCAGTACCATGCTGTTTTGGTTACTGTAGCCTTGTAGTATAGTTTGAAGTCAGGTAGCGTGATGCCTCCGGCTTTGTTCTTTTGGCTTAGGATTGACTTGGCAATACGTGCTCTTTTTTGGTTCCATATGAACTTTAAAGTAGTTTTTTCCAATTCTGTGAAGAAAGTCATTGGTAGCTTGATGGGGATGGCATTGAATCTATAAATTACCTTGGGCAGTATGGCTATTTTCACGATATTGATTCTTCCTACCAATGAGCATGGAATGTTCTTCCATTTCTTTGTATCCTCTTTTATTTCACTGAGCAGTGGTTTGTAGTTCTCCTTGAAGAGGTCCTTCACATCCCTTTAAGTTGGATTCCTAGATATTTTACTCTCTTTGAAGCAATTGTGAATGGGAGTTCACTCATGATTTGGCTGTTCGTCTGTTATTGGGGGATTTGAACCAGGACAAACTTTAGGTGTGGGGGAAAAGTCTTGTATACGAAGCATCTTCTTTTTTATTGTTACTTTCCTTAACAGTATCCTCTGAGCAGAGACCAATGAGAGAAAGTGGGCAACAATAGTTGATCTCCAACAGTTGGTTGTGAGTTATTGATGTGGACTGTGGACTCCGCGAGAACAGCAGCTGCTTTAGTTCCCTGCTCTACTCTCAGTGTACAGCCCAGGGAATGGCATTCAATAAGTCCTCAACACGTGCTTTGTCACTAAAAAGATGGCAATAAAAAGGGATAGACAGCATAACACAGGCATCTGGGAACTTTTACTGTGAAGGACCAAAGAGTAAATATTCTAGGATATTCTGACCATCTGGTCTCTGTTGCAACAACTCCATTCTGCCCTTTTAGTGTGAAAGAAGCTTTGAACAATATGTAAATAAATAAGCGTGGCTGCTTGAAAAAAAAACCCTTTTTAGACACAAGCAGGTTGACAGCTAAACTTGGCCTACAGGCTCTGATCTGATGACGTCTCATTCAACATACACAAATGGTGGTCAGTTAGGTCAAGTCAGTCTAAACGCAGAGTCTGTATGTGGCTTAGGGTTGTGTTTATAGAATTGCAAGGTCATGACAGGATTGAAAACAAAGGGTTAATGCAGCAGACTTCTATGGAATCTGAAAAGTAACTCCTTGCAGAAGTTCCTCTGATATTTTCTCAAATAGCTCCAGAATTCATGAATGCTGCAGTCTCTGCCAAGTGTTGACAGAGGCTTGGTACAATACCCTGGGATGGGTTCAGTGAGTGAGTCTTTTTAAAAACCTTCCTTGGTGACTTGGATGGCTGACTTTCCAGTATATTTAGTTAATTTTTAGATTATAAAAACTGGAGAGTGAGACAAATTCAAGATAGAAGCCACAATGTCTTTTATATCTAACATATTATATTCTAAACAATTCCGCACAAAAAAAAAACAGAAAAGGAGTAGGAATGGGGGTGATGGAAAGGGAATTATATTTGGTAAGCAATTATCATGTGCTAGGATCTCAGTCATGTGGTATGTTTTTCATGTTGCTTTTACTTGATTCTCACTACAGCTGTGAGATAATCATTTCCCTGCCTTAGGTGAGAAGACTGAGATCCAAAAATGTTTCATAACTAGGCACATTGGTAAGAGGCAGAGTTAAACTTTAGGGTCAGATTTGACATGTTCAGGTATCCACAACTTTTTATTGCTCTCCAGACTTCCCAGCTGGTGGGAATGTTTCTTTCTGTAACCTCCCAAGGTAGCACAACTGAGTGAGCAGATGAAGGCCAGAATGATGCTTTAGATATGGCTATGGGGAAGCTGTATCCCAAGAGGTGATATTTGAGCTGAGACTAGAATGATAAGAAGAAAGCAGTTCTGAAAAACTCTGAGAAATGAGACAGAAGATTAGAGGCCCTAGGATAGCAAAGTGCTTTGCCTACTTGGGGAGTACACAGAAGATCAGAAAGGACAGAAGGGAGGTCCATCTGGCTGGACCACAATGAGCAGCAGGATTTTCAAGGATGGTAGATCTCATATAGGGTTTTAGACACCATGGTAAGGAGTTTGGGTTTTATTATAGGGCCATTGGGAAGTTGTTAGAGGGTTTCAGGTCAGGAAATGATTTAAACAGAGTTAATTTTTTAAAATATAATTTATATGGCTGTGTGAAAACTAGACTGTAAGGCAGTGAGCACAAAGGAGTAGGGGAGCATCTGTGATGGTTAATTTTATGTGTCAACTTGACTTGGTTACCAGATGCCCAGATATTTGTTTCAACGTTATTGCTGCATGTGTCTATGAGGATGTTTCTTGATGAGATTAACATCTGAATCAGCAGGCTGAGTAAAGCAGATGTCCCTCCCCAGTGTGGATGGGCCTCATCCAATCTATTGAAGGCCAGAATAGAACAAAAAGCGGAGGAATGGTGAATTCGCTCTCTCTGCCTGACTGTGTTCAAGACAGGACACTGATCTTCTCCTGCCTTTTGATTTAGACTCAACCAATTCCTGATTATATATGATCACACAGACACAGAGAGAGAGAGGCAGAAAGAGAGAGAGAGAGTAATATATATAGTTC
This sequence comes from Homo sapiens, assembly GCF_000001405.40. Classification (NCBI taxonomy): domain Eukaryota; kingdom Metazoa; phylum Chordata; class Mammalia; order Primates; family Hominidae; genus Homo; species Homo sapiens. Next base: position 103,372,444 of record NC_000013.11, on the reverse strand, counting down.
TGTTGGTTCTGTTTCTCTGAAGAACTCTGACCAAGGTTACAGCATCTAAGTGACAGTTAATGGGGACTTGGAGGAGATACATATTTGAATTAAGGATGTACTATTAAGAATTAGCTGACGTTTTAATGTTTGAGATAAGAGTAGAAGAAAATAAAAGATTATTGTTCAATTTTGGCTTACTCAGATGGCACCACTTGGGAAAAAACAGTTCAGAGAATGAGGACATTCAAAGTTGAGATGTTTACTGATGAGCCAAGTGCAGAATGCAAGTAGGTAGCTGGATATAAATTTTAGAGCTCAAGATGATGACAGATGATGGATAGCTAGACAGACAGATGGAAAGATAGATAGATGATGATAGATAATAGATAGATGGGTAATAGATAGATGAGCCCTGGGGCACTCAAAAATGGAAAGCATGTAAGATGGAAAGAACCATGCTTCTTTTGTAAGGATCTACCTTTGCAAATATTATCCTGATTTAATCTATGTTTGCCACCATATACATAGCAGAAGATGTGATATTTGTAGAGGACCACAAGTTAAACAATAGTGGAAAAGCATAAATAACATTTAAACATACTAGATTACCAAGAAGAAATAGTTCTGACTTAAAATATTTACTATGGCATCAAAGATGGAAATGGATTTGAGAACAGAAATATCTAAAGCACGATAATAATTTATGAGGATGCTACAGTGATTCAGGCAAGACACAGCAGTACCTCCAATGACAGCCTGCTCTCCTGAGACTATTCATCTCTCTGGCCCTCATCAGTCTCTCTTGGAGCTGTTCTTCCATCTGCCCACCTAAAAGTGTCACTATCCCTTGGGAGGCCATCTTTGGCTTTCTTCTAACTCCTGATGCTCTTACTGTAGGAATCTCACACAAGTCCAAAGCCACGACAACCACAGGTATGCAATGATGACCAATTCTCAATCCAAGGCATAATTTCTTTCCTTAAGCTCCAGGCTCATATTTCAGATTGTCTATTCTATCACAGCTATTGCATTTCAGATGGAATGTATCCAAAGCCAATCTCATTCTTTTCCTCCCACAGCCTACTCCATCTCTAACATTCTCTCCATTTGCCAGTGGCATGCCCTACTACCCAGGCAACCGTGAGAGAAATAGGAGAATCATCTTTAAATTTTCAATTTCCCTTACATCCCACATCCAATTTGAGACCAAGTCCGTTGATTATCTACCTATCTCATTCTCCAATCTGTTTTTTCCTCTCTGTTCCCATGGCTGCTACAAATTTTTTTAATCATCCTTTGCCTAGACTGTGTTGTTTTCTATCTGTTCCCAGTGAATTTTCCAAAAGAAAATCCATACATATTTCTTCCTTACTTTCAGCCCTTCAGTGCACCCTTTATTGTTTCTGGAAGTATTTTTCAAAGATATTTTTATGGCCATGGCCTCAGGGCTTCTGGACTTCTTTAAGCATTGGCAAAGTATGCATTGCTTAATGCTAATCCAAAACATAAATATAAGCCTATTCTGTATGATAAAGATGGCATAGCACCACCACAGGATTTCAGTACCTGAAAGTCTCATTAGCAACCAGTGACGCCAGTTTATTGTTGTGGCTAAGATAAAAACATAAATAACATAGGGAAAGTTAATGACTTTGACCCATATGTCATCCCAGCCTGGTATATAAACAAGTAAAGATTCCACTATAGTTAAAATAGAGGGACGTGAAGACTGAATTAAGCCATAACACAGTGCCCGTTACTATTAGCATGGGCAAATGAAAGCCAAAAAAACTGCACCAAAGCATGTTCATTTCAGAGCAGCAACTTAATCAAAAAGAAAAATAGCGTTCTTTCAACTTTGAATTCTCATTGTTGTATGATTCTATTTGTTTTTAATTTATAAGTTTGTTTTGGTTATGTAAGAGCTTTCTATGTAAAGAGTTTGTACTTTGTTTTATATATGTTTTATACATATGTAAGAAAGAATATGATATAAATAATTGAAGTGAACAATGGAAGTCATAAGCGTTATTTTCCTTAAAAGGCATCCATATGTTACCCACGTCTGAGAAATGATGGCATGCTAGCTCAAGTCCAAATGCCTCAGTATGTTGTTGACAAGTTCCTCCGTGATCCAGCTACCCTCATCTCCCACTGCTAAAATGTACCCTGTAGTTCGGCCATTTCAAAAAGCCTTTATCTAAATTACCCCTGCCTTTTCATGTCTATGTTTTTCATATTAGATCTCCATGTCCCTATAGTCCTTCATTCCCTACAGTCACAAGTTGACTTTGAAAACCATTTAAGATATCAACTATATTCTGATTTTTTTTCTCATTTCTTCCATCTTCCACCCCAATCAACTAGGTAAATTTATGTGCTTTTTCCATAATCTTCCCCAAAGATAGTACATTTATTGATGGCACTACAAATTAATAAATTGAGGTACAGTAAAGTTATGTAACATTTTCAGAGTCATATAGCTAATAAGGTACAGAGGTATGATTTATACCTCTTATTATTATATTTTAATACTCAGCATCTAGTATTAACTGCTATGCTTTAGGTACCAGCATGCTTGTCTTTTTTTCATGAGGTCCTAAGCAACTTAAATTTAAGGATTTTATTTCATTCATTTTTGTATTTCCAGTACCTGGTTTATTTCCCATCATACAGTAGCCTCTCAATAGACAATTGTCATACAGATAGATGAATGGAAAGATGAATATATGTCTAGATGGATGGATGGATGAATGGATGGATGCATGACAAAACCAATATGGGGATGGATATTATCACTTTTGAGTACAATATATTTTAGATCAAAGACAAGTGAGAAATCAGTGCCCCTCCTAATAACACTTATACATGTTTTTCAGACTTCAAATCATGCTGTAACAGTATTCTTATTACCACAACAGCTCCAGATGTGGGATATAATCTATAATCCACCAAGAAGACATTTTGACATATAGATTGACATGACTGGAAGGCTGTGATATTTTAACCTGCACAGGTCTCTGTTGCTTGATACATAGAAAACTTTTCATATCAATTTAAATCCTAAAGAGTTTGCCATTAAAAGATTTATATTGTCCTCTAGTCAAAATACTAGTAACCCTTTCATTGTGTTTGCTATTGATGGATCTTCTGATGAACTTACAAGGGGAAGAGTTAGCTATGTATTTGATGTCCTACTCTGAACAGAATTCATGAAAGCTGATGCATTAAAATAACCATTCAAAAGAGCAATGTGGTTCAATTTGAATAAGGAACCGTATGGTTAACTGGATTTTCGTTCTCACGCTCATAAACACACATAGATGAGCTCTTCATTATGAATGGAAGCCACATGAATATTATTTATTCTCTGTTTAACCTATGCTCTAAAACTACCGAATTTTGCAATTTTTGTATAGTTTTAGCTCCTTATTGTGTTTGTCATTTGAGAAATCTTAGCCTATAGACAATAGTTTCATACTAGGAAATTTATATTTTCAGTCATAAGTTTCTAATACTCTTCCTTCTTTTGCACTTTAACACTAATACCAAATATATATTATTTATGATGCATAAAATAATGTCACTAAAAATATGTATTTTATATTATTTTGCTGTTTTCCCTTTATTTAATATATACTTCTTCCTTGATGTATTATTCAGAAAACTTTTAAGCACAGAAACCAAATGAATGTAGAAAAGAACAAAGAATAACCCAGCAGTACGCAGTAAAATTTCTCCAAGCATAATGAATGATGTAATAAGGAATACAAGTTATACCAAGGTGTATTCTTAGCGATATAAGATTGTTAGTAAAGGCAAAAATTATTTGTATGTAAATAAAATTTTATTCTTTGTTCTCTTCACCCACTGGCTTTGTTTCCTGAAGAAATAAACTCAATGACTATGAGTTTTGGAAGCAATGGAATATATTCAGGAGCAATCCTGGTTAATCCCTTTGGGTGTTCTGATAAATTGTGAAATTGATATAGTAGAATTTACCTGTATATTTATTCTGAACAGTAACTGAATTAGTTTGCTGGCTGCAATTTTTCCAGGCAAAAAGTTTACTTAAACATTGGCTCAAGTAAATTGAAGAAGAAGCCAATCTAGTGTCATAGAGAAGGAAATCATGCAGTTATTCTTAGTTTGCCAAAGAAAAATGGAATGGAAATATCACAAACATATCTCTTGTGGCAATTTATGAAAGTTACACAATTAGTAACTTATTGAACTTGAATTTCAACTGAGATCTGTCTGACTACCATATTCAGGCAATTTCCACCATGCTACCCTATGATTTACATTCTCATGAACAAGCAATCCACACATGTAACCCTTGGTTTGAAGATGCCCCCATCAGGAGAAATGCTAATTTTATTTACATGAAAGCTGACAAGAAATGATGTCAGAACCCTGTTTATCTTTGTCTAGACTCCAGCTAAGAATCATAGCAAATTTATTTTTCTGGGCATCACAGAGCTATTCAATTAGAAAGATTTCTGGAAGAAAAATTTAAATATTAGAAAATGAATTAGAAAATTTTGATCTTCAACATGAATTTGCAGAGCCTCATAACATTGTTGAATGGCCCATAAATATTATTTTAAATTATTTGAAAAAAGACAAAAAGCAGAGAATCCTCCAATTTAAGCCCATGGGGCCTCTGAAGCTGCCTGGGCCAACCTCTCCACTATCAAATGTCATCGGACTTGAGCTATTTGTGCACCGCTTTCCTCAGGTGTCTGCATTTGTCATTTACCCTACATCTTTTTCCTGGGGGAGCCTCTGTTACTGAGAGTCTATTCATTTCCTCATCAATGTTCTATACAGCAAAAACTTGTTTTCTCTTTCCATAAAAATCAGAGAAAATATAAATCTTCATCCTCATCCTCTCTAAATTTGCCAGTTGAGATTTCTCTATCCCCCAACCCCTCACCCACAGTTCAGGCATATCACTGCCCCGCCCTGTACTAACAAGCTATTCCACAGAACTTTTAAACATTAATGTCCTGTTTGGGAGACAGAAGTAGGGAGAGACTTATCATATCTCTCTCTCTCTTCAAGTGTCAGCTTTTTCTATCTTCTGGAATTCTCTCTCTTAAAAAATGGCCCATATACATGATAATTCACTCCAATTTAAACTTAAAACAAATGTGGCTCATTTTTCAAATCAAGGCAAGACCACAGAGAACTGAGAGTTCCAACAATCATCATGGATTACTTGTGCATAGGATATTTCTTTAAGATGAATGTTCTTGTTATTTATACCTACGGCTACTTAAATCTGATTTACTTAATAGGACGTAATATGGGTTTTTGAATAATAAATCTAGTAGTAGTAGGTTTTACTATCTAAATACCTTTTTGAAGACAAATTTGCTGTCTTAATCACCTTTATATTCCCAATCAATTTTATTAAGTTAAATAAAATATCAATCGTACTTATTTACATAGTAAATCTGAATTAGACAGATCTTTGGCTATACATAGTTATTAGTTCCTTTAACTGGGTGATATTAGAACAATAAAGGAGGAAAATATTTTTATAGGTTCTAAATTACATTCTAGAAATTGGTGTTGATACTTTTATAGGCAGATATAGTCCTCTCTCTTATGACGTTCTAACTTCCACTTACTTTTTTTTGAAGTCATTTTAAGTGAAATCTTATACCATTCACACAAAGTGTAATGTGTAACTTATATAAAACGTCCAAAAAGAGAACATAATCTGAAAGAGGCAAACAAGGCTAATCTGACACTACCCTCCAACTACTCCCTGTCTGACACTACCCTCCCACCACTCCCTACCCAACAATCATTGTGCTGGTTTTCTTTCCTTTCCTTGTTGAAACTTGCTATTAGAGATCTATTTTGTAAGCAGAAGTTCTTTCAGAAGGCCAAATAAATATTGATATATTGAAAAGGAGGCTGTCTTCCTACTTCCTATCCATTAATACATTAGAGGGCACTCATTCATCAAGTCAACTCTGAGAAGGTAAAATATGAAAGAGTTTAGTTTCAACAAGGTTATTAAGGAACATAAAGGGCATGGTTGAGTAGACACTGAGCATCAGGGGAAACCTAATTACTTTTGCCTGAGGCTGAGGTGACCCATCCCAAGTGACAGATGAGGCCAGTAGATTGTAAGGATGAAGCAACCAGCAGAGGTCGGTGACAATGACCAAGGGAGAGCCAACCTTCCCAACGTTGGTTTTTAAGAGCTGTCATATTGCTGAGACTTGTATTCAGAAAACAAAACTTAAGTTACCATGTGTATTTCAAATGATGGCTTTAGAAGGAGAATAAAATCAGTTATGAGAAAGGCTCAATAATGAGGAATAATCTCTTAGACTTCATAGCACTATATGACATTAAACCCTGGGAAAGGTGTGTTAAATGGTTAAAACCAAAAGGACTATTACAAAGAGTTTTTCAGTACAACAAACAACAAACCTACTTCTTCCTTAGAATAGAACCTTTTTCTTCAGCCCAGAGCAAATGTTTCAGCTGAATTACTTTCTGGACTTTATAAGGTGTTGACACAACTTCTACGTGCACATCGTAAATGTGCCACCCTAATAATCCGTGTTTAATTACTGTTTATTGTAAATGAATTTTCTCAGCAATCCAATGTGGTGCTTTTCATTTTTCTGTCAGTGAGGTTTCCTCTCTCAGAACCTTTGCCCCCAGCTACCAACGATATGACCATCCAAAGTATGCACCCATCCAGAGACTGAGGGGGAACCGCACCTGGAATGCTGGAGGCAACATCTTTGTTGAAATTCAAGTACATAAAAACTAAATCAGCCTTTTAAAATAATAGGAAAAGCTACTGTGCCTTCAGAGCAAATGTTTTCTAAAGATGGGATTATACACTCATGAGTTAACACCACTCCCATTCAGACCAAAACACCCTTTCCTTGGAAGACTGACAGCTAATTAGAATTAACAGAAACAATAATTTTCCCCATCCAGTTGTTCACATCTAATGCACCCTAGACTGACAACATGGAAATACAAAGAAAAGATGTGAAATAATTTGTTAGTACCTTCTGTGTGGCAAAATATTCTAGAGGTCAGTCCGAAATTGAGGCAGTTTTTATAAACAATCATTCTATAAAATAACATCTGGATTTAATGGAATGCCAAGGGATGAATATTAGAGTAACACAGTATGCAGGAATTAGAAAAAAAAAAACAAGTCAATTAATACTGTTTTCTCTGCAAAGATCAGATATATCAAATACTGTGAAAGAAATACTTGTGATAAGTAAAGCTCATGGTAAGACAGTGGTGCTATTCATTATCACCAGAGAAGGACATTACCAACAATATAAGAAGCTGAGATTTTCAAACTTTGGGTAATTAATTTCAATCAGGGCTGGATTCAAGGTCAGTTGTGTAATACCAGCCATTATTTTCCCTTTGCTACCTTTGGCAGGCATTTCACATGGCTCATCCATAAATAATTAAAACCAAAGTATCTGCTGCATAAGCTTAACTATTGCAGGGAAATGCAGATGTCCAAGATTTTATTTCACTTGGAACTTCTAATAAAAAGGGAAACAACCTTCTCTGTGTATTAAGAAATGAGACTTACTTCCTGCATAAACAATACAAACATTTCTTTTTAAGTGTTCAATATGTTCATTTCCATCTGGACCTTTCTAAGCTGCTTAAGTTGAGAAAAATTATGAAAGCAAAAGCCTTGCCTGCATGAAAATAATTTAAATCTGAGGTAACCTCCAACTGACAATAGTGAGTCACGGGATAAGGTAATATTTTGTGAGACACATGATGAAATAACAATTTGAAATTTAGCAACATGAATCATGTTTCCAAAGCATGAGGTGTCCAAAAAGACCCTTGGGACCCCCAGTTAGGACTGATCTGGGAGGGCTACAATCTCTAGAGTGTTTGTAAACTGAGAAGTAGAATACATGAGGGTAAAGTTGGTTTATGGATAGGTCAAAAAGTTCAGCTGGTAATATTTTAATTTCTTAAGGGGAAATGATTTTTACTTTTCTTAATTCTTATGAATGTATCACTTAATTTACAGCAGATGCACCTCAGAAATATATACATTAAAGCAAAGAGATTCAGTTACAACCAAAAACACTATATCTCAATTTAATAAGTGTTCATGTATGCACAGACAGAAGTCTAGACTAGTACCATTGTACAGAAATAAAGAACAACAAATTAGATATTAGGCATTTTAAGTAACTTCCTAACCAAGACTTAAACAAAAGTAAAATATGTAGCTTACTCAATCCAAAATTGAGAAGTACACTATGGTAAAGTGGAAATAATTCTGTATTTGAATCACAATTTGAGTTACAACTGTGTGAACTTGACCAAATGCGCTGAGTGGTTGAGATCACATGGAATTACATATATTAAAGGTATTTGAAAATCACTGTACAAATTTAGAGAAATAAAAGGGCAGAAGAAAAAGGACAAAGTCATGAAGACAAAATGAGGAACTAGAGAGTTATGCTTACATGACCTTTGATATGGTATTGCTCTGTGTCCTCATCCAAATCTCACCTCCAATTGTAATCCCCCCATGTCAAGGGAAGGAAGTGATTGGATTATGGCAGTGTTTTCCCATTATGCTCTTGTGATAGTGAGTGAATTCTCATGAGATCTGACGGGTTCATAGAAGGTAGTTTCTCCTGCGCTCACACATGCTCTCTTTCTCACCTGCCACCATGTAAGATGTGCCTGCTTCCCCTTCCACCAGGATTCTAAGTTTTCTGAGGCCTCCTCTGCCATGTGGAACTGTGAGTCAATTAAACCTCATTTTTTTGTAAACTACCCAGTCTCAGGAAGCTCTTTATAGCAGTATGAAAATGAACTAATACAACTTTCTATGTGATTAAGGAATAACCATGGTATGGGAACAGTCACCACTTTGACATCAGAATATATGATTCCCTCTTTTGTATCAGTGGTTTAATGCTACACATTGATAATGACAATGTCTGTCAGGGTCCTCAGATAAACCTACTCACATGGCTTAACTAGTTTTTCTTTTAGGTATTCTCCTTACAGTCCTCAAACCCAAACCAATTATTTGAGAGTCCACAGCAAAATTAAAATACCTTTATAGTCATCATCATCAAAATCATCATCATTATCAGTCTCATTACTATGATCATCTGCTAGCTTTGCTACTCAAATAATGCTTTAATATTACATTAAGGGCATTAGTCATAAGGAGAAAGGGAAATATAATCATTATTAAGCCAGATAATATTAAAATGAAGTTATTATTTCCCTTCCCTTCTCACAGACTTAGCCATGTATAGTGATGAAGAAATCAGCCCCTTTATATTACATGTTGATATTTAAAAGGAAGAAAGTAAAAGCCTTCAGAAAATGATAGGTCTTTAATTGTTGTCCAGGTGGATACTCAGGACTTTAATTGTTGTCCAAATAGATACTCTGACACCCTTCAATTATATGTCATTAGCCCCAATAATATTTGCTAACTACAGATCACAAAGGCCTGCCCTCCTCCACCATCAAAACTTTAAGGTCTCATCTCTCTACCTGAGTATCTTAAGGTCCTGCTGACTAAAGGCAATTCTCAGAAGAGCCTATGTTTGAGTTTAGGTATAAAGTAATTCTGTAATTTTAAGACTATCCTTATAAAAGGAATCCCATAACGTCAGTGTGTTCAGTAAGATGGTGTAGTTGTTCCTTAGCCACTTTTCTTCCTTCTTGTAGTAAAGTTCTTGATGAATAACAAATTCTTTTTGCAGCAGTTTTATTAAATATAACTGATACACAAAAACTACGTATTTAATTTATAAGATTTGATGGGTTTGAACATATGCATATACACTTAAAACCATCACTACAATCAAGGTAAAAATAAATATTCTAATGTCCACTCTTGCTACTTGTCTTCTATTTAATGTGGTACTAGATATTGTAGCCACAACAATTAAACAAGAGAAAGATATAAATGTCATCCAAATTGGAAAGGAAGAAGTTAACGAATCGCCCGTTTGGAGACAACATCATCTTACATATAGAAAACCCTAAAAACATCACCAAAAAACTATTAAGACTAATAAACAAATTCAGTGAGGTGGCAAGATACAAAATCAACATATAAAAATCAATAGTTTGTATACACTAACAATAAACTATTTGAAAAAGAAATCAAGAAAACTACATTTAAGAATTACAAAAAAAATACTTAGGAATAAATTCAACCAAGAAGGTGAAAAATCTGTACACTAAAAACTATAAAACATAGATGAAAGAAATTGAAGAATACAAAAATAAATGTAAATATATCTCATGTTCATGAATTACAAGAATATTGTGAAAATTTTCATACTAGCCAAAGTGATGTAGAGATTCAATGCAATCTCTATCAAAATTCAAGTGACATTTTTCACAGAAATAGAGAAAACAATTCTAAAACTTGTATGGAACCACAAAACATCCTGAATATTCAAAGCAATCTTGAGCAAAAAGATCAAAGCTAGACACATCACAGTACTTAACTTCAAAATATACTAAAAAGCTATAGTAACCCAAACAGCATAGTATTGGCATAAAAACATAACGTGGGCCAATGGAATAGAATAAATAGTCCAGAAATAAATCCATAAATTTATGATCAATTGATTTTTGACAAAGGTGCCAAGACTACTCTATAGGAAAAGGACATTCTTCAACAAATGGTGTTGAAACAACTGAATATCCACCTGCAGAAGGATGAAATTAGACCTTTATCTCACATCATATACAAAAATCAACTCAAAATATATTAAAGCCTAAATCTAAGAGCTGAAAGTATAAAATGACTAAAATAAAACCTACAGGAAAATTCTACACGACATTGGTCTGGGCAATGATTTTTGAATATGACTCCAAAAGCACAGGCAAAACATATGAAATAAACAGAATTACATCAAACTGAAAAGCTTCTGCATAGCAATAAACAAAACAAAATTTAAAAAGCAATCAAGGGTGAAGAGCTGAAGAGACAACTTATGGAATGGGAGAAAATATTTACAAACCATACGTCTGATGAGAGGTTAATATTCAAAATATAAAAGAAACTCAAACAACTCAATAGTGAGAAAAAAAGAAACCCAATGTAAAAATAGGAAGTTCCTGAATAGATGTTTATCAGAAGAAAACATACAAATGGCCAACAGGTATAGGAAAAAATGCTTAATATCACTAATCATTAGGGAAATGCAAATCAAAACCACAAATGAGGTATCATTTCATTCCAGTTAGAATGGCTATTATCAAAAAGACAAAAAATAATAGATGCTGGCAAGGATGCAGAGAAAAGGAAACTCTTATACACTGTTGGTGGAATGTAAGTTTGTATAGCCATTAAGGAAAACAGTATGGAGGTTTCTGAAAAAAATTAAAAATAGAACTACCACATAATCCAGGAGTCCCACTGCTGGATCTATATCAAAAATAATTGAAATCAGGATCTCAAAAAGACATCTGCACTTCTGTGTTCATTGTAGCACTATTCACAATAGCCAAGACATGGAAACCTCTTGAATAGACATTGGCAGATAATTTTTTTAATGTGTTGCATGTATACAATTGAATGCTATTCATCCTTAAATAAAAAGGATATTCTGCCATATGCAACAACACATATCAACCTGGGGACATTGTGTTAAGTGAAATAAGCCAGGCACAGAAAGACAAACACCATATGGTCTCACTTCTATGTGGAATCTAAAATAGTTGAATTCATAGAAGCAGAGTGTAGAAATGGTAGTTACCAGGGCCTAGGGGTAGGAGAGGTTGGGAATATGTTGGCCAAAGGAAAAATCGTACCTATTACTTCCAACAGTTCCCTCTTGCCCCTTTGTAAGTGTGTGAGTGTTTCTGTGTGGGTGTTAAGAACACTTAACATAAGATCTACCCTCAACAATTTGAAATGCACAATAAGGCATTATTAACTATAGACATTATGTTGTACAGCAGATCTCTAAAACCTATTCATTTTTCATAACTAGAATTTTATACCCATTGAACTACAACTCTCATTTCCTTCCTTACCAGCCCTGGCAACCACCATTCTACTCTCTGCTTTATGAGTTCAACTATTTTAGATTCTACATATAAGTGAGATCCGGTGGTATTATTTTTCTTTCTGTTCCTGGCTTATTTCACTTAACATAATGTCTCCAAGTTCATCTATCTTGTTGCATATGACAGGATATCCTTTTTAAAGGATGAATAGTATTCCATTGCATAAATACACCACTTTTTCTTTATCCATTCATCTATTAAATGCCATTTAGGTAGGTTCCATATCTTGGCTCTTGTGAATAATGCTGCAAGGAATATAGGAGTGCAGATATTTCTCTGAGATCCTGATTTTAATTCTTTTGGATATAGATCCAGTAGTGGGATTGCTGGATCATTGGGTAGTTCTATTTTTAATTTTTTGAGGGAACTCCATCCTATTTTCCATAATAAGTGGACTAATATACATTCCTACTAACAACATGCAAGGGTTCCCTTTTCTCCACATTCAGGCCAACACTTGTTATTTTTGTGTTGATAATAGTCATTCTAACAAATGTGAGCTGATATTGCATTGTGGTTTTAATTTGCATTTTCCTGATTATTAGCGATGTTGAGCATTTATTCATATACCTGTTGGCTATTTGTATGTCTTCTTTGGAAAAATGTCTATTTAAGTCCATTGTTCATTTTTAAATTAGGTTTTTTGGTTTTTTGCTATTTAACTGAGTTCCTTATGTATTTTGGATACTAACCCCTTAGCAGATATATGGTTCTCAAATATTATCGCCCATTGAGGTTTCCTTTTCATTCTGTTGATTTGTTTTTTGGCTGTGCAGAAGCGTTTTAGTTAGATGTAGACCCACTTATTCATTTTGCTTTTGTTCCCTGTGGTTCTGTTGTTATACAAGAAATCATCACCAGCAACAATGTCCTAAAGCTTCCTTTCCTCCTGTGTTTTCTTCTAGGGGTTTCACACTTTCGGGTGTTACATTTGCCTTTAATCCATTTTGAGTTGATTTTTGCATATGGCGTAAAATAAAGAGAAAATAAATTCTTATTTTACATTCTGGATCTGGGTTTAAATATTCTAGAAAAATAGCAGAAAATGATCCTCAAATTATCCTGAAAAGGAGAAACATATAGAACCTTAAAATGAATTTATACACATGCATAGAAATTTACTTGTATCTTTATGTCAATGCTTGTGATCTACTCTGAGCATTTAGAATTGTTAGGCATAAAGGAATTTTAAGATGTCTGTGGCTTAAGAAGGACAACTCAACTCACAAGTCAATCAAATGTAACATTTTTGTGCTTATCTTTAAAAATTAAAAGTATTGGTTCCACACAGACATATTTAAAATCTCGAGTAACAACTGCAAAGAGACAAAACAAATGAAAGGACTGAAATTATAATAATAAAAGGGGGCCTTTAGTTTCGTATTTCTCAAAGGCAGAAATTTTTCTTTAAAAGCTTTTGAGGATATAACATTGCTTATTTTAAATTGAGCTACATGATTTAAGTTTGCTTTAACTTACTCTTTAAGCAGGAATCAGAAAAAAAATAGCGAGAGAGTTGGTAAGGAAAACAGAACGTAGAAACAGAAAGCAAAGAAAATTTGCCCTCCTGAGGGTTGATGCCTGAGGAGCTGCCATCTATACCAGAATGGTGAATACAGTTTCATAGTGGAGCAAATCTATTGCACACCCAGGAGGAAGCTCACTACGTGGTTTCCTAAAGGGGACTCCTAGAGGTAGCAGATTTATAATAAAAATAATTCTGCATTTTTACATATTCCAGTTTTAAAATATGGTAAAACATTATTTTTCACAAAGAATTTGTTATTACACCTGGTCGTATCAAACCACTTTTTATCTTTAAAATTCTAGGTTTTTCTTTCTTTCATTTGTATTGTTCTTATCTGTGGACTTTGGCTGTTAACAACCTGCTGAGATGTTGGTGATAAGAACTTCCCTTTTATCTTGGCTCCTCACAGATATTTCACGGCCTGTAAATTTAAAGGTAACAGTAAATACATTGGGTACTTGCCAACACTGGACCCATGGTTCTTGGCAGCTGGAAAAGGGGGCCTGGATATGTATATACAGTTCCACCTGATGGGTGCTACCCTCTTCCATTGGGCCTCGTTCTACCATTTACTAGGTCTATGTACCCTTAACTTATTTCTTAACATTTCCATGCCCAAGATGCCTGGTCTTAAAAATGGCCATAAGATTTTATCTAAATCTACTGGGTTGTATTAAGATAGTCAGCTCTCCCCAGAATGAAGTTTGCAGTAGGTATGAACAAATCAGTTGCCAGTCTATTAGAGCACAGGTTGTCTGATATTCTACCCATTCTCCAGATTCAGGACCAATTTGGGAGCAACCTGAGTCCAAGGTGCTTAGTTTCCAGTACCAGCTCAGTCCTAAGCCACATCTGGTTCTAGATTAGCTAAAGAAGGTAAAGTCCATACCCAGTTGTTGAGGGGAACAAACTAAATAAGAAGAGTGAATGCACATTTATGAAAGTGTAAATGAACGATTCTGTTATGAACACAAACATGACCAGGGTGCCGAGCCTTATCATTAAGAAACTGGGCCGGGCGCGGTGGCTCACGCCTGTAATCCCAGCACTTTGGGAGGCCGAGGCGGGCGGATCACGAGGTCAGGAGATCGAGACCATCCCGGCTAAAACGGTGAAACCCCGTCTCTACTAAAAATACAAAAAATTAGCCGGGCGTAGTGGCGGGCGCCTGTAGTCCCAGCTACTTGGGAGGCTGAGGCAGGAGAATGGCGTGAACCCGGGAGGCGGAGCTTGCAGTGAGCCGAGATCCCGCCACTGCACTGTCCAGCCTGGGCGACAGAGCGAGACTCCGTCTCAAAAAAAATAAATAAATAAATAAATAAAAGAAACTGAATTCATGACTCCCAGTCTGGGGGAACAGAAAACATTACTGAGCTGGAGCACATTGGCCCATTCAGTTCTGAAATGCATGTCCAACAGGTAGGTGGAGCCCTGAGCAAGAATTGCTACTGTGTTGAAGTCACAGAGCCAGAGTGCTTCCATGTAGCCAGAGAAAATCTTCCAGAGTAAGTCATTGCTGTGGTGAGCCATTGTTGGGAGAGGTTGTGGGTACGTGAGACATACAAACATTTGTGAATCCACCAAAAAGAGGTTAATTTTTATTCCTAAAATGGATAGACAGGTTATGTTAGAATTCCTTCTTTACCACTGAAGGGGACACCAGATACTAAGCTTGCAACATAGTAAAACCCTGTCTCTAAAAAATTATTTAAAAATTGGTTGGACATGGCAGTGCACCTGTAATCAGATACTAGGGAGACTGAGGCAGGATAATTGCTTGAGCCCAGGAGTTTGAGGCTGCAGTGAGCCATGATCACACCACTGCATTCCAGCCTGGGTGATAGAGCCAGATCCTATCTCTAAAAATAATAATAATAATCAGGGGTAACTTAGTTTTGATATTTACCTACATACTACTTGAAGAAGTTCTTTAAGCATTTACAAAGTATTCCAAAAGAATAACCACAGAAACCTATAAAATGAGAACTATAGTTTGCTGAATTAGTTAATCCTAATCACACAAATATGCATCACAAACTACAAATAATATACAGCTTGGTTATATGCTCATTTCCAATTTTTTATTACTGGGAACTAGTAAATGTTACAGTGTGGTGGAGGGAGAACCCATATTCAGAACCATGCGGATATTCTTTATTCCTTATCAGAGTTCCGCATAATTAGTGACCAGTGTTTACAAGCTCATCTTGAAGCCCTGTGACCTCTGCTCTGGAACTGCAATATCCTCGAATCTGAACTTTTAATCCAAATTAGAGAATCATTACATTCTCCACCAATAATTCTTCAGAGTTTAGAAATCCTGTGCAACCTGTTTTATTACTTACAAAATGTCTTCCTATGTATGCTCTCTGGAAGTGCTGGCGCCCTTCACATGGGAAATCCCCTCTGTGGGGACATTGTATGGAAGCTCTTTATCTCTCCATCATTACCACAGTGGGAGGGTATTTGCTGCCACTGGTTTTTCTTGTTTTTGTTTTTTGTTTTTTTTGTTTTGGGGATGGAGTCTTGCTCTCTCACCCAGTCTAGAGTGCAATGGCATGATCTTGGCTCACTGCAACATCCGCCCCAAGGTTCAAGCGATTCTTCTGCCTCAGCCTCCAGAGTAGCTGGGATTACAGGCACGTGCCACCACGCCCAGTTAATCTTTTGTATTTTTGTAGAGACGGGGTTTCACCATGTTGGTCAGACTGGTCTTGAACCCCTGACCTCGAGTGATTCAACCACCTCAGCCTCCCAAAGTGCTTGGATTCCAGGCGTGAGCCACTGTGCCTGGCGCATTGGTTTTTAAAGGCAAGAAAACGGATCCTGGGGAAATTTGTGGGCTGCATACTCCCTATACCCACAAATCCTCCATCTTATCTGACCCACAGTTGGAACCAACTTAATCTTACTGTTTAAAGATGCTTCAAATATACACACCTCTCTTTGACTTCCTTAAGTATAGAAATGGGTGACAACAGTAAATGCAACAAACACTTTCTACATATACCCAAACCAGGGACTTACTGTGAACATGTAGAACCAATATCAGAGGTTAAGTAGTGGAGCAGAAACATACGGATATAAAGGAGGAAGTCCTGGAAAGCTTTCAGACATAATGAGGAGAGCAAGTTCAAAGGCCTCAAGATGAGACTAAGCTTTGGAATGAAAAGGAGGCCAGGGTGGCATCACGGCATGAGTGCAGGGGTGGGATGAGGCAAGGACAGCAGGCAGCTGTGTTAGCTTCCTTGGGCTGCCATTATGAATTAATACAAACTGCAAGGCCTAAAACAACAGACATTTTTTAGCTCACAGTTTAGGAGGCGTTAGTAGAGTTGGTTCCTTCCAGAGGCTCTGAGGGAGAGTCTGGTCTCTATACCTCTCTTGTAGCTGCTGGTGGTTGGCAACATTTTTTGGTGTTTCTTATTTTGTAGCAGCATCACTCTGACCTCTGCCTCCATCTTCACATGGCTTTCTTCCCTGTGTATCTTCTCAGTATCTTTGTGTCTTTTCTCTTCTTAAGGACACCCATCACATTGGATTTAGGGCTAATGCTAATCCAGTATGACCTCATCACAACGAATGACATCTTAAAGGACTCTATTTCCAAATAGGGTCATGTTCTGAGTTTCCAGGTAGACCTAATTTTTTATTTTTTTAATTTTTTTTGAGACGGAGTCTCGCTGTGTCGCCCCGGCTGGAGTGCAGTGGCACAATCTTGTCTCACTGCAAGCCCCACCTCCCAGGTTCACGCCATTCTCCTGCCTCAGCCTCAGGAGTAGCTGGGACTACAGGTGCCTGCCACCACGCCCAGCTAATTTTTTGTATTTTTAGTAGAGACGGGGTTTCACCATGTTAGCCAGGATGATCTCCATCTCCTGACCTCGTGATCCGCCCGCCTCGGCCTCCCAAAGTGCTGGGATTACAGGCGTGAGCCACCACCCCCGGCCAGTAGACATAAATTTTTGGGGGGATACTCTTGAACCCAATTGCCAGATCATTTAGGGCCTTGCAGTCTATGACCTGGACCTTGGACCTTTTTTTCTAAATACAATGTTAATTCTTCAGAAGGTTTTTAGCAAAGGAAAAGGCTTAACCTCATTTGTACTTTTGTAAGATCTTTCTGACTACTATGTGAAACATGAGTTATAGTGAGAAAAGAAAAGTATAGAAGTCAGTTAACTACTGCAGTAATCAAGGTGAGAAATGAGAGAGGCTTGCGTTAGTGTGTTGGCATTTATAGTCAGAGGACATGGACATTTTGAGGAATTATCTGAAAGATATAAATAACATGTGTGGTTGATGGATTTGAGGTAGGAGTAAGGAAAAGGGAGGGAGCCTAGACTTCTCCTTTGAGTCACTGGGTGGTGGCTGGTACCATTTACTACAACAGGGAAGATTGCCAGCTGGGGTAGGGATGGATACGAATCAGAAGTTCAATTTTGGACATATTACATTTGAGCTGCATATTAGAATTTCAAGTGGAGATAACATAAGACAGCTGGACCCCAGAGAGGTCAGGATTTGAAAGATAAATTAGACAGTCATCAGCATGTTGATGGTAATTAAAGCCATACCAGATGAGGTCATCAAGAGTTGGAGCGTAGAGAAGGAGTGCCTGAAATGCATTATAGGACTCTCTTGTGTTTAGACATCAGTTAGAGAAAGAGAAAGAGCCAGTAAGAGAAACTTATACAGAGGAGCCACCAAAACATGAGGAAGTCCAGGAAAGCATGGTGTCGCAAACCCTACCGCGTGCATTGTAATGCAGAAATCACATGTGGTAGATTATTTGTTTAAAGTATTCACTGTATTTTCTAACATTTCCCACCCCAGGGACTATCCCTATGGGATGAATATAAGTCATATAATACTTACTAAGGTTTGGCCATGTGACCAGCTGTGGCCAATGGAATGTGAACAGAAGTGACGTGTTTTACTGTAAGAAGCTTTAAGAGCCACTGTATTGTCCGGTCTTTGCTCTATTCCTCCAGCATCAACCCAAAATAAATATGACATGAAGAGTATATGTATATCAACAATTAATATGAGTGAGAATAAACTTTTGTTGCCATAAAGCACTGAGGTTTGGCAACTGTCCATTAGCCACAGGATAACCTAGAAAAAAATGGATGAAACCATCACATCTTATGTAGCATGATCATAAAATGAGACGTTCTTCACAGGTCTGGAGCTGGTGGTAGTCCTGGAATAACAGGAGCTTTTGCATCACACTTATCTAAGATCAGACACCAAATTTGTCACTTGCTACCTATATGCTCTTCACCAAATTGGCCTCCCTGAGCCTCAATCTTCCCATCTGGACTAAAGGATACCTATCGTACAGGGCTGTGGTAAGGATTAAATGTGACATATTTGCAGAGCACTCAGTATCATTCTGGCCCCCTCCACAAAATCCTTTTCTATTTATGTTAATTTCTTTCTTTTATTGCCGTAGATTACTCTAGTCAGAACCATGTTGTTAGAAAAAGGACAGAGAATAAGCAAAGTATCTATAGAGTCCAGGCCTAGAGAAATGTTCCCTGCTGCAGGGCTGGCTTCAGAGGGACAGATGGGTGCCTGCGACACAAAGGACACATCACTGTCAGAATCAGGCTTCATTCACACAACAACAGCCCTTATGGAATTCAATTCACAAAATACCTTAGACCATCATTAATAAGGGAGGTCAACTAAGGGAATCCCATGCAGACGGGACAATTTTCTTGGCAGAGCAAGTGGTAGAGCCTCTCGTCTCTGGACTATATTTGGGCAAGAGACAGCTAAAACTCTGGGTGGTTAAACTGGTGGAAACTAAGGCTAAAGAATAGAGAATTTATATTTATTAAATAGAGAATTAACATCTCACCTAAGCCACATTGTCTCTATAAAGTAGCTATACTCAAATACTCATTTTACAGATGAGGACACTGAGGCTGAGAGATAAAATATCAGAAATTGTACCCAAGTATATATGTCCTCCAAAGTCCATATTCTTTCCACGAAGGACAATGAATCTCTAAAATAATTAATTAAGAAGGTAGAGAACTAGCCTTATAGCCTTATGACCTAAGCCCACAAAAGAAATGAAAAGGGAAAAGAACATGGAAAACATACAATCACATCAAACTTGTACCAAAAAAAAAAAATTTGTAGCAGCTTTTTTTTTTTTTTTTTCAGATGGAGTTTTCACTCTTGTTGCCCAGGCTGGAGTACAGTGGCGCGATCTCAGCTCACTGCAACCTCTGCCTCCCAGGTTCAAGGGATTCTCTTGCTTCCTCCTCCTGAGTAGCTGGGATTACAGGCGCCCACCACCATGACCAGCTAATTTTTTTGTATTTTTAGTAGATACAGGGTTTCGCCATGTTGGCCAGGCTGGTCTCGAACTCCTGACCTCAGGTGATCCACCCCGCTAGGCCTCCCAAAGTGCTGGGATTACAAGTGTGAGCCACTGTGCCTGACCAGCAGCATTACTCTTAATAGCCAAAAAGTAGAAATAGCTAATATCTATCAACAGATGAATGGACAAAATGTGATATATAAATAACAATGGAATATGATTCAGCCATAAACAGAAAGACATTCTGACACATGCTATAACATGGATGAACCTTGAAAACATTATGTTATACAAAATAAAAAAAATGCAGAGGCCACACGTCGTATGACTCCATCTATATGGAATGCCCAAAATAGGCAAATCCACAAAGACAGAAGGCAGATTAGTGGTTACCAGGGGAATGGGATGAAGGGGAACAGGGAGTGACATTCAATGGCTATGGGACTTCTTTGCCAGGTGATAAAAACTTTCTGGATTGGTGACTGTAGTGCAACCTTGTAAATGTACTAAAAACTACTAAATTGTATACTTAAAAATAATCATTTGTATGATGTGCAAATTAAGCCTCAATAAAAATAGAAAGGGAGATATAGCATTCATGTTTATGTTATTGGTAGTATACAGTGCTATGACTTGTAAACCATTGACTCCATTCCCAGTTTGATAACATATCTCAAGTTCAAACCCCACAGCCGTAGAAGAAGTAGAAAGAAAGGCTATTCATATAAGCCAACCCTTCGTCCAGACTGGCTTAGGGACTGAGGCAGGTAGCCCAGAGCTGGCCTGCTAGCAGAGCAGCAATAAAGACAGATTCCAGGAGCCTGGGATCAAGGGCAAAAGAAACGGAAATGCACTCTCCACAGGCAGCCACAGGTCAGTTTCATAGGAATCTCCGTGTGCCCTGCTGGGTGCTCTTGGGATACCCTTCTACTTCCACCCCAGAGAGTATGTCACCCTCTTCTTTCATTCTGAGTATCCCCTGAGGAAAGAAGGAAAATATTAAGTGCAGAAGAACAATGACAAGAGCAGCCACATCTGAGAGAGGGCAGGAAAATCTCACTGCAAAACATGCTCATTAAATCCCACAGCTTCCCAAGTCTGTAGCAGAAAGTGCTGCATCTCTGTAATAACAAAGTGGCTGCGAGGTTAGGAAGGAGGCTCTTTGTGACACAATTCTGTAGAACTACTAAAGGAAAGTACAAACCACCCTGGTGCCTGGATCCCTTCCCGACCCCGGTGATCATGCCCATAAATTCCAGAAGCACGCAGTCATTCTCTAGACTACTGGAATGGAAATTATTCTGAGTCTGAGGAAAGTAATGAATGATAAAGCCCAGTGGTGCGGGTGGCAGTTAATTTGCCAGGAAGAGCTAATGGGGAGGGGCCTGGGGACCTGCCCTCCAGGCTGGGTTCCCCTACTGCCTCATTGATCCTGGTAGTTCTGTTAACCTCTCCGTGCAGTGACTTCCTCATGTGAAAAATTAAAATGCAGAAGCCTGTGTTCCCTGTCCATTCTGAGACGGGCTCCCAACGTGCCGGCTCTCGACACTGATCTCTTCCTCCCAGATGATCTGCCTGTATATTCCCTTGAGAAAGGTGCTCCAAGGAAGGCAGACGGAGACTCGCAGCAATTTGTAACGCAAATTTGAATAAGGATGGGTGGGCACAGGGAACACAGGGCAGGCAGAAGGAAGCTTATGGCATTTAATCTCGGCCACCACCACTTACCTAAGAAAAAAAATGGGAATACCGCGCTCCCTGCCCAAGTCACAGAAATCTATTCCCTGTTACCATCATGCAGAGCTTCATAAAAGCATTGGAGTAGATAGTTTCCATCATTTGAATGACTAATTAAGCAATATTCACCCTAATTTTCCCTAAATGGGCATTATAGCTTTTGATATCCAAATTTCTTAAAGCTTAGGGATTTTTTTTCACCCCTGTGAAAAAATTGCTACTGCAATTTCCAACTTTTGGAAGTTCCACTGGCCATTAATAGTGCCTGAATCTTCACAAAAATTCAATGCTAAGAGATGAGGAAAGAAATTTTCTTTAAATGTGATCTGCTCTCTTTTCTTTAAAAAATAAATAAATAAATAAATAAATAAATAAATAAATAAGCTTCTGAGATTGCACAGTGGCCCTGTCTAGATGCATGTATTCTTTTTGTCAGTGACTCAATATCTTTTAGATTACGGTGTATTAAAATAAACCCAGAGAGCCTAGAGGGAAAAAATAAACATGGCATTTGTCTTGAACTCATAAAGGGATTCATACAAAAAAGAATTTAGTAAAAATCATTACCACCTAAAAGCAATGCCAAAATTTAATTATACATTTTTCAACCCCCAAAGTAAATGCTCTAACATCTAAACCCACTGAAAAGCTGCCAGCTTTATTACTGCCATACCTATAGCATTTTCTGAAGCAGTCTCATTTAATTCTTGAATGCATGACCACCTAGCACTGCAGGTAGAGAAAATTTTTCTGTTGCACTAAAATAGCTTCTATTCTCAAAGGCCCGTAGCAACCCATCAATCTTGTCCTCTTGGGTAATTAGGCCCCTTCCCCATTTCCAGGCAGACGTTGCAGAGGACGCTGCTAAGCTCACAGGCAAGTCTGGCTGAATTCCAGCAATGTCCAGGGCTGGATTGTCAGCCACTGTGTTGTCCTCAGTCCCTATTAGCCATGGCATTTTTTCAGAAGAGAAATTAGTCCCTCTGCCAACTCCTATATTTTGTATAAGCCCAGATGTCACACTTTGCTAATGTCATACTAGACTGTAATATTTTTATAACGTAGTGTAGAAAACCAAAGCTGAGCCAAATAGACACATTGCTGCCAGATGGGTGACCTTTATTTACTGATAAAAGTTTTTAAATCATAAAACTTGAACTTATTAGAAAATGAGCTGAGTTTTTAAATTTACATGTGAGCCTAATCCTCTCTCCCACTGAGAATAGGAGAGAAGATGAGCTCCTAGAAATACAAAGTGTTTAGAAATCCCATCTTCATGGAGCAGGGACAGGGGAGGTGAATCTCTCCCTGGTGCATGGATTTGCTGAGCACAAGAATGACCAGAATCGTCTCATGAAAGGAACTGTGGTGCAACCTCTGCAAGCCTGTGAGTTGAAACACACAGCCACCTGCCTTCAAAGCAGGATGAAAATGCTTATTGTGAAGAACTGGCTTGTCTTCCTCCCATGTGTCTAGCCTGGAGAGGAGGATGAAGTAGACTGTGAGGTTTCCCAGCCATTCCCCGGGCTTACTTCCCAAAGCCATTCCTGAACAGTAATGAAATTTCTAATTGATCTAATCATGTTATTTTTGCCTCTAAGCAAGGGCAATTATCCCTTCTTCATATTTCCCTGTAGATGTATTTTCTTTGAAAATGTTTTTCTATCCTGACCCAAGTGTTATTTTCTTCGTTGGGATTGGCTCTGAATATGGCTAGGATTGTAATGGGACCTTTTCCCATTCTAATTCTTTCTTCCCGAAATTATTCTACCTACATATTTACTGATATTTAACTCTGAGTACTCCATATATTCATGACCTTGAAAGCAGAAATTGACCTCTTTGTCATCAATAGTCCACTTATTACTTTAATAATGATAAATGGCTTTGCCAATATGCTTACTCCATTATACTCTCCAGAACATTACTTTTAAATGTTACTTTTATGTTTGTTAATAATTTGCACCCTAACTCATCTGAACTGTATCACCTTTTGATTGTACTATTTTTAGTTAAACAACAATCACATTTTCCCACACCTCACAGATTCTTCAGGCAGTCTAATTTTTTATCAAATCAAATTATAATATAGTCAGAAACCAAATATTCTGCCCTAATGACCCCCTGATTCAGATATATTGAGACATCTATCCACGTTTTTTCTTTTCTCTCCTTGTTTCCCTTCTAATATTGAGGGTCACATGAACTCAATTTTAATTGGGGGTGGTACCACAAAATTATGGTTCTCCACCATAAAATTATGCCCTCAACCAGATAGTCGGAATTCTTCCCACTTATGACTAATATCTAAATGGTTAGGCGTTGTGCGACACAATTTTTAAGATGAACACATCACTGGGAGGGTTAATGTATTTGGGCTTGCAGTCAAGGGACTTGGGTTCAACCAAGCTCTACCTCTTGTTATTCATGTGATTGATATTAGACATCTCATTGAAATGTTCTATACCACTACAAAGGGAAGATGGCCATAACTGCCTGGAATTACCCCTATTCTTGCAAACATTAAAGTACATACATATAAAAATATTCTGTAACTAAATATCATAAGATGTACTACTAGCATCAATATTTGTCATCCTTTGCTTACCACAATCTGTTACCACAAATTTCTCGTCCTGGGAATTTTGGTTCAGCCAGGCTCACTCTACCAATTTGCCAACTCACACTTGTGTCCACTGTCTTCACGAAAGGACTAGCACAGGTTTTACAGCCTGTCCATAGAGTGAGGGCCTTAAATTCCTCAGTTCATTTTTCTCTCATTACTTACAATGATGAGGTCAGGCTCACTGAAATGTGCCTAAAATCATGCCTTGAATAAAGTGAGAGCTCAGTTGTTGTTGTTGGATACGTAGATGGAGGAAGAAAATCTGAATTTTAGACTAATAGAGAGGCAATGGTAGTATATCAATGCACAGGTAACTATACTTGTAAGGCCAAAAGAAAAAAAAAGAGAAGAAAAAATATTTTCTCCATCAGGGTGTGCAGCATAATGCTCACAAATCTTATATTTCTCTCCTTTCATTAATACTGAAAATAGAATTATGAAACTCCTGACAGCCTATTATTAAGAGTAACATTTTC
This sequence comes from Homo sapiens, assembly GCF_000001405.40. NCBI lineage: Eukaryota > Metazoa > Chordata > Mammalia > Primates > Hominidae > Homo > Homo sapiens. Next base: position 103,347,656 of record NC_000013.11, on the reverse strand, counting down.
TGAGCAATTACTATGTGCCAGACAGAACCTGAGTATGTAAAGATGACTAAACCTCCCTAGAGTGATTTATATGCATCATTATCCTATCTGGATCTAACCTGTGCTTCTTTGGAAATCACTTTTTTTGTGCCTAACTGAAAGCATTTGTTTAAAGCACCTATACTTAAAATTAAAAACAAAATCCGAGCAGTAATTTATCTAGCAAACTGCTTTCACCAAAAGCTTACCTGTTTTTTCCCATCAAGTATCCTGAATTAAGGCTGTAAAATCAATTGACCGTAGACAGTATCCTCTTAAGAATTATAACAAAAACCTTTGCTAGTAACTTCTTTTAACTAACAGTTTTGTAAGATAAATAATGTTAGGGATGCAAGTACCAGCAGCAACCAGGGCATCAGGTTCTGCACCAGCCATTCCTCAGGTTTATCTTCGGCCTCGGTTCCCATTATCTTGGTGCTCTGAAAGCAGACTTTTCTCATTTGTTCTTTAATCTGTTATTCAGGTAATTTCTCTGTCCCTTGTGTACCGCTAAAGACTTTTCCCCAGCTGCAAGGACTGATTTCATTTCTAAATAGTCTTGCTTTGTTTTCATCCCTTACTGTCTTTCCCAAATATTTCTCCCACCATTGACATTGTGTTCTTTTAACCTTCAATTACCCACCTCACCCTGGGATTGTTTATCTTTCTTTAAATTTCCTCCTTCCAAAGCAAACTGCCACCTTTAAGAAGTTCCTTAATTCTTATGCCACTATCGCAACAATTTGTTTTTTTCTTGGTGAGGAATAATTTTTCCCCAATTTATTTTGTTGTGTATCTTCTTCTCTAAGTGAATTCTCATGGCATATGGCGGGGATATTATCTGTGCACTTCCATAGAAAGACTCTAGATACTTTATCTCCTATTTCATCATGACATTCCCTGCTGGGGCCATCTTTTCCTGTCATGCAGCAAAGTTCTCCTCAGAATATTCATCTGGTAGTGCCCGGAGATGGAGATAACTCTTAGGCATATTTTCTCATGTGTACGTGTGGCGCAGCAGGGACTTCACAAGTTTCATACTCCATCTTCCCATGACTTTTCATAATAATATTTGAAGGGGACTCTTAAGGCATCCACCAGCCTGGTGGTGAAAGGAAAGATGGCAGGTTCTAATGCTGGCTGTGCTCAGAGATGCCCCTGGTCGCTTTGTTATGGTAGAATAGCAAAGGGGTGTGAAAAAATCTACATCAGTGTAACTTTCTTTTCCTTGTAGCCAGAGAAATGAAACCAACTCAAAGCCTTACCTCCCTTGGTAATTCCTATCGATATCAAATCTGCCTTGAAAGGCACTTAAAATCATGCCTTGAATAAAGTGAGAGCTCAGTCGTTGTTGTTGAATACACAGATGAAAGGCAAAAAATCTGATTTTTAGATAAATATAAAGGCAATGGCAGCAATACTGTATGATTGGTAAACCTCTGCCATTCTCTAGTGAATAGATAATCACACTTCAGAGAGAACTGTGGAATTTGGCAGAAAAATGATGGGAAACACCTAAAGCAAGGAAGGAGAGGAAAGTGAGGCAGGCTGCTTGGCCAGAATCAGCTGGGAGCTTGGAGAGAGATTCCTCAACATGGGGAAAGGGTATGTGGGAGACCCCCAGCATTCCACATTCCCACTGTAAACTCCTGCAATCCTAGCCAAAGGCAAGCCCTTCAAGCCTCACAGGCTCTCAAATTAGCAGAGAGCTGTCTGAAAACTGTGCAATGGCACTGATTGAAGGAGGGAGCTCATGCTAGGTCCCACACACTCCCCAAGACCTAAATAGCTACTACCATAAACCATATCATGCTAAATGTCCAGGGACTGGAGAAGTTGCCCACCTGCCAGGCCCACTGCTGCCACTACCAGCATCAGAGCAAGCCACCTAGAGGCCTACGATCTGGCCTGCCTGGACCTGCTAACGCTGGTGCTGATATGATTTGGCTCTGGGTCCTCACCCAGATCTCATCTTGAATTGTACTCCCATAATTCCAACATGTTGTAGGAGGAACCCAGTGGGAGATAATGGAATCATGGGGCGGTTTCTCTCATACTGTTCTCATGGTAGTGAATAAGTCTCAGGAAACCTGGTTTAATAAGGGGAAACCAATTTTGCTTGATATTTCATTCTGTCTCTTGCCTGCTGCGATGTAAAACATGACTTTCACCTTCTGCCTTGATTTTGAGGCCCTCCTCGGCCACATGGAACTGTGAGTCGAATTCAACCTCTTTTTCTTTTTTTTTTTTTTTTGGAAATTACCCAGTCTCAGGTATGTCTTTATCAGCAGCGTGAAAATGAATACAGGTGCCAATGTATGCCAACCCCAGGGTCCAAGTACAAGTATAGTCAGCCCACTGCTGCTACCACTGATGCCCAAAAACTGGCCCCTTGGCAACCCAAGCCACAGCAAAACTTCACCACACTTTCCACTAACCACCACATCATTACATCAGTCTGTAATGTCTGAGGAAATTACAAACATCACTGAGCTGTTACAGCTGAGGAAATTATACAGAGACTGCACTACTGCACACACTCAGAATCAAGGCCAAAGTTCTCTATTCAGCCAACACCATAAATACATCTTCAGGAAAGTTTCCTCCCCTACAAAAGCAAGTTCAAATAATTTAAATAAGCTACTATTACTTCAGATGTGTATGTATTAAAGTAAAAACATAGAAAATATGACAAAGCAAGGAAATACGACACCTCCAAAGGGACACAGTAACTCTCCAGCAACAGATCTCGATTAAAAAATTATGACATCCCAGAAAATACGTTCAAAGTATCAATTTAAAAGAAGTTCAGTGAGATATAAAAAGTCCTGAAAAACAATACAAAGAAAACAGAAACAATTTGGAATATGAATGAAAAATCTACCAAAGAGATAGGTGTCATAAAAAAGAACCAAACAGTAATTCTGGAGCTGAAGAATTCATTAAATGAACAGAAAACACATTTGAAGGCTTCAACAATACACTAAACAGAAGAAAGAATCTCATAACTTGAAGGCAATTCTTTTTAAATAGCCCTGTCAGGCAAAACTAAAGAAAAGATAAATTTAAAACAGTGAGCAAAGACTACATGACATATGAGAGAACATAAGGCAACAAAATATTTGAATTTTTAGAGTTTCAGAAGGAAAAAGGAAAACAAAAGGCTTAGAAAACCTATTTAATGAAATAATAAATGAAAGTTCCCAACTGTAGCAAGGTATTTAGACATTTAAATAAAAGAGCCTCAGAGATCCCCAGATACATTGCAAAAATATCTCCACAGCACATTATAGTCAAACTGTCAAAAGTCAATGACAAAAAGAAAATACGAAAAACAGTAAGAGAAAAGGGTCTAATTACTTATAAGGATTCCCCAATCAGACTACAGTAGCGGACTTCTCAGTAGAAACTTTATCAGCCAGAGAGACTGAGATGTTAGTTTCAAGGCACTGAAAAAAAAAAAAAAAAAAAAAAAAGCCATCCTAGGAATATTTGGCCTGGAAAATTATCCTTCATAAATAAAGAAAAAAATAAAGTTTTTCACTATCAAACAAAAGCTGAGGAATTCATCATCACTAGATCAGCTCTACAAGAAATGCTTAAGGGAATCCTATACCTGGAAGCAAAAAAAGAGATATCTTCCATTATGAAAACACATGAAAATATAAAATCCACTACTAGAGAAAATATACAAACAGGAGAAGTTTCAAATATTACCACTGCAGAAAAACACTAAACCACAATGATAAGCAGTAAGAGAGAAAGAAAGAAAAGATATATCAAACAACTAGAAATCATTTGATAAAATGACAAGCATCTCACATATCAATAATAGACTTGAATTAAACAGATTAAACTTTCCACTTAAAATATATAGACTGGCTGAATGGATACAAAAAATATATAAAATAAAGTAAACATTACCTCACTGTATGCCGCCCACCAGAAACACATCTCACCTCTGGAGATACATATAGGCTGAAAGTAAAGGGAAGGGAAAATATATTTTATGCAAATGGAAACCAAAAATAAACAGGAGTAATTATATCAGATAAAACAGACTTCAACTCAAAAACAGCAAAAGGAGGGAAAAAAGCTCATTATATAATGATACAGGGATCAAGTCAGCAAAAGGTTATAACAAATATTAATATATATGCACCCACAACTGGGGCATCCAGATATATAAAGCAAATATTAATGGATTTAAAGAAAGAGACAAACTCCAATTCAGTAATAGTTGTAGACTTAGACACCACACTCTGAGTATTAAACAGATTACTGAGACAGGAAATTAAGAAGAAACATTGGATTTAAACTGCACGTTAGGCTACATTGATTTAACAGATATTTACAGAACATTTATCCAGTGTCTACATAATGCACATCATTCTCATCAGCACATGTAACATTCTCCAGGATGGACCACATATTAGGTCACAAAATAAGTCTTGGCAAATTTTTTCAAAATTGACATCATGTCAAGTATCTTTTCAAACCACAATGAAATAAAATTAGAAACCAATACGAAGAAGAACTTTGAAAACTGTACAAATCTATGGAAATTTAAAAACTTGCTCCTAAATGACCATTGGGTCGAAGGAGAAATTAAGAAAAAAAGTTTTTAAAAATTGAAACAAATGAAAATGAATATAGAACATATGAAAACCTATAGGATATAATACAAGTAGTGCTAATAGGGAACTTTATAGCAATAAGTGCCTACATCAAAAAAGTAAAAAGATTTCAAGATTTGTACAGTTTTCAAAGTTCCTCTTGCCATTGATTTAATTTTATTCCACTGTGGTTTGAGAAGATACCTGATACAACGTGAATTTTGAAAGAATTTGTCAAGACTTATTTTGTGACCTAATATGTGGTCCATCCTGGAGTATGTTACATGTGCTAATGGGAATGATGTGCATTCTGTAGACATTAGATAAATGTTCTGTAAATATCTGTTAAATCTATTTAGTCTAATGTACAGTTTAAATCCAATGTTCCTTTCTTAATTTTCTGTCTCAACAACCTGTTTAATGCTGAGAATGGGGTGTCAAAGTCTACAACTATTACTGAACAACCTGCTTCGTAAGTGACCACTGGGTCAAAGAAAAAATTATGAAAAAAATTCTTTAAAAAATTGAAACAAATGAGAATGAAAATACAACATACAAAAACCCATGGTATATAATAAAAGTAGTGCTAAGAGGGAAGTTTATAGCAATAAGTGCCTACATTAAAAGAGTAGAAAGATTTCAAATAATGATGCACCTCAAGGAACTAAAAAAGCAAGAGCAAACTAAACACAAAATTAGTGCAAGGGAAAAATGACAAAAATCAGAGAAGAACTAAATAAAATAGAGACTAACAAAATACAAAATATTGATTAAAGGAAAACTTGTTTTCTGAAAAGATTCATAAAATAAACCACTTGCTAGATTAACCATGTAAAAAAGAGAGAAAAACCAAATAAAACCAGAAAAGAAAGAGAAAACATTTCAATCAATACCACAGAAATACAAAAGGTTATCCAAGACTATTATGAATAAGTATACACTAAAAAATTAGAAAATCTAAAGAAAATTGATAAATTCCTGGAAACATACAACCTATCAAGATAAATCAGGAAGAAATAGAAAACCTGAACAGACCAATTATAATAACAAGATCAAAACATTAATAAAAAGTCTTCCAACAATAAAAAGTCCAGAACTAGATGGCTTCACTGCCAAATTTTACCAATCTTTCAAAGAATGACTAACACCAATTCTTATCAAACTATTCCAAAAAACTAAAGAGGAGGGAATTCTCCCTAATGCACTCTATGAGGCCAGCATTACCCTGATACCACCAGCTAAGGACACACAAAGAAAACTACAGAGCAATATTGCTAATGAACATAGACACAAAAATCCTCAACAAAATACTAGCAAACCAAATCTGACAGCACATCAGAAAAATAATAATACATTCATGATCAAGTGAAAATTTTTCCAGGGATGCACAAATAATCCAACATACACAAATCAATAAACATGACACATCACATCATAGAATGAAGGACAAAAACTATATGATTTTAATTGACATAGAAAGCATTTTATAAAATTCAACATTTCTTCATGATAAAAATGTACAGAAAGAACATAAGCACAGAAAGAACATATATCAAAATAATAAAAGTCATGGGTGACACACCCACAGCTAACATCAAACTTAATATTATGGAATGAAAACTGGAATAAGACAAGATGTCCACTCTCACCACTTATATATAACATACTACTTGAAGCCCTAGCCACAGCAATCAGGCAAGAAAAAGAAATAAAAGCTTTCTGCATTGGAAAAGAGGAAATTAAATTGTCCCTCTTGCTTATGATATGATCTCATATGTAGAGAATCCTAAAGACTTCACCAAAAAACTCTTAGATCTGATAAATAAATTCATTAAAGTTGTAGGATACAAAATCAACATATAAAAATCAGTAGCATTTCTGTATACCAATAATAAACTAGCCAAGAAAAAAATCAAGAGGGCAATCTCATTTACAAAAGCTATTAAACAATACCTAGTGATACGGTTTGGCTGTGTCCTGACCCAAATCTCAACTTGAGTTGTGTATCTCAGAATTCCCACACGTTGTGGGAGGGACTCAGGGGGAGGTAATTGAATCATGGGGGCCAGTCTTTCCCATGCTATTCTCATGATAGTGAATAAGTCTCATGAGGTTTGATGGGTTTATCAGGGGTTTCCACTTTTGCTTCTTCCTCATTTTCTCTTGTTGCCACCATATAAGAAGTGCCTTTCACCTCCAAATATGATTCTGAGGCCTCCCCAGCCATGTGGAACTGTAAGTCTAAATAAACCTCTTTTTCTTCCTAGTCTCAGGTATGTCTTTACCAGCAGCATGAAAACAGACTAATACATCTAGAAAAAAATTTAACCAAAAAGGTGAATGATCTCTACAAGGAAGCTATAATGTGCTGATGAAAGTAATTGAAGATGACACAAACAAATGGAAAGGCATACCATGCTCATGGATCGAGAGAGTCAATATTGTGAAAATAATCATACTTCTCACAGCAATCTACAGATTTAATGTAATCCTTACCAAAATACCAACATTGCTTTTTCATAGAATTAGAAAAAAACAAGCCTAAAATGTGTATGGAACCAACAAAGAACCCAAATACTTAAAGCAATCCTGAGCAAGGAAAAAAAAAAAAGCAAAAAATCTGGAGGCATCATACCATAAAACTTCAAACTATACTACAAGGATATGATAACCAAAATAGCATGGTATTACTATAAAAAAACAAAACAGAGACCCATGAAACAGAAGAAAATCTAGAAATAAATCAGCATATTTATACCCAACAAATTTTTGTCAAATGTGCTAAGAACATACACTGGGGATAGGACACCCACTTCAATAAATGGTGCTGAGAAAATTGAACATCTACATGCAGAATAACAAAACTGGAACTCTATCTCTTGCCATATACAAAAATGAACACAAGATAGATGAAATACTTAAATGAAAGACCCGAAACTGCAAAATTACTAGAAGAAAACATAGGGAAAATACTTCAGGACATTGGTCTAGGCAAAAGCACAGACAACTAAAACAAAAGTAGACAAATGGGGCTATATGCAACTAAACAGCTTCTGCACAGCAAAGAAAACAATCCACAAACTGAAAAGAAAACCTGATGAACAGGAGAACATATTTGCAAACTATTATTCCAAAAAAGCATAATATTCAGTAATATATAAGGAACTCAAATAACTCATCAGTTAGAAATACAAATAATCCCATTGAAAAGTGGGCAAAGGATATGAATAGACATTTCTCAATAGAAGACATACAAATAGCCAACAGATGTATGAAAAAATGCTCAACACCACTAATCATCAGGGAAATACAAATCAAAACCACAGTTAGGTATCAGCTTACATATATTAGAATGGCTATTACTAAAATAAGGATGAAGAGAAAAGGAATATCTTATACAGTTGTGGTGGGAATGTAAATTAGTACAACTACTATGGAGAACAGTATGGCTATTTCTCAAAGAGAAATCCAGCAGTACCACTTCTGGGTATTTACCCCAAGGATAAGAAATCAGTATATCAAAGAGATACTAGCAATAGTGCTGTGTTTTATCATAGCACTATCAAAATAGCAAAGATATGGAATCAACCTAAGTGTCCATCTATGGAAGAATAAAGTAAATGTGATACACACACACATACACATCTGAAATAATGGTGTTCTGTCCCCAGTGTATGTTCTTAGCATCTTTGTCAAAAATTAGTTGGGTACAAAGACACGGATTTCTGGATTTGCTTCTGTTTCGTTGGTCTATGTTTCTGTTGTATACCAATACCATGCTATTTTGGTTATGATAGGTACCTTGTAGTACAGTTTGAAGTCAGGTAGTATAATGCCTCCAGCTCTTTTGCTTTTTATATTTAATGTGGAATATATATGCCACATCATATATATAAGATAAACTATTGTGTTGAATATAATCCCATTTGCCTATTTTTGTCTGTGCTTTTTCCTAGACCAATGTCCTGAAGTATTTTCCCTATATATATGAAATAGAAAACTATTTGACCATAGGAAAAACAAATGAAACATGTTACTTGCAGCAACGTGGATAGAACTGGAGGTCATTAGACTAAGTGAAATAAGCCAGGCACAGGAAGACAAATATCTCATGTTCTCACTCATATGTGGGAGCCAAGAAACTGGATCTCATGAAGATAAAGAATAGAATGGTGATTACCAGAGTCTGGGAAGGCTGGCGTGGTGGAGGGATGAAGGGGGAAAAAAGAATACAAATGTATTTATTACTACTGAACTCTACACTTAAAACTGGTAAGAAATAGTAAAAAAAATAGTATGTCAACACTAAAAGAAATCATAATAAAATCAATAGAAAAGTGAAAAAACATGTTGATTATGGTTTCTTTTTCCATATCTCACTGCTACTGTTTTCCTCTCGAGCCTCAGACCCTCCATGTAACTCTCCTTTCTCCTCTTCTCTGAGGGGAAAATTTACATGATCCTAAGAAGTCTCCCTTGATATCCCCACTTTGTAGTATCATGCATTAAGCACACGGTGACCATGTCTTCCCTCTAATAATCATTTTAATCAGGAGAGAACTGCTTTGGAAACTACTTTACAGATGAGAAAATGAAGATACAGAACAGTTAATTAATTTTTCAAAGGTTAAAAATTGCTCTGGTTTGAACATGTGTGTCCCCCCAAAATTCCTATGTTGAAATCCTCACCCTTAAAGGGATGGTATTAGGAGATGGGGCCTTTAGGAAGTGATGAGGTAGTCCTCATAATGGGATTAGTGCACTTATAAAATAGACCCCAGACAGCTGCCTTGCCTCTTCCACCGTGTGAGCACACAGTGAGATGGCATGGTTGATGAGCCAGGAAATCAGTCCTCACCAGACACCAAATGTGCCTGCACCTTGATCACAGACTTTCCAGCCTCTAGAACTGTGATAAGTAAATTTGTAATGTTATAAGCTATCCAGTCTATGGCATTTTGTTATAGCAGCCCCAATGAACTAAGACAAAAAATTAAATCAAATATGCAATGTAACTGTTTGAACTTGAGCTATTTATGGCAGACTGGTTCCATGCTACCTTGACCTTGGGTGGAAAGCGGAGCAAATTAGAGTAAACTGTCATTCTGTCTCTCTGTAGTGTCATTTTGTACCTTCATTTAAATAGATATCTGCAATCATATAATTTTTCAAGAAGAGTCTCACACTTTCTTTCAGGGTATAGCTATTAGTTTATATTTTAAGTAAAATGATAAACACTCAAGGTAAACCAAATAACATCAGGTTTTCTCTCAACCACACTCAATTCTGGGCCTGTTTGTCCTATGAACTTGCTTGATGTCTATAGAAAGTCATTTAACTCTGATAGGTCTCAATTTCCTTATTCATAAAATAAATGGACTATATTTTCCTCAGGGTCTATTCCAGATCTAACTGTTTTTAATTTACGCTATAAGACAAAAACAGTCATTGCTAACTTTCTCAATATTCTAGACATGTCCCCTGAGATATCACATGCTGGGAGAATTTTATCTGCAAAATCCTAGGCATAAAAGTATGTAAGTAAAACATGAAAGGCTTATTAAACAAGCCATACCACTTAAACTGGGGTATGACAAGTGTACCCTCTACTAATAAAGTGATACAGCTTCCTAATCCACTGAAAATACAAACCAAGACTGGCAATACACGTCAGATATGTTCTGTACTGCATCAATACATCGATACGTCACTTTTCAGTTGAAATTACAATTTTTGACAGCCTACATTCTTCCTACAGAGAAAATAATTCTATAGCCTTTTAATATTTTTATAGTTTCTGCAGCATTGCAAGCTCAAATCAGAATAACTTAAGTAGTTTAATGTTGCTTAAGACGACTTTTTCAGCAGAAGTAAATTTCTGTACACAAATCTGAATTTAATCCATATGAGCACGGTGTGCGACTAGGTCAGTTCAGGTGTTGTCAATGCAAAGAATGAAAGCTGGTTTCAAGATTTAGTGTCTCTAGAAATCTTTTTAGAAAATATTCATTAAACAAATGAAATTTTAAAAAACAATTCTTCTCACTTATTATATGCATATTAGTCACCTGGGGATATTTAAAATGCAGGATCTGATTTAGTAGTTCAGAGACAGGAACTGTGATTAGGGGGCTAAACCATCTGGTGTTGTCTCAAACTGAAGAGTTTCCTGGGACAAAGGACTTTTCTTGCTAAAACTGGGTATATTCTTAGCAAACCACCACCGCGAATCTGTCACTCTACCTGAGATTCTGCACTACCAAGAAGCACTCAGATACTGCTGCTGATGTTGGTCCTTGGATCAAATTTTGAGGAATAAAAGTGGGGGGCTGGTTTTAGAACCTGTGGTACAGGTAGCTGGTTTCAAAATTTTCTTTCTCCCTTAGTACTTGTGTGATCTTATGCAAGTTTCTTTACTTATCAAGTCTCAAATCACCAACTGAAAATTAAGATAGTAATACCCACTTCGCAGAGCTGTGAGCTTTAGAAAAGATAAAGAGCATAAAGTTCCTGGTCTATTAGGAATTCTTGACAATTGTTAGCTTTTGGTATCATCGTTGTCTTAATATTTTCTCTGATAAAATATCAGTTAAATGAATATCATTATAGTATACGACTGTTGAAATAAAACTTGATTAGACATGATCTTGACACTTGGCTGAATTGAAAGAAGATTTTATTTCACGTGTATCAAGTCTGGGCAAATATGTCTTTAGAAAGTCAAGTACATATGGCAAAATAACTAATATATGTACAATTTCATGCTTTACAAATACATGTGCAAATGGTGATAACCCTGCATCTGCATCAAGTTAAATGTACCAGAATAATTGGCTTACCATTCAATATTGAGTCAATTCAAGGAAGAGAAATTCCAATTTAACTGCATCAATTCATAAGTAAAATAATCAAAGAAGAATGAAATCAAAATCCTATTTAGTCAATGATTGAGTCAAATCATAAAGAGAAATTCCTTGAAATTCATTTTTAAAGTGCAGTTTTCAGGAGGTGACTCATCCTTTTGGATGTTAAAATCATGTCGCCAAATACTATAATGGTGAATAAAATAATGCAACATGTTATTCGGACCTGAGGTGAGAAAGGCTTGAAGTAGGAGACAAGTAAAGAAATGGGACAGAAGTGCAGAGTCCTGAGAAGAAAAAAATGATGAGATACGGAGCGTGGCCTGAAACACAAAGCACAGGACACCAAGGTCAAAGACAACTCTATGGTTCTAAGCTTTATATACTAAGTGTTAAAACATACCAAAAAAAACCTACAAAACCTCATAAGGATGACGATTTAAACCTACATCAATTATTACTCAATTCTACTAACATCATTAGTCATATTTCTAATTTCCTATTATAACTATCTTTTAGAAAATAATTTCCATATTGAAATAAATTAAAAGCTGATGATCATTAATGTGGATTTGTTTCCTCTGACTTCCGATGTTTCTACCATATAGCCTAGCATCTGAAATTTATTGAAAAAAAAAATTGTGAGCCTACCAGACAGGTTCATGATTATTAAGCCCTTAGGACCACTGTTATCTTGCTCACTCCCTGGGCCTGCAGGAGCTGTGGCTTTGATTCATGATGTGGAAAGGATCGTTATCTAATCAATCAGCAAGCCAAATGACACAGAATAATTTACTTCACATTAACATCATTTACTAGCCTGGGCATATGTAACTTTTTAATAATGCTTAAGACATTGGTTTTACAATAAAAAATCTTCAATCACGTATTTCATATTTCCTATGACAGATGAGAAAAAATGAGGAAACCAAAGCTTTTGGAGAAGGGCTGGAACTAGCGCTTAGTTCTTCTAACTCCTCGTGTTAGCCTGTTTTCCTTACGCCAATATTGACAGAGAATAAAGAAGAAAAATTGCATCAGTGCTTGAGCATTGATCATCTACTTTGTCATTTGTCAATGCTTTTAAAAGGAAAAAAATGCTTTATCCTTGCCATGTCCTTTTATAGACACTCGTTTCTTCTTCCTCCTCTGTTGATTCTGTTCACAATTTTCTAAACTTCTTTATCTTCCTATCAACTTTAATGATAACATATTCAAGAGCATTCATTAATGCAGCACAGAGTCATCATAAAGGAAACACGAAACTTGGGGCACAAATGAAGGCTTAATACACCCACAATGTCTTAGACGAAGCACATCCCCAAGGCAAGTATGGTCTGTAAGCATCTTACATCATACCCAAGTGTCTTCAACGTGGACATCAGTCAGTTACTGATTTGAATATTTAATTTTCTAAGCTCCTATGTGTTCAAGTTTTTGCAATCTATCGTTAATTTATTCTTTAAGCAACACACACTTCTATGAATAAAGTAGGTTTATGTAAGTATACCATCCTTCGGTGTCCTAGAATCTTCAATATGTCCTGGGCCATCTAGTGTAAAAAACTTCCTGTCTTACAGAACTACTTTAAAAAACCCCCAATGTTTCCAGGACAATTTCATCTGACCTTTATGTGAAAACCATCACCCTCCCTCCGACGCTCACATTTGACAACTGATTTTAAACCATCTCCCAGGTGCCTAAGTAAGCAAAGTCACACATGTACACATACAAAACTTGTGTTCTTTGTCAAAACCTAGCTTGGGAGGGGAAATTCTGTGGCTGTTACCTGCAGATGTTTTATTTGAACAGATATTATAAATGGATTTTAATTGTGCTTTCAGATGTAAAACACCCACTAAGGAATATCCCTAATAGACCTGTAGGAACTCAATAAAATAAATCAATAGCATATGTCCTGGAAGAGTATTGCACTTTCTAACATTTTGATCAATACTGACATTTGACCCATAAAATGTGTCATCTATTAATTTTGTGAAAATTTGCTGATACAAGTGCAACTACATACAAGAAAATGTATTAAGGAGAACTTTATTTTCCCCTGCTCTTGCCAACGTTTTTCTGACACGTCACCGTGCTATCACCTCTCTCTCTTGTTCATGCAGCTCTTGTTGCAGGAAATAATAATCTTACTTTGTGTCAGATCCTCATTCTCCTCTCAATCTCAAATGTCCACATTGGACCATCACCTACCAGGTCATTACTGTTAGCTCACTGCTTGCAATTACATGTACCAGAGGCACAGCAAATCACAGGATTAAATCTGAGTTCTTTTTAAAACACAGTACAAGGTTAGGTAGCCACATAGTTCTAAGTTCAGATTCACAGCAGCTTCTAGACTGCTGTGAGTAGCAGGGAGGAATATGATCAGGCTCCTTGTAGGCCCTTGGTCGAAGCAGAATCAATCTATTGGCACATTTGTCCTTCCTCGTGTTGCTTTATTTGTCCAGCTTTAGCTGAAGTACACAGACTCTAAAACTTGTAGTTGCCTGTTACTAATGACATAGAGAAAGCTAAAATTTTATTTTTGAGAAACAGCAAAAATGCCAAAAAAAAGACCAAGCTAAGAGGCCAGATGACAGGGTAACCTAACTATCTAAGATTTGGGAGAGATTTTGCAGAAGACAGAACCAGACAAAATTACCATACTGTGGTCTGGCAGTGCAAATACTTAAACACAATAAATTCAAGATAAAAAGTGTAACATATTTTTAAAATGTATGGAGAATGCAGAGAAGCAATGATTGGCATTTTAGGTTTAAGTGGGTATTACACAGAGACAGGAAAATATAATATTTATTGAAGCCTTACAAGGTGCCAGGTCTTTACAACCTGTGAGAGACGCATTCCCAGTTCCATTCCCCAGTGAGGAAATCATGGTTCAGAAAGGTGAATTAATGTCTCTGGGTCACCCAACTACTAAGTGGAAAAGCTGAGATTCAAACCTGGGCCTGTGTAAATTATAGAGCCTTCATGATTTTTCACCAAGCCATTCTGCTGATCACTTTTATTATCTTAGCAGCCAAACCTCTGAAATATTAAAGTTTATGATCTCTTGCTCCATGTGCTTTGTAAACTTTTGCACTATTGTATGTTCTGTGTCTATGCAGAATGCTGAGCAGACTCTCACAGTTTCCCTTTTCTAAATCACACTGCCTATTTTTAAAGACTAAGATTTAGCATCAGCTTAGGTCATGGTACGGTTTGGCTGTGTCCCCACCAAATCTCATCTTGAATTCCCATGTGTTGTGGGAGGGACCCAGTAGAAGGTAATTTAATCATGGGGGCAGGTCTTTCCCATGCTGTTCTCGTGATAGTAAAAAAGTCTCACCAGATTGGATGGTTTTAAAAAGGAGAGTTTCCCTGCACATGCTCTCTTCTCTTGTCTGCTGCCATGTGAGACATGCCTTTCACCTTCCGCCATGATTGTGAGGCCTCCCCAGCCATGTGGAACTGTAAGTCCAATAGATCTCTTTCTTTTGTAAATTGTTCAGTCTCAGGTATATCTTTAACAGCAGTGTGAAAACGGGCTAATACAGGTCACCCGTTCTCTGAGACTGGGAGACGGACAAGTATTGAGGGAAAGGAAAAAAGCTACACAAGACTCCCACAAAACCAAACAGATCTAAGTTAGAGTTTGTGGGGAATGGTAAGTAGTGAAACTTTTTAAGCAAGAGAAGAATAAAGAAAACATTCAGTGTTGTAGTTACCTCAAGGGAAAGGCAAAAAGATGTGATTGGGGATGGAAACTTACATAGACTCAATGTCATTTTGTATTGTTTGAGTGCTTACTTTGGTGGAGAGATTACAGGCATAGAATCTATTATTAAGCCTTGTAAATAATACATATGTTTATCTACTACTTTGTTGTCTCATATATTTTATTTAAAATAAGAAAGTAATTGGTCCAAGCCCAGAGCAGCAGTACAGTCTGGGTACTCTGCACACGCCTGAGGCTCTAAGAGAAGGCCCTGCTCAGCCCCTCCTCCATCTCAACCAAGCAGGGCACGAAGCAGCCCATCACTGGTCCAAAGCCTGCTTTACTGAGAGCTGAATCTGTGCCTCTTACGAAGGATTAATACACCATGAGGCAAGTCCTTCTTTTTTATAAATAATTGCAGCTCAGGGACTCCCATTGTGATAAATTCTGAAATGCTTCTCCCTGCTCTCTGTTCTCCTATGCCCCGCTCTATTCTTGCTGGCATGAAAACTTTAATCTTTAAAATTAATTAAGTAAGAATACCAATATATTTGATTGGATATTTGTCAATATGAGGCTGAAAAGAAAAAAATAATGTTTTATAATACCAGCTGGTAACATATAAAAAACAAAGTAAAACAAAGAATACTCATTTCTGTGAAGCCAGAATGTGTTGTTATTTCCTGTGTCTAAGCAGTTGAGAAGCAGCAGTGTTCTTTCAGTATTTACAGCAATTACAATTTTGCATTCATTTGTCTGAATATTTGCCTTAATGTCTGCTCCCACGTGAGACTAAGTTTTACGAGGGCAGGCTCTGTCTGTTCATCATGGTCCTCCCAATGCCAAGCCACAGCTCTGAGGACAATTTAGTTGTCATAAGTGAGTGGCCAAGTGAGTACATAAATGAATAAAGATTTTAGTATTAAAAAATCTTATACATCCACTGTGATAACTTCATAAGACAAGAAATATTTGCTTTAATAAGGACAACTTTCAATGTACAGAAAGCTGAGTCACTAAATCAAGCCATCAGATACATAACAAATCCTCTAGCCCATTCTCCTGGTAATATACTAGATATTAGGTATGGCTGCCATCAGGATTCATATTCATGTTATTAGCTGATTGGTATAATATAGTTAGAAATAATGCTTCTAGGCAGTAATGAATAGAAAAATTATTAGTATGTACTTACAGTTTATATACCAACTCTCCTCCAAAAAAATGAGAAATAAGAGTGATTATAGGAAAGTAAATCTCAAATATATATGTATGTGTAATATGTATATTTTTAAAAAATTTAGTTGTAATTTCTTAATGTAATTGTTTACACCTAACACATATCCTTCACATACTTTTCAGTTATTAAATCATTGGTTATATGATAATTCACCCTATTTTGTTTTTAAATATGTACATCTAATAGGAAGATATTGCTACACGGTTATGAAAAATAATTTTTTCTGAATATCAGTTAAGAAAACTATCGTTTCATTTGTATACAAAGCAATTAATTATAGCTACATCCCAGATTTTACCAAAAATTTTTGACAATCACTTGAGAATAATATATATGTGTGAACACCGAGTGCAAAGTAAAGCAATGTGGAGAAAATAAGATAATTGGGTGACAAATTTTATATTTAAAACAAATTGTGATTTAAATAGTGTAAAGTGGAAATGGGAGCATATTAGACGCTGCTGACAAGGGAGCAGGATTGGGAACTGAGTCAGGAATGCAGGAGTGAGTGCGCGGGGTGGGTGGTGCTTCTGGTAGGATGTGGTTGGCCCCTTAAACCATCTCCAGGCTGCAAGGAAGAGAGTGACTGGACTGTGAGAAAAACTGAGCAAACGTTCCACGTCTGTTTCAGAAAAATAAGCCCTAATTCAGAATTCACAAAACAAGAACCAAACTCATGATTCTGTTAAAACATTTTTAAAAAGTAAACAAAGTGACTCACTTTTGGTGAGAGGAGCTAATAAAAAAATAAATGCCCAATGGATTTTTGAAAATAATTTTTTAACCTGCTCTCAGTCATTCTACTGGAATCATTTCTATTTTGTGGGTCTTAACAAAGTTGAAAGTTTAAAACTAACCTTGACAAGTCAGAAAGGGCCACACATTGCACCATTCCAGTTATATGAAATGTCCAGATTTATATACAAATTCAAAGATGCATAAAGTAGGTTCGTGGGGCCCAGGCTGGTGCAGAGGGAGAGTTGAGAGGAAATATGGAGTGACTGCTAATGGGCACAGGGTTTCATTCTGGGGGGATGAAAATGTCCCGAAATTGATGATATTGATGGTTGTAAAACTCTTTGAAAATGCTAAGAGCCATTTACTTACTCACTTTAAGTGAATTATTTGTAGGAAATGTGAATTATACAATAAAAACTGCTTTTAAAAAAACAAGCTAAACCTAGGAGCTTAAAACCACATCACAAGGCACATGCGGGACTGTTCATATCATGTAGAAATAATCTGTTAGAGGATTATTTTAAAAGTTGTTTATAGAATCATATCAATTTAATAGGAATTATATAAGAAGTCTAATTAGTATCCTTTTCTACTACAGAAAAGTGTAAGGACAGTAGATTTAAAAATTAAACTTGGCAGGGTGTGGTGGCTCATGCCTGTAATCCCAGCACTTTGGAAGGCCGAGGCGGGAGGATCACCTGAGGCCAGGAGTTCAGGACCAGCCTGGCCAACGTGGTGAAACGTCATCTCTACCAAAAATACAAAATGAGCCAGGTGTGGTGGTGCACCCCTGTAATTCCAGCTACTCGGGAGGCTGTGGCAGGAGGATCGCTTGAACCTTGGAGGCAGAGGTTGCAGTGAGCCGAGATTGAGCCACAGCACTCCAGCCTGGACAACAGAGTGAGACTCTGCCTTTAAACAAACAAACAAACAAACAGACTTTAAGACAAATATTTAAAAAGGAATTTTCATTCAATTTGAAATTCAAGAAAGTCTATGGCACACTTTCTCAGCAAAGACTTTAAAGACTGAACAGATATCTCTAGGGTGGTTTAAACACAGCCCTATATAAAGTCCAGTGTGATGGTTAATTTTTTGTGTCAACTTAGCTAGGTTATGGTGTCAGTATTTGGTCAAACCCCAGTCTAGATTTCTCAGTGAAGGCATTTTTTTAGATGTGATTAACATTTAAATCAGTGGACTTTGAGTAAAGCAAATGATTCTTCCTAGTAGTTCAATCAGTTTAAGGACTTTAAGAGAAAAGACTGAGGTTCTTGGATGTACAAGGACTCTTTCACAAGACTGCAACATAGAAGCCCTGCCTGCGTTTCCTCTCTGCTACTCTGTGGAATTCCAACTCAAGATGGCAGCATAAACTCTTCCCTGAATTTTCAGCCTGCCAGCCTGCCCTATAGATTTAAGGCTTGCCAGCCCCCACAATCATATCTGCTAATTCCTAAATGTCTTTCTTTCTCTCTTTCTCATGCTGACTAATACAGCCAGCATCAGGAGTCACCCCTTATTCCTTCCTGATGAAAAAACATAATAATCATACCAAGAATATGGAAATTTCTCTGGAGCAGGTATTTTCCTCAAGCAGACATTTAGGCTTTGAATTTTCAATGCTGAAGCTTAACTGATATCAGCACTGGCCAGGCTAATTTTTGCAAAAGAAAAGTGGACACCAGATACCACAATGCCTAGACATGCATGTCTTATGACCAACACCTCTCTTCCTCATAAGATGGAACAAGTGACTGCCAACCAAAACTCAGCTGGTGGTGACATCTATGCCAGGAGGAGACAGAAAAAAAAATGGAATATGTGATGCATCTGAGATATTTGTGCATATTTTATGGTTTAAATGCACAGAGTTATGTGAGGATGAAAACAAAAAGGTGATATCCTGGATCCCTTCTGCATTATTATACATAATGTTTAGGATTCTGTAAATAATTTATATGTAAAAGAGAATATCCAATATGATGATTTTGAGGGGTTAATCTTAACAAAGTTTACATTATCATTTTCATCAATGAAAAGAGCCTTGGGGCAGGATAAGAACCTTATTCACCAACTCCCTATACTATTTCATTGAAGTCTGTGGAGCGGGCTTTGTAGTAATTAAGAATCTATAGCATCTTTAGGAATAAAGAAAAGTTTATTTTTATTAGAAAACCCTATGCACATTTTATTTTTCAAAGCCATGGACACGCCAACAGTAATGAAGCAAAACTGGAAGGAAAACAAACAAAACAAAAACCTTTCAGCTGAAGAACCAAGACCTCACTTAGTATTAAGTAAAAGCAAGGAGAGGATTGGAATGGACAAATGATTAAGAAGAGTTAAGAGACAGCTCAATGGGGAGTTCCCATTTTTACTTCTATGATTTTGTTTTTCTGTAAAAGGAAAAGGGATAGTACTAAGAATTGGGAAATTATGAAGAGAATTACTGATCTATATCCCTAGAGTGAAGAGGCATTGATTTTCGTCTACAGTTAATTGCAGTGCTATTTTTTAGTACTGAGAGGATGGTGTCTCTTCTCTTGTAATTACAAGTAATGCTCAAGGACACAGATCATTACATGCAATGGCCTCAGAAGTTGAAGATGTTCCCGTAGTTTCAGATGGGGTCACTAACGACTGGTCCACTCCACCAAAGCAAGTGCCACTCCACTGCCATCCACAAAACTGAAAGGTAAAATGACCTCCTCCCATACAAATTTCCAAATAGTCAACCATAAGTTGTTATTCTATCTGTTTTGCCTAAAATCCTATAGTTTTCTGATTATTGTCTTTTGAGACAGAAAAAAGTTATTTACTTGCATTTAAAAGTGCAACCAGAATTATTCTCAAATGCAAATCATGATTTGTAAACAAAAATAACAAAATCAAAGCACGAAAGACATAAGTGCTCCTAACTTAGCTCCTAAGTGAATTCAGGGTCTGAATAGGAATTTTAACCACATCTTCTCCGACATGATGTCAAAAAATACACTTTTGTGATATGTAGGCAATTCTTGATATATGAATGTACACTGATGAGTCATTGTGGATTCAAATGGTCAATGGAAAAACTGGAATCCATAAGTCCTGATTTTTTGAGGTGATACCAATTTTTGTCCCTCGGTTTTATATATCTGAAAGGAATTTTTAAAAAATCTCTCTTCTGTTCAAATTTAGAGGCTTCTGTAACAGAAAGAAAAAAACATTACAAAGAAAGAAAGAGGGGAAGAGAAAGGAATAGAATGGAGAAAAGGGGAGCTATGCTGCTAGGAGAGAAGGCACATTCAGAAGTCAAAAGCTTGTTCATTGAAGGCAAGACATTTAAGAATCATTCTGAAGGAGATATCAAGGGTTTCTGTGGGCATAGTCTAGAAGAGAGAGGTTTAAACAAAACCAATTAAATGTTTTTGCATAATAAAATGCTCCAGTTATCTACTGCTGTATAACAAATCACTTAAAACAATAACTAAACAATTTAAAAAATCATTTATTTTGCTTACAAATGTGAGGTTGACTGGACTTATCAAGAAAGTTCTCCTTAGAAGCCTCTCATGCTATTGGAGTCAGATGGTGGCTGGGTTGGGGCCATCTTAAAACCATCTCAGCTCACATGTCTTCCAGAGCTAGGAAGATTGAAACAGCTGTGAGGTGAAATAGTTGGGGCTCCCTGACATTGTTCTCAAGAGTGCACACTTCTGGTGTGTGTTTTGGGGGGAAGAGGTGTAGGTGTGTGTTTGTGTGTGTGTAGTCTCCCCATGAGTTTCCCCAAATGATGGCTCCAGGATAAACAGACTACTATAAATAAGCAGCTAAAGGCTTTCACATCAGTATCCCAAGAGTACTAGCAGAAGCTTCATGGTCTTTTCTTACCTACTCTCAAAAGTCAAGCAGCATCACTTTTGCGACATTCCTTGTCTCTGAAGCAATAAAGTCCCATGGAGATTCAAGGGGAAGAGTCATAGACTCTACTTCCTGAAGAGAAAATTCCAAACAATTTGTGAAAATATTTTAAAACAATGACATAAAAGAACAAGCATTAATCAGTGTCTAGTACGGAGTTGAAAAAAGAGGAGAGAAAAAGAAAAGATGGTGGGAAAGGATTTCAGTTTTGTAACTTTTAGACAAAAAAGAAAGGTTAGAAACTAGAATGTGCAATAAGAGAAGAACAAAAAATAATAGCAAGTAATGCCTTTGGTTTTCTTCCATTAAGTTCTGGGAAAGATAAATTTATTGTTCTTTTTCATTTTATTTTCCCACATAAAATTCCCTTAGTACCCAAATCTTCAATAAAATGCTGCCACACTAATATAGTACAGGATATTAGCACTTTGTAGCAGGAATGGTAAGGTTTCTAGGGACAGGAGTAAAATCATGCTGAAAAGAACAGCGGCCTTAAGAATCTAGAGCAAACATTAGAAACCAGGTAACATTAGAAGAAGAAAAAAATCCTACTACTTCTACAAACTCAGGAGAGGAGCTAAGGAAACCTTTTTTCTCTCCAAAATACTAGAGAAAAGTGACCCAAAGAAGTGAGAAAACCAATACATCTGTCTCATGGATTAAGGCTTGTGGGCGTGATTCCTGGAGCCATCTCATTTGCATCTCAAAGGATGGGTGAAGACAGAAGACTGTAGGATGAAGACATCTTTTGCAACCAAATGACTTTTGCTATGTGGTCACAGAAGTTTCAAAAAGATCCACTAATTTTACTTTTCAATTGAACTTCTCCCTTGGAATGTCACTTAGTAACTCTAAGTGAAACAAAGAATTTTATCATGTGGAATTTATTTTAAATTCTGACTAGCTATAGCAGATAGAGTGCACTAGGTCACTAGGTATTATATGTATTTTTAATAATTTTATCTATATACAAAAACAGTAAATAAAGATCTACAGTGAAGAAAGACTTCACCACCAGGCTGTGCACTGTGCTTGCTAGCTCGCTCGCTCTCTCTCGTTCTCTCTCTCTCTCTTTCTCTCTTTTTGTGTATTTAAAGAATTAAAAGAGAGTCTTACTTCTTCAGGTTTGTGAAACTAGACAGGCTCAGATATCATGATTTAGAGTTTATGATTTAGAATTTTCTGATGAGAATATTTCAATGTCATCATCTAATAAACTTTTCTTTTTTATGTAGAAAGTAAGTTTTAAGTTAGAACTTGATTACAAACCTGCCAAGTCAGTGTTTCAATACAGCTGTGCCTCAGTGGCAGAGAAAAGGTTCATTTGAAAAGAGATGATATTATGCTATCAAAATTGCTGAACAACAAGAAAAAAGATATTTTTCTTCCACGCCTAGACACCACTTTCAAAGACAGAATGAATACAAAAATAAATTGATGAGGGTGTTGAAAAAACTAGTAATATCTTACCACCAGACCACAAATGTAAATCATTTTTGAAAGACATAAAGCAAATGGAAACCAAGATAATGTTTAAAAAAAGAGCCTCTTCTGACAAAACCTTGGAATATTCCCCAAAACTGGGATAACAAAGCTATGAGAAGGAGTGTGTCATATGCAATGAAGTGGTAGTTAATTAAAGGTTATGACAGGTGAGCCAGTACCAACACTCTCCTGACAGATAACTCTAACGTTTGTATAAATGGAATGCTGCTTCCAGGTCCTTACGGCTGTCTGCAACCACCCTCTCCAGAAAACAAACTATGAAGAAACTCCACTTGATCACAACCATCACAAATCCACTGGCCATTCACAGGAGAGAAACTGCTGCAATCCCAGCTGCTTTTACTGCCAGGCAAGAGTAATTATCCTTTAGTCTGAGAAAATACATTTTCAGTTGTTAATTTAAACCAGACTGTCATTTAAAGTATGATCAGAAACAAGGAAAAAAAATGAAAAACTCAGTATGTAACACATCTAAAAATTAAAATATAAGGACAGAAGAAAATTTAAGGTAATTATAATTAGTATCTTCAGAGACATTTCAAAGGGCATAAAGGCCATTGAAAGAAGGTTGCTATGGAAAGAAAAAAAAACAGAACTCTTGGTAATATAAAATATGAAAGATAAAATACAAACTTCTTACACAGACAGAATAGCAACTCAAACAGAGGAGAAGATCAGACACCAGAGTAGAATCGGGATCACAGGATAGGATAAAGAGATGCAAAGTCTGAGAAAAAAAATAACAGAAAGGTTTTTAAAGATGTCTAACATGTGTCTCTAAAGAGATTCCCAGACAAGACAGCAAAAACAGTGGGTAAGAATACCCCAACTTATGAAGAAGAGAAAAATGTATGAGAACTGAGGTAATATTCAAGCTTTGAAATGCCTAGGTACCCACGGAGTGAAAGAAGATTGATTTTAAAACACACACACACACACACACACACACACACACACACACACACACACACTTTAAATACATGCTGCTAAATTGTCAAAGCTATAAGGAAAACCAAAAATGCCTGTAAAAGTTCCCAACTAGCAAAGGCAATTAAATAAGAAAAAGAAGTGAGTCATACAAATTGAAAATAAGTAAATAAAATTATATTTGCAGATTACTTGACCTGTATTTAGAAAATCTTAATGAATCCACAAAATAATATTGAGCTAAGAAACAAATTCAACAGTGTTACAAAATACAAAATCAATATAAAAAAATCAGTAGTATGTGTACCCAATTGAGTAATCTGAAAGTAAAAGTAAGAAAACTCTTCCCTTACAATTGCATTAAAAACATGTAGGAGTAAATTAACAAAAGTGGTACATGACTTATATACTTAAAATTAAATAAATAGAAAGACATCCCATGTCCATAGATTGGAAAACTTAATAACAGTCCTCAAAATTACTTGCAGATTTAATGTAATTCCTATATAAATAATGGCTGGGTGTTACTGGGGATTTTTTGGTTTCAGTTGACTAGCTGGTTCTAATATTTATATTAAAAGTCTATGGACCCCAAACTGCCAGAAACAATCTTAAAAAAGAAGTATAACGTGGGGGATACACACTCCTTGATTTTGAAACTTAACACAAAATTATAGCAATAAAGACTGTGTGGTACTGTCACAAGAATGAATGCAATAGACTTTAGAGTCCAGAAATAAATCCTGACATTTATTGTCAATTAATTTTTATAAGGATGCAAAGACAATTGGAAAAGAATCACCACCTTTTCAATAAATTGTGCTCAAACAACCAGACAGCCAAAGGTAAAAGAGAGAAATCGGACCTTTACCTCACAGGATATACAAAAATTAACTTAAAATATATCAAAGATCTACATGCAAGAGCTAAAACTATAAAACTCTTGGAAGAAAACGTGGAGGTAAACCTTTATGACCTCACACTTGGCAATGATTTATCAGATATGATGCCAAAACCACAAAAAAACGAGAGAAAAAAGATAAATTACACTTAATCGAAATTAAAAAAGAAAAACTTTTGTTCATCAAGTGACGTTACCACAGAATGGGAGAAAATATTTGCAAATCATATGACTTTTAAAGGTCTAATATCCAGAATATATAGAGAACTCCTACATGTCAACAACAAAAAGACAAATAATTTTAAAAGGGGAAAGGATTTGAATAATTATTCAAATATACAAATGACCAATAAGCATCTAAAAAGACGCTCAGTATTATTAGTCATCATGAAAACGCAAATAGAATTCAAAATTTGATGCCATTTCACAAGCAAAAGATGGCTACAATTAAAAATGGATAACAACGAGTGTGGGCAAGAATGTGGGGAGTTAGAATATACATGGATTGTTGATAAAATGGTACAGAAACTTTGGAAAACAGTTTGGTAGTACTTCAAAAAGTTAAACATGTTATCAAAATGACCTAGCAATGCTACTCCTGTATATAAGCTCAAGAACATTGAAAACACACCTCTAAGCAAAACTTATTCGTAAACATTTATACCAGCATCATTCATACTAGCCAAAAAGTGAAAACAATGTAAATGTCCATAAATGGACAAACAGATAAGCAACAGTGGTATATTTACACAATGGAATATTACTTATCGGTGAAAAAGAATGAAGAACCGACATATGCTACACTTAGAGGAACCCTGAAAACATTGTTCTAAGCGAAAGAAGCCAGGCACACATGGCAACACTTGTACGATCCCACTTATATGGCAAACCTAGAATAGGCAAGTATAGAGAAACAAACTACATTAGTGGTTTCCAGGGTCTGGAAGGAGAGAACAGGAGTGATTGCTAATGGTACAGGGTTTCTTTTTTTTTTTTTTTTCTTTTGTTTTGAGCTACTACTTTTATTTTTTAATTGACAAATTATAATTGTACATATTCATGGACTATATAGTGATATTTCAATAAATATAATGTATAGTGATCAGATCAGGGTAATTAGGATAACCATCATCTCAAACACTTATTATTTCTTTATATTGGGAATATTCAATATCCTCCTCCCAGCTATTTGAAGCTCTCTATTATTGTCAAGTATGGTTATCCTACAGTGATATAGAACACTAGAAGTTATATAATCCCAGCACTTTGGGAGGCCGAGGCGGGTGGATTGCTTGAGGTCAGGAGTTCAAAACCAGCCTGACCAAAAAGGTGAAACCCCATCTCTACTAAAAAAAATACAAAGATTAGCTGGGCGTGGTATCGGGTACCCGTAATCCTAGCTACTCCAGAGGCTGAGGCAGGAGAATCACTTGAACCTGGGAGACGGAGGTTGCAGTGAGCCGAGATCACACCAATGCACTCCATCCTGGGCGACAGAGTGAGACTCCGTCTCAGAAAAACAAACACAAAACACTTTTGCATCCTTTAACAAATCTTTCCCTGTCCCTCCTGTCCCTCCCCAACTTCCCAGCCTACAGTATTCTCTGTTTGACTTTTTACTTCAACGAGGTCAACTTTTTTTTAGCTTCTACATATGAGTGAGAATGTAACGTCCTCTATTTCCATCCATGTTTCCAGAAATAAAATGATTTTATTCTTTTTAAGGCTTATGGCATTACATTGTGTATATTTACCACATTTTCTGTACCCATTCATCTATTATTGGACAGCTTGATATAGTTGATTCTATATCTTGGTTATTATGAATAGTGCTGCAAGAAACATGGGGGCACAGATGTCTCCTAGATACACTGATTTTCTTTCCTTTGAATAAATGTCCAGTAGTGGGATTGTTGAGTCATATGCTAGCTCTATTTGTAGTTTTTTTTAGAAACTTCTATACTATTCATCATAGTGTTCAGGGTTTCTTTTTGGAGGAAAAGATTCTGGAAATAGAGAGTGGTGATGGTTGAACAATCTTGTGAATATGCTACATATTCTACAAATATTATAAAGAGATTTTGTATATACATAATTTAAGTTATATGTACTAAAACATACTAAATGCATTGAATTGTATACTTTAAAAAGAATTGTGTAGTATGTAAATTATATGTTGTGAATTTTAAGAAATGTAAGCTTCCCAAACTGGAAAACAAATAGTACCTACAAGGGAACAAGAGTCAAATTAGAATTAAACTTCTCATCAATAACATCAGATACTTGAGGAAAATGTAACAATATTTTTAAACTTATGGAGTAAAAGCATTTTGAATAAAAATTCTATAACCATCTAAACTAAGATTCAACTGTGACAACAGTAAAATTTTTGTATGTACAAGAACTCAGAGATTTTCAACCCATAACTATTTCTGGAAAAACACTAGCAAAACAGAAAGAAAATCAAAGAAAGAAAATGATAGATTAAAAAAAGGAAAAAGTTATGGCAATATAAGGAGAAATATACACGTTTACGTGTAAATATGTCATAAAGCTTCAGGAAATTCTAAAATAAAAAGGCTCAAGAAAGAAAAGATAATGGGGAAAAGATCATATTTTGAAACTAAATATTACATTCATACATGCAAATTAGCAAAAAATGTGTAAATATCTTATAGCAGGTAGGAATTATATGGATTAATTGTAGATACTGATATATCCATATATATAAAAAGTAAGTACAAGCTATTTCTCCAAAGTGTCATCCAATACTTCTCAGCAGACTAATCTTGCCTCTGAAAACTAGAAAAGCTGCATAAAGTTTTTAAAAGTCTCTTTGGTAGCATTAGACTTTTAAGGATAGCCAGGATTTGAGGGGCCAAGATCCAGCAGAAAACTTCTGCTGTCAGGCTAAAGATCTAAGAAGGATCAGTTTCCAAATGCTGAGGAAACAGAAACTGGAATTTGAGACCAGCCAAGGTGGAAGAGACCTGGTAAACACCACAGAGTTTCAACTAAAACTCCTAAAGTATTATACTTTAGGAATTAAGACTAACAGGAAATAGAATAGACCTTACAAAGACTGAAAGCCAGACTTAAAATCAGCTCAATCCATCATTTAATTAAAGAAATTTTCTCCTACATTGCCTGCCTGCCAGAAGCTAAGGGAAACCATTTCTAGAATAGGATAACATCATTCAGAACTCTGACAGTTTAAAATTAACAACTTCCAGCAATAATAAAACCCTATTAATCAAGACAGAACCAAGAGAAAACATAAGCATTAGAAATGCATCCACAGGTTTTCCAGATATTGGAATTATCAGACATGAGCTTAAACTGTGATTAATACACTCAAGAGGATAAAAGGGAAATGGAGAAGTTCACCAGGAACTAAAATATTTAAAAAGGAATCAATTTAAAATTGTCATACTGATAATACCAGAACTAAAACTAAAATCTCAAAATACAGACTTCATTAGACACAGCTGAAAGGTGAACTGATAATCTGAATTGTAGATCAAAAGCTGATGATCAAAGACATAAAAGAATATAAAATTCAGGAAAGAAGCTTAGAAACAAATGGAGCATGCTAAAATGTCTACATAATTAGAGCCTTAGAAGGAGAAAAGAGACAGATATGAGGCAGAATCAATATTTGAAGAGGTAATAAATGAACATTTTCTAAAACTAATGAAGACATCAACCCACAAATTCAAGAAATGCAGCAAGCCTCAAGAAGAATAAATATGAAGAAATAACCTTTAAAATTCAAAGACAGAGAAATATTAGGAGCACCAAGAACAACAAAAACAGGCATTATCTTAAAAGGAGGAAAAATAATGCTGAAACCTGAGTTCTTCAGAAGAAAAAAGGAGGAGGGATGGAATAGTGAGGATTCTCCAGAGATATAGGAACAATGGGAGATACAGAGAAAACAGAGAAAGATATTTATAATGTGAGATTGGCTCAAGCAATTTTGGAGGCTGAGATGTCCCATAATCTGCCACCTACAAGCTTGGGACCCAGGAAGTCTGGGGCATAGTTTCAGTCCAAATGAAAAGAACTGAGAACCAGGGAAGCCAGTGGCATAAGTCCCAGTTTGAGTCTGAAGGCCCAAGAACCACGAGTGCCAATGTCTGAGGATGGAAGGAGATGGATGTTTCAGCTTAAACAGAAAGAGCACATGTGTCTTTCTCTGACTTTTTGTTCTGTCCTGGCCCTCAGCAGATTGGATGACGTCTGCCCACATTGGTGAGGGTGATCTTGTTCACTCAGACAATTGATTCCAATGCTGACCTCTGTCAAAGACACCCTCACTGACACACCCATAACCCATTGTTTTACCAGCTATCTGGGCATCCTTTAGCCCAGTCAAGGTGACACACAAAATCATCCACCATGCGGATAACCCAGAAGAAAAGAGAATAATATGTTTACACTTTAAGAAAAAAAGTGAATGCCTACCTTGACTCATACCTTTGGAAATATCAAAAAATGAAGACTAAATAAAGACATTTGCACACTAAATTGAGAGAATCCATTTCCAGCAGATCCACAATAAAAGACACACAAAAAACAGTTTTCCATGCAAAAATAATATGAAAGTAAAGCATAAAAATGAAGGAACAATAAAGATCAATGGAAAATCAAAAGGTAAATATGCAGAAAATTAATATAAATATTAACCATATAAAATAGTAATATATGATTTAGGGAATTCAATGCTTAGAAATAAAATACATGACAGGAAAACAAAAATAGAGGTTAAATGACTTGAAACTGTACTAAGTTTCACTTGGGAAGTGGCAAATGTACTAATTTATATTAAGCATTAGTGATCAAGATTATGATCAAGATTAATGTCAACTCTAGGATAACCACTAAAAAACAGTAAAATAATGTAACTAGCTATCTAATAGAAAAAAATAAAATGAAAAAGAAGAAATCCTGATTAATCTTTATTAAAAGACAAGAAGGGGATTAAAAATATAGAACATATGAGAAAAAATAGAATATAAATAGTAAAATGACAGATTTAAGTCCAAATGTATTATGATCCACATTAAATTTTTTAATTAAAAATAGTCCAAAGGTTATCAGACTGGGGTAGAAAACAAACTTTAAATATGTTCTGCATACAAAAAAATGCCTTAAATTTAAGGATACAGGTAATGTAAAAGTAAAAAGATGAGAACATATAATCCATGCAAACATTAATCAAAAGAAAACTGATATAGTTATGTTAACATCAAAGTAGACTTTAAGGCAACAAACATTACTAGAAATAAAGAAAAAAATAAAGTGTCAATCAGTCAGGAAGATATAAAACTTGTAAATGCCTATGCAACTAATAACTTTAAAATGTTTTAAAATGGTGGAAAGTGTTAAAAGGGAAAAATAGAGAAATTCACTGTCATTAAGTGAGATATTATAACATACTTCTCTGACTGCTAGCACAGCAAACAGAAAACAATTTCATAAGGATATAAAATATTTAACAACATAGTTAATCTAGTCAACTTATACAAAACACTGCATACAGCAAATGCAATCTGTACATAATTTCCAGGTGCGCATGAAACATATACAAAAATTAAACACATGCAGGGCACAAGGTTAGTCTCTACAGAACTTAAAATATTAAATCATATGCAGAATATATTTGGACCAGTGTGGAATTAAGAAAAAAAGAAATAAGTAGAAAAAAAAGCAAATATATTAGAAATTAAACAATGTATTTCCAAATAACCTATGGGTTAAATAGAAAATATCAATAAAAATTTGAAAAATATTCTAACTGAAAGGGAATGAAAAGATCACAGGTCGTAAATGAATGACAGAGAAAAGTCAAACATTTATAGGTTGAAATGAATGTACTAGAAAAGCTTTTCATTCTCAAGATCTACTGATGTGTACAAGGTGACTAATTTTATTAAAAGGAGAAATCTTTACCTTCAAACATATCCGGACATTTTACTCTTCTTCTGGTAGTGGGGTAAAGGATTAGGGAGGAAGATGAGAGTATTATTACTTGGGAAACATGCTTTGCTTCGTTTTTTAATCTGGAAAGGATTTTCGCTACTTTATGCTTTCTCTTTCAATGATTATTCTCATTTTTACCATTTTGGCAATTAGGAAAACATAACCAGAAGCAGTCTTTTTTGTTAGATTTTTGCTTGTCTTTTGGGAGTTAGTGTTCTTCACTAACACAAGAGCATCTAGCATTTACTTTTCTTCTAGTTTTTTGACAGTGGATCCAACAACAGCTAGAGTGGCGGGCTTGAAAGACCCGCTCCACATTCCCCATAAATGAGTACCCAATGAAGGAGCCACCCTGCGCCATTTTCATTTTCCTCACAGTTTTTCAGGAGATGAAAAATCTTAAGCTTATTGCTCTTGGGCCGTTTCTTTTGGGGAGTAGTGTAGGACTTCATTCTGGTCTTGGAATCACAACATTGAGCTTTAACACAGGATGAAATAGGAGCTCCTTCTAAAGGCCAAAGCCAGAGAGAATGCAACCATCTCTCAGGAACTTGCCAGTAAAACCTGATCTGCTGATCAGTAGAATCTTTTTTTTAATCCTGAACTTGGCCTCTACGTTGTCCATTATATCCAAAGGTTCATACTCAAGAATGATATTTTTCCCCTTTAGCTTTTGTATGAATATTTCTGTCCTTCTGGGGGTTCCACTTGCAGAAATGGGAAAAGGTGAGTTTCACTCAATGGAACAGTAGGGCATATGGCAAAGGTTTCTAGCCAACATGCAGCAAAAGAGAGTACATGCCAATACTGTACTTATTAAAAACTGAAAGTTTTTAATCATAAACAACTTTGAAAATCTGAGAAATGTTATTTTCCTTATCTCTGGAACAAATTTACACATGCAAATACAAATGCTGCAGTCAAGGCATTCATAGAATGTGTGGTGTCCATGTATGGGCATGGATTTCAAGATCCCTAGATCAAACACTCTAAAAAAAAATAGAATACAATTTTGAAAATTAAAACTCTCATGGGAAAGTAAATAGAAATACGTATTTTAAAAATATGCCAACCTACTCAAAAGTTCAGACTCAGCACTCAACACATTAGTGCCATGCATTGTTCTTCCTCCACTTAAGGAACTGTCATCAACAATGCCTTTCACTTTTCCAGGTAGCATATTCACTGAAGCAAGACAGTGCAAAAAGAAACCAACACAAAAAAAGAATAAAAAAAAGAAAGAAATCTCAGCAAATTTAAGATCATGCACTTGATAAAACTGTTTTCTTAGCTAGACACAGTGTGAAATTCTTTTCACGGTTTTCAGTCTAAGTAATTTGATCAGATCACTATTCCGCTTCAGCATGTCACCCAGTACTGCTCACTTACTCTGAGTGCCTCCTTGAACATGTTTCCTCTCATTCAAGTTCCTTTCCACTGATGGAACAAGAAGATTAACAGGATTAGGTATCTCTTATTTTTTCTTATTCAGACTGGGAAAATTGTGTCTGATTTTTTAAATGTTTTATTTTATTGGTCTACTTTTGACAGGTTCAAGATTTTCCCTACCCACTCCTATCCCTTTGTAAAAGTCTACATAATTTAAAAAGATTATCTTCTAAACTTTCTTTGCTGTTAAACTTGCTCAAGAAAATACCATCTGACCCTATTTATTAGCATGTATTTTCATTCTCTAAAATGGGAAATAAGGGACCCTAGTATGATGTCCTCTGAACAATGTATCTTTAATTAAGAAAATATATCTTCCTCTGATTCTAGACTTTCTACTTGATTCTTTCTGTACTGTTGTTAAGTTATTGATTTGGAGATAAGGAAATATGGAGAGAGGGAATAAAAACAAAACAATGAAATAATTTAAGTACCTGCTAAGTTAAACGAGAAAATGTCATTTTCTCTCATTTTATCCTCATGTTAATTCTGATACAGGGACTTGTACTCCAAATGGTCTCTATCTTTCCTAGCCTGTGGGTAGACTAGTCATCAATGACATCATTGCTAAGATCTGGCTGTTTCATAGTCCCCACTCCATAACCACAGCACTCAATGCCCTTCTGCCCCTCTGCTCCACCCACTCGGGCCTCCCAGTTTGCAGCTGCAGGGCATCTTGGGAAATTCAGCTCCCCCTTGTTTAGTTAACCACCTTCTCCAAGCCACCTGAGGATGAACCACAGATGCTTGTTCCTCTGTGAAAACTGGGCTTCTTGCTCAGCATTCTGGCTCTCAACTCCCAAAGTTGTAAAACCTTCCAGCTGTGAAACACCATCACATGACCCTTTAGCTCACTGTGCCACACCTACCTAGACCCTCCCTCAACTCCTATCTTCCAAATAGGATTTTTTTTTTTTTGAGAATGAAACAGGGCATTATTAATGATTGCATGAGGACTATGGGGATAAATTGAGACTGCTGCATACAAACCAAGACCAGTGATTATCTTGGGGCAACACTGCTTGTCCCACTAGAACTAAAAAAGTCTTTATGAAAACAGTTTTGCTTCCTTCTTTCCTTTTCCTTTGGATTTACTGCGTTGTGTTCCTTTCCCAGAAGAAAAAAAAAAGTGTTTCCAGTTGGCTTAATCAACCACTGAGTTTTTTCACTCAATAGTCATTTTTTTTATTTATAGAAGTTCAATTTGGTTCTTTTGCAAATTTACTCATGATTTTTATTAGTCTCCTGTTCCTGAACCATCTTTTCTACTCCATATTTTGCTTCTTTTAAACAGTTATCTATGTATGTACTTTACAATATCTTATCTTGCTGAGCTTATGCTGTTGTTTGCAGTTTCTGCTGGACTCATTTATGGTGGTTCCCTTTAATAATGTGTTGTATAATTTAGGATCATAAAGTTATAGCTCACTGATTTTAACTGGTGGTCATCTTTGGGCCCCTAGGTTGAGGGCATATTCTTCCAGAGAGTCCCACTTGCTCATGTTGAGTGTCCTAGGGCACTGCCATCCTAGAGGTCATTTAAATTAATGCTTGGTTTGGGATTTCCTAACTCACGCAATTATGTAGATTCAAACCCCATACATGAAAAAAGAAGAAATTTTCATTAATATATTAATTTTTCACTTGGTGCCAAGACTTAGGCAGCCAAGTTTGCCTATTTTGTCTCTCTCCCAGAGATCAGTTATTTTATTCCTAACCCACCTTTTCCTAAGTATATAGTTCATGAGAAAATCCGAGTTCATTTCTTCATCTTCTACAGGGTCAGTGTTTTATTTTCTATCTCTGTGTAGCCAACCCAAGACAGCTAAAGCATCACTGCTTGCATACCACTCGGTTTTCAGCTCTGTCTTAGCTTTTGGTCCCAGGTTATATCTCTTATCTTGTTTATATATTTACAGACTTGTTTACACACATACTTTGTGAACTCAACTATGTGCTTTAAAGTGTTTCTCTATTTTATTCAATATTTCTAGGTATTCTGTAAGGAGAGAATATTTGGAACATTTTAGTTTTACCACATTGTCAGAAGCAGAATTCTGAAATAATATTTGTTGTATGGTAAGCTTCCTAAGTTTTAGAAATTTCTTTTACTCTTACAGATCTTTTACTTGGTAAATCATCAAGATCCAGGAGGAAGACATGTCGAATTAAAAATAAAGCCCCTTCTCAGTTGTCATGAGAAGCCATGGTCTCTAATCTTTAGTAAAACCCTTGGTGAATAAGATGACAGACATTGCATGAGTTAATAACTTACTATGTTTGTGATGAAAATCATATGCCATCCTGATGAAACTAGAGTCTCCAAATTATGAATGAGTCAAAATGCAGGATACAGGCAAACTTTTATCAACTATTAATGTAATTGCTTCTCTTCATCTCCTTTTTTTTTTGTTTTGATTATAACTCCAGTCAGCGGACTTTTTCTACACTTAAATGAACCTGTTCCACTACCGATATTTTATGTAAGTCAGTGGGATGTCTGGGTTCAGGAAATGAGAGTCCCTTTAGACATGTTGAAAAAAAAATGGTCTATATGCTTCCTTCTCTTTCCACCTTCCTTCCACTGACTGACATAGTGCGCAATTCCTTAATCTTATAGTGTGGATTGATCAGCACTGGGCCACTTATGTTCAGGATTAAAACAAGAGGAAAATTGCAATTTTTCCTAAATCCTTAATTCTAAAAATGGTAAGCCACATTGGGTTATACTTACAATATTACCTATAATGCTGGCTCCAAGAATAGAGATGTAGCAAAAATTATTTCCAGACTTATTATACCCAACACAATGTAATACTACCATGAATGTATAAAAATGGGTTTATGATAGCTTTTTTATGTGTCTATTTCTAATATTATATTCTGAAAAGAAAGCATTCCGTTCATTCTTCAACAGCTCTTATCAGATTGCTACTAATTTTATAGTTCAGTTCTCTGCAAAAATTAGCTCTGCAGTTTGGAACACAGACCATATAATTTTAAAAGGTCATAGAATTGAGACTATGTGCTGAAATGTACCATGCACCTTAGCAAGAGGAGTATAAGCATTAAGAGGAACTACATCTTGTTTGCCAGGGAATGGAATAAAGTCTTTCAAGAAGAGATTCCTCCCACTTGCGTCAGACAGCTCAGGAGAGATTCCCAAAGGCCAAGAAAGATAACGGTGAGTAATCCATTTTTACTTCTACCAAAGAAAGCAAGAGAAAGAATTAATACATTTGAATATAGATAAATGTTTGTACTAAAATCCAGATTCCTCAAAAACAAAAAAATTTAAAACATTTCACAGCATCATTCAACAATATAATCCTTAACTTCAAAACCCCTCAAGCCAGAAAAGGAGACTTCTGAATATATCGTAACCTACCAGCTCTGAAAATAGATATCCATTAACTTGGCTGTTAAGTATGCCACCAGTGCATCCAGCATCTATCAGGTGGTTTCTTC
This sequence comes from Homo sapiens, assembly GCF_000001405.40. NCBI lineage: Eukaryota > Metazoa > Chordata > Mammalia > Primates > Hominidae > Homo > Homo sapiens. The sequence goes on along the minus strand of NC_000013.11, from coordinate 103,312,318 downwards.
TAGGCCAAAGCAGACCATTCCCAAAATAGTCCATGCCAGCAAGTGTGTCTATGGGCTCTCAGATCCAGGTGATCTAAGATGTGTTGGAGCTAAATCGTAAGACAGTCAAGGAAGAATTTTTAAGAACAAGGACAGCAAAGAGGAAAGACAAATGAGGAGTTTTTGGACCTCTCTGGGGAACCCATTTGGGCTGGGCACTTTTTGAACTGCTTCAATGTCTCAAGTGTGAATTATCCCTCCCCCTTTTTCCAATAGCAGATTGAGACTAGCTTATAGTCAGTTTTAAATTGCAAACACAGACAGAAATTTCCTAACACCTAGTCTGACTTGTTGATTACACAGCCAACAAATTCTGAAAAGATTAATAAGGTGCTATGTAAAACAAAATTTGGAAGTATCCACCCAAGACCTTTTGAAATCTAAGTGTATTATAGGTTTTACTAACCCTGAAGGGGAACCTTAGCCAGGCTGATAGATTCTATAATGGGTAAATTTAGGGGAAAATTGTCATTTGAAAACTCAATTTGTTGAATTTGGTCTGAAAACCAGGTCTTCAGAAGAAAGATCAACTTCCATTTTTTTAATATAGCAACTATTTTATGAGTGGTGAATGTTTACCTTAATACAATGTTGATTTAAAATATTTCAAGCAGAAAAAATACTTTGAAAATATGATTTGTTTCTTCAGGAAACATTATTAATTCCACAAGCATATAGACCCAGGGTTTACTGTATCTTTGGAAAGGTCAATTATCTTTCACCCCAAGATTACTGACCTGTTATTTCGTTTGATAAATCAACTGAATTTGACATCTAAGAGTTACCTGATATTTATCTTTCAATGAAATGGCTCCACTCTCAAAATCAATGATTTAATCATCTCACTAGTTCTATCCTTAAAATTTCTTGTATAAGCATGCCTATGAAAATACCTCGTAAACATCATGAAGACCTGCAATCTGCTGGCCTCTCCACTGTCCCCTCCCTTCTTCTTTATTCTTTAAGCTAGAATTCATGATCCACCATTATGGTCAATTCCTTGTAAACATATTCACTCTCTCTTTGTTCCTCCACCACACTCACTTGGAAAATTAAAAGCGGTCATTCAGTTAGTCAACATCTGACTTCCCCATGTTGGCCATCTGTACAGCTGGAAATTGCTGGATAAAATCACATAGAGGATGATTCAACACCAGCCAAGATTCCAAATGCATTTCCAAATAGCATCAATAATCTCTTTCTCTCTCTCTCTCTCTCTCTCTCTCTCTCTCTCTCTCTCTCTCTCTTCCCTTCCCCTCCCCCTCCCCCTTTCTTTCCCCAGCCCTCTCATCTCTTTGATACATCTTTGGTATTTAGAAAAGGATGCATGTTTTGTTCCAATGGTTACATTTGTAAACCTGCTTCAACAATTATTTATCCACGATGAAACTTCATTAACTCCTTAGAAAGCCTGTCTCATATCATGGTCTCCCTCCTCAAACCCTACTTTCTCCTTTCATCTGCACACATTAACCAGTATTTCACTGAGGCAATCCTCAGACAGGATCTGGTCTTCCCGTTTCTTATAATTTTACCCATATTTATTTTCTTTTGTAAAAATAGAGGAAGGTTTTTGTTTTTGTTTCCTAGCTAATGAAGAATCTATCCATCCATCTCCGTCCAAGAAAGTCCTTACTTTCTTGGAGTGACCCCTCTCTCTCTTTTGCATTCTCAATCTCTCTCTTATTACTGGGTCTTTGTCTTCAAACAAAAAAGCTCTATAATCTGCCATTATATACAATAAAAAGAAAGAGAAAGAAACCCTCCCTTGGTTTCTTATCCTTCTCCAGGTACTCTCACATTACTCTGCTTCTCTTAAAAGGCACATTTTAAAATATTGCCTACTGATTATCTCTGCTCTTGAATTTCTATGCACTGGTTGACTTATTTCAATCTGGATTTTTCGCTCACTATTGCAATGAAAATGATGCCAAGGTCACTAGTCATCTAAATGTTGCCAAATCCAACAGACAGTGCTAATTCTACTATGCTATGTGCAGGAAGCAAATGGAACAGTTGACTATTCTTTGCTTCCTGAAATGCTTTTCTATTAAGGCTTTCCCTATGCCACCTACCATGGACTGAATATTTATGAATTGCCCCCAAAATCATATGTTGAAGCCTTAACAAGCAATATGGATGTACTTGGTGATGGGGCCTCTAAGGAAGTAACTAAGGTTAAGTAAGGTCATATGGGTGGGACTTGATCAAATTTTCATGTCCTTATAAGAAGAGATAGCACAAAAGCACTCTCGTGCTCTCCTTTGTACCACACTCTCTCTCCACACCTTCCTTCAGAGAAAAGGCCATGTAAGGACAAATCAGCCATCTGCAAGCAAGAAAGAGAGGCTTCACCAGAAACCAACCATGCTGGCACCTTGATCTTTGACTTCCAGCCTCCAGACTCTGAGAACATAAATTTCTGTTGTTTACCCAGTATGTGGTATTGTGTTATGGCAGCCTTAACAGACTAAGATGCCATCTTCTCCAGATTGTCTTCCAACTCTTTCACTGCTCCTTTACAATTCCAGCTGGTCTACCCTGGTGTAAATATGGGAGCCTCTTACAGCTGAACCTTTCTCTTCTCTCTTTATTTCCTCTGCCAAAGCAGTCTCCAACTTTTTCATAGTTCTAACTACCATCTGAATGCTGCTGACTCCCACGATTATATTTCCGGTTTAAATTTCTTCTGGAGTTTCCAGAATTTTATATCAACTGGTTATTGATAGAAAAAAAATGTTAAAACATTTTGCTGCTCCTAAAGCTTCTGCCCAGAAGTGACACACTTTAATTCCCATTTCCATAGCCATGCCATTCATCAAAGCAGGTCACCTGGCCATGTGTGACTTTGATGTACTGGTGATATGCAAACATAACATGTACCTGGAAGAACAGACGGGATCATAATTTGTGATCACTCCCAGTACTATCACAACCCCAAGATGTATTTCTTTTCCGTATGGCCAAGGTGTCTTCTACATCTTATCCATCGACAGCACCATTCACTCTGTTGTTACAAGTATATTAGCACACTTGATTCCTTCTTATCCTCATCTCCCACACACAATCCTTTGTTAATTCTGTACATTTGACCTTCAACAAATACCTAGAATGCATCTCTTGCCATACGCATGCCAACGATGGAGTCCAAATCACCGCTATCAATTACCTGAACAAATATGACATCATTATAACAGAAGTCCCCACTGCCTGCCTTTCTCTTGCCCTGCATTTTCTACTTTGCCATATTTCAGGTAGAATGGTATATTGGAAGCAAAAAAAAGAAAGTCCACCTTTTCCCAACGTGATTTGCACCACTTTTCTCATTCACTGTGCTCCAGCCAGGCTGGCTTTGCACCTGCTTTGTCTTCTTCCCGTTCACCCCCAGCTGTTCACATGGCCGTATCCTCAGCCTTAACTATCAGCTTAAATACTATTCTCAGGCAGGATTTTCCCAATACCTTATTTTAGCAGTGACTCACATACACACCACCCCCACTTTATTTCCATTGCAGAACACTGTTCCTAACACTTGAGTAAATTTGCAATTGGGTATGCATTTACATTTACTTATCCGTTATTTGTCTCCTCCAGCTGGCATGACCTTTATCTTTCTTATTTTTTAGTATATCCCTGGCACGAGCATAGTGCCTTAGTAGATGACAAACACTAAGCCTGCAAAGCTCAGGCCATTGTTTACTGGAGCAAAAGACAGGCTTCAAATTCACTTTTCTGATTCTCTTACTATTTTGTTCACAGTGTATGCTCAGTGAGTACAATGGGACCTTGTCTATAATATGCATGCAACAAATATTTGTTCAATCAATGAATGACTGAATATGGCAAAATATATCAGAAACAAATATTAGATTATTTGCAGTTTTTATTGGCTTCATTTTTATTGGCCTTTGACCTTGTGAATAGGAAGGAATCATTTGTGGTTCATGCTATGTTATTTTTGCCTAGACCCTGGTAACTAACATGTGAAGGGCATGTACTACTCAACTTCCTGCTGAGGGCCCAAACTGGAAAGAAGGAAGACCTTTTGACACAGCAATTAAAATGTCCAACTGGAGAGTTCAGGATCATCCTCAGACTCCATTCTTTTAAACCTACTGCTTTTGAATATGCACAAACTTCTCATGCTATAAAGAAAACAAATTTGTTATATCATATTTTAGCACATCTATTGTTATTATTATTTATAACCAGAATGTTTGGAACATATAAATTATCCTGCTACCAAATTAATTACAAATTAAAATAGCTAAGCATCAAATATTCTAGGAATAAAATTATTGGTAAACATTCCCCACTTCAGACAGCTTATAAATAAGGATCCCATTTAACGAGGGAATATTTTGTTACTTTAGTATTAATTTTTCAACCATTTTCAAAGTAACATTGAAGATATTTAGTGGGGCCATGAGGAGTATCAGTTTGCATGTACCTTGAAGTGTTTTCAGGCTGAAACTATTTTATCCATGCCATGTAGAGTAAAATCTTTGGACTTCTGCCACTAATTTATCTGTTCAATAGAGCAAGTTTCAAATAAACATTTAACCAGAATCCTGGGCTAGTTAGAAGACTATGGACTATGAGATAACCTTGAACAATCATAGATAACTTTCTAAGTAGACTTGTGTCCTTAGTGAGCTCCTCAGTTTTATGAAAATATAGCAACTATGTTCATTCCCCAGTTCCTGCCAGGGCAACATGAAAATGTACAGAGTTAATCTATGAACCTTAATAATTCAATCAGCAAATATTTTATCCAAGATAGATTTCTCAGAAGACATCTGGTCTACCCATTCTTCCAATTAGTTCTCAACAAAAATGGCAGTGACTGAATAATGCATCAGCAAAGACTTCAGAACCTCCCTAACACCGCAATGGCCCTCTGCAGAACTGCTTTTGAGTGAGTTGCTCTTGCTATGACCTCATCAGCCTAGATGGAAAGCCACTCGAAGAGCCCAGTGATGCACAATTGTTATGTCTTGTGGGAACTTGTTGTCCAGAATGGTGTTAATTGCATCACAATGTTTTATTCTTTTTTAAATGAAAAACCTCAGGAGATATTTCTATTATTTTGAAGATCTTGAGTAATTAACTAAATTTATTTTGATTTCCATCTTCTTTTGCCTCATTTTTAATTTGTGTTTGTGTTCCTTTGTCATGTATATACCATAATAAATATTTTTTGGAATTAGGATATATATATATACACACACACACACACACACACATATATACCTATATACATATATATATACACATACATATATGTGTGTACACATATATACACAAATATGCACACACACATACATGCACACATATATCCAAATATATACCCAGATATGCATATGAATATATAATATACTTTACATATATATAAAATATATGACTCCCTCCTCTAACAACCCCCTCTAACCAAGTTATTAACCTTCCTTTTTTTTGGACAATCTCTTAAGCTAAAGAAATAAATCTATAATAATGCAATTACCCCCAGTGGAAACAACAGGGGAGAGATTAGTGAGTAGGCTGAAAGATATCCAAGTGACACTCAAATTACAAGTTAGCAGTTACCTATAGCATCTAACCACTGGACGATTCCAATGTACACACAACTTTCAAAATCAATTTCAGCCCAGATTTCAAACAGAAAATCAGAGCTAAGCCTCCTGACTTTCATTCTCTTTTTGATTGATCTTTGGTCATCATTAAGCTATTTAGCAGCGTTCCTTTTCCATAATGCTTCCTCCTGTATTTCTCCTTACAGACAAGAAAAAAACACCGAGAAAGTCTCCTAAATATCAAAAAATAATTTATTCATATCATCGCTTGAGCCTGGGAGGCGGAGGTCACAGTGAGCCAAGATTATGCGACCGCATTCCAGCCTGTGCAGCAGAGCTAGACTCGGTCTCATAAATCAACCAATCAATCAATTTCCCCAAGATCACACAGCCAGACCAATCATTCTGGCCCTGAGCCCACCTGACAAAGACTAACATTTCAGCTCTGCTGTGCACTACCTGTGTCTCTCTAGGTGAGTTATATAATTTCTCTAGGGTTGAGTTTCCTGAGCTATAAAATGGAATAATATGAAACTACCTGATATTAAAAAAACACTTACATGGTTGCTAAATATTTATTGGTAAGTGCTAAACACTATTTATTTTTACTGTTATTCCCATTTTAGTTATAGTTTTGTTGCTGTTATAAGTAATTTCAGGTTTTTTACTTAGAAATGTAAGTTAAGGCTGAAATAGGGGTTTAGCATAAACATTACAATACCAATGCCTGGTATCATTCATGCAAAAGTGGATACTAGTGTCTATAAAATACCTGAGGACAACAGCCAGCTTTATACTTCTTTGTGGTGGGTAACTGAACACAGTAAATGCTTACTAGATGCTGAGTGAACTAAGGGGTTCACTCATACTCTCCACCCCTATCAATGCATACTGGAATGTTCATGGATTGTTATGGGACCTAGTGCCATAACACAGTAATAGTGACTATGCCTCAGCACTCAATGCCATATGAGACTAGAGAGCATTACTATGGTTATAAAAGGCAACACGGAGGAATGGGGAATTCAGCCTCCTCCCTCAGCTACCCAAGGCATTCACTATGGGGAAACTCTCAAAATCCTTAATACTTACAGGGAAGTTCAGACAAATATCACTGCAAAGTGGTTTTGCTCTTTCTTCCTGTAGGGCTTTCATCTGTAAGACACCTTTGCTGATAGGATTAAGCCCCATAGGAAGAGTCATTCCGAAGACAAAATTGCCAGCTTCATTCCCTGAGGATTTGAGATTTCACTACAGCGTGCTCACTCTGTTTCCTGTATTTCTAGCTATGTGTTGCAAACTGGTCTCTCACTTTTGTAAACCCTATTCTTGGTTGAGATTTTTTAAAGTAAAAACTTTAAGAGAACAAAATGTAAACAGTTTCAAAATTCATATGTAATATATCTCTAGATTAAAAAAAAATAAAGGAATAATAAAGGCAAATCCTAGACAAACAATTTGAATCACAAAATGATAATGTTTCCTTGAGAAATACAGTAAAAGGAAATCTGAGTCCAGTGACGTTGTCATAGACTAAATTATTTTAAAGAAATCCAGTTTTGGTCTCTAAATACGCAGTCCTCTAGAATAATTTCCAGGAGCACTGAAACAGTCAAAAGAAAGAAGGCAGTTAGTTAAATGTCATGAGACACAGTACAGAAAAGCAATGTTATTGCAACCATAATCATTTGCTAACATCTTGAACTTGTAACAGCTACCTTAAACATATGCTTCCTCACCATCATGGCATGTTCAATATCTTTGCACACTTGGAAGCATAAAACACTAATTTCCATAACCCTGTTATTACAGGAGCCGAGGAACAGAGAAGATTGGTGAGGTGGTAACTTAAAAGCCATTCAGAAAGATGATGGCTTTTAAGGTGGTATGATATCAGGCTAAGAAGTTATGCTAAGCATGGGACATCAACACTTTAAGGAATTGTGTGTGTCCATTAGAAAAAAAAAAAACTCTTGCTGAATTTTAGCCCTTTTTTCTTAAAAATGCACTACTCTTACTTATAATCGTTTGAAATGGATTTTTTTATATGCATATGCTACTTCTAGGAATGAGGTTTATTCCTTTAGGTCACTTTACTACCCGACATAGGAAACTTTTTATAAAAGAGAGTGTTGTACATGATTCCCAATGTTTTTTTTTTGGTTTGTAGAAAAATCCCCCTCAATTTTTCGGCACAATGCATTTCATTCATTTAGTTAGTCAGTCAGTCATTATTTCAAGAAATGTTTCTGTCTATGTGTTTGTGTGTGTGTGTGTGTGTGTGTGTGTGTGTGTGTGTGTGTGTGTTATGTGTTGGGTTAATAATGGTTAGCAAAATGGGACACAGCTCTCCACTCATTGATTTTTCATTGTAATGAGCAAAATGAGTATTTATAATTAAACGCATATTTGTAACAATATAAAAATATAATTTTATATAACATAAAAATTATAATATCATGTAACAACTGTGATAATTGCTACAAATAAAAAGGATGTGTCTTTGTTAATGTCTAAAAGGTAGAGACACTAGGGATTTTTATTTCAACATGGATAGAGACTATTATAATAGTCAATGACAGCCTCATTGCAGATTAGATCACAAGAATAATGGGAAATTGCCACCTCATTTAGAATCTGAAATCTAAAGCTGGATGAAACATTGCCTTGTAATAAACAAACAAGCAAAAAAAAAAAGTTCCCTTTGTCTTGTAAAATCTCTTAAAAAATGCAGACTTCTGCTCTCTACATAGTTATCCTCTTAACAATACTGAGAAATCAGAACCTGATTATTATAAAAGCTGGAACTGCAATTTATCAAAATAATGGGAAATCTAAAACATATCTTAAAAATACCTAATAAAATTTTTCCATTAAATCCAGACTCATTTTTAAGTGAAGACTAGAGGCACGTTCCAAATTTCATGTTTTGCTTGCTTGTCCCAACTTAGTCCTCTCTACTGAAAATCATAAAAGAGCAGAGAAATAAAGTAACAAAATATAAAACATCATTCTAATAACTTATTTCAGACAACATCTCTGTTTATCAGTGGGGTGATTGGGTGATTAGGTGATAAAAGAAATCCTTTTCGTTTTTCTTAATGGATATCACCAATGAAGATATACGTTCCTAAATGACCATTGTAAATGCCTGTTCTACAAATACAAGCCAGACACAATATGCAGAAAACAATCTCTTACTCCTGAAATCACTTTCATGATATGACACATTTCAGTACCTGGATTTATGGAGCTGTTCAAATTCCCATAGTAATCATGGGATAATGAACCCCTTTGGTCGGATAGCCACAGGCTCTAAAATGGATTATTTGTTTTAGAAGAAAAAAAATGAGTAGACACGAACACTATATTAATGGCTAGCTTAATGCACTTTTTGTTTTTCTTTTCCTTTATGAAAATGTTCTGATTGTATCTATGTAAAAACTCATAGTTTTTATACCAGAAGATAAAACTCACAATATAATGGCACACTTGCATCTCTGCCAAGGAATTTTCAGTTGTTGAAAAAAAACATATGAGCTTTGTATTAAAAGTCTTTACATTATTATGTATTTCCTAAAACTAAAATGCATTTATTTTACCCTGAAATGCACATGGTAAGCATAATTCATTTTCTTCCACCACTTATACATAGCAGAGATTCATAAGGAACAAGGTGGCAAATAAGGCCCCTTCCTAACTTCCTGGAAGCTCATGCTCTCAACCGCAAACTCATCACTGACTACTTATTTACTTATTTATACAATTTCAGTCTTATCTGGATCACTTATCCAAAAATATCAGCTCATTCTGGCACACTATGGAATTTTCTGTTATTTGGAAATAGCACAGACAAAAATTCTGCCATACAGAACACTGCTAAGCTGTAAAGCTGGATGGAACAGTTAAATTTGCTAACTGCTTTTACTGTATATATAGTAAGAGTAACAAACACTTACGTCATGTTTATGATGTGCCAGGCATGTAATAATTCATTTAAACCTTACTGCGCCAATAAGATGGTAGTTTCCCATCCCCATTTTACAGATGAAAGAACTGAAGCCTAGAGATGCTGATAAATCACCAGAGTCCCAGAGCTGGTGGTGACAAAGCTAGAAGGAACACCAGAAGCAGAGGGCCTCTGTGAGAATTCATTTCAGGCTGCCACAGAGCCACCGCAAACAAACAGCTTCTGCCAGCAAATTTTGTCTTGCTTTATTCATTTAATTTTCAGGTTTATTCCAATCAGAGTTATCCCAAAAATTTCAGAGGAGAAATAAAGTGTTTTCTTTCTCTCTTTCTCTGTCCAGGGCCAATTTTTATCATATACATAGTACTGTAGAATTCTACAGTACACTTTTGAAAAGTGGCTGAGGACCCCAAATGCCCCTAAGAAACTACAGTGGTTTGAATCTTGCTTTATTGCAAACTGTCTTAACTTTTAAAACTCCTTTACACCCTACAAACAGAATGTGAGCACCATTTCAAAACAGTGATTTAAACAGATGCAACTATATTAAGATTTTAACATAGCCATGGTCAGGATATATTTTATCCTGAAGCCTACACACAGTCAGCCCAGTCGTGACTATACTTTTCTATTTCTTCAATTCATAGCAACCTATTTATTGCCCCATCTCTGCTTGCTGTACCTAAGGTTGATCTGTTTGCTTCTTTTGTTTTGCAACAGCCAAGGGCTCTGCTGCATTGCAGGCAATTCGCTTCTGGGATATCCTCAGAGAATTTCTTTGCTGCCCTGTTTGCAGTCACCCTGTACATCCCATAATAGAGCTCTACCATCTACACTGTGCACATTTCCAGCTCGGCAAAAATGGAATTACATGAGATATAGCTTCAAAGTTGTATTCATTCAATGTTACAAATGGTTCTTGGCTGACATTGATGAAACTCCTCAAGTGTCTGATGGGACGTAGGTGACAAAGATAAATCTTAGGCATGTGCACGGGCAGGTGTTTGTTTGAGTCCAGAAAAAGTGAGTCAGTTTAAAACTTTAGCATTATAGGTCACCTCTAGATGAACATTTCTTACATTTATTTCAATTGTTATCAGCCTTTAATTCTTGTCCCTTTAAATAATTACAGCTATCTATATGGCATATTTTATTAACCAAATGCCAATTGCTGTAATGATATAGGAACATGTTTACTTATTAAACAAGATCTCATGTAGAACCTTTTAAAGCATCTGTTCTGTAAGGGCTACTTCTCTGTGATCTTACAGAATCTTGGTATAAATGTTTTGTAATTTTAAATGTGTTGTAATAACTAAACCACTTATCAGTCTCCCTCACTAGATCATAAGCTCGAAATGACAAAACAAATGAACAGATAAATAAGTAAATGAATGAATAAAGAAACACATGTATTCTCCACTTCATCCCGTTTATTCTGGAGCTTAAAAAAAAGCAAATTATTCTCAGCTATCGTTGTTAATACGATCATTAATTATTATTCATTTCCCCTACCCAGCCTCTACTCAATGGCAGGACTTGTTGTTACCACACAGTTTTTTTTTTTTAAATAAAACATGTCATGACCTCTTCCTTCATTACGCTACTGAAATCCAAGCCTTCTTCACTTGGACCCTAACTCCACTTTTTTTCCCCCTTTGAAGCTCGGCTTTTCTAAAAACACCAGCAATACTTTTTTTCCAAAATACAAATCTAATCATGTCACGCTCCTCCTTGGAGTTCATCAGTTGCTCGCAGATGGTACACAGGGACCTTCACCGGCTGACACACGCTTCAGTCTAGCCTTATCTGCTACTTCCGCACTCGTGATTTCAAAAGCAGAGTCCTCCCGCTCCCACGGGCCGTGGCTCTTGGTCCTGTGCCTTTCCCATCACGCTTTCTTCCTCTAGGTCTTAACGTGCTCCCCAGCTTTCAGATGCCCCTCAGGATTCCTCCTCCAGAGGTCCCTCCACCCATCTTGGAATCATCCTTCAGAGGAGGCTAAGGGTGCCCTCATCCTATCACACCTGGGACCTTAGCGCTCCTTCTGCCTGCTTCCATTTGCTGTATACATTTCTATTGCTAGTTCCATTTCTCTGATAAAACCGTTAGCCTCTTGAGAAAAACATAAAATATTCATTGTTTTTATTCCCTTCACTCGACCAGGTGCTTGACTCATGGGAAACACAGATGAATGGAGTTTGACCTCAGCGGAATTTTCAGGAAGGAGTAGTTCTATCCTTGTTCAACCAGATTAAAAATCATTTTCTCTAGGATAATGCTTCTCAGCATTCAATCTTGTAAAAAAGTGTTAACAATTTTGTTAATTTTTTTAATTATAATCAAAATAATCCCTCATTTTGAATTTGCCCAGTTGTACTCAACAACAAACTGAATGGAGGGCGTTTAAGCCACCTTCCATCATGAGGGGGTCATTGAATTTTCCTGGAAGTTGTACAGGTAATAATTTCTTTTTTTTTTTTTTTTTTTTTTTTTTTTTTTTGCTGTGGATATTTCCGTTTCCACACATTTAAAATTAAACATATTTATTACCTCATAGCTCAACTTATTAATAGTACAAAACGCAAAATCTCCAAAAACAGAAAATTGGTAGCCAGTCCAGAGTTCTCTTTCCATTTTTGATTGGCAAAATCTACACCCGTACCAAGGAGGAAAGTTCATGTGAGTGTTCCTACTAATGAGGACAGACCTGCTCCCTCTCAAATCTTGCCTTAGTCACAAAAGATTGGATTGAAATAAAAATTACACTGCACTTTGATCAGGGTTGCAGTGGTAAAACATCAGCCAGAACGTATCCAAAAGCAGGCTTTCCTCACAGATACGAGAGAAAATTGGATTAGAATCCAGCCGCCTTTTGCATGTTAGAGGCAGTAAGTGTATATTGTATAAAAATCATCAGCATAACAAATAGATCATAATCACACAGCGTATGAACATTTAAATCTATCTTAAGATAGTGGATTAAAATGAGTCATTGGGTATCAAAAAAGATGGCCCGTCTGAAACATAAACAAGAAAACAACATGAAGAGCCATTTATTCAATCTGACCTAGACATAAAAGGGGACACCATAATAACCACTGAATAATGACTGAGATCATGCTTTTGTGATAAGTCACTGAGATCTGAAATGAAAAACTGAATTATTACTAAATAAAAGGATTTGGTTTCATTGTTGAATTTATTCACATATTTCAGAAAATTTATTTTGCGGTTATATTTGAAGGTCAAAGAATAAAACTGAAGCATCTTGCCTATTGCAAAGATCCCCCTAGGAGCTGGGGAGGTAGGTATCTTCTAGGTTTTGAAGTTTAGCTCTCTTCTTCAGGCTTATAAGAGAGTAGCCATTCCCAGGAAGTAGAGAGAGCCAGAGTGCACACCTGGAACAGGAAAGGCAGAGTAGTATCCCAAGTACTGCCACGCCCCCTACAGCCAGCCTACTGCAGACTTCCCTAATCCACCCAGCGCTCGCCCTGGGGATTTGCCCTGTGGACTCTGCCATCTTTTCCCTGGACTACCTAGGGTGCCCCACCAGCCAGCTTTCTCTGCCTCCTGACACTATCATGACTGCTTCATTTCTCTCTCTCCATTCCAGTTCTATAGTTTTATGTTCACTAACTCTGAAAATGAACTATTATTATTTCCTATCTACTATCTAGAACAGAGCCCTGATGTTTTGCGCTTCATTTCTGTTGTGGGAACAGCTCAAAGATGAATCAGATCCCAGGAATTGTCTCATTTTGATTGACAACCCACGATGCACTGTTCTCTTATATATCACATAATGTAGCACGATATGCAATATACAGTACATATAATCCTACCTCATCAACCACCAGCTGGCTTTATTGTTTGCTTATTAATTCTTGTTTTCCTCATTTTATTTTAGGGTCATTGACATTTTTCTGATTATATCAACTGCAATGCACATTATTATAAATTCAACTACTAAGACACATTACATGGAAAGATTTTTTTAAACAAAGCACCGGAAACACATCATGGTCTGCATTATCACTATAATTATCTGTGCTTAAAATTGGAATGTCATGAATGAATATGCAGTTCTGTGTGACTCTGAACTGGCATTGCACATAAGAATGGTTCTAGATCTCAAGGCACCCTTTTCTAAGAATTTCCTTTTTCTCATTGTCTAAGAAATTTATTAGAGGCTTGAAAATGTCTTATTTCATCAGCTTGTATTTTTTCCATATTATCATAGTGCATATATAACTATAAATGCCTATTCACAGGCAGTTCTCTTCTCCTAAACAAAAGATTAATAAAGAAGAAAAAATTGAAAATATAATGTTCAGATGTATGCTTGCTTGTCAATGACATCAAATAGTTCTGGCTAAAGTCATTTTCCTTTCCACCTATTCACTTAATTAGAAAGAAAATCTTTTCCAAATAAGTAATTTTGAAAGTTACTTGAAATGTCTTCACCATTGTCCACATAATATAAGGAATGTCTTCATCATAGCTTGGCCTCTTCTACAGATGGTTAGTTGAAATCATTTATTTAAATCTAAAACCAGAAGAAAGCTCTGTATCCACTGACATTTTCAATGGAGTCCCTATGATAGAAATACTTTATAGTTACACTGCAATTATTAAATATCTACTTAAGTCTTGTTCATAGAGTGACAATCCAAGAACAAAGGGGGAAAATTAAGAAGCTTTAAGGAATGTAACATTTTAAAATTCACCTAAGCTTCTAAGTTCTATTCTGTTCTCAGCACTCAATGAGATGTCTACTTGATTATATTGCTGAAGGTACATGGAATCACAGTTTGGACTACCATTCAAAGTTTCCTTTTTTTTTTTTTTTTTTAACTATCTTGACTCAGAGGTATGTACTATCTCATTAACGTGACATTAGCAAATCTCTTTTTGAATACTCACCTTTTGAATAACACATACAAAAAAGTCAGCAGTTATCAGTTTGCTCTCCTTTTTTTGCATTCCCACAGCAGATTCTGTAACCTGGATTACAGCATTTAGCCTTCTATACTATGGTCATGTAAGTATGTGTGTCACTAAAATAGCTCCTTAATGTCAGGGAATCTTTCTGTTTACAGCATTAACCAAGAGCCTCACACACTGCAGGTGTCTGATAAATATTTATTGAATAAGTAAATGTAGATCAAAAATGAAAATATATTTTCCTTACAAGAATTCTGCAATTTCTCCCTGACCAGTTGATTTATATAAGCCCTCTCTGCAGTAGTTCTCTGAATGGCTTTGGGCCAACTCAGTTCTCTGCCTATTTCTCTCTCATAGTTCTCCAGAATAACTGTAGCACGTGCTGGGAACACAGCACCCTGAGATAGCAGGAGCTGGCTGGAACAGCCTGGGTTCTGCCCTGATAACCCCTAGCACAGGATGTTCTTTAACACTTTAGCTCAGTGAGTCCTGTGACCCCCAGGTATGTAACCCAGAGCAGGCTGCCCTTCAGAGTCCCTTGTCTGTGGTACAAGTGGGGCACACAAAGTTGAGGCTTCAAGACTCCTGGACAGATTTATGGGCTTTTGGGGACCTGTTGCCAGTGGAATGGAGGCTTCTACTGTCCTTTGCTACCTACCTGTAAGTAATAAAACCCGCTTCCTGTAATGTGTTGTGTGTAAGCACTTTTGCTCTCAATGGACTCAAACAAGTTGGTAAGTAGTACACAGTGAACCTGCTTCACATCCTGCATTCAAGACCTGTAAATATCATTGAAACATCAACATTATGTTTCAGATTTATGAGCATGCAATATTCTAACTGTAAAGAATTTAATCCATACATCTAGTGAAACAAATAAGAACCTAATTAAAGAAGTGCTTACTTTGGGCAAAAAACAAGACTTCTGTCAAAATGCCTTTTAAATTTTTGGTTTAGTCCACACTTAAACAAAGCTTTTAATCTCTATTAAGAAGGGACATCATTATGCATTGATTGATTAACACAATTATGGACATGTTCTGTTTTATCAAATATATTTTATTAAACAATCAACTTCAATTTTTTCTTCCATAGCTAAGTTATATATAATGCCATTCTGAAACATTTTTAAAAGCCATCTTTTCTAACTCCAAAATAGTCATTACTATTCACTCCTGGTCGTCTTCCTTGAAATAGTACTCTGTGGATCAGTACTGAACAGCCAGGTAACAGCTACAAGCTCCAAACCACCTGTAAACATCAGTTCATCTTATACCTATAACGAGTCGCTTAATATCCCAAAGGCCCACACAGATAAGTGAAGCCTCAATCATATAAGTGTTGTAAGAGGAGGGAATTTAGATTTTTCATTATTTCACTATTTTATGTTTTATTTATAATAAGTTAATATTCCTTAGTTTTTTTTTTTTTTGCTTAAGTTTTGAGACTATATTATTGTCTTTTCTCAATTCTTTCCAAAGTTTAGGTTTCTTATTTTTTAAAAAATATTACTGGCCAGATGCAGTGGCTCACACCTGTAATCCCAGCACTTTGGGAGGCCAAGACAGGCGGATCACTTGAGGTCAGCAGTTCGAGACCAGCCTGGGTAATATGGCAAAACCCCATCTCTACAAAAAACACAAAAATTAGCCAGGTGTAGTGGCACGCACCTGTAGTCCCAGTTACTGGGGAGGCTGAGGCATGAGAATCACTTGAACCCAGGAAGGGGAGGTTTTGGTGAACTAAGATCACGTCACTGCACTCCAGCCTGAGCGACAGAGACTCTGTCTCAAAGAAAAAATAAAAATAAAATATATTATCAGCAAATAATCATCTTCCATAAGAAAGAGTTTTGCACTGAAGGGGGAATAAATTCTGTATCAAAATTAAGTCTGCTAGTCTCAGAGAAAGTTCTCAACATATGCGAAGTGAAAGTAGTAAATGCCTACTATTTCATCTGCTCTAAACAGCACTCACTTCTTCTCAGCCATATAATTTTCCCCATCTTTAACCATGAGTTTGGATTGGGAGTTGTCTTCTTTCTTAAATTTTCTCATCCCCAGCCACAGGGCCTAATCTAGGGACAGGCTATTGGCCAGTCTGGTCTTATAAAAGAACCCATTCCCAGGTAAGAATTGGTTGGTTCAGGAATATGCACTCAATTCAGTCCCAGCCAATCAACCCTTCTCTGTGACTTTTGAATTTAGAAACAAAAATTAGGAGTTCCATTCTATCTGGTGATAACATTGGGAAATGTCAGGCATTTCTGTTTCTGTTCACCACAGAAGAGGCTAAATCTGAGAAAAGCCATCATGCAGAAAGAAGCCAAATGAGAGCCAGAGATTGAATCCTCAGGGTGCTCATGACCCTATTGTCACTGGAGACTGAGACTCTGCTACGTGTTTTTAATTCTGCTAGCCAACACTTCCCCCAAAAATATTTGCCTAAGTTAATTCAAGTTTGATTTCCAGCCAATCCACTGACTAATTCGCTCACTAATGACAGTAATAATGCATACGGGTATCTAACCACACTTTTTCCTCTGGTTTATTAGATATCTTCTAACCTCATTTTATTAATCATGTATAACTTCTCATTTTTTCTGATATATATGTTTAACTTACTTTCAAAAAACCTTACATTTTCATCCATCACTAAAACACAACAACTAAAAAACTACTCCCTGTTTAAGATTTTCTAAATCCAACTAAAAAACAACAAGAAAAGGCTAACTTTCTTCATTATAGCGCTCTAGGCCCAATTTCTCCAGATTCTTTTCTTTGTAAGAGTCCCACAGTAATACACACTTGAGTAATTTATGTTATAGCAAATATGTATAAATATTTTCTAGTCCTTTATTTTCTACTGGAAGAGTGAATTTACAAGCAATGATCTTACAATCTTCTAGAAACTGTAACTCTTGACAGCAATGGCTCTGACAGTAGTCCAATATTTGTGCAATGTTAATTTATTAACATTCCTATAAAATGTCATCCTCTCACAAGCAAACATTTTTTCATGAGCCAAAAGATACAGAAAAGAGACACTGTATTTTGTTACTAGGAAACTGAAAGATTATTGATCATAGGCAAAATCAAAGCTTTTCTCTACCTAGGTATATTTCCCCACATAGCCTTCATTTAAAGTCCTGTAGTCATGTGTTTCAAGCTTCCAGTGATTCAAAATAAATTCTTTCAGCATCTGTGGAACTTGGAGAATCTTGCTTGATATTTAGCTGCCATGTTGCCTATTAATCTAGTACTAGAGTAAATAGTGAGAAGACTCTAGTCAATTTGGCCTCCTTCCTGAGCAAGCTTCTCTTCTAGTCAACATGTCTGGATCTTTGATTTCTATTCATGCTCAAGAATTTAAAGAAGGTAAGGCAAGATCCTGTTGCCAGAGGAATCTAAAGCTATTTGTACTTAAGTTACCCATCCTTAGTGCATTCCCAAATAGGAAAAACATGCAATTCAAAGTGTCTTACAGCTGCAAAAAACCATGCAATTAAAGTATGAAAATAAAAGTCTAAACTGCAGGCTGTTAAAGTCTTCAACATAATGGCACCTGAGCCTATAAGCAGTGATTGTTCAAATATATGTGGTACATTCTTGGTAATTACACACCTTAGAACACGTTTTCATTTTCTTTCCATTGGTGTTTTTAAAGACTATGCCAGTAAACCACTGCTGCCTAAAAAGTTTTCAGCTCAAAAACCCATGTATCCCATTACAGCTTCAAATTTCCCATCTCAGTGTGCCTGTGTACATCAGACCAAAGTATACCCGACAGTTCAGCTGAATTCCAAATAGAATTGAAAATAGATTTTACTCGCCAACTGTCATGGGTGTGTGTCTCTCTGTGTGTGTGTGTGTGTGTGTGTGTGTGTGTGTGTAGGTATCTCAGCTTGGAAAAAAAGTCTATTAAATATTTATGAAAATCATTTTTTTGGTCTCCAAACAGCACAGTTAAAATTAAATAGCCATCACAAGAAAGCGTCATCACAGGTAACTTCATACTACTGTTTGGGCTTCCAGACTCTTTTCAAGTGTGCACTGAACAGATGGAGAATGTTAGAGGCCTTTCAGACTAGCATTGAAGGCAAACTGTCCAGCAATCTATCATGATTTGGGGATTCTCAATGACCTTTTAAGGCTTTGCAGAGGAATCTGCTAAATTATGTTTACCAACCTGTGGATTCTTTCAAAAAAATACACGTTTTTAATCCAAAACATGCTTCAGCAGTTAAAAGGATAATAACATCAGTTGCATAAAGATTATGCTGTTTTGTTATTGTTGTTCTTTTATTCTAATTTGTTTTACCTTGTTTTTACAATGACCTCCCTTCATGTGAGAGGGACCAAATGATAGAACTGCCCCGTGACACTTCTGGAGAACAATTGTATATTTCCTTCCAATTAATGCTTTGACTTGTTAAATTCCACCATAAAATCGTGTGCAAAATTTCAAATCCTCTCCCCTGCTGCTTAGTGGATGAGAATGTTCCCTGCACCAGCTGAAATGTTCATTACTTCTAAATTATGCAGGCTGGGGCCAGGGTGGGCTGCCAGGCTGGGGAGGGATTGTTGTCTCCTAATTATCAGTGGCTGCAATTTGCCCCTGTTACATTTTCAGAGTTACACTTGAGGTCCCCATCTTTGTTTCAGGAAGAAAATGTATTCAGTTCTCTTTTTCATAGGAAAAATCAAGAAAACAATTACATAGTCTGTATTTAAACTTTGAAATGGCTCAGTTCTCTTCTCATGTAGAATAAAAAGTGATAGAGTATTGAAGTTTGACTTGGAGAACAGTGTCTAAATCAAATAACCTGTTGTTTTACTTTTGTGCAATACCACTTTAAATATAAGATTCCCAAGGGCTGTTTTTACCCATGTGGCTCCAAGAATGTTTTGTGACTCTTTGTCTATAAACTGCAGTCTATCTGACATGCAAAAGTCCTTATTCCTAGTTGCAAAACAGGGAGACACCACGACATAGGCTTAATTTTGCTGTCATGAAAAGGGACCATAGCTGGATGGCTTGATCATAAGAGGACCAAGGATAGATATAGTTCTCCTGGATAAACATATGCAATCTACACACATTTTCATAAAATGTTTCCAAAGATCATAGCAGTCATTAATGGGAGCATATTTTTTCTTAGAAAGTCACCTTTGAACATCCTTTCCTTGAAAATATTCTATTATATATTAAAGAAAAAATTGTTTTATTGCCTTTGTTGAAGGCTTAGGAGGCGAAGATTTATGTTGAGCTGATAATTTTTATATTTTCATCTGTATTCTTAGAAAAAGGAAAAGCTAAGTGCAAGTCCAAAAATAAAGCATTTAATTCTACTCACTTCCAGTGTCCTGGGTTATAAATGCATCTGAGGGCTCAGGTTTCAGGCCAAGCCCAGAGAAAAAGGGTGTTGTTGCAGGGTGTGGGGGTAGGGTAATATTCACTTATTCCTGTACATAGTTGATTAGAAAAACATAAATCAACTTCGATTATTTATTTCAAGTTAATCTAATACCCAGGGTGATTTTAATTAGGATAGGTACATTTTGAAACTACAAAATAAAGCAACTCCACTTAACATATCAAACAGGTGGTGAAGATTACATTTTCTCATCTCTTCCTTCTATGCTCATGGGAGCTGTGGGTGTTTGAGTGACAGACTATCACCCAGCAGACTCCTCCTTCCTCACCCAACGTAAATCCTTTTTGTTAACCCTGTAGTGGAAAACAGAGGGAAACAGCTTGTGTGGTCTGGACAGTCTTTCAACTCCTAGCACTCCCACAAGGCCAAGTGATTGACTCTTTGGTCTTTGAAATTCTCCATGTATATTAGAGTAAGCAATGCAGCTCAGTCCCCAGAATCTCACTGTGGTTACATGTGGAAGTTACAGAAATGAAAGTGGCATTCTACTTAAGAAACCATAAAAATAAGCAGGGAGACTTGAAAGCTAGCACTGCCTTTCCCCATAACTAGTAGTTACCAAAAAATTTGAAATTTATGACAAATGAACAATCATCTCTTTAAAAGACCCAGCTGCACTTGAGAAGTAAAGATAATCTGATCTCAAAATGAGGAAAGATCTTAGAAAACTGGAAGCAGTTTGGTGAGCATATTTGGATCCAGGCCAGCAGAGGTGAACTGAAAGGGACAAGCAGAAAAAAGAAGAGTTCCTGCTTCCTCCCTCAACCAGATAATTAATGGAACAGAGGAAAACAGTGTAGACAAGAAAGTGCAGAGAACATTCCTGAAGCCAGGAGCAGGAGCTGCTCCTTGAGCGTCTCTTGACAGAAAATATCAAGTCAGTGATCTCAGTCAGAAAATGGCACCAGGGAACACCTGGAATGCTGAGTTCATGGGCATGCCTGTCATTCTTGTGCCATTCCAGTGCATGGCCACACAAGGGCTGCCAAACCTTCATGCTCTAACCATTAGGTACTTCTCTACCCTCATCTCTTTCCCCTCAATGACTTCACTTTGCCTTGCGATTTTTAGAAAGGCCAAGCTCATGTCCATTTCATACCATAAGGTCCCACCGTTTCTTCCACTGGAGTGCTCATTCTTAAGCTATGCATGTGAGTTAGCGCCCCAATTAATGTTTGTGTTCGTACATGAACTCTTCAGACAGATTTCCCCCAATTATTCCGTTTAAAAGTATCTGGGGCTCCACCACTCTGACCTCCCTACCTGTCACGGGTTGCATATTGGACCTTCAAAAGATGCATCCATATCCAGGCATCCTTAATTAAGTGTATTTGCAAAGATCCTTGTTCCAAATAAGGTAGACTCTTTCTTCCTCACCCGGGGTTCTTTTTGTTAACGCTGCAGTGTAAAACAGAGGGAAATGGCTTGTGTGGCCTTATTTGGAAATAGGGTACTCACAAAAATAATTATGTTGAAATGAGATCATCCCGGATCAACTAAGTGGGCCCTAAATTCAACGACAAATGTCCTCATAAGAGACAGGAGAAGAAATCTGTGCAAAGACCAGGCAAAGATTAGAGTTATGTAGTCACAAGCCAAGGACTGCCTGGAGCCACTAGATAGGGGAGGCTGCAAAAAAGGAGTCTCTCTTCCAGACTTCGGCTGGACCGTGGCTCTCTTGACATCTTTATTTTTATATTTTTTCTAATTTTTAATTGACATAATTGTACATATTTATAGAGTACGTTTTAATACATATGTATGTTGCATAATGATCTAATCAGGGTCATGTTTCCATAACCTCATGCATTTATCATTTCTTTGAGGTGAGATTGTTTAAAAGCTTCCCTTCTAGCTAATTTGTAATAGATAATATTTGACTGTTAACCATAGTTACCCACTGTGGTTATGGTTATGATAGAACACCAAAATTACTCTTCCTAGGTAATTGTAACTTTATACCCATTAACCATCCTCTTCCCATTATCTCCTCCTCCCTCCCAGTCACAGTCTCTAGTAACCACTGTGCTACTCTCCACTTCTATGATATCAACCTTTTAAAAATTATTCCACAAATAAGATCATGTGCTATTTATCATTTTGTGTCTGACTTATTTCACTTAACACGTCCTCCAGGTTCCCAGGTACATTCATGTTGTACAAACAATGGGATTTTGTTCTTTCTTATGGCTGAATAGTATTGCATTGTGTGTCTATACCACATTGTCTGTATCCATTCATCTATTGTTGGACACTTAGATTGATTCCATATCTTGGCTATTGTGAACAGTGCTGCAATAAACACTGGAATGACAATATCTCTTTGAGATTCTGATTTTTCTTTTGGACATATACCCAGTAGTGGGATTGCTGGATCATATGGTAGTTCTATTTTGATTTTTTGACAAACCTCCATCTGCTTTCCAGAATGGCTGTAGTCATTACCAGGAGTGTGTAAGTCTTCTCTTTTCTCCACATCCTTGCCAACACTTGTTTTCTTTTTGATAACAGCCACTCTGAGTGAGGTGGTATTTCATTGTGGTTTTGATTTGCATTTCCCTGATGAGTGATATTAAACATTTTTTCATATAGCTTTTGGCCATTTGTATTTCTTAAGAAATGTCTATTAAGCTCTTTTGCCTACTTTTTAATTGGTTTATTTGTATTTTTGCTGTTAAGTTCATTGTATATTTTGGATATTATCCCCTTGTCAGATATACAGTTTGTAAATATTTTCTCTCATTCTGTAGGTTGTCTCTTGACTCTGTTAATAGTTTTCTCTGCTGTTCTAAAGCTTTTTAGTTTGATATAATCTTATTTGCCTGTTTTTGCTTTCATTGCCTGTGCTTTTGAGGTGTTATTTTGAAAAAATTCTTACCCAGTCCAATGTCATGAAGTGTTTCCCTTATATTTCCTTCTAGTAGTTTCATCTTTTACATTTAAGTCTTAAATCTATTTTGAGTTAATTTTTGTAAACAGTGAGTTAGGGATCTAGTCTTATTCTTCTGCATTGTGGATATTCAATTTTCCAGCACCATTTATTGAGGAGACTGTCTTTTCCCCAACGTGTGTTCTTAAAATCTTTGTGGAAAATCAGTGGGTTGTGGGTGCATTAATCTTTGTTGACATCTTGATTTGGGACTCTGGGCCCCCAGAACTGTGAGAAAATAAATTTCTGTTTTAAGCCACCAAGTTTGCGTCAATTTGTTATAGCAGCCCTAGAAAACTAATGTACTTCCTCTTCCCTTCCTTTTCTTTCTAGCAATTACCACTATATATCATATATTGTTTATTTGCTCCTTTGTCTCCTCCTCTAGAATGTGAGAGCAGAGAGTTTATCTGTTTTGTTCACTGATGTTCCCCAGTGCCTAGAAGAATGTCTAGCACACAGTAGTCACTTAATAAGAATATGTTGAACTATGAATGAATGTTAGCTGCTCAGGTAACCTTCCGGATGTTTTGTTTAGGAGTGATCTTGTGGGTGGACTCTAGATTTTTTCACTTCACTGCATGCTCAGGGTGGTCTGAGAATATGCTGCTGCTAACACATTTATTTAGGCCTCCCCATCGCCATGCTATTACAGGAAATAATATGGGTCCTTCAGGAATAATCTCACTTTGAGATATTGCCATTCAAGAAATACCACTGTAATACAATATTCAAAACTTTTGAATTTGGCATGAAAAATTATACAGGCAAAAAGTGACTGGCCTCTAGGAAGAAGACACTCACTGTATTTGTAAAAGAAATGCACTGCTTAAAATGTTCTAATTTAATGTTAAAATGTTGATTTGGGTATGGGCTTGTTTGATTCCTGGGCAGAACCAGCACACAGAAACTGAAGGACGCTCTCAGGATGGCTAATGCTGCAAGAGAGGCACTGTCAAGGTTAACAAGTTTCCGTTCACTAGAACTGTAAAGACAGGAAGAGCGATGGGAAGGCTGACTGTCAGATGATAACCAGAGAGACAGTGCAGCGTGTACAGAGGCACTCACTCATGTCACCACGGGCTGCTGAGAGAACACAAAGACCTGTCTTAGATATGGGAGTTGAAGGAGATGAGCAGGCGAGCAGGCTGGATTTTCCTTGGGCTATAGGCCCAACTCAGGCCCCACCCAGCATTACAGCATGGAAGAAACAATAAAGGAGAAAGCAGCTCGAACCATTTTAACTATACAGGAAACTGGACAAAGAACAGGAAGAAATAAATAAAAGCATAATAGCCCAAGGTGGAATGCATATTAAGTGTACGAGAAATAGATCCCTTTACTTTCAGAAGACAAGAATGACCCACTAGGGCACATGGGATGGGATGTAGATAAGAAGGAAGTCAATGCTTATGTTCATAAATGACATGCATTTGACAGCCATGTTCTTGAGTAATTCTCATACTGACCTGTTTATTTCTATTTTAGAAGTCAGGATATTGAGGTTCAGATAAGTTAAGTGGTTTTCTCAAAACCACAAGGAAAGACCTCTGTGACTCAAAGCCATGAATTTCCATTGCATCAAACTGCCTACCTGTACAAAATTAAAAATGTGAATTGTTTATTCTTTGTAGTATGACTTGGCTCAATATCCTAAAATAATTCTGATCTTGTGACTAAGATACAAAAAAATTGCAAGTATCTCTCCTTCATGCATATAATGACAAATACATAGAAATGAATGATTATTCACAGATTTAGATGCCTTGGAAAGAACCAGAAAGGGAGCTATGATGTATTAGAGAAAATATCTGACCTACATCCAGGATTTCTGGATTCAAACCTTAGACCTAACTGTGATCAATGATGTGACTTTGAATAAGACACTTACGTACACAAAGATGCTGTTTCTTCATCAGATTAAACATATTTAATAAGCCGGGCATGGTGGCTCACTCCTGTAATCCCAGCACTTTGGGAGGCCAAGGCGGGTGGATCACGATGTCAGGAAATGGGGACCATCCTGGCTAACACAGTGAAATCCCATCTCTACTAAAAATAAAAAAAAATTAGCCAGGCGTGGTGGCATGCCCCTGTAGTCCCAGCTACTTGGGAGGCTGAGGCAGGAGAATCGCTTGAACCCGGAAGGCAGAGGTTGCAGTGAGCCAAGATCACACCACTGCACTCTAGCCTGGGCAACAGAGCGAGACTGCATGTCAAAAAAAAAAAAAATGTAATAACATACATTAGTAAAGCAACTAGCACCTATGGGTGTTCAGAATTGCCTATAGGTATTATTACTGGTATTACCATTGTCTAAGAAAAGAGATGGTCCTCCTGCAACTGTGTAGTAAATGTGTGCACTTCAGGCTCATTAGTCTGGATAATAGTGACTCTTGGAGAAAAAAGGAAGCACTCAGGAACGGGACAGCCAGTTGGGTTGCCAGGCAGATGGCTAAGCAGACTAGAAGCCAAGAACTGGTGAAGAGTTGAAGGTGCAAATTTGTTACTGGTTCCTTAGGTCAACATAGCTAGGACGTGTTGTTTGAGACAACCGGAAGAACACATGGGATTTGATCTGATACCTGTTATATTCACATACATCCTTCATCTCTTATCAAAAAATGTGTGATGAACTGAGAAGTCCTTTTTAGATTAAAAAAAATTTAAAACATGGGCCTACATGCCCACTGAAAAGGCAGTATCTCTGAGTTTTTTAGGACTTGAAATATTTATAGTAAAACTCTTTAAATTTAATGATGTGAACAGAAATTAAACCATTAATCTGGCCTATAGCACATGAATTAAAAGGAAGCTTTATTGCTTATCTTTATGTAAACTTCTTGCTCATTTATAATTTCATTTATTGACACATCTTTTGTAATACTCAAGTATCAAGGTCATTTTAATTGACTAAATGCTTTTTTTTTTTTTTTTTTTTTTTTTTGAGACGGAGTCTCGCTCTGTTGCCCAGGCTGGAGTTCAGTGGCGCGATCTCGGCTCACTGCAAGCTCTGCCTCCCAGGCTCACACCATTCTCCTGCCTCAGTCTCCCGAGTAGCTGAGACTACAGGCACCCGCCTCTACGCCCGGCTAATTTTTTGTATTTTCAGTAGAGACGGGGTTTCCCCGTGTTAGCCAGGATGGTCTCGATCTCCTGACCTCATGATCCACCCGCCTCGGCCTCCCAAAATGCTGGGATTACAAGCATGAGCCACCGCGCCTGGCCTTAATTGACTAAATTCTCTAAGACCTCTGCAGATTTTTTTAGTTCAGCCCCACTATTTTCTCAGATAGTTAAAATTTATTCAACGATTTCAAATGTTCTGTAAAAGTTGAATGTGCCCAGATTTTCTTATTTTAATCAAAGTAATATGCATACATCGTTAAAGAAAAACCAATAGAAGACCTGTAATGAACAGCAACACTTTCCCTTTCTTTAACTTTTATATTAAGTTCAGGAGTACATGTGCAGGTTTGTTATACAGGCAAATCTGAGCAATGCTTTCTTAACCCACTTCATTTTACCCTTTCTTGCTCTGCTTCACTTCTGAGACTCAAAATTGCTCTTAATGGGTTTCGTATTTTTTTGTCAGTATTTTCATAAATGTAAATAGTAGACCACTATTTCTACTTAGGTATTACCTATCGACACCAGAGCATAGAAGCTGTAAATTTAGCTCACTGATCACTGTTCACAATCATTTTTTTCTCTCTCTCCAACTATTTAAAGCTATAATACAATATTATATCTCTGGTAACTCCATTTATAAAATCAAATGATATGCTTACACTCTATTTGCTGTTCCAGCAATGGTGAGCACTATTGCTTGAGAGTTTAGCCTATAAGTAGGATATTATTGGCAGTTTTTACCTCCATCTTCCCAACTCCCCACTCCCATCTTCAGTTAACCATAAACTTTCACATTATGAAGATTAACATTTATGTCTTGAAATCATAATTTGTGAGCTCTGAGTGTAGATTAAGCACTAAAGTTAAAAATCGGTAATACGTATTTACACTTTCTAGTAAATATTGGTCCCTGTGGAGCCATGCTAGACAGACATTAACATATACCCTTCCCAAGTCAAAGGTCACGACACATCAATAATTCAAAAGTGAGTGTTCCCAGCTTAGAAGTCAGGGATTCATCAGGTATTCAATGCGTCCCAGATTTTACTTTTCACCCTATTTGGACAATGGCATTCTCAAGATATTTTATGCTTCATTCATTCTTCCAGTACTGCTTTGTAATATTAATTTAAAGATTTGGGTTATACTTGACCTCCAAGAAATATTTTTTGTTATTTAATTTTCTCCTCGCCATTTTTTCTGTTCTTTCTTTCTGGAACTCCTATGTATCAGACATTGGTCTTTTTATGTTGTTCCTCTACGCTTTTGATCTTTCTCTGATATTATGTGTTGCTTTGTATTTTCTGGAGTTTTTACTCAACTATAATCACTCATCTTTCATTTATTAACATTTATTTTTATTTCAGCAAGCATATTTTTAATTTTTAAGATATGTTCTTTGTCCTTGATTGTTCATATTTCATAGCAGCCTGCATTTATCCTTTATATTTGACATTTCTTTGGTTTCTCTGAGGATAATTAAAGTCTTTATAAAATAATGAGAGCAATAATATTTTTCAAAATGTTGACTCATCTCCAAATTTTCTTGGCTTCCTCCTGAATTTTTTGTGCTTTTTATCTTCCTTTCACATGCTGACAGTCCTCAGCACGTTGGGAACCGTCCATCTCCATTTTCTCTATTACAAATCTTGTGTGTTTTCTTGCTGGGCTTCTCCTTGAATGAAAGCCAGTCTGGGGGTTCTGTTTGTGTGGGTGCACTTGCAGGCTGAGTGGACAGGCAGGGAGCACAGGCCTGTCTGGGGCCTTATAGAGCTGGTTCAGTGAAGCTTCTATTCTGGACTCTCCACCTTCCACCAGCAATCCTCATTCTCAGGAAACTTGTCCAACTAAGGGAGAGGGTTTGCATAAACACGTTCTGGGTTTTGTCCAAAGATCAATTCTGAATTGCCTATCTCTGTTCTGTGGTGAGGTTTCTATCTAGGGAAACGTTCATTTGATGCCATTTGAATTAACTCCTTATTTTCCACCCATCTCACTCCCATCTTTGATAACTGTTGGATGCCACATTTTTTTTTTATCAAGAGATTTACAAGAAAATGATCTTTAACTTCCACTACTATCCCACTCTGGCCCATAGCTTCTTTAACCCTCTTTTTCCATCAGTATGTTCTCATATGTTTTCAGAATTCAGAAAAATTTGAAATTCAGCATCTAGTAACTGCTGCCCTGCCTCCCGTGATCTCTGCTACTGTAAATCTATCCTCATCACTAATTCTATATTATGTTTGCAGTGTTTTGGAGGAGAAGGGGGGAAAAAGCATGGGGAAAGACAAGGGAAGACAAAACCAACATTTAGTCCACCACCTTCAATTGGCAACCAGTGTAGTCTTGTAAATAAAAGACATTCATGTTTGGACAAAAATTAACATAATATCGTGTTAGTGTTTTCAACATAGTCCACCTGCAGCTTGTATGATTTTAAAACCACCATGGACTTAAATTAAACCTAAACTCTAGAATTACACTGTCCAAACATACAGCTATTTAAATTTAAATGAAATCAAGTGAAATTAAATTTAAAATCCATTTCCTCAGTCATGCTAGTCAGGTTTCAAATGCTCAATGCCACATGTGGCTAGTGCCTACTGGACTGGACAGTGAAGCTGGAGGGCATTCTTAACACAGCATAAAGTGCTGGTGGACAGTGCTTCCATGGAGCAAACTCAGAGCTCATCGGTGAAGAATTAACTCATTGAAAATCAGGTGTAACTGATGAGGAATGGGGAAGGGGCCTCTCTTTCCTTTTTATTTCTGTCATGTTGTGTTAAAATGCCCCTGCATGTGTTTCAGGAAGGAAATCTGTTTCCTACAGGTCCTTTGCTTTCTGTCGGGGGCAGCCGCATGGGTCCACCCTACTGTAGGAGCTGACTGAGGGCATGCCAGCAGCAGTCGTGGTGAAAAGGTGAGAACTTTGAATGCTTGCATTGCTTCCTGAGAGGAAGGGGGCAGGCGCTTCAGTGTTTATGTTATACAGGCAGGCTTACACATTTGGAGGGTCTTAAATTACCTCTGAGAACGGTACGTGAGAACAGCCAAGGAGAGAAGACAGGAATTTGACGAGGACTTTACTCTGTGCTCATTTCCAGTTCACAGGCCATCAGTGAGCCGGTAATGGTGACAGCTCATCTCACCTCCCTGGAATCTGTCCCTGAATAGCTCACTGTAAACTTTTAAACTGAACTCTGATAAGGAAGAACTACCTCTAGCCTGCCGTAAATTGTGGAGTTTTATCTACTTTGTGGTCTTTTGTGATGAATTGGATTACAGTTTCGGAAGTGAGAAGTAACATAGAAACCAAAATTTTGCATTGATTCATGACGTTAGGGCATGAGGAGGGACAGGTTTATGCAATTTAAAGGAAATTCAGCACCCTGGGAACTTACACCAGCTGGTTTTATGCCTAAGAAGTAGGTACAGGGTGGAAAAAAAAGAGAAACCAACTACAAGCCAAAATAAAGCTAACCCTCTGAGGCTAGTCAGTGATTCACTCTGGAATTTCAAAACTGCAGAAATTGCATAGGACTTCCATGCCTCATGAACGGCACTCCCTGTGGGAAAGAGCCAGCGGACTGTTGCATTCATAAAAAAATGATACATGACGTGCTCTCAGCACCCCTCCATAGGATCCAATAGATTGTCTAAAAGTCAACATCCTCTCATGTTAGAAATTAAGTCTCTTAAATATTATTTTTATCTTTAGGCTTAAAAATTATATCTGTATATACCCATGCTCTCTAAAATATTTTTGTTTCTTTAGTGTACTAGTATACATTTTTAATGGTAAAACCCACATAAGGCATTTTTCTCTGTTTTTCCTTTTTTTCTCTAAACTTAATTAGGGCACACAGTTTTGATTTGTAGTTTTTTATGGAGAGAATAAATAACAAGTCATAATATATTTTTATACAAAAATGACCAAGAGTTCATAGATTTAACAATTTTTTTCAATACAGGCAAACTGAATGACATTAAAAAAAACCTGTATTCAGGTCTGATTTTCAGTTTGAATTTCTGCATGGATCACATTAATTGGGTGTTTTAATTTCCATTTTGTATGTGTTGGATATGAACACATACTAATTCATGTCATATAATCTATGCTGTATTGCCCCATATCTATCCATTAAACACATATAAGTTGAGAGCCTGATAAAAGAAGGACACTGCAGCAAAGAGAGCAATGAATCAAACACAGATTCCTTCTCAGAAGTTGGATACTTTGCAGAGATGGTAAGGCCCAATAACTAGCATCAAGTGCAGTCCTGAATCCCTGTTTGGGCCAAATTTTCAATTTGCCCTAGAGCCTTAGGATAGGCAAAAGACAGCCCTGAGTTCTCTTCACCCATCCTACCCCTGCCTGCTCAGGGCACTACCAAGTGGGAGCAATCATGGCTCCATGTGATCACTAGGGAGAAGGATCTGGAAATGAAAGGATAGGGGAGGGGGATCATTTCATTACAGCCCTCTTTATTACGCCATTGGTATTTTCCCCTACAAAGTCCCAACAACTTAACCAATCATGGTAGAGAAATTTCAATTCCATGTATGTGGATTTCTACAGCCAAGCAGAAAGTGATGCATTCTTCATGCTGCTTTAGGAAGATGGCAGTCAAAGAAGAGTCTGAACCAAAGCAGTGCCATCTCTGGATGGGCAAAGCTTCTGCAGCAACGGTTTACAGATGCCCCAGCAGGAGCACTAGAAAGGGAGCCAATCGCATTACTGAGAGAGCTGGGGCCAGAGAGCTGGGACCTGAGAGCAGGTAATATGTGAACTAGGACGCTGATTGCAGATGGCACCTAGCATGTGAGGAAAGGGTCTAGCTGAGCTGGGAGTCATTCCATGTGACCTGTAGCAGCTGCACCCAGTCAGAGACAATCACAGGACTGCAATCAGGAAGCCTAGTTTGTGTCCTGAGTCAGCACCTTCTCCCCGACTTCTCAATGACTACTCCAAATTTTAACTATTCTTAAGCCTTCACCCTAATCCACACCTCAGTCTTTACTGAAAACCTACCTTCTACCACATCAAGAAAATCTGAAATCATCAAGCAGGAACTCCTTCAAACTCTAACACCTGCCTCTTAAAAATGAGTCTGTCTCCATAATCAGTCTTATCTTTTCAGTCTCATAGGAAGAGTTATCACTTTTTGTTCAACACCAACTTGTAAATGAGATGTCTTTCTTAGTCCTCCTTTAAAATGTCTGCTCCCCTAACCTGGAATTTTATGTTTTCACTTTCTCAAGGCTTAATCCTCATCAGCTATAACAGGGTCTAATCTCTGTCATTTTGAAAGTTACCCTTCTTTTATTTTATATCCCTCTTAAGCTTTCTTAAGCAGGTTTCGCTGTAGACCCTTTGAGATCTGGTGAAGCCTATTGATCCTTTCTTGGAATAATGTGTGTAAATAAGATATTTAGGTTTACCAAAGAATCCAGTTATATTGGTAAAGTCATCAAAATAATATTAACAATGATATGTGATTCATTAATTCTCCAGTGGACAAATCTAGAGTCAGATCTAGTAACTACCATAATTTTAGAATCATGAGTGTAACAATAATATGTAATACCAACAATAACCTTAAGGTAATATATGTGATTTCTGAGCAAGTTGGGGTTACTGCTAATACTATCCCGCTTGTTATCTAAGTTTCATTATTAAAAGAAATACAAAATTACAATTAGAAGATTAGTGAAAATAAAGATGTTCCCATTCAAGTTCCCGGAATTCCATCCTTGGATATCATGGAGGGAGCATGAACTCTCTGCTCCTCTCTTCACCATCACCATTCTTTTTTTATTATTATTATTATACTTTAAGTTATAGGGTACATGTGCACAATGTGCAGGTTTGTTACATATGTATACATGCGCCATGTTGGTGTGCTGCACCCATTAACTCGTCATTAACATTAGGTATATCTCCTAATGCTATCCTTCCCCTGTCCCCCCACCCCATGACAGGCCCCAGTGTGTGATGTTCCCCACCCTGTGCCCAAGTGTTCTCATTGTTCAGTTCCCACCTATGAGTGAGAACATGTGGTGTTTGGTTTTTTTAATAATTCTCGAATTTGTTTTCTGCCTTGCTGGGATCTTGCTTCTGCCCTACCTCTCTTTTGACCTTGTCTTGGGAAGGAACCCCAGTGGTGTCCCATGTGTTGTGTAACTGCACTCCAATCAGTTCACATCTGATTTGATCTTTGGAATACAGACTGTGAACATTCTCACACATGCTGAAAACCTCTCCTTTCCCCTCCTTCCTCAATTGGCTGATGGCTAAAACTTACTGTTTCCTAATCATTGTGTCTGCTTACCTGGTCTCTGCTCACCTTAATTGTTTAGTTTACACATGGCTCTAAACTGTTTGCATCAAAGATAGCATGTCCTAATTACCTATTCTTTGAGGATAAAAAGGCTTAGATGAACCTAAAAAGGGAAGGGAAATTAATGTTAACAGAGGACTTATCATGATAACATCATGCAAAGTACTTACCACATGATTTTATTCACATCTTCCAGTGATTCACAAAGGTTATTCCCACTTTGGAGAATATACTTGAGTAAACTGATATTCAGAATCATAAGTACATTTCTTAAAGTCACGTCACTGGGAGGTGGTAGAATGAGGATTGAAATCCTGGTTTACTGAAATTAGGTTTTCTTTTTTTTTTTTTTTTTTTTTTTTTTGAGACGGAGTCTCGCTCTGTCGCCCAGGCTGGAGTGCAGTGGCGGGATCTCGGCTCACTGCAAGCTCCGCCTCCCGGGTTCACGCCATTCTCCCGCCTCAGCCTCCCAAGTAGCTGGGACTACAGGCGCCCGCCACTACGCCCGGCTAATTTTTTGTATTTTTAGTAGAGACGGGGTTTCACCATTTTAGCCGGGATGGTCTCGATCTCCTGACCTCGTGATCCGCCCGCCTCGGCCTCCCAAAGTGCTGGGATTACAGGCGTGAGCCACCGCGCCCGGCCAGGTTTTCTATATGTAGTAATGTTCTCTCCATCTAACGTCACACCTGCTTTGTTTAGGTGAAGCGTGGCTTGGGAAGGGAACAGGGGAGAAGAGCAGGGGTACAGGAAGCATAGTTCTGACAATGCTGCTCCTAGCTCACCTGTCACTGTTCTCAACCCCAGAGCCACCTTACTCCAATACCTAGAAAGTGTCTGTTCCAGCCTTATGGGGACAGCTCAAAACCATGGCAACAAACAAGTCTCTTTGAGCGCCTGACATAAGCCCAAAAGACATGTTTTGATGAAGGTAATTTCATCAGTGCAGACAGGCAACCTGGAAAACTTAGTCTCATTTCCACTAAAACAACTTTCTTTGCAAAAGGATATTTCTGTCAGATGATGACCTAAATTTCCCTCCTTGGCTCACTGTGGAAGGTACAGGCTTGCCACGTCTATCTCCACTCAGGACAAGTAACAAGATGGCCAAACTGAGGGTACAGTTCTGACACCATCTGGGTGGCCTGGCAGTCCTCCTTCAGGTCAACCTGCTGGAAAGTGAGCTCTGCAAGCTCCAATCACCACAATGGCCTTCGTGACCAATCTTCTGCTTGCTGGTTGATGATGTTGGGGAGCCTCATCTTTTGCAGAGAATGGAAGTTGGGGGGACAAAAGGAGCTCAGGCTGTGGAGTTCATGCAGGACAGGTGAGCCCCAGAACTGAGGTTTAGCCCAGGAGGGTTCTTCACTTTGCCCTGAAAAGAATTCAAGTGCCAGCCAGTGGTGTTAAACAGCAACTTTTATTAAACAGTAACTTTTACTGAAGTGGCAGTGTACAGTAGCAGCAGAGGTACTTACGCTCTTTGCACCAGGGCCACTTCATAGGCAGCGAGCCCAGAGTGGCAGCTCAGAGGCAATGCTGAACTCTTATTTCCACCAACTTTTAATTATATGCAAATTAAGAGGCAGTTTATACAGAAATTTCCAGGATCACAGTGTTAACTCCCGGTTGGTTGGGTCATTGCCATGGAAAGAGGAGGTAACTTCCAGGTGCTGCCATGGCAATGGTAAGCTGACATGGCATGCTGGTGGGTGTGTCTTATAGAAAGCTGCTTCCACTAGGGACCTGTTTCAGCTAGTCCTCAATTTGGTCCAGTGTCAGAACCTGGCCTCCTGAGTCCAGTCCCGTTTCTTACATAAGAATCAGCCACATCCAATTGGAAGCTGCCCTCTACTGTGTGGAACTGGACTGTGCTATGTACTCTCTCTGCACTTTAGATCCTCAACTATAGAGAACAGCTAATAAAGCCTGTTTTCATAAAGTCATTTTGCGGTAGAGTAAAGCAACAAACCTGAAGTGCCCATAGCTGATGGCAGGCAGAAGGCACTGGGTGAAGCTCAGATTATTTCCCCTCTAGTCCCTTGACATTTTTATCATATAATTAAGAGTCAGTGAAAATTGTCGTAGACAGATAAATAGATGATAGATACACACACATGAGCATATATAGCTGCATTTATATCTCACATAAGACTCCAATTTCAATATAGAAAATAACTTTGATTCTTGGACAAAAATAAAACAGTATTTTTTATTAATGCATGACATTCTTTTTAATATACTGACTTCAGTCAAGCTTTTATCTCTTTTGGTATAATCTGGAAGTTTCTCCTTTTTTCCCCACATCCCAGCACCATGCAAAGTGAGGCGCTTAGCAAATGCTTTTGATGATGATAATAGGTTTGCCATTTTAAAGGATGGATAATTTGAGTCATAGAAAGGTTAAATAGCTTGCTTGAAACTATTCCATGCTTCTTTTCAGCCTGGAAGCAAGGACTCTAAGTGCATTCCTCTTTCCCTGCATCCTACTCTTTGATACTTCATAGATAATTGATAAACAAAGTCATTTATTTTCTCAACAAAAGCTGTGTCTTCTTGGCTAAATTAAAGTTTTGGTAATCCAATTTATTCTCTTAACCCAAGAGAGCAAGCAATTGATTTCATTTTCATTTTCAATCATGAAAACCTTGTCACATTTCATTCTTGCTCTCTGAATTATTAGGTTTCAGTTCTTGTTTCCACATGCTTTATATGCACAAGTCAAGTTTAACCTGAAAGATATTAAAGTGGATTTGCAGCGAAATGGCACATATCTAGGAAATTTGTCTTATTGCCTCTTAACTCCTCTTTTGTTTAATGTGCTTATTGGTATTTTCCTAGGACTGTGCTGGTGCTGCGTGACGGCACATTTCTGCTGACGGCCCTGAACTTTCAGACAGATGCTCTGTGAATCAGGCGAGAGGGAATCTTTAATTAACGCCTTAAGACTGGGAATGGAAACAAAGAACAGGAAGGTTGTAAGATGGATCTGGCTGTCAAAACAAAATGAAACAAAAATCCCAACATGCTCTGCCCCAGCAAGCATCACTCTGTCCTACACTGGGCTCTCGCCCGCTCTCATGCAGAAATAAGGGCCTGGAACTGGAGACCACAGAGGACAATTTAATATGGAAGAAAGCAATGAAACAACTTTCCACAGAAATTCTCTACCCAGAGCACCCTAGTGCCTCATTCCTGCCTCTATCATTAGAGCTGCTTTCAAATCCCCCATGATCTTAAAGTCCCTTGGAAGGGCTTGAAAGCTTCTCAGGTAATTATGGCCTTGTGAGAAACAATCAAGCTGGAAAAAAGGTATTTCTAAAAGAATCCCTAAAGTAAACCCCCGCCATTGTATCTGTTCTTTAGAGCTATAAGAGAAATTCATGTTACACTTTAGGGAAACCTCTTTGGTAAAATAGCTTGAATGTCACAGCCCAAGGCTAGAATTCTTTCTTTAGGAAATAATATATTTCAGAATCAGAATATGACTTTGAACACAGCCTGGTAAATCGTTTTGTACAACAGAGAAATGTTAGCACCTGAGTTCAAGGACAGCTGAGACTTTAGTGCTTTTTTTGTACATCCTTCCTTGTTCAGATTGCTTGCTGCCCTTCTTTCTGATACACTGTGTTCTATTCCTCTTCTGAAAACTCATCTAAAACTTGATTGTTTAAAGCAAATATGTATTGAACACTTACTATCTGCAAGGTATTGTCCTAGTTGCTGCAGATACAGACATAACTTTAAAAAGCAAAATCCCTGTCTTCATAATAGAAAATTTGCTATTTTAATTTCTCAAAACCCAATTGCTCCATTAAAGGTGCACATTTACACAAAAAGAATATGCACTTGGCTCTGTCTTACTTCTCTGCTCCTTCCAGGTATGCTGTCCCGTGTGCCCCTGACTGTCCATTCCCTGCGGTGCAGAGACTGCAGCCTCTTTTGATTTCTCTCAGTGTCAAATACAAAGCCCTGCTCACCACAGCTACTCAAAATCCAGGCATTCAGATATTATCTAATCTCCCTAAATGGCATTTTTGTGACACACAGAGTGAGTGCTGTTGTCTTGCTATTTTATATGCTTGAAACTTGAGTCGGCGTTCTTAAATTGATTGGCCAAGAAAACAAAGTGGTCAAGCTGAGACAAGATCATGAATCTTTGGTTTTCCATTCAAATTACAGAGCTAAAGAAAAAAAGAAATGGAGATTTTCCTTCCAAGCTTACAAAAACTGCTTTAACTAAGTATGATTTTATAAGATCCCAAGCCAATTGAAATATTGTCATTTGTAATAATAAAACCTATATATGATTAGCACTTTGCATTTTTCATTTATTCATTCATTCAACAACAAATACCTCCACACGCCAGACTCCCAAGAAATGAGGCTGCGGTGGTAAGCAAGAGAGATACAATGCCTGCCTTCAGGGACCTGGTCTGTTTTCCTATCTGATTATCTAAGCTCTTTTCAGGAAGTTTGGTAACCTCTGTGATCCCTAGACAGTGTAGCTTCAACTCAAGGCTCTGAAGTTTATTAACTGCAAAACACAAGGTAACATAATAAACTCTTCGAGCTTCCTTATATGCATAATAGTGTTGGAAATATTATCCACCTGATGGGGTGTAGCAGTCAGGGTTCAGCATAAAGAGGTTTATTACAGGAACTGGCTCACACCATTGTGGCAGCAAAGGAAGTCCAAAGTCCTTGAGTGGCAGTCAGGAAGGTGATGAGCAGCTGAACCCCAAGGGCAGGAGCTGAAGCTTGCCATCCACCCACAGGTTCAGTTAAGAAGGAAGACATGGGGGAAGGAGCGCAGTCACAGATCTAGCCATTGTTGAGAATCTTTTAGCTCAAGAAGAAGGCCTACACCCTCTTTTACTAAAGTCCTTTCAACTATTTTCAGGCCTAATAGAATCTCTGTTTTGATTAGCATAAAGTCAGTTGATTAGGGACTTTAATTATAACTGCAAAATCCCTTCACAGTAGGACCTAGACTAGTCTTTGAATAGTGGAGAGAAGATATGTGTGCTACAAAATAGCTGTGCCTCCCTCAACCTTCCAGCTCCAAAGGGAAAGAGGATGTTACTCATGGCCCACCCTAACCAGAACAGGTGAGAAAAGGAATTCTGGGTGACACAGGATCAATAAAACCCTAGTCAAGACGACACATCAAAAACCCATCATATAGGGTTATTGTGAGGATTAAGGAGACCCTGTATGTAAAACATCTGGAGTACACATAGTAACGAATTACCCCTTAGCAGATGACAAAATTGAGCTCAGAGGAAAAAAAAAAAAAAATAGTGCTTCTGTAACAGTTGGTGTGTAGAGTTGAAATGATAATCTGGTTTTCCTCAGTCAGAAACCTTATTTCTTGCCATGGTTTCTGCGCAACTTGTGTTCCTTTTCTAGACTGAGTCAGAACACAGGTGCACACGTTAAAAGAAAAAAAAAATGTGCAACAGCTCTAAGTATAGGCAGGTTTGCAGTGAGATGATCAAACACATCTAAGGTTCCCAGGCAAGTAAGTTAAGGCAGAGAGATCCCTGGCCTAAGACACAGCAGGGGATTATTACACAGGTGAAACCTCAGGTCATCTTACCCTGCAGGCTGTGTGCACCATACTTCTTCCCTAATAGTCCATCTCTATGTGAGCTTCTAGAAACTTGACTCTCATGTAAATCTGTTTGCATTTTTCTCTCTCCTGATCTGCTTTATAAACAGGATTTCACACTGGAAATATTGTATTACTTCCTTTCAGGTGACTATTGTTATTCTACACATTTAAAATTCATAAAATACTTTCAATGATTCAAGGGAAATTTTGCTTGGGTAGGTTAGGGTAATATTTGTGTGGTTAAAAATGAAAAATGAGCACTATTTCTCCACCCACCATTCTTACAGTAAAGTAGATAAAAATAGACATAAAAACTCTTAGAACTTAAATTGTCAACACAAATTAATTCACTTGCTCTGACTTTGGCAGTCAAACAGAAGCAGGAATTCACCTTGACTAGGCTCAGCCTCCTCCCTAGACATTATCCCAGGATGTGGATCTGCTAGAACACTGCTGACACTGGCCAGGCATCTGCTTTGAACTGATCTCATCCTGTCTTCTCCTGGCTCCATAAGCCTTGAGCAACTAAACTTTAAAATATTCACATTCTAGAATGTCAATCAAAATGGTATCCCAAAGGTATAAGCTATCCAGTTTTGCATTTATAAACTTTGAGTCTTTAAAATATATCTGAATCCAATCATCTGCAGGTCACTGGACAAATATTTACAAATATTTATTAGTCTCTTCTTATGTGTCAGAAAGTCTTTTTGATTCTGAGAACAGCACAGACACAGGGTTCCTGCTCTCAGGAGGCTTATACTCCAGTGAAGCTCCATAGACATTCAACTAGTAAACAAATGTTGAACAATTCAAACTGGGGTGACTGCTACTAAGGAAAGGAATAGGATAGGAAAGGAAAGGAATAGGCTGATACAATTAGATAAGTTAGATAAGTTATAACTTAAAACACTGAGGAGACTCGTTATTCAAACAAGCATGATTGTCTATCCTTCCATAAGTAGGTAATTTGTTAGTATTATCAAGAATTCTACATATTTGATGCATTTTGCTCAGAAGTTAAGTCCCTATATAACCATACTTTTTAATTGTTGAAAAATTGTACATATTAACTGTGTACATGTTTTGAAGTATATATGCATTATGAAATAGTTAAATCTAGTTAATTAACAAATGCAA
This sequence comes from Homo sapiens, assembly GCF_000001405.40. Lineage (NCBI taxonomy): Eukaryota > Metazoa > Chordata > Mammalia > Primates > Hominidae > Homo > Homo sapiens. Next base: position 103,273,190 of record NC_000013.11, on the reverse strand, counting down.
TACCTCACAGAATTATTGTTTTTGTGGTGAGAACACTTAACATCCACTCTCTGCCTTTTTAAAATTAACTATACATATTTTTCATTTAATTGTAGTAGGAACACATGAGATCTGTCCTCTTAACAAAATGTTAAGTGTACAGTATTGTAAACTATAGTCATTATTGCCATGCAGATTCTAGGACTTACTCATGTTGAATCACTGAAACTTTGTACACTTTGACTAATACCTATTTCCCCTCCTCCAGCTTCTGGCAATCACCGTACTCTGCTTCTGTGAATTTCACTATTTTAGATTCCTCATATAGGAGGTATCATGAGATATTTATCCTTGTGACTGGTTTATTTAACATCATGTTCTCAAGGTTCATCCGTGTTGTTGGATCTAGCAGGATATCTTTATTTTTTTAAGGCTGAATAATAGTCCATTGTGTGTATGTACTATATTTTCTTCATTCATTCATCTGTTGATGGGCATTTAGGTTGTTTTCTTTCCTTGGCTATTGTGAACAGTACTGTAATAAACAAGGGAGTGTAGATATCTCCTTGAGACCCTGATTTCATTTCCTTTGGAGATATAACCAATAGTGGGATTGCTGGATCATACGGTAGTTCTATTTTTAATTTTTTTTGAGAAACCTTCATACTCTTTTCCGTAATGGCCATACGAATTTACATTCCCACCAACAGTATGCAAAGGTTTCCTTTTCTCCACATCCTCATCAACACTTGTTATCTTTTGTTTTTTGTTTGTTTTCTGCAACATGGTCTGCCCTAGGTTGTCCAGACTGGAGTGCAGTGGTACAATAATGGCTCAGTATAGCCTCAAACTCCTGGGCTCAAGCAATCCTCATTCCTCAGCCTCCTAAGTAGCTGGGACAATAGATGCATGCCACCACTCCCAGTTATTTTTAATTTTTTGTAGAGACAGGGTCTCACTTTTTTACTCAGGCTGGTCCTGAACTCCTGATATTAAGTGATCCTTCTTCCTCAGCCTCCCAAAGTGCTGGGATTACAGGTATGAGCCACCACGCCTGGCCGTATCTTTTGTATTTTTTGATAATAGCCATACTAACAGGTATGAGGTAATATCTCATTGTAGTTTTGGTTTATGGTTTTTTGATAATTAGTTTGGTTTACAGCTCCTGATAATTATAGACATATAAAATGGTCAATGGGTACATCAAAAGATGTTAAGATCAAAAGATGTTCTTCTTTTTAGAAATGTCTATTCAGGTCCTTTGCCCATTTTTAAGTTATTTGTTTTCTTGTTATTGAGTTGAGATTTTTATATACTTTGGATATTAAGTTCTTATCAAATAAGTGGTTTGCAAGTATTTTCTTCCATTCCATATGTTGCCTTTTTACTATGTTAATTTCCTTTGCTGTGCAGAAAATTTTAGTTTGATGTAGTTTCAGTTATCTGTTTTTTATTTTGTTGCCTAAACTTTTCATGTCCTATCTAAAAAAGAATTGCCAAGACCAGTGTTTTCTTAGTTTGTGCCACTATAACAAGATACCTGACACTGGGTAATTATAAGCAACAGGCATTTGTTGATCACACTTCTGGAGGCAGGGAAGTCAAAAATTAAGGCACCAATACATTTGGTGTCTAGAGAGGGCTCCTTTCTGCTTCTAAGGTGGTGCCTTGTTGCTGCATCATCTGGAGGGGAAGAATGCGGTGTCCTCACATGGTAGATGGGACAGAAGGGCAAAAAGGGTGAACATTGTATGAAGCCTCTTATAAGGGCCTTAATCCATTCACAATGGAGGAGCCCTCATGACCTAATCACCTCCTGAAGGCCCTACCTTTTAATACTATTATATTGGAGATAAAATTTTAACATAAATTTTGAAGGAAAAAAAACATTCAAACCAGAGTAGCTGTCCTAAAGCTTTTTCCCGTATGTCTTCTTCTAGGAATTTTACAGTTTCTGGTCTTACATTTAGGTGTTTAATCCATTTTGAATTTTCATATACAAGATAAGGATCCAATTGTATTTTTTGCATATCAATATTTAGTATTCCCAATGCCATTTGTTGAAGACAATATCCTTTTTCCATTATGTATTCTTGACACCTTTGTCTAAAATCTGTTGACTGTATATGCATGGGTTTATTTCTGTATTCTCTATTATGTTTTCGATTATAGTAAATTATTCTCTGTTGTGGTCTATATGTCTGTTTTTGTGCCATTATTATATCATTTTAATTATAGCTTTGTAATATATTTTTGAATCAGGCAGTGAAATGTCTTCACTTCTGTTCTTCTTTCTCAAAATAGTTTTTGCTACTCACTCTTCTTGCAGTTTATCTATTTTAGGATTCTTTTTCCATTTCTGTAAAAAAATGCCATTGAGATATTGGTAAAATTTGCATTGAGTCTATAATACTCACTTTTAGTAACAGAGAGATTTTAGTGCTAAACCTTCCAAGCCATGAGCATGGGATACCTTTCCATTTATTTGTGTCTTTAGTTTTTTTCAGCAATGTGTTGTAGTTTTCGGTGTACAGGTCTTTCACTTTCTTAGTTCAAGTTATTTCTAAGTATTTTCTTCACTTTGACACTCTTGTAAATGAATTGTTTTCTTAATTTTATTTTCAGACAGTTTATTGTTCATGTATATAAATGCAACTGATTTTTGATTGTTATCTTTGTATCTTATAATTTTTCTGAATTGTTTTTTAGTTCCAACAGTTTTTGTTTTTGGAGTTATTTGTGGAATATTTAGGGTTCTCTACACAAGTGACCATGTCATCTGCAACAGAGATAATTTTGTTTCTTCCTTTCTGATGTGAATGCCTTTTTTTTCTTGCCTACTTGCTCTGGATAGAACTTCTAGTACTATGTTAAATAGAAGTGGAAATAATGGGCTTTTTTGCCTTGTTCCTGATTTCTGATTCCAGAGAAAAAGCTTCCAAATTTTTATCTTTGAATATCTGTTAGATGTGAGCTTTTTATATTATTAGGTTGTGGTAATTTCCTTTCACTCATAGTTGGTTGAGAGTTTCTATCATGAAGTAAAGTTGAATTTTGTCAAATGCTTTTTCTAAATCTATTGATATAGATTTACTTTCTGTCAGTGGCTAGTAGATACTAATAGTCAGACAATTTTATATAAAACAAGCTTGATTATATATTTTCAACCTTGTATATTAGCCCATTTATCAAAAATATACATAAAATGCAGCCTTCCTAGTCAATACTGTGATTTATATCCTTCATTCTGTTAACATGAACATCATACATTTTTAAATATATATATACCTTCCTCAGAAGGAATATAGTATAGAATAAATGTTAGGATTTAAAACAATTCTCTAGTGCAACACTTCCCTTACCAGAATAAGTGTTTAAAAGAGAGGTGACTATCTTATAATATTTGAAGGGAAACTAAATATGTAGAAATCAAAAAATTAGAATAAACACCAAGGTTTAGTCAAAAGTGGAGATGCATCTGTTGAAAAAATAGAAAAGAGCATGCCTGTGGTTTCTAGTAAATAGAATTCATCAAGACCCAGCAAAAACAATTCAGATTATGAAAACTAATTTTTTAAACAGGGATAAGGACACTTTCTAATGGGTTAGTTAGAAAAGAAGTGGCTTGCATTGTTTCACTGGCTGATGGGAGACTGATAATTTTATAGCAGATTAAGGAGCTTGTATTAGTCCATTTCCACACTGCTGATAAAGACATACCTGAGATGGCACAATTTACAAAAGAAAGAGGTTTAATGGATTTACAGTTCCACATGGCTGGGGAGGCCTCACAATTACGGTGGAAGGCAAGGAGGAGCAAGCAGTATCTTACATGGACGGCAGCAGGCAAAGACAGCTTGTGCAGAGAAACTCCCACTTATAAAACCATCAGATCTCATGAGACTTATTCTGTATCACAAGAACAGCACAGAAAAGACCCATCCCCATGATACAATTACTTCCCACTGGATCCCTCCCACAACACATGGGAATTGTGGGAGCTACCATTCAAGATGAGATTTGGGTGGGAACACAGCCAAACCATATCACTCTACCCCTGACCCCCCCCAAAATCTCATGTCCTCACATTTCAAAACCAGTCATGCCTTCCCAATAGTCCCCCAAAGTCTTAAATCATATTAACATTAATTCAAAAGTCCACAGTCCAAACCCTTATCTGAGACAAGACAAGTCACTTCTGCCTATGGGCCTGTAAAATCAGAAGCAAGTCACTTACTTCCTAGATACAATGGGGGTACAGGCATTGGATAAATACACCCATTCCAAATGGGAGAAATGAGCAAAAACAAGAGGGCTACAGGCCCTATGCAAGTCTGAAATCTAACAGGGCAATCAAATTTTAAAACTTCAAAATGATCTCTTTTAACTCCATGTCTCACATTCATGTCACACTGATGCAAGAGATGGGTTCCTGTGGTCTTGTGCAGCTCAACCCCTGTAGCTTTTCAGGGTACAGCCTCCCTCCTGGCTGCTTTCACAGGCTGGCATTGAGTGTCTGCAGCTTTTCCAGGTGCATAGTGCATGCTGTCAGTGGATCTACCATTCTAAGATCTGAAGAACAGCGGCCCTTTTCTCACAGCTCTACTAGGCAGTGCCCCAGTGGGGCCACTGTGTGGGGGCTTCAGCCACACATTTTCCTTCTGCATTGCCCTAGCAGAGGTTCTCCATGAGGGCCTTGCCCCTGCAGCAAACTTCTGCCTGGACATCCAGGAGTTTCCATATGTCCTCTGAAATCTAGGCAGAGGTTCCCAAACCTCAATTCTTGACTTCTATGCACCCACAGGCTCAACACTACATGGAAGCTGCCAAAGTTTGGAGCTTGCACCCTGTGAAGCCATGGCCTGAGCTATCATCTTGGCCTCTTTTAGCCATGGCTAGAGCAGCTGGGACACAGGGCACCAAGTTATTAGGTGGCACACAGCAGGGAGGCCCTGAGCTCAGCCTACAAAACCATTTTTTCCTCCTAGACCTCTAGGTCTGTGATGGGAAGGGCTGCCATTAAGACCTCTGACATGCCCTGGAGACATTTTTTCCATTGTCTTAGGGATTAACATTTAGTTCCTTGTTACTTATGCAAATTTCTGCAGCTGGCTTCAATTTCTCCTTAGCAAATGGGATTTTCTTTTTTATCACATCGTCACGCTGCAAGTTTTCTGAACTTTTATGCTCTGCTTCTCTTATAAAACGGAATGCCTTTAACAGTACCTAAGTCACATCTTGAATGCTTTGCTGCCGAGAAATCTCTTCTACCAGATACCTTAAATCATCTTTCTCAAGTTCAAAGTTCCACAAATCCCTAGGGAAGGGGCAAAATGCCACCAGTCTCTTTGCTAAAACATAGCGAGAGTCAGCTTTACTCTAGTTCCCAACAATCTCCTCATCTCCATCTGAGACCATCTCAGCCTGGATTTCATTGTCCATATCATTATCAGCATTTTGGTCAAGGCCATTCAACAAGATTCTAGGAAGTTCCAAACTTTCCCACATTTTCCTGTCTTCTGAGCCCTCCAAACTGTTCCAACCTCCAGTTCCAAAGTCACTTCCACATTTTTGGATAACTTTACAGCAGTGCCCCACACTACTGGTAACAATGTATTGTATTAGTACATTTTCATGCTGCTGATAAAGACATACCAAAGACTGGACAATTTACAAAAGAAAGAGGTTTAATGGACTCACAGTTCCACATAGCTAGAGAGGCCTCACAATCATGGTGGAAGGCAAGGAGGAGCAAGTCACATTTTACATGGATGACAGCAGGCAAAAGGAGAGCTTGTGCAGGGACACTCCCCATTACAAAACCATCAGATCTCACAAGACTTATTCACTATCATGAGAACAGCACAGGAAAAACCCTCCCCTATGATTCAATTACCTCCCACCGGGTCCCAGCCACAACACATGGGAATTGTGGGAGCTACGATTCAAGATGAGATTTAAGTGGGGACACAGCCAAACCATATCAGAGCTCAGTTTTGTTTCTTACTCAAATCTACACAAGTCTGACTTATTTTTGTAGTCTAGGTTCTTAGATACTTTTCCCGGTGGCTAGTGGATATTAATAGTCTGAACATTTTATATAAAACAAACTTGATTTTATTTTTCAACATAGTATACTAGCCCATTCATCAAAACTATACATAAAGGCAGCATTCCTAGTCAAAGAGAATTCATATGGAAGACATATACTAATGTGGTTGCCACAAAAATTCAACCTCAGCCAAAACATTAAGTCTCAATTTTCTGTGCCACATTACTTACATATTTCTCATCTCTCTCTCTCTCTGTCTCTCTCTCTCTCTCTCTCTCTATATATATATATGTATATATACCCATTCACATTACATAAGAAACTAAGAAAAATAGTCCCCAAAGGATTTCCTCCAAACATAGAAATTCCTTTTCCTACATTAAGTTTCTGTTTGGAAATGAGTCAACCTTGCAAGTAAATGTTTTTTATCCCTTATTTCACTTAATCTTCTCAACAAACCTCTGATAGAATCGTCATCATCATTATCATGATCATCATCTTTATTCTTGTTCTATATATCAGAAAGGTTGAGTAATTCATCCAAGTTCAAATAGCTAGCATAAGGCAGAACAGTCATCTTAACTATAGCCTTTTGACTCGAAAGGCTCAGTGAAATCCTGACTCCCCCACCTAGATTTTACAATATTCATCTACCTCTCTAAAGCACTTACTTTCTATTTTGTATTAGAAACTCCTGTATACATATTGTAATGGTTCATCTTGCATGTCACCTTGACTGGGTCATAGAATGCCCAGATATTTGGCTAAACATTATTTCTGGATGTGTCTGTGAGGTATTAGCATTTGACTTAGTGAACTCAGTAAAACAGATGGACCTCCTCATTACTGGATGATATGGGAGGGCATCAGCCAATCTCTTGAGGACCTCAATACAACAAAGGTGAAGGAAGAGGGAATTTGTCTTTTTTCTGCCTGTTGGAACTGAGACATCAGTCTTATCCTGCCCTTAGACTTGGATTTACATCATCAGCAACTCTAGTTCTCAAGTCTTCAGACTCTGAATCACACCACCAGCTTTTCCAGGTCATCACCTTGCAGATACGCAGATCATAGAACTCCTCAGCTTTCATTATCATGTGAGAAAATTTGTTGTAATAAATAAATAGATCTATAAACATATATCTCCCTTAATTATAAATATACACATACACACATTTATATTATATATGTATATACATATGTAATTACATACAAACATATATAATTATGTGTGTGTGTGTGTGTGTGTGTGTGTGTGTGTGTGTGTATATATATCTCCTATTGTTTCTGCTTTTCTGGAAAACTCTGACAAATATATATTTCCCACGTTAGCTCCATGCAAGTAAAATACATGCCTGATAGTTCTTTGCAGATAACAGCACCTAAATAACTACCATAATATTCACCACTACCATAATCATAATTAACACTGTTGGCGATTTTCTAATGTACCTGGGACCATGCTAAATGTTTAGGTCATTTTAAAATTTAATCCTCAAATTAATTCCAAGTAATGTAGATAGTACTAGTATTTCCATTTTTTTTAAGATAAAACTGAGGCTTAGAAAGGCTTATCGTGGCTTTCCAAGATAGCAGGATGAACACGTATATAACCAAAGTAATATTAAGCAAGTCCAACAAGGTTACTTAAATATATTTACTAGGCAACCTAAAACATGACAGATACTCATTTAGCTAGTAAGCAATATGGCAAAACTTATATTACACTGGTGGGGCAGACAGACAATACATGTAGCTCTGGCAATATGAGCCATGGCAGGAAAAAGCAGGGAAGGAGGTAAGGGGACCATTTGTTTTTGTTAGAATTTGATATACAGTAACCCCCTCTTATCCACATTTTCACTTTTCATGGTTTCAGTTATCCACAGTCAACCACAGCCCCGAAATATTAATATTATTACTATGCCTAATTTATAAATTTTATCATAGGTGTGTAAGTATCAAAAACATAGTTTATATATATAATATAGTTTATATATATAACAAACATACTATATAAAAACAGCATTTTAATATATGTACATAAAAAACTAAAATATATATACATAATTTGGTACATATATAAAAAATTTGGTACTATCTGTGGCTTCCAAGGCACTAGGAGTCTTGGAACATATACCCCAGGAATAAGTAGGGACTACTATGCTACAATTCTGTATAGAATGGTTAGAAAGAGTTACACATTGAAGATAGCTTTGAGAAAAGGCCTTAAAGTTTGAGTTCCAGATTAATAAACAGCATATGCAAAGTTCAAAGGATGAAGGAAGCTTGGCCTATTTAAGGGAACACAAACAGCCACTATGGTTTAGCCAGATGGGCATAAGAGAAAAAGTTATAAGTAATGGAATCAGAAATGAGCCATAGGGTCCTCTTTGATTTTGTAAGGCTTTATAGGACTTCCTAAGCAGGACTTATATGTTGTAAAAGATCACTGTGACAGTTTGTTTTAGATAGATTGTAAGAAGTAAACGTGGAAGAAGAAGGGAAGAATTGTAACCTTCTACAGTTAGAAGGCTATTGTAATAATCCCATCTAGAGATGAGGGTAGCATGGACCAGGTACTATGAAAAACAATTTTTGAATGAGTTAGAGTTTGCGTATGGTTCTAAGATAGACTTTATAAATGTCCTGACAAAATGTGAGGTGTTTAGACTTTATGTTTATGTCCCTCCAAAATTTATGTGTTGAAATCCTAACCCCCAATGTGATGGTTTTAGGAGGTAGGGCCTTTGAAAGATAAAATCTAGTACATGAAGGTGGAGCCCTAATGAATGGGATTATTACCCTTATAAAAGAGATTCCAGAGAGCTCTTTAGCACTCTTCCTGCCTCATGAAGCTATAAGGAAAAGTTGGCAGTCTGCAACTTAGAAGAGGGATCTCACCAAAACCCAACCATGTTGACTCCCTATCTCAGACTGTCAGGCTCCAGAACTGTGAGAAATAGGACAGGGACCCTATGAGGCATGGCAGCTCAAGATGGCAGCACAGAGAGGGAAGCAAGACAGCCAGTCAGACCAGCTCAGAGTCAGGAGGGACTCCCAATTGCAGGAAAAAGGTAAACAAGAGATCTCCAGCATCAACATCCACACATCTTCAGTCCTAGCTACAATAAAGCCCCTTAGTCCTCATAAGCCCTAAGCCTAGATAGGGAGCTGCCTGGAGTCAACAAGACTACATTATTCCAGAGGGAGAACTCACACTGGGTCCTACCCCTGGGACCCTGGTGCTGCAGCACAGTACCAGTTTGAACGCAGAGCCAACAGGAGACTATATCCTGCCCTGGGACCCAATAGCCCCGGCATCTCCACATCCCTGGGGTCCTACCAACATTCTCATACATTCACTCAGAGGGCTACAGCGTCACAGAACTTCCTGGACCTATTGATGTGCCACACCACCAGCTCTTAAGCTCACACAGCACCCTACACCCTGGGGAATGGGCAGTCCAGCACATTAGGGAGGCTGCCCCCAGGACATAGGGAACAAAAGTGTATACTTCACAGAGCCTGAGAGCAGCATGCCTGGGGCCACCACCACTGACAGTGATTCCACCCCCCACAAGCAGTGGAGTCATCACACAGCTGTGCTTTCCACCTGGGGGCCTAGGGATGGACCTACTCAACCTGCCACAGACACCACCTGTGTACCCTGTCCAGGAGGCCAAGGACCCTTGTTCTACCCCTCCGTAGACACTGCTGTGGGGTGCTCACTCACCTTACCCAGGTGCCCAAGGACTGACCCACCATCTTCACTGCAGGTGATCACACATACATTCTACCTGGAGGCTCAAAGGCAGACCCACACAGAACATGTCACCATCACAACCAGTGCCTAAACATGCCACCTAGGGGCTGAGGAGTGACCCACTCAGCACCCTTGTCTCCAGGAAAACCTCCCCACAGCCTCTGCAAACAACCACAGCCTAAGCCTCTAAAGAACTCACAGACACTGCTGGCATTAATTACAGCTGAAGAATTTATATGAAGATTACACTACAGTGCCCACCCAGAACCAAGGACAAATCAGTTTACACAACTGACATTATAGATACATCTACAGAAAAAGCCTTCTTCTACAGAAGCTATTCTATAAAATTGGAAGAAGTGACAGTTACACCAAATGCACAGATATCAACAGAAGGACAGAAGAAACAAGAAAAACTAAGAAAACATGGCACCTTCAAAGAAAGGAACACAGTAACACTCCAGTAACAGGACTCCAAAAAAGGGAAATCTATGCAATGCCTGTTCAAAATAATAATCTTAAGGAAACTCAGAGAAACAAGGGAACACAAACAATACAAAAGTAGGAGAAAAATAATTCATGATCTGAATGAGAAATTCAGTAAAGGGATAGATATCATTAGAAAGACCCAAACAGAAATCCCAGAACTGAAGAATTTAATGAATAAAATAAAAAATAAAATTAACAATTAAGTAGATTAACAGAAAAAATAATTTTTGAACTCGAAAACAGGTTTTTATAGAAGCTAGTCAGAAAAATATATTAAAAAAGAAATGAAAGAGAAAAAAATGTTAGAAGAGTGAAGAAAGCCTGTGTGACATATAGTACCACATCAAGTGAACAAGTATCCAAAGATTGGAAGTTCAACAAGGAGAATAGATGATAAAAGGCATAGAAATCCTGTTTAATGAAATAATTGCTGAAAACGTCCCAAGTTTGCAAAAGTTATAAACATCTTGAAAAAGGAAGCTCTAAGATCCCCAAATAGATTCAATCCAAAAAACGTTTTCTTCAAAGCAGATTATAGCAAAACTGTTAGAAGTCAAAAACAAATGAGGATATTCTCAAAACTGCAAAAGAAAAGCATCAAGTCACATTTAACGGAATCTCTAACGGCAGATTTCTTAGCAGAAACCTTATAGGCCAGGAAAGAATGGGATGATATATTCAAAGTGCTCAAAGAAAAACAAATTTATCAGTCAAGAATACTATACCCAGCAAACCAATCCTTCAGAAATAAGGAAATAATGTATTTCCCAGACAAACAAAACAGGGAATTCAGCATCACCACTAGACTGCTCCTATAATAAAGGCTTACAGGAGTCCGACATCTGGAAACAAAAGGACAGTATCTATCATAAAAATATAGGGAAGTCAAAAACTCACTGGAAGAGCAAATATACAAATGAGAAATAGAAAGAAATCAAATGTTATCCACTACAAAAAGCCACCAAATCACAAATATATGCAATAAGAATGTTTACACCAAACAATCTGAAAACAATTGACAAAATGACAGAAGTAGGTTCTCATCTATTAATCGCAACCTTGAATGTAAATAGTATAAGTTCCCCAATTAAAAGATATAGACAGGTTGAACAGATTTTTTAAAAAGAAAAAGAAAGAAGCAAGACCATGTTATATGCTGCCTGCAAGAAACTCACCTACCTGTACAGACACAAATAAACTGAAAGGATAGAAAAAGATATTTCATGCAAATGGAAACCAAAAGCATGCACAAGTAGTCATACTTACATCAGACAAAATAGAAATTAAGACTAAAAAAAGATAAAGAGACAAAGAAGGCCATTATATAATAAGAAAGGGATTAATTCAGCAAGAAGATATAATTATTCCAAACATATATGCACCCAAAAAGCAGAGCAGCCAGATACATAAGAAAAATATTAAAGTATAAGGGAGAGATACAACTCAATACAAAAATAGATGGGGATTCAACACTCCCCACTTTCAGCATTAGACAGATAACCTACACAGAAATTTAACAAAGAAACATTAGACTTAAACAGCTCTACAGACCAAATGGACCTAACAGACATTTATAGAACATCTCATACAACAGCTGCAGAATACACATTCTTCTCATCTAGCACCTGGTGCATTCTCTATGACAGACAATATATTAGGCCACTAAACAAGTCTCAATACATATTCAAAAATGAAAATTTTATCAGGTATCATTTCAGGCCATAATAGAATAAAAATTAACAACAAGAGGAAATTTGTGAACATACGAATATGTGGAAATTAAATAACATGCTCATGAATGACCACTGGGTAAATAAAGAGATCAATAATAAAATGTAAAAACTACTTGAAAGAAATAAAAATGGAAACACCACATTCCAAACCCAATAGGATACAGCAAAAGCAGTACTAAGAGAAGTTTTTAGCAATAAATGGCTACATCAAAGAAGTAGAAATATTTTAAATAAACAAACAAATGATTAACCCCTAATTATCAGAAATTGGAAAAGCAAAAATAAATCAAACCCATAATTACTGGAAGAAGAGAAATAATAAAAGTCATAGCAAAACTAAATAAAATCAAGACTTAAAAATACAAAAAAATCAACAAAATGAAAGGTTTTTCTGAAAGAACAACCAAATTAACAAACAGACTGAGAAAGAGTAAAGATTCAAATAAGTAAAACCAGAAACAAACAAAAAGACATTAAAAGTAATACCACAGAAATAAAAAGAATCATTAGAGACTGTTATGAATAACTATACATCAACAAATTTAAAAACTTGGAGAAAATGAAAAAATTCCTAAACACATATAACACACCAAGATTGAACCAGGAAGAAATAGAAAACCTAAGCAGAACAGTAACAAGTACAAGATCTATTAGTAATAAGTCTCCAACCAAGGAAAAGTTCAGGACTGGATAGTTTTACTGCTGAATTTCACCAAACTTTAAAAAAAAACTATAACCAATTATTCTCAAACTATTTCAAAAATTGAATAGGAGGGTATTTTTTCTTACTCATTCTACAAGGTAAGCGTTACTTTGATACCAAAACCAGAAAAGGATACAACAACAAATTGTAGGCCAATATCCCTGATGAGCATAGATGGAAAATATTCTTATCAAAATACTAGCTAATTAAATCAAACATCAAAAAAAACAACACAATCAAGTGGAATTTATCCAAGAAATGCAAAGATAGCTCAACATATGCAAATCAATAAATGTGATACACCATATCCACAAATGAAAAAAATAATATGATCAACTCAATAGATGCAGAAAAAGCATTTGATAAAATTCAACATCCATTCATGATAAACACTCTCAACAAAATAAACAATCTCAACAAACACTCTCAAAAACACTCAACAAACACTCTCAACAAAAACATCCATTCATGATAAACACTCTCAACATGCATTCATGATAAACTCTCAAAAAAGAGGGTACAGAAGGAACAAACTTCAAAATAATGAAGGCCATATATAACAAGACCACAACTAATATCTACTGAGTAGAGGCAAATTAAAACTCTTTCCTCTGAGATCTGGCTCAAGACAAGGATGATCACTTTCACTGCTTTTATTCAACGTTGTAGTGAAAGTCAGCCAGAGCAATTAGGCAAGAGAAAATAAAGGAAACTCAAATTGGAAAGAATGAAGTCAAATTGTTCTTGTTTTCAGACAACATGATCTTACACTTAGAATATAATGACTCCAGCAAAAAACTATCAGAAATAATAAATGAGTTCAGCAAAGTTGCAGGAAACAAAATCAAAGTGCAAAAATCAGTAGGATTTCTATACACCAAGAGTAAACAATCTGAAAAAGCAATAAAGCAATTCCATTTGCAATAGCTACAGAAAAAAAAACTAAGGAATAAATTTAAGGAAGTGAAAGAACTCTAAAATGAAAATGATGAGACACTAGCAAAAGAAATTTAATAGGACAAAAAAATTGAAAGATATCCCACATTCATGAATTGGAATAATATTGTTAAAATGTCCATACTACCCAAAGTGATCTACAAATTGAATACAATTCCTATCAAAATACCAATGGCATTCTTCACAGAAATAGAAAAGGCAATCCTAAAATTTGTGTGAAACCACAAAAGACCCCAAATAGAAAAAGCAATCCTAAGAAAAAAGAACAAAGCTGAAGGCATCACACTGCCTGATTTCAAAATATACTACAAAGCTAGAGTAACCAAGTCAGCATGGTACTGGCCTAAAAACAGACATGTAGGCCAACGAAACAGAATAAAGAACCCAGAAATAAATCAGTGCGTTTACAACCAACTCGTTTTTCACAAAGGCACAAAGAACATACATAGAAGAAAGAACAGTCTCTTCAATAAATGGTGCCAAAAGCTGAATATCCATACACAGAAGAATAAAACTAGACCCCTATCTCTTATCATATAAAAAATCAAGTCAAGATGAATTAAAGACTTCAATGTAAAACCTAAACTACAAAACTACTAAGGAAAACACACACACACACACACACACACACACACACACACACAATTCAGGATATTGGTCTTGGCAAAGATTTTTGAGTAAGACCTCAAAAGCATGAGCAACAATAGCAAAAGTAGAGAAATGGGATTACATCTATCTAAAAAGCTTCTACACAGCAAAGCAAACAGTGAAGAGAGAACCTGCAGAATGGCAAAAAGGATTTGCAAACTATACATCTGACAGGGGATTAATAATCAAAATATATAAGGAGCTCAAACAATTCAATAGCAAAAATACAAATAATCAAATTAAGAAATGGGCAAAGGAGTTCTATAGAGACTTCTCAAAAGAAGACATACAATGAGCCAAAAAGTATATGAAAAAATGTTCAATGTCACTAATCATCAGGGAAACGCAGCTCAAAACCACAATGAGGTATCATCTCGCCCCAGTTAAAATGGCTATTATAGAAAAGACATAAAATAACAGATGCTGGTGAGGATGTGAAGAAGGTGGAACTCTTGTACACTGTTGGTGAAAATATAAATTAATACAGCCATTAAAAAAAAACATGTAAAGTTTTCCCAATCCAATTTGTAGTCTTTTCTTTGTTTTTTGTTTTGTTTTGTTTTGTTTTGAGACTAAGTCTTGCTCTGTTGCTAGGCTGGAGTGCAGTGGTGCGATCTTAGCTCACTTCAACCTCTGCCTCCCGGGTTCATGCAGTTCCCCTGCCTCAGCCTCCTGAGTAGCTGAGACTACAGGTGCACGCCACCATGCCTGGCTATTTTTTTCTTTTTTTTTTTTTCTTTTTTTTTGGTATTTTAGTAGAAATTGGGTTTTACCATGTTGGCCAGGATGGTCTCAATCTCCTGACCTTGTGATCTGCCCGCCTCAGCCTCCCAAAGTGCTGGGATTACAGGCGTGAGCCACCACACCCAGCCAATTTATAGTCTTTATGTATACTGTTTGGGTGATGGGTGCACCAAAATCTCACAAATCACCACTAAAGAACTTACCGGTGTAACCAAATACCATCTGTTCCCCAAAAACCTATAGAAATAAATTTTAAAAAATTCAATCCAGCTATTCCACTGCTGGGTACATATCCAAAAGAAAGAAAGAAAGAAAGAATATATATATATACACACACACACACACACATATACATATATTAGTATATATACTGATATATATATATATACATACATATATATATATATATATAGTATATATGTGTGTGTGTGTATATATATATATAAGTATATCAGGGAGATAGCCACACTCTCATGTTTATCACAATACTATTCATAACAGGCAAGAAATCGAATCGACCTAAGTGTCAATCAGTGAGTGAATGAATAAAGAAAATGTGGTATATAGGCATAATAGAAGACTGTTAAGCCATAAAAAGGAATAAAATTCTATCATTTTTCAGCAACATGGATGAGCCTGGACAATATTAAGTGAAATAAGCCAGGCACAGAAAGATAAATTTTATACGTTCTTACTTATATATGAGAGATAAAAAGGTTGATCATGGAGGTAGAGAGTAGAATGGTGGTTATTTGGGGCTGGGAAAATAAAGAGGAAGGAGGGGAAACAAAGATTGGTTAATGGGTACAAAATACAGTTACATAGAATAAGTTCTAGTGTTTGATAGTACTGTAGAGTGACTACAGTTACCAATAATTTATTGTATATTTCAAAAATAGCTAGAAGAGAAGCTTTGGAATGTTCTCAACACAAATAAATGATAAACATTTGAGTTGATACCCTAATTACTCTGATTTCACCATTAACCTATTGTATTAATGTATCTAAATATCACACTGTACTCCATAAATATGTATAATTGTGTATGAATTTTACCAAAACAGAAATACAATAAATTTCTGATATTTATAAGCCACCTAGTCTCTGATACTCTTTTGTAGTTGCTCAAAGACATTGGGTATAAAATAATTTTTATACCTTTTTTTGGTCTTGAGTAACTGAAAGGATGGAGTTGCTATTAACTCAGATGAGAAAGACTGCACAGTGGGGTCCTGGAGAGAGAATAGTTCAGTTTAGAACTAAGTGTGAGACCCCTATTGAATAATGAATATGGCAGTTAAAGAGCCAGAAATTTGGGGGACACATTGAGACTGGACAGAAAAATAGGGAGCCTTCACTATACGGATTATTGACACCCATAAGGCTGAGTTTACAAAAAGAGCAAACATAAATAATGAGAGACCCAAGGACTGAGTATTGAGACTCTCCCAAATTTAAGGGTAAGCAGGATGGGAAGTATAGTAAAAAAGACAAGAGAAGGAGAGGTTAGTTGTGGAAGAGAAAAACCAGGAGTGTGTGTTCCTGGAAGCCAAGTGAACAAGTTCCAAAAAGGAGGAAGTGATGAACTGTATCCGACACTGCTGATAGGGCTACTAAGGCATGAAGTGAAAACTGACATAGAATTTAGCACTAGTGTGGTCACTGGAAACTCTGACGAGACCAGCTTTACTGGAGTGAGAAGGACAATGAATATTTACGGCCATTCGGGTAAAGTGTCCCAGTTCACTGGGGGCCTTGGAGTTTTTCCCCTCTTATTAGTACTGCAAAAGTACCTTGCTGGAGGGAAAGATCAGTCTTTCTAATTGCAGATTTTTGTACTCTATGAAAGGAGTTCATCCAGTTTCAATTATTGTGCCTTTTTTCATTAGATGTTTATTTTGTATTGATGTGTGATTGTGTGTACATGTGTGTGGGTGTTTTAATTTCCAATCCAGAGCTGCTTTGATCCTAGAAACAGAATACTCAGCATTCCATCTCAGTGAGCACTGCTTCAGAGTCCCATATTTGCTTTTCTCCTCCCCTGCTATCTCAATTCTAGGAAGGCCAATTAAACTGCCTACACCAGCATCAAACACAGCATACACTATCTCGACACATCGGTGATTATAAACACCCAAGTATATTTTAGAATAAGTACTGAGCTGCACTTGGGGTGTTTTCACTTTGCAAGAACTGTCTTTTGAGTAGAAACACATTGTAACTTGCAATGCACTCATGTTCTCAGGGGTATTGTCATTAAATGCAGGAAGACACCTGCACTAAGCTTCCTCCTCATAATTGGTGAGGTCAAATCATTCCCGTTGTATGTGTTTTTCAGTTCTTATCCATTTTCTGAGGCTTGATAATTAAATTTGATGTATGAGTCACTCACTAAAGTCATTGTAAGAAAAGTAAATAAAACATTTTAGCAATGTCTGAAAACTCAGAGGAAAGTAATTTTTGCTAGGGGGGAAAAATTGAGGCCAGAACCGTTCTTAAGTTTGTCTACCTCAGAGGAATACCTGTCTCAACCTACACTGAATAAACGCATTGAAAAATTATGTTTTCATTGAAAAATTGCCTCTATTTAAAATACTGAAAATGGCTGGTATGTTAAATAAAGAAATCATATTATTCCCAAGTTACATCTGAATCTACATCACTTTTCTTCGTTATTTAGAAAAAAATATGTTAATCTTATATATATATGCAAAAATCAGCATGTAAGAATTCTAAAAGCACTATGTACCTAACCAGGAGACACTCACAGACTGGGGGGATGTTGCTAATTTTCTCAACCAGGTAATATATTTGTTAGCTGGTCATAATAATGGTCTGCTGGTGGCCATAAAGAAAACCCAGCAGTTCTCTTTTCTCTACTTTCTGCAAGTGAAAATTAGATAATCTGATAAACTAGGTTATCAGATTAGATTATCAGAAAATTAGATAATCAGATAATCTGATAAAGAGAAATTGTGTTGATGATGCCTTACTGGGTGATAACGTGTGCTTGGAAGAGCCTCAGGTACTCCCTCTACTTCCACACAACATAATGCATTCACAAACAGTAGTTTTGTGAATAATATCCATTCATTTAATGATTCATTGATTTATTTACTTTCTCAACTCCTATGCATTGAACATCGGTAGATGAGCCAGGACCTGTATTTACTTCCAACAGAAAGACTGCAGTGGAGACCAGCAGACAAAATTGTAGGTTGATGACATGATAGACCAGAGGTTGAAGGAGACATTTTATGCCCTTCTACTCTTTTCCTCACACACTCACCATGGGCGCTCACAGGATACATGGACAGAGTGTGCTCACAAGCCTGATTTTATTAATCCTTATCCCAAATGTCACTTCTTCTCTGGTCCTTCCAGTCTAAATTGTTCACCCTGTTTTTTCTTTTTCATTCTCTATTATGGTCCTTCATAGCATTATCACATATTGATATTTTTATATAACATTTGTGTTAAGTCCATGTCTTCCCTCTTGGAAGGTCACATCCATGAGAACAGAGAGCTCATTAGATTTTTTGAGCACTATTATAGACCATAGATTTGTTACACTCTATGCAAAGTGTAGCATTTATCACAAATATTTAATGGAATGTTTTAAAAAACTATTAGTAACAAATACAACAAAATTCCTTCCTAGGCATCATCCCCTTGCTTGCTAGAAAATTTTCAGTACCTAACTCAAGGATGACATATAACAAAAATAAAACAAAAAAACAAGCATAAAATAAACAAAAGGAACTAAAATAAATAAATAAAACTTTCAGTATCTTTATCTCCAGTAGCTCAAAAAATATATTTTCTGTTTGTTTTCAATCCAGATAATGTTCAGTGTAATAAAAAATGTTTTTCAGTACTCTATCCAAATTTTCAATACCTTCCTGAAATAATTTGATGTCTAAAATTGTTTTGTCTATTTTGCGTGTGTGTGATGGAGTGTCCCTCTGTCACCCAGGCTAGATTTCAGTGGTGCCATCTCAGCTCACTGCAGCCTCTGCTTCCCTGGTTCAAGGGATTCTCCTGTCTCAGCCTCCCTGTAGCTGAGAATTCATTCAGGCATGCCACCACGCCTGGATAATTTTTATATTGTTTTAGTAGAGATGGGGTTTTTACCGTGTTGGCCAGGCTGGTCTCGAACTCCTAACCTCAAGTGATCTGCCCATCTCAGCCTCCCAAAGTGATGGAATTACAGGCGTGAGCCACTGCACCTTCCCGTCAACTTCTTGTTATATCCTATTGTAGCCCCAGGTGCAAAGTCACTTAAATGCCTGAGTCAGGAAAATCTGGAGTGGAAGTGTCTTTATTTAAACTACCCAGAACTGACACTTACAATCTCATGCCATTGAACATCTGCACACAGCAGAGTGCTCAGCCCAAATCATGTCAGTCCCTCTTCACATCTTTCAGTTTTCCTCTTCGGCCAAGAGCCTCAAGGCCCAGATTTACTTTGTCTCATGATGCTGTGTCCTTATTGTTATTCAAAGTTACACTGTAATATCCTCCCCTTTAACTCCACCTGCTGCTTTACCTTCTTCTGAAATACACAACACCCAGTTGCCTTGTTTTTCGGTTATTCCTATAGGTCATTCCCATTTCAAGACTCATGCATACTAAAGTTAAATTTTTCATGGCTAAAAAAAAGTATACATAACAAAATCTCTGAATATTTAAAGTTCTACTAATGGGGAAATCAAATTTTCTAACAGTTGAAGAGATCTATATGCTGTATGTTAGCAAACTATGAACTCAAATGTCTCTTCAAAAATGGCCGTCCTTTCTTATCACTTATTTGGATTACTATAACTTACCATAGCAACAATGCAGTATCTAGTAGATGCCAGGCACTTCAGGGTTGATACATTGACAGACATTGACCTTCAGTTTTCATGTTACCACACTGTCCTGGTTTTCTACCTACCAGCTGCTTCTATTTATATATTTTTTTTTCTGAGACAGATCTTGCTCTGTCACCCATGCTGGAGTACAGTGGCACGATCTGGGCTCACTGCTATATCCGCCTCCCAGGTTCAAGTGATTCTCCTGCCTCAGCCTCCCGAGTAGCAGGGATTACAGGTGCAAGCCACTGTGCCCAGCTAATTTTTATATTTTTTTAGTAGAGACAGGGTTTCGCCATGCTGGCCAGGCTGGTCTTGAACTCCTGACCTCAGGTGATCCGCCCGCCTCGGCCTCCCAAACTGCTGGGATTACAGGCGTGAGCCACCACGCCCAGCAATCTATTCACATATTTTAATTGACCTCTAAATGTTTAGTAGTTCAGGGATTAGCCCTAGTCCCTCTTTATTACTCTCTTGTCCTGAATGATTTCCATTTAGAACAACAGCTTTACCTGCAATATAATGCCAAAGTATACCTCCAATCCTTAAATCCCAACTCTGATCTCCAAGTGCCTACAATGTTCTTCCAAACGGATATCCAATAGGCATCTCAAAGTGATCATGAAACCACCTTTGCAAAATTATGACAGTGAAAGAGATCTGACCTAATCAACTCCATCTTGCTTCTAACCTCCAAGCTGATATGGGAGAAGGGCAGGGAAGTGCTGAGAAGAGAAGGGTAGGTCTCTGGCAAAGGCTCCACCCACAGGCCTGTGCCCACAGGCCTAGATGAGGACAGGCACTCCTGCCTTCACGCCCAAATATTACATTTCCCAAGACCACCCTGGCCCACCACTCCCCAATCCTGTGCTTATAAAAACCCCAAGACCCTAGCAGGCAGACACACAAGTGGGTGGACGTCAAGAGAAGTGGATTGGCAGAAGATGACACAAGCGCCAGGACATCAAGAGGAGCATAGTGGCAGAAGAGCACACCAACAGAGCCAGCAGGCCACTGACCATCAGAATGATGTGGAGTTTGGCCTGGGGAGTTGGAGGAGAGCCTAGGACACTGAGCAGCCGGACTCCAGGGGAAAACCATGTCCCTTCTTGCTCCTTCATCTACTGAGATCTACTTCTACTCCATAAAACTGTGTACTCATTCTCCAAGCCTAGATGTGATCCAATTCTTCTGGTACACCAAGGCAAGAACAGTGATACAGAAAGCCCTCTGTCCTTGCCATAAGGCAGGGGTCTAATTGAGCTAACACAAACTACCTGTAGATGACTAAACTAAAAGAGCACCCTGTAACACAAGCCCACTGGGGCTTCAGCTGTAAACATTCAGCCCTAGACACTGCCATGGTGTTGAAGCCCCACAGCCTATGCATCTATATGCTTCCCTAGAGGTTTGAGCAGTAGGGCACTGTAGAAGTGAGCCATACCCTCATTGCATGCCCTGTGAAGGGGACGAGGGAACTTTTCCTGTTTCAACTGGGGGCTCGTCTGGGACTGCGGAAGGTGAGTGTGAGTGAATGTGAAACTGTTAGGCCTGACTCTCTTCCAAAACCCTGCCACCTCTCCCCTTTTCCTGTAAGAGGCTCTGTTTCCCTTCATGGACTTTTAAAAGTCTGCCCTAACTGGGCTGGTCAAAAACCTCCAGACTTTCTTTTCTCTCTTTCACATGATTTGCAGTGACTCTTATCTATTCCTTTATAATGTTAAGAGTTTTTCTACAGGCTGTGACAATGTTACTAAGTAAAATGAGCATTAGGCTCAGCCACCAAAGGTCCAAATCAGACCAGTTGTTCCTAGAGGCGTCATGTATGCCTCCATGTCGACAGCTGCAGGCATGCATGGCTCAGGGTACCTCCTGTTACACTTTCCCCTTTCAGCTTGGCTACTGGGTGTGCCTGCAGCAGGCAAAGTGGAGTCCAACAGCCACGAGGGGGGGCATGGGAGAAAGCCTCAGTAGTAGCTGCGACCCAACAGAGCCAATGGATGGGTGCTTTTTATCCGCTGTACCAATGGAACCCTTTCCTCCCCTGGCCAAGGAATTCAATTCAGTCTGATCCAGGGGAAAGATGTAAGGATTGGAAATGCCCAGTTGCACTAACAAGGGGTTCTTCCCCCAGAACCTCCCCCTTTTTGCCCCTTAAACTGTTTTTCTTTTTTCTTTTTCTAAGTGAGAGGCCTCCCCCACCCCCCACCAGCTGTTTCTGACAGGGAAATTAACGGAGGAAAAACCCCTTCTGGCTGATAACCGCAAATTCGGCAGGGCACATTTGAGACACTCTAAACAGATACAAACAGCCTCTAAAATACCTTTTCAGTTCCAAACTCAATTCCAAGCTTTAGGCTGAGGCCCTAGAAAGACAGACCAGGTCTGAGGGGCTCAAAGCCAAGCAACAGGCAAAATGTAAATGCGCAGGACCAATTCCTGCTGACTGAACCCCACCCCACGGAAGGAGGCCATGCTTCACGGTATAAACAGGCCCAGGGAACTCAAAGGTTGCTGGCAGCAGGGAGAAAGGGAGGCACAGCTGAGGGTGGTTAATTCCTATTCTCCAGGTTTTCCCTGCTTCGTGGGTATTGTTACCTATGGCCAGTACCTGCCAAGGTCACCAAGGCTCAGGGACAACAGGTGGAAAGTGAAGGAAGGACACTTGCTTGCTTTCCCCATCACACCCTGAATGAGGGATGCCTCTATTCCCTGTCTTTCAAAATGGACAACCAGTTCTCTTTACTGCCCCCAGCTTATACTACTCTGCAGTGTATCTTGAACCATTGGGACTGCTTTGACCCTCAGAATCTGGAGGAAAAATGCCTCATAGCCCTCTGCATAAAGGTTTGGCCAAATTATGAAGGACTGGATTGGGCCCAGGAAATAACCATGCATTTCAAAACCATTCAGCAGTTGGAACTTTTCTGTAGACATGGGGACAGATGGTCTGAGGCCCCACATGTGCAGGCTTTCTAATCCTTGCAAAGCGATCCAGACCTTTGCTGACAGTATAGGATTGGTGCAGCCCTCCTGTTTGCCATCTCAGGGAAGGCTGCAAGGGGTAAGCTCAGGAAGGTCTACTTAACTAAGTCTCTGTTTCCACAATTGACCAGCAGAGTTCATTCTCCATACAACTAGCTAAACAGATCTCATTTAAAAAGAGAAAACACATCATTCTCTTGTGTATGGGATACAGAGAGACTGCTGTCCTTGCGAAAAGGCAGGAGTCTAATTGAGCTAATACAAGCCACATATGGATGGCTAAACTAAATCAAGTGCTTTTCATTGTTTTTAAAATTAGGTCTAAACACCTCACTGCGGCTTTTAAACCACCAGGTGATCTGGCCTCACCTCCATCCCTCACCTCACCTGCTGCTGCCCTCACTTGACCTCACTGCACTTTAGCCCCCTGGCTCCATTCCAGTTCCTTGGCAAGTCAAGATCCATTCTCCCCTCAGGCTTGGCAAGATGCTGATGGTGAACAATGTTGCTTCATTGTAGCATAATGCCTCTAAGATGAAAACACACTTAAACTTAGTGTTGAACCCGAAACTCCGTCTCCTTATCCTGTGCATTTTCATGTCTTGTCTATAATGACTAATGGCTTCAATGTTTGCCTTGGACACTAGAGTTTCCCCAAAGTTAGAGTTGGAGTCGTCTTATTCTCTGTTCTTCCACGGCACCTTGAGAGCTTACTAGATGAATTAATAAACAAATAATGAATGAATCAATGCAGAATGCCAAGCACCCATTCATCAGGTCTTTCCCTGCCATTAAAGGAACAACAAGCATCATTTAACCCTCCTTCCCCAACACTTTTACTTAGTCGAGGTGGTATTGAAATAAGAATTACTGGATCTGGATTCTACCCATCCACTATTCTCATGACCTTGAAAACTACCTCTCTTGAATCCTTGAATCCTCAATTGTAAAACAAAGGCTTTGGAGTAGATTGGTGGTTTGCTAACTTTCTAAGTGAAAGAAACATTTTAAAATAAAATTATATACATTTTAACATATGAATCATTTTTAAATTATGCTGGGCCTGGTGCAGTGGTGCACACCTGTACGCCCAGGCACTCAGGAACCAGAGGCAGAAGGACTGCTTCAGCCCAGGAATTTGAGGCTGGAGTAAGCTATGATTGTGACATTGTACTCCATCCTGGGTGACACAGCAAGACATTGTCTCTTAAAAAATTTTTAAAGATGTAATAAAATAAATAATGCTGCTTTGGTTGAATGGGCTGGTGTTCTTGAAACTCTGCCAATCAGCAAACCCATCTGTCCCTGCCTGTGGGAACCCCAGAGGCACCTCCATAGATTTCCAGGGCTCTTCCAAGCCCAGTTCAAAAACCACTGGACTCAAAAGTCCCTAAGGCCCCTGGTAGATCTAACATTTCATGATTCCGACTCTGAAATAAACAACAGATGTCGCCAACTAAAGCCGAATGATATTTATTCATGTACTCCTTTAAAAATTAAATGGAAGACTTTCCTCCCCCTCAGAAAGCAAGCAAAATTCATTGCTTGGAATTCTGACAGAGTATACAAAGAGCCTTTTAAATGCTAAAGAACATTCATAAATGACTTTGTCACAAAGTGTTATAAGATTTTGCAAAATTGAGTTTATGTAGTTTTTTGCTGACTTGAAGTGTTATTGATTAGAAAATACCTCTACCCTCCAGGCCATGCGTGCCTCAGAAGGTTTCAGATCCAGGAACTCGACTCACCTCACCTGTGTACCGGAAAGGTCAAGCCACCATGGAAACCCATTAAAACACAAATGCACATTCACTCCGCTTGGAGGTTGAGAGTGACAGATCCAATCTCACCCAGAGCCACATTGCAGCCTCCAGGAGGCTGATGTAATTCTCCTGTGAGTCTGTGGTTTAAATGGAATTGATTATTTAAAAATATTAGATATGGCATTGCTTGCTTTTTCACATTGCATTAAGAACTCTCATACGTGAAGCTAGAAGCTAAGTAGACAAACATACAGTCATAGTGTCCTCATACCTATGTATATGCACATACCTGCACATGGGTACACACGTACATAGAGGAGACAATATTAATAGTTTATATATGTGTAAGCATTTACATTTATAAAGCACTTTACTATAGAGCAGGTCATTCAATTCTCCTAAGAACTCTGTAAGCTAGGTATTTATGTTATTGACATAGAATAGTTATAAATATTTGGGAGGTATATGTGATATTTTGGTACCTGTATACAATGTGTGACAATTATATCAAGATAACTGGGATAGCCATCATTTTATCTTTTCTTTGTGTTGGGAACATTACAATTCTTTTCTTCTAGCTATTTTCAAATATACAATTATTGTTAACTGTAATTTTTCTACTGTACTATAGAATATTACAACCTATTCTTCCTAACTTTGGTATTTCTATCAGCTAGGTATTTTTAAAAAGCTGCTAAGCACACAAAAAAAAATGCACTAAGGGATTTTCATACATTTACCACTTTTAATTGTCCCAATATTTCAAATAAAAATATGAAGGCTCTGAGAATTCAAGCAGCTTATTCAGTGTCACAATGCCAATGGGCGTATTTGTGAATGAAAACTGGTACTATCAACTATCAAGGGCAATGTTGTTTCTCTACAACATAGTTTCATCTAATCCCAAAATAAAATGTGGACTGACTTTTGTAAAAAAGTTTGTTCTACCAGGGCAGCTTTTGGTAAAACATTTGTTCTTGATTGCTTTTCTAATGTTAGAGCTAGATTTTGTATAAATTCTTGCATGTTCAATAGCCGGGATCTCTCTTTCATTGGGCAGCACCATTTATAAAAAGCTAGGTGAAGAAGTCAGAGCTGTGAGTTAAGTCACCTAAGGTTTGACATAGAGCCTTGACTTCATTCAAGATGCTTTTGATAGAGGAATGAGACTGGGGTAATATTTCACATCCTCCTCCAAACATCCCAACTTCTCAACAGAATGGTGTCCTCGGTCCCTTGCTTTCTCCCCATTTTCTCTATTGCCATTGACATTATTTTTTCCTTCAGTGTGAGAAGATACGTGATTTTCCTTGTCTCCTTCATTTACAGCTGGCAGCGTTAGCCAGCCAGTCTTGTAGAAACAAGAGAAATGTGATGATTAGCTTTAGTGGTTTAGGAACTTTATACTGCTGGGTCTCATTAGTCGGACATCAGCCAAGAAACTTCATTCACATATAGCTTAAGCATGTTGTGCATGATCTCAAGAGCCTGCCACAACCTGGAAGCTGTGCAAACCATCCTGGATTAAGCTGTTCTGTGAGGAAGGAATGAGAGCTGCCCAAGATTAACTACCAGTCCTGTAACTAAATGGCACAGAGCTTCTAAGGGATAAAGAAAGATAAACGATTTCCTTGATTACAAATCTCTCACTCATGTGGAAAACATATTCCCCAACTCCGAGACCATGTTACTGAAGGAGCACCATCTGCCACTGGCTCAACTCTAATGAAGAAAGAGTTCAATAGAGGAGTAATGGATCCTCTCAGTGGCCCCATTCATCCTGGGGAAAGCCGTTCTGACCACTACGTGCCACAGCGTGCCTCTCCCCTGTTGCTGCTGTGTGTCTGTGAGGATGGAGATTTTTCGTTGGAAATAAGAGAAAGAATCCAATGATGTGGTGCCACAGTCTGGCTGTTATCCCCACTGCCCATCATGTAGCTCTTGACGTACCTGACAATTACCTTGAGCCTCATTTTATCTGTAAGGTGGAATTCATCACGTAAGTCTCCCAGCAGTCCTCAGCACAAAGTCTAATGTATAGTGGCAATAAATTTCTGTACATTCCAAGAAGAATCCGATACTATTATTGTGGTTTTTTCCCAAGAAAGATGCCTTCTTGTATTCAATTCTTTTTGTTGAAAGAGAAGACTTGACTTCTAAAGTATTGTATTGACTTCTAAAGTAAATTTGAATCGTGCATCCATTACCCCGGTAGAGACTCACAGCTCTGTAGGGTACTAACAGGGACACTCTTTCTAGATGAATGTAATACCCTCCACATGTGTCAATTATTTCTCACATTGTAGGTCTAACCCCTCTTTAGTAAGTCTAATGCCTGTATTTCTCAGCCTAACTCATTACGGTACCTACTAATTCCTGGCCATCATTTCAACAGAGATAAGCAAAGTCCCCCTAGTAGAAAACAGGCAGTGACCAGAAAGTGCAAAGTCAAGGAAGAGGGCATGAGGATGCCAAGGGGAGCAAGATTAAAGGTGCCAGGAAAATAACAAAAACACCTTGAGAAAGAAAATTATGATTCGTCTTTCTCCATTGGCCTGGAAACAAGCATACTCAATCATGGTTATGGTGAACATATTTTCCATACCAAAAGCTGTTGGAACAAACAGTCTGACCAGGAATCTTTGTGCCATTTAAGAGAGTGAAATATGATATGAGAGATATAATTTGAGTCCTGAAATACGAGTGTCCAGAACACATCAATAAGTTTGGAGTCAACAGATTTAAAAAGGACACTGTCCAGAAAGTGCAAAGATATATGTTCACTGAAGTCATTCTCTCAACATAAAATTACTATTTCTTATGGATGCCATAGTGGGTAGAACTGACTGAAAGACTCTGAACACTCAGTATCTCTAGGCATCAGTTTCCTCCAGTGAAGGAATTGTATTAGGTAGTCTCAAAAGCCCTTTTATGCACCAATATTCTATAATCCTTTAATTTAGTCTCTATGCTGCAATGGTCCTGCTTCACAAACAGTGCATGCACAGGCACACAAATACACACACTGTCACTCACACATTCATGAACTTAGCATCTGCCATTATTAATCTCTGGGATGGCAACACGGTTTTTTCACTTTCACTTGTTCTTTCAATTAGAAACATACTTTTCATGTCTCTTTCCAATGAGAATCATAAGATAATGTCTAAATATTTTATAAATGACCAGAATTTATATTTCCTCATACCTCTGGGTTCTTTGATCATCACAAGTCTCAGTCTTCCATGTCAGTTACTATCCCTACAACAAAATGGCCATAGTTGTTCTCAGAACTTCCCAGCTCCCAGAAGTTGAGCCAATGCCTGGTTTCACCACCATCTCCCCACTTTCTGGCAATAAATAACACTATCACATTTTGGGGCCAATAAATAATATCTAACAGTCAGATTGCTCTTCAAGTTCCTTAACTTCTCTATACCACATTTTCTCTAACTATAAGTAGGTTTAATAGTGTCTATCTCATAAGAGTGTTTTTGGAAACAAATATAATAACGAATGTAAAACACAGTATCTAGTACAAATAGTTATCCAAATCCATAAAGTAAGCCCAAGACTCTAAAAGCATCCTCCACCATGAAGAGAAATTGATGTTTATATTAACTTATTTTCAGACAGACAGCCTCTGGCTTCCCATTCTTGAATGATCTGGTTTCACAGTTAGATGCTATCACACCAATGACTTTGCAGAAAATGGCTAAAATAGAGGCAGAGTGGAGCCCCCATGAGCTGGAACCTATGTCCCAGAGATAGATCATTGCACATGTCATGATATCTTCATAATTAGTATATGTGTCGGATAAATGAACCAGTGACTCCTCTTCTTATAAATTTAATAAACTCATTAAATGTATAGAGACCTATTTACCTGAATAATTATTGTAGTAAAAACCAGGATGCAGAACCATTTATCAGGAATGTGATTGTTCATTCTATGTGTCAACTTGGCTAGTCTATGATGCCTATTTGGTCAACTGTTGCTATAATCTATTTCTTAGAGGTGATCAACACTTAAGTCAGTAGACTTTGAATTAATCAGGTTGCCTTCCATAATGTAGGTGTGCTTCATCCAAATAGCTGAAGGCCTTAGCAGCAAAGACTGAGGTTTCCTGAAGGAGAAGCAATTCTGCCTCAAGAGTGAAACACAGAAATTCTGCAAACTTTGGACTCAAAGTTGCAACATCAACTCTTCCTTGAATTTTCAGCTTTACAGATTTGGGACATGACAGCCCCCAACAGTTGCATGAGTCAGTTCCTTAATCTCTCTCTCTCAATCTTTCTCTCTCCCCACCCCCCACACACATGCATATATATACACACACACATGCATATATATACACACGTGTATATATACACACACACATATATCTCCTATTTGTTCCTAATACAAGGAATGATCACAAATATAACATTGAACTGTATGAAATTGCTGTTTGTATAGATCAAAAGTTGCTATTGGTGTCCCATGAAGTTTGACTAATTATACACACATAAGTGCTAAAGTGAGAAAAATTGACTGGCTTATCCATAGTTGGTGAGATTATCAGTGATTTTTAATCATTTTCTTAGTTTTTAGTTTTTTTAAATACATATTTGTAAGTCAGATAAATATATTTAAATATTAATCACCCTAAACTCACTTCTGCAGCACCATTAAGCCCAAAATAAGCCAAGCCATCCTAAATCATTAAAAAGATGACTGCTATGTGGTAACCAATGAATTAACATCTTTGCAAAACCACAAGTTTTCAGGAATGTGAGAGTATGAAACAGACTAGAGAATATCAATGAATAAAGAAATGGTGAACGCATTTCCTGTGCAAAATGCCATGCCTTGAGGGAAAGAGTTTCTGGGAGGCGCTGAGCAAAACGCCTTGCCTTTGGGGAAACAGTTTCAGGGAGGCACTGTGGAGGCACTGACAAGGAACTCTTAGGAGTCTTCCAGGGGAGGGAAAGAAGAAAGAGGATCCACTGCTGGAAGAAATATAGGACTTTGAAATCCCATATGGCTTAGAACCAGCCATGCACTGATGGCAAATGGAGCATGGTCCCAGTGACAGGTTCCTAGGAAGAAAAGGCAGCACTTGCTAGCTTCCCTCAGACTCACATGGCTTGGTTTTGTTTGCTGTGGTTTTTTTAAACGAACAATCTCCAAGACCAATGTGTGCAAAAGACAAATAGTATTTTCAATAGAATTCTTAAAAGTAAATAATAATTGCAAATTTTGCAAAGCATTAGAGTGTTACATCACATAATAGAAAAACATTTGTCTGGATATCAAAATTACTGTAACTCTCCTAAAATGATAAAACACTTTGGGATTTTCCTTCTTAATGGAAAGTTTTGTCAAAAACTATGGATGCCTGTTGTATATAAGAATTATAATTCTGCAAGATTATGAAAAATGATCAAATGATTTGGCCTGAGGAATCCTGTTCTAAGACTGCACAATTCCTGTTTGGAAATGACTCTTTCTTGTCCCCTTGCTAGTACATGAAGCAATCCACTGAAGTGCCCTTGCATACCTGCCTCACTTGGTGTGTACTAACTGTACTCATGGCCCCAAGGTTGCATGTCTCCCACTGCAGGGATCGTCCACATTGCCTCTGGACTTAGCTGTGAGACTTGCTTTGACCAATGGAACATCAGCCAACTTGATACAAGCAAAAACTTACACATCTTGGTTTCTCTCTTTTGCACCACTGCCTTCACCTTGAGATCATGCCCGGACTACCCTGCTGAAGAAGAAGATACAGGGAATAGACACATGTCTCCTTCCTGCTAACATAGGTTCAAACATGGGAAAGAGGGCAGACAAGATCAGCAAAGCCATCCAACCACCTATGATGCATGAAAGCAAAAACTAAGTATCTACCGAGCAAAACTAAGTATCTGTAGTTGATTCCCACTGAAGTGCTGTGGTTGTTCGTTATGCAGCATTATTGAGGCCTTAGAAAATGGATACATCTAGGTCTAGGGAAGACCTACATTCTTTAGGGGGCTTTCTTTAGCTCTTTCTTCTCACCAAGACCTACCAGTTGTAAGCTGTATTCCATCAAAATCCTGCTTGATACTAGGTAACTTATATAATGTGTGTGTGTGTCTTACAAGAATTGATCAAATTATGTCATTTTTGGTTGTTTTATTAGGAACAGAAAACCAAATACTGCATGTTCTCACTTATAAGTGGGAGATAAATAACAACAACTTACGACCATAGAGAAGAAAGCAATAGACACTGGGGTCTACCTGAGTGGAGAAAGTGGGAGGAGGGAGAGAAGCAGGAAAGATAACTCTAGGGTACTCGGCTTAATACCAGGGTGATAATATAATCTGTACAACAAACCCCCATGACACATGTTTACCTATGTAACAAACCTTCACATGTACCCCCAAACCAAAAATAAAAGCTAAAATAAGGAACTTGAATGGTATCAGGAGAGTAGAATATACACATTCCCCACATGACAATACAGAACAGGCTGCAAGGAGATAAAACCAGAAAATAACTCTGCAATACTGGGATTGGTGAGTAGGAAAGAACTTTTCTGGGCAAGAGGAGTGGCCCAGTCAAAGCTTTGAGGACAGGTGTCAGATAAAGGCTGGTGTCAGGGAGGCCAACCTAAAGGGGGAGGTGTCCTGAGAGGTCAGCAGATACTGCATGATGGCAAGATCTAAGTGCAAACTATCTCCACAGAGCTGGGAAGGCTGAGGGCATCACAAAGAATGAAAACAAGTCATGAGACTGTTTCTAGGAATACCAGCCCAATAAGAACACATTCAAATCCTCAACCTCAGAGAGATGAAAGCCAGAAACTCCATTTTAAGGAAACAAAAAATGGAAAACTTAGCTTGAAGTGGCATATTATTGGCATCAAGGTAGAAAC
Source organism: Homo sapiens (assembly GCF_000001405.40). Classification (NCBI taxonomy): domain Eukaryota; kingdom Metazoa; phylum Chordata; class Mammalia; order Primates; family Hominidae; genus Homo; species Homo sapiens. Next base: position 103,241,610 of record NC_000013.11, on the reverse strand, counting down.
TAAATAATTAGAACTTTTGGAAAGTCAGAGCCTGGCCAAAAAAAAAAAAAAAAGGTGGATTTAATACAGAGTGCCCCGAGTATTGAAGTCAAGTGACTTTTCTTTCTTTTGCCCTTGTAAGTTTTGAAGCATGAAAAAAATTATAAAAACTGTTTCTTGTATTGGGCTTGAAAACATAAATAAGTATGCCAGTTCAGTATGATTTAGATAATAAATTTACTTTTTTACATTTAAAAAAGTATTGATTTTAAATGCCTACCAATTTTGTAAGAAAAGTAAAATCTGCATAAGAATTAAAACATTTTCTAAATTGTATGTAACTTGAAGCAATACCTATACAGGCACTATCTGAAGACAGTTAAAACAATTATTCAGAAAATTAAAACTCTTGAAAAACATTACTAAAGCTGTTTCTGCCTAAATTATTCCAGTTGACTGTCTAAATTGATCAAATTCATCAATCATTGTTCAACTTTATACCTCACTTTGCCTATGTACAAACAAAATCTTCCTAATGGTTACTCTAATTGCAGACAATAAACTCTGAAAACCAACTATAGAGCCCTGGCATGCAGATCTTAATTATTTAATACCATCCAGCCTCCCAAAAGTGGACGCAAATTTAAATCTAAAGTAGTTCCCAGTAGGCCTCAATTGCTAGGTCTGTGTGTATGGGTGGGTGGGTGTGGGTGGGTAGGTGGGTAGGTGTGTGTGTGTACTCTTTATTGCAATTTATTATAACAGGTATATACAGTGTAGTTTACATTAAAATTCCCTGAAAACTATACATCTGATTCATAATTAGTTTTCCTTCACAAACTCAGCTATAGATTAATCTAATTACATTGCATGTATTTGAATATTGGCTTTTATTTGCTTCTGTTTGTTTTACTCCGAAGTCTCAAACACATTTGTCAGCTTTATCGCTGCAGGCAGGTAGAACTTGAGGCAATTGCTCAGTAGTTTAGAATGCCAAGAGAAGCCAAACCCTAAGCTCACTAATACAGATAAGAGTAACAAAATCAGAAAGAGTTTGCTTCATTCCATAAGAAGAAATTCATTTTAACTTCCTTGGCACTCTTGAGGTCGATACTTTTTCTATGAAATTATAGGGAGGCTCAAGGAAAATCTAATGCCACATATACTAAAATGGACAACATGGAATTCAGAGAAGCATTTCTCCTTCAACTAGTTTCTAGTGAAGGATTTTTTGTCTTTACCTTTTATGTAGGCAGATTGATTACATGGAAATAGCACCCCAGAAAATATTAGAGGAGCTAGCTAAATTAAATTGTTAATTAAATATAATTTCCTTGGTGATTCATAATATCCATATTTGGAGATGGTAAAATTATCCTCTTCCATGACTATCGTCTTGCTTCTTCTATCGGCCCTTGTTCTTTAAGAAGCCATGTTTCTGGTACATTTCCAAGATGCAGATGATCTTGATCATCATTATTGCCCATAGCTCCAAAGTCATGCTCTGGCCAGCTTCAGCTTAGACCTTCGTTTTTCATCTGTGATACCCAGACATAGACTGAATAATCCAGATATTTGTTACTGACTTTTGATGGCCAACCCCTCAAAGCCTATATTGCTTGGACTTTTAAAATTTTCACTCCCCCATCACTAGCTCCTTTTAACTATCAGCATACAGTACTACTAGTGTCACTCAGGGGGCTGTTGGAGTTACCTCACAGGAATCAAAGCTAGCAATGTCTGAAACCTTGAAAAAAACACAGTCTGGAAAAAATCCACACCACCAAAATGTTTACAACCATGAAATCAAGTTTGAATACAGTGAAGGAAGGCAGAAAAGATGTGGCAAAATTATCACATGATACCCAAGATAGACCAATTTTTTGTGAAATGGAGTGGGGTAATACACAACTCTTTGCCTTAGAGACTACAGAATATGTTAATATCTGTGTAGGAATACAGAGACTCTATAGCAGTCTTTAAGCCACTCCTATCCCTGTGCGATTGGTCATACCCAATATTCCTGGAAAGCATCACAATTGTGTGCTGGCATTCTGTAAAAAGCAGCAAATAGTAGAAGCTCAATAAATACTTGTTGAATCAATCCTTTCCCTTAGAAAATCCATCACCATGTTTATATTAAGTGCGAGGTTAACAGCTTGAGAGGCTTTCTGTGTGTTGTTTGGAAATACGGTCTATTATTTTGTTTCTACTATTAGAATACTCCTATGACTTCATTATAGAACACTTACAAAGTAAACATCAAAAGGTATGTCATTTTTTATTGCCTAAGTTTTCACTAATATGTCATCAGCATCTTGCCATGTCATTGACTATTCTTATACAGCACTGCTAATGCCTGTATAGTATTTCACTCCATGAGTTATCATTAACATTTGTTTCAATCTAACATTGATTAGCAAATAGAATAATATGTGACTCAAAGCACTAGCTCAACGTGTATTCTTAAATAAGTGAATTAAATAGACATTTACTTTTCCTCTATTAATAATAATACTACCATGAACATGTTTGTGGTTAAATCTCTGTGCACATACATAATTCACCCTTTGGATGAATTCCTAGAAGTTAAGATGCTGGACAAAGAGTACATACTTGAATTTTAATCTCATCAATATAAACTTCTCTAGAGACTGCTAAGGAACCATACATAAAAATGATTTGTATTACTCAAAGCTGACAGCTATTTGCTTCTCCAAGCTTGGCCTTTCAACTAAAAAAGAAAGAAAGCAAGAAAAGGTTCTAGTTTCCTCTTCTCTTGCTCCAGAAAAAGAGCCTACATCTAACTAACTAGGTCATATGCATTACAAGGACATCTAGCTATTAGGTGTGAAATAAAATGGGTCAGGAAAAAATATCCTTCAGTTTGATTCACTGAAGACCAAGTAGGAATGATTATAGGGTGTGCAGTACTATCCAGTCACATGAATGATCAAATTGGATGCTAATAAATGTTTTGCCTCGGTCCAATTTGGCCATCTGGCCAGTGATTTGTTTCAGCTCCTGCCAAAAAAGATTGACTCTAACTGCAATGTCAACATCATCCTCTATTCCACAGGCTGCCAGGAACCAGAGAACATCATCTGCTTCATCAGCCTGCCTTCAGACAGGACTGCATTTAAAATTTGTTGAACAAGACGTATCCTGCTTTAAAATGCTTTCCTGCAAGGAACTGCAGGAGACCTCACCTATAACCACCAACTGAAAGACAAAAGACAAATCTAGTAACATTTAAATGGCCTAAACATTATTGAGTGATATTTGCAAATATGATACTTAATTGTAAGCTTTTACTTTCATAGGGTAGTCACATAATTTAAAAATACAATCCTAAACACCTGGAAGTTCCATTAGGAAAGTGTCTCACAATACCACAGAAAATCCCTGCTACTAACTCGAGCTCAAGTGGATTTTCATACACTTTCATAAAGTATTTCAAGTGTATATTACAGCTTCTCCCTAACATTGTTTTCTAAACTTGGGCATGACCACTTAGATTATTCACTTCAATTTGACACAGTTTGTAAAATGAGTTACTTCATACACATAAAAAGTCATCGTTTTCAACTTAGGTGACTTAGACTGTGCATTTAGGGAAGTGAAGTAAGGCTCCCAGTATCCAGAACCAAAAGTAATTTAACACATTCTCATTCCTTCCCTACTTCTATCACAATGCTACTTTGGCACACGATGGCTTGTTGACCTAGAATTTTTTTTGTTTTTAGTACAGAAAATCTTAACAAAAATAATTATTCTAAAATTACCAAATGTAATTATGGGAATTATTTGATTTTACCATGGGAGAGGCACATCAAAGGATCATGATTCAGGCTTCAATGCAGTGACTTCTGGGAACAATTATTTAGTTGTTAAAATGGGGAGAAGGTATTTGGCAAATTGTTGGAGAAAAAGGGCAGGAGAAGGAGAAAAAAGAAAAGAAGGGTAAAAGAATTACCTTACTCTTTCAATTACATATTACTCATAACTGTGTGAAATGAAAAATATTTTTAAATGTTCAAAACGATATAACTAAAAGGACAATCTATCATTTAATAAATTGGATTTAATAAATATGGTCTGATAATTTAAAACATCTATTGCTACAATAAAAAGTAGTGTGTTATTGAAATGCTACAAGATAGCAACTGTGGACTGCACATTTCATCTAGGGAATCGCCACATCGCCAGTGGAAATGTGCCCTTTATTTCTTACATATTCGAAAATGCCCTCTTTTGACATATAAATGTGTTGTCAAACAAGCCAGTTCAGAAGACAGGGTAGATTAAAAATCAAACAAGATTTGTACTAGTTTCCAGATTTTTTATTATAAATCCAGAAGCGAAATTGAGGCATGGCACAGCTAAATAAGTTGACCAAAGTGGTGGAGAAAGATTTGAACCTAGGCTATGGGATTCCTAACCACCTGATAATTACATCAAAACTGATTTGTAATGTTTGATCTTTTTTCCATTTGCCAGTTGTTAAAAGAAATCTGTCTTACTATCTTACTAATGTTGCAGAGATTAAAACGTCCATTATGACCCTAGACAAGTAACCTTATTTTCAAGTGGAAGTTTTAGATATTTAGGTGTAAGGACTACCAGATGGTCTTAAAAGTATTTTCCAGATCTGGAATTCTCTGGTTTTATAATACTACAGGATATCAATTATTTTAATAGTTTATACAGCTCAATTATTGAATCTGTCTACATATTATTGTTTTTCCATCATGTTGGTGTATGATTTCAAATAATATAAAGCTTTATAGGTTACCATTAGCTACTGTCACAACAAAGTATTAGTATATTATATCATCTTATGGAGATGCCAAATTAAGTCAATAAAATGAATTTGAGCCACAATGAAAGGAACCATTAAATACAGGAGCCTAAAATACAGTCCAGTGATTATAGATTTTGCCATTAAGAGATTGTGCCTCAAAGTGAAACCATGATATTTACAAGACTCTATAAACCCCCCTTCAAAATCTAATGGAAAGATTTCTTTTCCCAGAATTGTCTTGTGAAATATTTTCTAATTAAGGGAATTATTGTATTAGTCTGTTTCAAATGAATTATTTTCCCATGGAAGTAGGTGAAACCAAAGGCAAAGTGATATCTGTTCTCCAGAGCTGGGGCCCATCTCCACACCGCCATCTCCTGGGTGTGGAAAAGCACAGAGAGGACATCTGTTCCATTGTTCAATGCTTTGTGAAAGCCACATGGCACATGAGTGAGAAAATTGCGAAACAGAATTTTGGAACCTCTTGCTCATTCTCAGCAATTACTACCAGTACTATTTTCCCCAATTACCCTTTTAAGACTAGATAACTCTTCCACATCATTACTATTGCTCCTCACCACTCCTATATGAAAACACATTTCCTGAAAGGTTAAAAGTATACAGTTTTGAAACTAACAAAATGTTTCATGTGTCAAACACTTGTGTGCGTCACCTGAAGATCTTAGTTAAGTTGCAATAACATGGAATAATCTTCCAGTTCTTTTGGAGATGGTTTCTTCTCATTCATTCCATATCAGAGAAGGAAAGTGATTTTACTACTGCTTTTCCTTCCCTTCCCTCTCCCTTCTGATTCACTGCAATTGGCCCACAGGGTAAGAGGACAGGAAGCAAAGAATCAGAAAAGAGAAAGATTATATACTTTCTTTTTCACATGTCAAGACTATAATTCTGAAGCCATCATAGATAGAGACTGAATTAGTCAGGATTCTCGAAAGAGATAGAACCAATGGGATATACACAAACACATAATAAAAGGGGATTTATTATGGGAATTGACTTATACAATTAGGGAGCCACGACGTCCCACAGTGTGCTGTTTTGCCAGCTGGAGAACCAGGAAAGCTGGGGGTGTAATTTAGTCTAAGTCCAAATGATAAAGAATCACAGGAGACAATGGTATTACTCTCAGCTCAAGGCCAAAGACCTGATAATTGAGAAAGTCTGATAGTGTAAGTCTCAAAGTCCAAAAGCTCAAGAACCAGGAGCTCCAATGTTCAAGGACAAGAGAAGGTGAATAACCCAGCTCAAAAAGAAAAAGCAGATTTGCCCTTTCTCCACCATTTTGTCCCATTCCATCCCTCAACAGATTGGGTGATACCCACCCACAGTCTACCAATTCATGTGTCAATCTCTTCTGAAAACACTCTCACAAGCACACCCAGACATAATGCTTTACCAGCTATCTGGGCATCCCTTAGCTCAGCTGAGTTGACATGTGAAATTAACCAGTACAAATCTATCTCATGGATCAGACTGATTCTTGAATGCTGTTTCTCCACTGCCCCTTTTCCTAGCTGTTTGGCTCCAGGCAAGATTTTTAACATCTTTAAGTCTCAGCTTCCTCATTTGTGAAAAAGAAATAATTATAGAACCCTCACAGGTTTGATTAGCACAGTGTCTGGCACAGACGCCATAGATATTACTAATGAAGTTGCTTAATGTTTTCATTGCCATGGGTAGTGTGCATCATTGTCCATTTGATTTATTTTGATTACATCACAGTGATTTTGATTAAAGGGGTTTGTCTAGAAAGGCAGATACCCACAATAAGGAATTAATCTTAAAGACCTGCCTGGCATTAGCACTGTAACATAATATCTGTATTAATTTCCTCAGACTTTCAAAAACAAAGTATCGCAAACTGAGTGACTTAAAGTCTTTTTTTTTTTTTTGTAGTTATAGAGGTTAGAAATTTGAAGAAACCGCCCCCTGATTCAATTATCTCCTGCCAGGTCCATTCTACAACACATGGGAATTATGGGAGCTATAATTCAAGATGAGATTTGGGTGGGGACACAGCCAAACCAAATCATTCTGCCCCTGGCACCTCCCAAATCTCATGTTCTCACATTTCAAAACCAATCACGCCTTCCCAAGAGTCCCCCAAAGTCTTAACTCATTTCAGCATTAACTCAGAAGTCCACAGTCAAAAGTCTCATCTGTGACAGGGCAAGTCCCTTCTGCCTATGAGCCTGTAAAATCAAAAGCAAGCTACTTACTTCCTAGATACAGTGGGGATACAGGCATTGGATAAATATACCCATTCCAAATGGGAGAAATGAGCCAAAACAAAGGGACTAAAGATCCCCTGCAAGTCTGAAATCCAGCAGGACAGTCATATCTTAAAGCTTCAAAATGATCTCCTTTGACTCCATGTCTCATATCCAGGTCATGCTGAGGCAAGAGGTGGGTTCCCATGTTCTTATGCAGCTCTGCCCCTGTGGCTTTGCAAGGTACAGCCTCCCTCTTGGCTGCTTTTATGGGATGGCATTGAGTGCCTGTGGCTTTTCCAGGTGCATGGTGCAAGCTGTTGGTGGATTTACCATTCTGGGGTTTGCAGGATGGCAGCTCTCTTCTCAGAGCTCCAATAGGCAGTGCCCCAGTGGGGACTCTGTGTGGGGGCTTCAACCCCACATTTCCCTTCAGCACTGCCCTAGCAGAGGTTTACCATGAGGACCCCGGCCCTGCATCAAACTTCTGCCTAGACATCCAAGAATTTCCATAGATCCTCCGAAATCTAGGCAGAGATTCCCAAACCTCAGTTCTTAACTTCTGTACACCTGCAGGCTCAACACTAAGTGAAAGTTGCCATGGCTTGGGGCTTGCACCCTCTGAAGCCATCACACAATCTGTACCTTTGTCCCTTTTAGCCATGGCTGGAGTGACTGGGACACAGGGCACCAAGTCCCTAGGCTGCACACAGTATGGGAGCCCTGGTCCTGGCCCACGAAACCATTTATATCTCCTAAGCCTCCAGGCCTGTGATGGGAGGGGCTGCCATGGAGACCTCCAACAAGCCCTGGAGACATTTTCCCTACTGTCTTGGCAATTAACATCTGGCTTCTCATTACCTATGCAAATTTCTTCAGCCTGCTTGAGTTTCTCAGAAAATGGGTATTTCTTTTGTATTGCTTCTTCAGGCTGCAACTTTTTCAAACTTTTATGCTGTTTCCCTTTTAAAACTGAATGCTTTTAACAGCACCCAAGTCACTTATTGAATGCTTTGCTGCTGAGAAATCTCTTCCACCAGATACCCTAAATCATCTCCCTCAAGTTCAAAATTGCACAAATCTCTAGGGCAGGGGCAAAATGCTGCCAATGTCTTTGCTAAAACAGCAAAAGTCACCTTTACTCCAGTTCTCAACAAATTCCTCATCTCCATCTGAGACCGCCTAAGCCTGGATTTCATTGTCCATATCATTATCAGCATTTTGGCCAATGCCATTCAACAAGTCTCTAGGAAGTTCCAGACTTTCCCACATTTTCCTGTCTACCTCTGAGTCCTCCAAACTATTCCAACCTCTGCCTGTTACCCAGTTCCAAAGTTGCTTCCACATTTTTGGATATCTTTACAGCAGTGCCCCACTCTACCAGTACCAATTTGCTGTATTAGTCTGTTTCCAAACTGCTGATAAAGACATATCTGAGACTGGGTAATTTATAAAGAGAAGCTCTTAAAACCATGTATATTATAACAGGTATTGCAAATCTATTTTTAAATACTCTCTTAAAAGCAATTTAATTTAGTCAAGCTGTGTTCAGCAATTTGGGGCCTTTCTCTTGGTCTTGTTGATTTCACTGTCAGTCTTCATATTCTGATTGATTCATTTGACAACCGGCTCTAATGCTATTTTGAAGCAAGTAAGGTAACAAGCCCTTATCAAAACGTTTACTGTGCATATGACCATTTGTGGGGACAATTACATTGCATAAAAAGAATTTTACCAATTCTTCTATTTTGAGAACACTTGGAAAAATTTAATATTTTCACATTTAAAATTCATAAGGAGAACCAATTATCTGACAACCAAATACATACATGGGGCCCTGAAATATTGGGACTTTTTGGTGGAAATATTGTACCAACCTAAAATAACAGAGAGAGTGGCTCTCAAAATAAATGAGTTTAATCACTTTGGGATAGGTCGACATGGTGTGACTGTAAATGTGATGCATGAAGAAGAGCACAGAATAATTCTCTAGCATTCTTGCCATGGACACATGGCTTAGGTCTGGTCCTAAGAAAACAATGGATAGACCATGTTTAGGGTAGTCTTAGGGGATAAAAGTTATGTATTCTTTAGACTGTCAAGCATATAAGAGTCAGGAAAACACTAAAGAACTTTTCTACACTGAAGGAAACTGGTGAGACATGATAAATAAAAGCAATGTGTGCTTGTGATAGGATTCTAGACTAGAAAGGAAAAGGAGCTACTATTAAGACAGATGGCAAAATGTGAATGGTGTCTGAGAATGGAATGGTTGTACTGTATCAGTGTTTATTTTCTGACCAGAGGAGTACATGGTAGTAACATAAGAAGGTACCCTTGTTTTAGGTGAAAAGGAGTTATACACTGCAGTATTTAAAGGTGATGGGTCAACACATACCTCTCTAAAGAAAAAGTAAAACAGAAATAGGGAAAATGCAGTAAAATTTAACAATTGAAGAACCTGTGTGAAGGGCATGCAAAAGTTCTTTGTACTTACAACTTTTTCTGTAGGTTTGAAAGTATTTCAAAATAAAAAAGTGTGTATACAGAAAATATTTTTTAAATTATAAAAAAACAAATAAATGTATATGGGAATAAATTATGGATTACCATCTGGAAATATTGATGACATGGCATCCCATGGAAGGCCACAGGCATACCCAGGGAGACACAGGAAGGCAAGGATTTTTAAAGACAAAATGTGGAGGGTTACATAAGTTATTTTGAACTCATTATCCTTGGCTACAAGAATCAATGACAAGACTGGTGTCAGTCCAAGGTTGAAAAGGCAGTTGCTGGGCAGACGTCCTGGCAGAAGTATTCCTTGTGAAAGCTTGTCATGGCCTTCATACATGGTCATGGTTTTGAAGAGTCCTTGTAGTAGTTTTTATCATAGGTATGTGTGTGTGTGAGAGCCTTCCATTCTAGCCTCCCAACTCCATTTTGTTAGAGTTTGGCATAAGTGACTTCATTTTCAGTTGACAACTGTTGCATTTGTCCCTTCTGATAAAGGTCTTTCTCTAAAAGCATTACTGATAATTCTGTAGTTAGATTTTGATTGTCTCTTAATGCTGGGATGGACCTATCCTGATTGGTCTTGTTCCATGTCATGGGGAACAGATTGACAACTAGGAGTCAGCGGTAAAAACCCTCTTAGCTACACTGTAGCAACAAGAGGGTTTGAAGAGAGTGGCTCTCAGGCTAAGTTTTCCTGGAGTTCATTGTTAAATTCAATTTTGTCCATTTTATAGATGTGGAAAGTGTTCCTTTGAAGGGCCAGATCAGCATTATTCTGTTAGGAGGTGTGATTCTGTAGAAATTTGACAGGCAACAGGTACAAAGTTTTAAAAGAATCATGCAGAGTAAAAAAAGCAATATAGCAACCCCAGTTTATGTGACTATTTTTAGCTGTGAACCTAGGCCTGAAGGTAGTAGCCAACTAAATGATCAAAAGATAGTGGGGGAAAATTGGATTGAGGGAACCTAGAAGAATTCAAGGTTCAGTCCAGATTGCAGGTAAATAATAAAAACTTGAAAATAATGAACAGGGGTACACGTGACAGCCAGTGTAAGACAGTTTTCCTTTTTTTTTTTTTTTTTTTTTGAGATGGAGCCTCACCCTGCTGTCACCCAGGCTGGAGTGCAGTGGTGCAGCTCACTGCAACCTCTGCCTCCCAGGTTCAAGCAATTCTCCTGCCTTAGCCTCCTGAGTAGCTGGGACTACAGGTGCCCATCACCACACCCAGCTAATTTTTTGTATTTTTAGTAGAAACAGGGTTTCACTATATTGGCCAGGCTGGTCTTGAACTCCTGACGTTGTGATCTGCCCCCCTTGGCCTCCCAAAGTGCTCGGATTACAGGCATGAGCCACAGAAACATAATTGTTTTCTCTACAGTTACTCCTATTTTTACCAAAGATAATCAAAGTAAGCCCAACTTGTTTATAACAAGTTTAGCTTCATCAGATTTGGCCTTATTTTTTATATAAGTGTATCAAAGATGTTAACTGACTACATAGGAATATGAGACTTAAAATCTCTCAAGGGCAGAAAGACAAACCAAGGCTGACTTTAGATTCTGCTTGTAGTACCTACAGACAATTTAAATGTAGTATAACATCTCATTCAAAACCTTGTTAATATAACCAATTGTATCCTATTATAAGAAAAACAGATTTTTCTTGTATAATTTGCATACAAAATTACATATATTAATAAGAATTTTTAACTCTTAGTAATCTTAATTTCTAATAAAAAACCTAAAAAGTAAAGCAAATTTATTTTCTTGGTGCATTCTCCTCAGATTGAATTTATAGTTTTATGATCTTAAAAATATAATAGAGACATATATAAACCCATCTGACCAGCAAACCCAGGTTAAAAAAAGTATGCAGACAAATCTGAAGACATTCTATTTTATTTTTATCAATAATTTAAAAACAGCTTATTTATCAAAGATCTCCCCAAGTCCCATGAACTTGAAATGTATTTAATTATCACATTTGTAGAAGCTTTAGGTATGCTCATTTATCTCTGAACCAATTTAAATAAAGCATTTTACTAATATTAGTATGAAAGACATTTAAGATTTTTCATTTGCTCAATTTTCAAATGTCAAAAACTATGCCAATAAGAAAAGTGGTCAGAGGAAGCAGGGCATATGGTTCATCCGAATTTGAAAAAAAAGTGTTTTAGTTAACTGAGAAGCTCCCATGGGAGAAGCAGGAACCAATACAGAAACAGAGAGTGCTAAAAAAAAAATTACAGCCTAGATATCAGCTGACTTCTAACCAGAGGTCTCTGAAAAACAAATTCTTTTCAAATATCTTATTATTAGGTTTTAGCCAGAAGAAACAGCAACCATTCCTGAAAGTATTAAACTTTTTTTAAAGTCAATTCTTCTCATAGGTTCCAATAGGCCAGTTGTTTAGAATGTGAGCTCTTAAAAAAAAAAATACTTTTAGGTACAAAATTCCAAATCTCCGAAGGTATACCTACTTCAATTTCAATTCAAAACCAGTAAGCCTTCTATGGCTTAACAATGGAAGAGGTGTCCTCAAGAGGGTACAAAAGAGTCCCTCTCAAGATCCAAAACTTCTCCCACAGAGAGAGTAAAGTACTCTCCTAAGAGAGAAAAGACCTTCATTACTAACGAGGCAATAAAAGTTGAGAAAATTAAGATAAATTCTCCTTAGGATGAATAATGCAAAAGACAGAAATCAACAACCAAACAAAAAACCAAGAACTATTTCTGGGAGGCTGTGGGTCAATAGTCAATGAGCACTCAAAACCAAATTTACAAAAGTCACAATTCAAAGAACAAATTATTACAAATGCTTTTCTTTTCTACCAATCCACATTTAGAAAAAAAAAATAAGAAGGGACAAAGAAATATCTTCCTCTCTCAACTAGACATTACAGATACAGATCTAAGGGAGCTCACCTTGATAAGAATTTCTACTTTCTGCTGGGTTTTGTCATATCTCTCAGGATTCTACCCACGGGCTCCAAAGTGAATGTGTATCCCAACCTTTAGGGTCTTAGCTGAGTCTAAGAATTCAATTAACATAAGATAGTTTAACAAGAGAAATGCACAAGTCTTACATAGCATTGGAACATAAGGAAATGAAGAAACAAAATACAACTGCTGTGAACTATGTTTTCTCTGATCACAGATTCAAGGATGAAACAGATTCTGCAAGAGAAAAGGCCCATCATGTGAAAAAAATACAACTTAAAATTCATAGAAAAGAAGGTGACAAAATGTTAGTCTTGGGTAACTTTGATTTGTTAACATGTCAATGCAGCTGAGAATTGTTCTCCATTCAGCAGTCCAAAGTCCCCCCCATTGCAGCAAAGGTACTCTTACATATTGGCAAATGAAGAGTTGATGTTTTTCAAACTATTTCCCTACAAGACTCAACTGTAGAGTAATTTTGGAAGACACAATATGGATTTTAATTTTTTATGGGCTCTAACTTGACATTTGTGTGTTAAGAATGGACAATTTTATGTCTGCACAAAAGTCATCTCACTGGGTCAGCTCCAAAACTTCTTGGTAATATCAATAATGCTACCATTAAAATTATACAACATGTATTAGGTGCTTGGTATATGCTAGACAATGTTCTAGGGCTTTATAACTATTCATCATTTAATCCTTAAAACAATTTAATGAGATAGGTATTATTATCTTCATTTTACAGACAGGCAACCTGAGCTTCCTGAACCCAAGCATTCTGGCTCCGGAATCTGTATAAGTTTAAACACTACACTATCTGCCTCTTAGAATCATTTTTCATGACATGGATACATTTACATATCTAATAGGCACACTCAGTGGCTGACCTCAGCTGAAACACTCCAAAAGTTCCCCTTCCATTGTAATGAATGACATCTATGTGCCCCTGTAGAGAGCCAAACCTCCTCTTATTCCTTGGGTCTAATTTTCCTGAACTCACTCAGAGGTCTCGTTCCTCTGATTTTCCTCTCATATATTGTCATTTTCTCATACTCAAATATTGTCACCTGGTCACTCTCTAATTTCTCTTTCTTATTTTCATGGAAAATATTACTATCTGAAATGTAATTATATAATGATATTTATCAGCTTGCTTATTGTTTGCCTCCTTCAGTAGGTTATAACCTCCATAAAACAAGGCTTCTTGCTCAGTTATTCCCTGGGTGTCTAGAACAGTGTCTTGCATACACTAGAAGAAAAATAAACATTTCAGAATAAATTACTGAATAAGGAAATAAATGAATAGATCCTGCTACTGTTTCCACATCTTTTCATTGCTATAAGAAAAATCATCTGAAATAAGCCCTGGCTTGTATTAAACACATTTTTTGCACCCTGCATATAACATTTTTATTTTAATGTATGTTTGTATATTCTATTAGTTTATTAGACACCATAACAGCTATATATGCCTATTACTATTTAACATAAATGAACCATCAACTCTATTGTATTATTCCACTTGTCCCTATGAATTTGTCACATATGCCCAAATAGTTAGATCCAGGCTCTCCAATGTCTCCTGCAATCAGTTGAACAGCACCCTGGTTTCCTTGCTCTCTTTCCATTATCTTTGAAACCACTTTAAATTCAGGTTTTATTATCTACATTAGTGTAAGCCCAAAGGTTTGTAATAAACAAATTCACAAATCTATGATGTACTATGCCTTTTAAAAAAAGCTCACTATTCTTAACCTCTCAAACCTGCTTAACAATTATATACATCTCTAAATGTAGCTTTGTGCCCCTTTCTTCCTCAGACTACAAAAGCAATTACGCTTTTAAAACTCTACGGCAAAAAAATAATCACAATAAACAGAATGAAATGTCATTCTGAATGGCAAGCTCTTCCCAAGCTGCCAGGAGAGAGCTTTTGAAGACATCAGTATTCACAAGACAAACCCCAATTTGCTGAGTCCACCAACAGGTTGCATAGTTCTCCCTACCACACTGACAAATACAATTGTTGAGGCTGCTGTGCAATAATAATGAAAGCTTGAAAAGAGGCTGGGAGAAGGCTGTATTGATAGTATTTGGAATTGATTGCCTTCCAATAAAAATAATCTCTGGCTCTGCCTGCAAAGTCACAGCTGACAAAGTCATGTTGCCCCATATGGCTTTACTCTGTGAAGCCTCATTGAGTGTCATCCCAAGAGTGGCGGAGAGAGTTCTGCCTTTCTCTCCTGTTCTACAGAAAAATGGTATCGTGATTTATAAGGAAAGATGTGCCTATTACTTTGGATCTGTTCGAGAGCCATGTAGAAAATATCAGGACAGCAAAGCATCCGTGCACTAGACAGAAGCATCTGGGGTATTTCTTTTAAATTTGTGTTTCCACTTAAATGGAAAGCACTGTTTCTAAATGCTGTCTCTCTATCTGATAGAAGAGTCAGTAATAGGACCTCAGGACTCTGAATGTCAGTGTGCTCATAAACGGAGCCCAGTAAGGAGAAGATTCCATCCCTCCCCAGCCCAGCAGGTTCTAGACTCAAATGATACAGAAAGGCTAATGGGAAGCATGAAAAACAGAGACGCTCATCTGTCACCCATTAAGCGGCAGAGAAGCCCTGAAGATGAGTTCAGGCTGCCAAGAGCATTGGACTTGCTCTTCTCTTCCCAGAAGTGTTCACACCTTGAAGGTGAGAATTTGTTTACAGAACGAATATGGCTTCTCTCTCTAAACATCTTATTGTACTGTACTCACCCTTCTTCTTCTTGTGATTGAGAAAGGAATGGCACTGGGTGGTGGCAGGAGGATGGAAAAACCCAAACAGCTAAAACAAGAACTAGGCAAAGAAATCACAGAATAACAGAAAACCCAAAATAAGGGAGAGAAAATGGCCAGCACTTCAGTTAAGGTGACATGTCCATGACTCTTCAGACAAACGCAAGTGAAAGAGAAAGGTGGCAGTAACCACGGTCTCCATCATCCCCTCCTTTTCCAGAATACCTAATTATTTAGGTATTCTTCAATACTGACCATGTGTCAACTCACTACTGCAACTCTGGAAGAGAAAGAAACATGCTCACTCTTAGGCAGTGACATGACTCAATATTCCAGTTCTCAGAAGTATTCAATGGCTGAAATACATATCTTCAGAAACCAGTGCAGCAACTTTCATCCTATGTTCCCCGGGGATCAAGGGCCCAGGAGGCTTCCTCCTAGGCTGCCTTAGGGATAGGAGGTCATCACAGAGGTATGGCTCAGGAGGCTCCTTCATTCCAACTCTCTCCCTCTGAGCAGCCCTGTTTTATATGGTTTATATATTAGGGCTCTGGAGTATAGTAGTCCCCCCTTGTCCATGGTTTCACTTGCCATGGTTTCTGTTACCAACTGTCAACCACGGCTCAAAAATATTAAATGGAATAATCCAGAAACAAGCCATTCATAAACATTAAGTTGTGATTGTACTGAGTAAGTGTAATGAAATCTCGCTCTGCCCTGCTGCATCCTACCTAGGATGTGACTCTACCCTTCCTCCAGTGTCTCCACACAACACATACCCCTGCCCATGAGTCCCTTAATAGCCATCTGAGTGATGAGATCAGCTGATGAGGCTTCATGCTGCTTGTGTTCAAGTCACTCTTATTTTACCTCATAATGGCCCCAAAGCAGAAGAGTAGTGATGCTGGCAATTTGGAGATGCCAAAGAAGCTGTAAAGTGCTCCATTCAAGTGAAAAGTTGGGAGTTCTTGACTTAAGAAACAAAAATTGTGGGCTGAGTTTGCTAAGGTCTACAGTAAGAATGAATCTTCTAACTATGAAGTTGTGAGGAAGGAAAAAGAAGTTTGTGCTAGTTTTGCTGTAGCACCTCAACCTGGAAAAGTTTTGGCCAGGGTGTGTGCTAAGTGCTTAAGATGGAAAAGGCATTCAACTTGTGGACAAACAGAAAACGTGCTTCAATTGACAGCAACATGTTGCACTGAAAAGCATTGAACCTGAAAGAAGATTTCAGCAGGAAATTCCCTGAAAGCAGTGATGCCTTTGACTGCAAGTGAGGGATGGTTACATGGATTCAGGAAGAGGGAAGGTCACTGGTAGCCCACTGCCTGCGTCATTCACCTGGCTTCCTCTCATCACATGGGCATTGCACCATCTCACATCAACAGGCTGCCAGAGGGCTCACGAGGCTCTCCAGATGCCAGGGATACCCCAGCCCCAGCCAGCGACCAGGTTCTGGACACCATCATGAAAAAGAATTCAGGGATGAATCAGAATGAAGTGAAAGGCAAGAAGCTTTTATCACAAAGGGGAAGTTCACACTTAAGAGAGAAGTGCAGGCATGCTGGCGAGAAAGTGGTGCCCAACAGACTTTGGGTTTCTAATTTTATGGGTGTTTCTTTAGAGGGTGGAATAATGATTAAGTGTTCTGGAAAAGAGGGGATTGAGGGAACTATGGTTACCGCCCCCTTTCTCTCTCACTTGGGTTTGCCTGAAGAGTCATGGACATGTCACCCTGATGGGAGCTTTCGCCCTTTTCTCTCGCTCATTTTGAATTTTCTGTTATCCTGTGATTTCTTTATCTTGCTCCTGTTTTAGCTGTTATTTGGGTTTTTCCATCCTCCTGTGACCACCCAGTGCCATTCCTATCTCCATCACAACAAGAAGGGTGAATACAGTACCATATTTAGAGAGAAGCTATATTTGTATAACTTCGTTATAGTTTATTGTTCTAATTGTTCTATTTTAGCTATTGTTAATCTCTTACTGTGCTTAATTTATAAATTAAACTTCATCATAGATAAGAATAGGAAAAATATAGTATGCATACGATTTGGCACTAGCTGTGGTTTCAGTCACCCAGTGGGGGGCCTTGGAACACATTCCGTGCAGATAAGGGGGGAAATACCATACAGTATTTTATTGTTGTTGTTTTCACATGAAAACTACTACCTGGTAATTTGTGCAGGTACTAGTAAAATCTTAGCCCTTTATATGCACACTACCTTGTTTACCTCAAGGAGCTCCGTGGAGATGAATATATTTAGCCATATGGACAACCGTGAGATCTTAAGAGGAAACACACTATTGAAAATATTTATGTGATTTTTGTTACATCAGACACTGTGTTTTGTTCCTATGCTATGTATACAGTTAGAATTGAATAAAGACAACCAGAATTCTCGGAACAGACTGGGTTGTCTTAGACATTAACTTCATGGAGAAAGGGTACATTTGGCAACATGGAATGTTACCGGTCAGCAAGTCAGTTACCTGGGGGTAAACTGAAAGGATCTGATGCCCTGTACAGTCATCTCTAAGTCGAGCACTTGGAAGTCAAGTCAGGTCTTCACCACAAGCAGGGCATGTCCAACACCACAGCCTGGTCCCCGGAGTCCTGATCCCAGTGGGAGTTCCAGGCATGGCTGGCCTTGGGTCTTGGAAACTTTTCCGTTTCTTATCCTACCTGTCTTTCTACTTCTTTTAGGCCTCCTTTATGGACTGTCTTCCCTGCTGCCTGTAAAAGATTGGTACTGTCCACCAGGCAGAAAGGGTGGACAGGGTTTAGCTAGATACAGGAGTATCTTTTATCCACAGCTGTAAGTGTTTGGAGCCCAGAAGGAAAATTCCAAGGCCTGACTCAGAGACATGGGTCCAAATGAGGACCTAGGAGTCTGCCTGTAAGGCCAGGGAAGGGGGATGAGTGAAATGAAAGCAAGAAGAGCAGGGACAGTGGGCACCTGTGTGAACTGGAGTATTCAAAAGAGCTCTCCAGAGAAACAACCAATAGGATCTCTGTTTCTACATCCCACAGTCTGTAAGCTACACACCTGAGGATCATCCTAGGTGCTTTCCCCTCAACACCCAAATCAAATTGATTAGGTCCCATTAATATTACCCTCCATATACCTCCAGTCCCACTGCTCTTCTCAAGGTCTATTATGAGTGTGTCAGTCTAGCTTCTTTTTTCTTGCCTCTGCTCTTACAATAGCTCCCAACTTATTTCACATTGCTCCTTTTAATTCATCTTTTTCTCTTCCACCAAATTTTTCATGCAATTTTCATATCACTGCCTCAATTCACAATGGCCAACAATACCGTTGTATCTTCCAGGATAAACACCAAACCCTTTCCATGGCACAGAGAGCCCTCTGTGGTCAGGAACCTCAGCTTCACGCCCTGACATGTGCCACACTGCATCATGCATACATCTATGCCAAACGTACATGTGGTTTTCAATCCAGTGTGCTGATTCACACACTTGTCTCTTTGCCTAGGCTATTCACACTATTTCCTCACCAGTGTTCTTCTGCGTTCCCCACACAGGTCCACCTGGTTCATTCCTACCAATTCTGTAAGAGCCAGCATAGGCAGCATCCTGTGTGGAAACTCCACCATCTGGCAAAGCTGATCTTTCCTATTTTTCCTGCTGTTGCTCCTAATGCATGTCTCTCTCAGAGCATTTATCTCATTTTTTCACAAGCATTTTATGTGTACCTTACATCTTTGCCACTAAGCGCTTCGAACAATCCTTGTCACAAAGTACATGCTCATTAAATGCACACTGATTTAGTAAATCAATCAATACACTAATTAGTGTTGGTATCCCAAAGCATACTCATAATGCCTTTAAACTGATACCTAATAAAATTTTGTTCACTTTGAAATTGATCATTGTAGGATATAATTCATTTTGAAATTCCTTAGGTACCTTAAATATCTTTCCCTCATTTTCTCCTTCCAGTTTTTAAAGCTGTATCTAGAATATAGTCTCAATATAATTCATTTACTACAAACTTATCTCACTAAATTAGAAGATTAGGTATAAAAATATTATTACTATAGTTATTATTTAGAAACAAACGAAATAAAGTATTTGAGAAGGCTTTATTTTATGTATACTACTTCCCACCCCTGCATAAGAACTTTTAAAATCAACTTTCTATGTCAGGTACAGTGACTCATGCCTGTGATCCCAGCACTTTGGGATGCCGAGGCTGTCAGATCACCTGAGGTCAGGCTGAGATCACCTGAAGTCAGATCACCTGAGGTCAGGAGCTTGAGACCAGCCTGGCCAACATGGTGAAATCCTGTCTCTATTAAAAATACAAAATTAGCCAGGCATGGTGGCACATGCCTGTAATCTCAGCTACCTGGGAGGCTGAGGCAGAAGGATCACTTGAACCCGGGAGGCAGAGGTTGCAATGAGCTGAGATGGCACCATTGCACTCCAGCCTGGGCAAAAAAGAGCAAAACTCCATCTCAAAAAAACTAAAACTAAAAAATAATAAAATCAACTTTCTAAATTGTTTATAAAACTTGGTAATAAAGTATCAGGTAACAACTCATATTGGGAAATTTAGCTACTTATTCCACCGCAACAGGACAGCAAACTTTACTGTGAAAAGTGAGACGATAAATATTTTAGTCTTTGTAGGCCATATCACATATTATCCCTGTTAAATATGCTTGTGTTTATGTGTGTGTGTGTGTGTGTGTGTGTGTGTGTGCATGCATTCATGCCTGAGCTCTATAACCCTTAAAAGGTGTAAAAATTGACCAGGCGCAGTGGCTCACGCCGGTAATCCCAGCACTGTGGGAGGTCGACGCAGGGGGATCACAAGGTCAGGAGTTGGAGACCAGCCTGGTCAACATGGTGAATCCCGGTGTCTACTAAAAAAAACACAAAAAAGGCCGGGCACGGTGGCTCACGCCTGTAATCCCAGCACTTTGGGAGGCCGAGGCGGGCGGATCATGAGTTCAGGAGATTGAGACCATCCTAGCTAACACGGTGAAACCCCGTCTCTACTAAAAATACAAAAAAATTAGCTGGGTGTAGTGGTAGGCGCCTGTAGTCCCAGCTACTAGGGAGGCTGAGGCAAGAGAATGGCGTGAACCTGGAAGGCGGAGCTTGTAGTGAGCCGAGATTGCGCCACTGCGCACTATCCTGGGCAACAAAGCGAGACTCCATCTCAAAAAAAAAAAAAAAAAAAAAAAAAATTAGCTGGGCATGGTGGTGTACGCCTGTAATCCCAGCTACTCTGGAGGCTGAGGCAGGAGAATTGCTTGAACCCGGGAGGCTGAGGTTGCAGCGAGGAGAGATCACGCCACTGCACTCCAGCCTGGGCGACACAGCAAGACTCTGTTCCCTCCCGCGCTGACAAAAAAAAAAAAAAAGTGTAAAAATTATTCTTAGCTTGCAGGCTGTTAAAATTTATATATATAAATATATATATATATATTTATATATATATATTTATATATATATATAAATTTATATATATATATAAATATATATATATATATATATATATATATATATATATATATAGACCAGAAAGGATTTTACCCACAAGGCATGTTTTGTTGATCTTTGTTCTATAACAGTTCTTTGTATTCCACTAATTATTTTGTTTTAATCCATTTTTATCAAGTTAATTTTTGGGTGAGTATTAAATAGTCCATTCTTACATGCACATCAAGTAATGTGAATTCAATTAAATTATTTGAGTCTCAACAATCATTAATTAATGTACAACTTTCCGTATTTATTCTACTATTAAAAGCTTCTAAAGGTAAAATCAGCAAGCTGAAGGGGAAGATGTAGTCTCAACGAACCCCAGTTTTTAAATGTAAGAGATTTGGGGAAAAGAGGAATTATATATCTAAAGTGGTCAACACACATTTCTTATTTACCATAAAATATATCTTCCTTCCCAAATGTTCCTTTGTTACCTAAAATTGTACTGAAATTAAAAAAACAATGAAAGAAGATCAAGTTTTCTGGAGGAGAGAGAATTCATTTGAGTGTCCTATGACACGTTGTGGTGGAGACATGCAGGTGATAGATGAATGTCACAATCTTTAGACAAGAGTGCTGTCACTGAAGATATTATCTTGGGAATCATAAGATAGAGGTGGTATTTTAAACCAAGAGAGTAACTGACCCAGAAAAAGGGTGTAAGAGGAAAAGGAAAAGAATAAGCATGAAGACATCTTGGAAGAATATGTGAGTGCTCTATTTTTGGCTCCGCCAAGCAAGATGTCACCCAGAATGCAATAAGACAGTCATGGAGGCAATGACTTGCTCTCCACAATTAGGAAAAGCTCAACTGGCCCATATGTCTCCAGCATACGCTCTAAAAGGCCGATTAGTAAGGGGAACGTGAAAGTAGGAGCAAAATCATCCAACATTTGTTTATCTAAATGTCGTTGGCATTTAAGAAAGCTGAATGAAATGACAACTGCTATTCTCTGTGGACACCTATTGCAAAGAAGTTTTAGTTTATCTAAATAGAATGTCACTGGTTAATTATATTGCTTTGTGTCCACTTATAGCTATGCACAATATGCAAAATAAACATTCATTGAATAAGAGTACTACCTTGATTTCTACTGGTACTATGAGAACTGGTTCAGCTCTTTGTTTTTTTTTTTCTTTTTGTGGCCATATAGAAATACAACTGGTAGTCTTCGAGTAATTTTTATTAAATTTCTCTATACAGTGGTTTCTTTTACACCCAAGTGAATGTTCTTCATAATCACTAGTTGTTAATAACTAATTGTTAACTTTTTGATGTTCTCCAGGGTTAGCTGCTTTTGCCACCTTAGTAGGCACAGTTCAAAAATATAGAATATAAAGTATATTTTAAAGAAACAATTGTTTAATGGAGAATTACCTAAATAGATTTTTTATAATTGCTAAACTCACACCTTCTTTTCCAACAGTGTATTTTATTCAGGCCTGAAAGAATACTTCAGGTTAAGATTGAATGAAAATGTAAGAAGTGATTCAATTCATGTTCATCTTTGACCACAGCTGACAATTTCACAATTAAAATTTGAATCTGTCTTTGCTTTCAGGTTTGGTCCTAATACTGCACAATTTTGTAGGCTAGCTTCTTTTTCCCTTTCAAACTACAAAATGGAACGTTGGCACGCAAAGGTCACCTCAGCCAGCCAGTTTTTCACGAAACATGGCGCAGTGACATTTGAATTCAACCTCGTGTCTACTGAGCTGCCCACCAGACTTACTTTGACAGATCTGAGTATGATGGATGCAGATTTCCATCCAAAAGGTTTGGCTAGGCCTCAGCAGTAATATAACCTTTCTTAAAGGTTATTTTTAACCACTTGCTAAAAATTCCTTGAGGAAGAAAAAGTGACATGCCCTTTAGTAAAATGAATACAATAATACACCTACAATTGATACTGCTGCAGTAGAGTTTGGCCAATTGCTGGAGTGAGAACCTACTCTTTAATAACCAGGGGCTGTCCAGTCCTGGCCCAGCACTTGAATGAGACTATGTGGAAACTAAGCCTAACTCTAATTCTGAAACAAAGAAAAAGGGGGAGGGGGGACCAAAAAACCCTCTAAAGTAGTTCTTGAAACCCCTCCATTATATTGTCTATTAGCTCTGATACTGTTTTTATAAAGTCAAATCAAATATAATGCAATGGATTTATTCATTAGGAATATAATTGACTCAGTGAAGGTTAACCTAACAGTTAAACAATGTTTGGTTCTATTTCCAAAAGATTTTAATATGACTCCGTCTCTGAAAAATAAAGCAGAAGAAGTACTGCAATCAGTACATTGACTGGACCAACAAAATTAGCAGCATTCCATTTGAGATAATAACTCAAAATTACTTCCTAAGTAAGACTCCATGTACTTTTACAATTTATTACTAACACAAAAAGATTGTACAAATATAATTAATCTTCTGACTCACAGAATTTTGGTAATGCAGATTTCATTCTGACAGCATCACAGCCAATGCATTGCCATTTTTAATTCACAAGTAAAAAATGTATTATTCCAGGGTTCTCTAGTTATTAAGGTAATAAGAGTAATTAACAGCACCCTGCTGGCTACACATGGCTTGGACTGTGTGTTTCCGGGTTTGGGTAAATGGGTGGCACTGATCAAAGCCTTCTTCCTGAATCCCTGTTGCCTCACATTGTGGTAGCTGTGGCTATAGAGAATCCCCAAAGACAACTCTGGAAAAGACATAAGTATCTGGGAAGATTTTGCCCACTATTTCACAGCAGAATTCAAAACCTAAGTGATGGCCCTATGGCGATGCTCAGAGAGAGACATAAACAGTGCAAAGTGAAACTGAATATCATTTTTTCTGAGATTAAGGTAATGCCTTCATCTAATAGTCATTTAAATTTTTCAATATTTCTACTATAAAAAGTAAATCTATTTCATTCATTTCGTTTTTTGAAAAACATTAGGTGTGATTTGTTTGTTATTTTACAAAAAAAAAGAATATTCCTTCAATCCACTTAGCTAGTGTAAAAAGCTACAGGATGAAATGCCCACGTTTTGAGATACTCATGACTCAAAACAAACAAACAAAAAAAACCCCTACTACACTCTTTTCCTTAAGCTACTTATGCAAATGTTAAATTTTTTTAAATAAATCTATTTGCTATTAGCGTCCATGAAGATGCTAAGCTTAGGTCCACCTCAGGAAAATTGTTATTGTAAAACATATGATGTGTGAAAACCTAATATTTCAGTTTTTAAATCAGTGCTCCCAGCTTTATTGCTTACACAATGATATCTCAAAGAAAAGTACATAAAGGCAGAAGCCCCTCATTGGAGGTTAAGTTTGTTTCCTGCCTCATTCTTTAGCTGTATGAACGTAGAACATTCAACCATCAGGATGGGGTGGGGTGTCTGACATGTTTTCACATATGGAGAGGCAGTGTGAGTAAACTTCCCATTTTATGGATTTTTCTAAAAAGCACAGAGCATGACTTCAAATGCATTAAACTCTGTTAACATGACTGTTGGGATGTCCCCACTGGCATTGAGGTGTCGCTGAGCTTAGGGCTCTGAGGATTCCCGCGTGCGCAGCATTGCCAGAGGGGATAAATACCCCTGGCTCCAAACTGATAAGTTCTGACTGTATAGCTGCTGTGTCTTCCAACTATGAAAATTATTTTAGGTCCAAGAAACCTAGGCACTCAAGAAATGAGTTGGATTAAAACAATACTTCCAAAAATAACATGTAAGAAATACTATATTTAAAATCTTTCAGGTAAAACTTTGTAGATTTTGATGTAGTATAAAATTACTTATTTTGTATATTAAAATTTCCCCATTTGGCATTCAACCTTATAGGATTTATGATAGAT
Organism: Homo sapiens; assembly: GCF_000001405.40. Lineage (NCBI taxonomy): Eukaryota > Metazoa > Chordata > Mammalia > Primates > Hominidae > Homo > Homo sapiens. The sequence continues at coordinate 103,216,982 of NC_000013.11, read as the reverse complement.
ATGGGTGGATAGATGGGTCGGGGGATAGAATGATTGGATGGTGAATACCTCATATGTATAAGGCAGGATATTGTTTGAAGTGAAAATGCCAGGCCCTTCTTCTCAAAGGCGAGACTTGAAATAGGAGGAGAATGATGAAGGCAGAAACGTTTTCTCTTGAGGGAAAATCTTACAACTTTAAGCCTTTGTTAGTTAGAAGAGACCCTTCTTGATCATGGAGTATTAGCCAATGAAGAGTTCTAGACAAAACTTTCTAAGGGACAAGATGGCACAAAAAATAAAATTCATTGAGAAAAGATGGGAAATTAGTTTGGAGAATGGGGATGGGCCCAAATATTTCAGTCTGTTTTGTAATGCAGCAATCTGAAGAAAATTGAGGTTCGTGATGGGGGATCCTATTTGCATCTTAGGGAGATGTTAGCAGTGATACCAAGAAAATTTAGACAGAAAATGCTGAAACACTGTGCAGAGATAACAGTAAAAATGGATAGTAAGGGACAGACCTAAGGGACAGTCCTTACGTCCAATGGAAGGTCTTGATGGATGATTGACGGAAAGGGATGGAGGAGCCGAAGGAGTCAACGAGGAGGAGCACAGCCAGAGTGGGAAGCTGGGTGCACAGTGAGATCCTAGCCTGAGTGAATTCAGGAGAAAGGACAAGAAATTTAGCTGGAGGGGAGGCTGTCTGTATAATTTAGAAAGTGCTAATATTGAAGTCGCTGTGAAATATTCAAGCAAAGAAATGTCATACAAATTTTTGGAAATATAGATCTGCCATTTCAGAGAGAGGCCGCTGTTGTATATTTATGAGGCACCCGCAAAGTCAACAGCCTGAAGAATGGGTGACGAGAAAAAGGGATCATTAATATTTAAAGCATCAGTGAAGGAAGCTGATCCAAAGAAGGGGAGCAAAAACGATTGTCGGAATCCTATTAGAGGGGTCAGGTTAGGCTGGTGCTCTGGAAGCCCAAGGAAAAGCGGGTGTTTAAGAAATGAGAGAGAAAATATTGGATCAAATGTTACAGAAAACAATTATTAGTGTAGCCAAAAAACAGTGGCATACATTTTGCCAAATAAAAAGTCCACTTTATCAAATAAGGCAGCATCAATACATTTAGGAAGAAAAGTTTGTGATATGCCAGAGAGTGGATGAGAGCAGTTGAAAGAGTGGCTTCTAGCAATTCATTCATTCATTCATTCTCAGTGATTCCACACATATTTACTGATCACCTACTGCATGCCACATACTGTTAAAGACATTAGAGATATTGCAGTGGATAAAGTCAGCTCCTCTCTTGTATCCTTGAGGGGAGGAATCCTAAATTGAGACGTTTGGAGAGAATTTCGTAAGTTTCATCATGAGAAGAAAGAAGGCATTGCTTGAACAGCGAGGTGTGGTGAAGAGGAGGCATTTTAGGATGAGGGAAATGAGTGCATATAGGGCCTAAAGGAAGAAAAGATAGAAAATAGAGAAGAGATCCCTAAGGAACCCGAGAATAAACAGAAGCCTAGTGATTGAGGGAGTGACAGCTGTTCCCTCCCCACCCATGACAAACGTGTGCACAGCTCTGATGATCCTCTACCTGCAGTCACAGAAATTCCCAAATACACAAAGGCACTGGGATCTCAGGGAGGACACTGTAGGTGTCCTGTAATCCTAACATTGTTGAGTGGGACAGCAGCCTGGAAAGATACCGGGGGTCTGCGTGATGGGCTGCCACACACCTCAGGAAAGAAAGTATTCTTGCTCTCAGGGAGAGCACACACATGCCTCAGTTGACCCATGTCTTCAGAAGCAGACACCATCATTGGGCCCTGAATCTCACACTGAAGGAAACCACATCCCAGAAATTTTAAATTTTAAAGCCCTTCATTGGAATTTCAAGCACGGAGTTTAGCATATGGACGACAATGAAATCTTGAACTGATTTGAATGGACTAGAAAAATCTGATTAGTGATAATCGCTACACAAGCAGGTGACGAGTGAGTTAGCCACATTGTATGTAAACTTCTGTTTTTGGTACTTTATCATAAACAGACATATTTTGCTGCTGTTCTCAGAGCAGTTGCGTTAATTACGCTCCCTCGTACGCGGTGCATTATGTTCAGCAATTGTTGCTAGATTTCTCCTTTCTTGTCTAGCTCTGTTTGTGTTCTCTTTTCTGTGTCTTCATCTCAATTCCTCTCCCTCCCAATAGACATCTACCTCCTCTAATAATGTGTTTGAGATAGATCCTCCAATATGTGTGTGTCCTTGTAAGATATGTAGTGTTCTGTTTGTTTTTAATTTACATAAGTAATATTGTACAAAAAAATTCCCTGCTGTTTACCTTTTCATCTCAGCACTATGTTTTTAAAATCCATCCATGTTGCTGAATGTACAGTCTGTCACTACAATACAAATTAGCTCAGATATAAATGGTAAAGAGGGGAATGATGTCAAGATAACAAAGAATTTACATTGCTTCATAAGCAATTTTCCCAGCTTTCTCTTGTTTATGCCATCAAATAGGCGCTACTGAGCACAAAACATACAAATCCAGCTGAAAGACACAAGTACTGAAGACCACAGTAGTGGTCTCAACATCCATATACCTCACATGCTTCCTCGTCTTGGCTTAACCACCTACTCCATGGGCGTGTTGATCAGTGCTTCTCTTCAATCTTTGTGCCTTTTATTCCATCTCCAAATTCAGCAGGCTAAGCACTCATACTCTCTTCTACCATTTTACATTTAATTATTAAGATAAATCCTTATGTGGACCTTAATAGTTTTGTATGTATTCAAAATTTGATGTTTCTTCTTAATAGTAAATACAACACATATAGTTGTACAAACTGGGGGGCAAAATCTGCGATATACATAAAAAGCAAGTGATTTATAATTACAACGTGAATATGGATCTTAATCCAAATTAATATGAAAAATTGGAAAAGCAGACTAAAGAAACAATACAAAAAGAAAAAATAACAGTGGCTAAAGAATATAAAAACATGCTCAAATTCACTAGCAATAAAAAAGAAGGAAATTAAAACAATAAGAACACATTTTAACCTTCAGATGGCCTAAAACAATCTGGAAAGGGACCTGATAAAATTACAATAGTGGTTACTTCTAATGGGAGGGAAGTCAGAAAAGAGATGTGGGGACCATAATTCTCTTATTGTTACTCTCTACAGTTCGATGCTGTTTCACGTTTTTCACCATGAGTAGATGTTTAGGCCATTGAGTTTTTTAATATACATTTAATAGAAAAATCATGGAATAGTATGTACGACCAAGAAAGGTTTCATAACATAGGTGTGGCTTGGGCTTAAGGGATAAAAAGGAGTTGTTCCCTAGAGCACATTTGGCATTGTCAGGAGGCATTTTCAGGTATACAAGGGAGGGGTGCTCCTGACATCTAGCAGAGAGGAAACCCAGGGATACTGCTAAACAACCTATGGTGTACAGGACAGCCACCAACACTAGAAAACCACGTGGTCCAAAATATCAACAGCCCCACGGTTGAGAACCCTTATTTCGAAAAAGGAAAGGGATGCCTGCCTCAAAGGAGAATGGCCTGAACAGAGGCAGCGAGGAAAGAATGCTGACAGTGTGAACAGTCGGCAGTGATTACACCAGTGACTCTGGAGAGGAGGGGTCGGGTACTCTCAGGGGGGCACTCAGCACTCCATTAATACACTGCTAAGAATTTTTATACTCTTCAGGGGACAAAGCAGAGGGAAATGAGGAAAACAGCGTTAAAGCTGTTTTGGTTGACTTGCATTACTTCAGACTTATTCCATTTAATTTTATACCCTGTGATTATTTAAAAGGTTTCCATTTTAATCAAGACTATTTTCTGCATTTTAGAAGTCTGTTCTGCATAAAATATCACATGTATATAATGACATTTGAGTGTCCAGTTTGATGCTGTTTTTAAAAATGGGTTACACACAAAAGGATTAGTAAATATGGAGTTCTATCTGTAAGCTGGATTAGTGAGACCTGGCATGAGGGAGAAAATGATTAAGAGAATAAAACATTCATTTCCAGTAAAATCCCTGCCATGAAGCGTCAAGATATGCTCTGATAAGGGATTTCCTTGCAGAAGGTGAACCTGGGAATCACTAGATCCCAAACGTTGATCAGGATGATCAAATGTCTTCCTATTTAAACCCAAATAGATATTCCTGTCATTGCAGCTCTCTTGCAGAATAAAATTTTGGTCTAGGAAGCTCTGCTAGGTTAACAGTGAAAAGGAAATGGATGTGACTTCCTTTGTCAAACACTTTTGCAGACGCTGCTATACATGGATGATTTGATAGTGAAAAAGGTTTGCTCTGGCCAAAATCACATTTTTTAATGATTTAGCCTGGGTTGTCAGTATGCAGAGGATGGTACACAATCATCTACATTTTACAAAGATACTCCTGGGCTGTACCATGACTCTCCCAAGATTTCAATTCCCAATTATCTAGTTTACTGGCAATACTGTCCAGAAAGCCTCTTTGATTTAGCAAGGTAAGCCTCGTACTTTGACAAAATGCACCAAGAAATTTTGATGTCGAGCCTAAGCTGGCAGATACTCCAAGCAAATGCATCTCAATAGTCCAGAGGGACCATTTGAAACATCTTCAGTAACTGGAGAAAGAAGGAAGAGGCATTCATCTCCCTTAGCATGGCAGCTACAAATGTGCAGGTTGTTAGCTCAGTTGAGCAGAGAATTGTGTTGAGACCAAGGTCACAGGTCTAATTCCTGGGTAGCCCGCTTAATTCTCATCTGGTATGTGGCCAGAGTATCTATGCAGGTAAAGCTCCTTGGGCTCAACGTGATCCAATGGGAAATTGCAGATGAAACAGTTTGCAGATGAAACAAGGAAGACTACAATCTTTTCAGATGGGTTAAGAATGATGTATACAGGACTCCATTAACTATTTTTTACATAGCATTTCTTGAAAGTTGTTCTAAAAATCTACATTTAAATGGTTAATCGCTTCGTGGAAATAGGACATTTTTGTAAAAATAGACAATCAAATGAAAATTAAATATCCGACATATGTACTGGACTTTTGAATTATTTTCTTTTACTTCTCATCTGCTTTTCTGGTCTTCATAGACATGGCCCAGATTGAAAAGTATTAGAAAGTAGTGCAAGAAATTCCAGATATTACACATATGTCACATTCATTTATAGTTTTTATTTTTCATGTGTTATTTTTAAGACAGAGTCGCACTCTGTCACCCAGGCTGGAGTACAGTGGCACGATCTTGGCTCACTGCATCCTCTGCCTCTGAGTTCAAGTGATTCTAGTGCCTCAGACTCCCAAGTCGCTGGGATTACAGGCACATACCACCATGCCTGGCTAATTTTTGTATTTTTAGTAAGACTTTCACCATATTGGCCAGGCTGGTTATTGTCTTCTTAATAATGAGATGGTTAGTAGACACATTTAATCCACCATAGTCTCCCCAACCAAAATTCCATAAATAGCATATCTTGATGTAGTCCATGAACCTACATCACCTTGCAACATGTTAGAAATACAGAGCCTCGGGCTTCACCCAAGACAAATTAATTTAAAAATCTGTATTTTGACAAGATGCCCAGGTGAGCCAGGTACATGAAAGTTTGGTAATCACTGCTCTAATATCTAGTGAATGTTGCAATCCACGTTACATCTATAGAGTCACCTGTCCTCAGTAACCATTCTTTGATGTACCAGTCACCTGTTTCACAAGGTTGATAACAACACCTGTTATCAGCTGTTGAGTTGTTTCATGAAAAGGTTCAGAGCTTATTGGAATTTCATGTGGTATCATAGTTATCCAGATGTCTAAACCATCAGCAGGAGAGAGTAACCAGCAAAGGTTTTCCAGTTCAACATATTCCTTTACCTGTGAGTGAAAATCAAAGGCTGCCATTGAATAAAATAGAACATATTATGTATTTGTTGACTAACCAGGTAAAATTTAATGGCTTATTTGTGGTATCATTTTAATGGCTTACAGTCTGTAAATGTGCCATTTGGATCTGCTGCACTGCGGATTGAACATTGGAAAATGTCTTGTGAATGTACTCATTAGTTAATAAAAGTAGTTAATATTGAAATACTGTAGTTTTGGTAGTTTCATGCACAAGCAGCCCTTTTCAAAAGTTTAGAACCAGTGATTTCCCATAGGACAGAGACCACTGAATACATCACCTTTTAAATAAACTATTATTTAAAGTTATGTTAAAAAATAATGTACCAAATATTTTAACTGTATTAGCCAAGAATGAAACAACTCTTCAGAAGAATAGAGGTTTTATTTCAATGTATCAAAAGCACTGAACAAAGAATTGAGCATTTTTAGCTCAGTACTTTTGTTTCAATATCTAACGAAATAAATGTATTTGATTAAAATCTCGCTCGTATTTGAGACATACAATTTTCTTTGAAATGCTGACTGTGCAGAACACATTTCTAACCTAAGTTATAACTCTCTTGCTCTGTTGTCCAGTTTTCAAAAATTACCTGATAGGCTTCGAAGTGTTATGCTGTGCTATGTCTTTTCAGAGATGGAAAAATACAGAACAAAGGCCATGAAAAGTAACAAGTGATTTCTTTGATCTAATAAAAATCAATCAAGCTGATTTTTGTTTTTCTTCTTGGGTGGTTTGTCTATTGCAAACAGTCCTTTTCTCACAGGCTGGGAAGACAGCCTCCTCCTTGTTTAATCTTCTATGACCAGGTTTAGCCACACCTTCTGTCCAGACCTCTGACTCCTTGTGTACTGGGATATTGATAGGCAGGAGCTAAGGCTACAGACTTCCAGGGCCTGGATAAGTCCCTAAAGGGCCAGGGTGGAAGTGCTTACCAAATACAAGCCAGTGAGTTACCAGGAAAGCAGACTAGCAGTTAAACTGGCAGGCTAACAGTTGAGACCAGCCAGACACACCCTGCGCCATCTTCATCTTTCTTTGCCACAGGCAACCACCACATTCCACAGTCATTTTCAAAAACATTGTTAGAGCAGGTTTATGCCTCTTCTGATTTGGCAAATGCTCCATATATTTACTGTGATCAAAGAACACTGTCATTAAATCCACAACAGTTGAAAGTAGAAAAAAGAACTTTAGAGTAAAAACGTATGACCCTTTCTCATCACAAACACAGGAACTCTGACCAATTCTCTTAGGAAAATGAAGGCAAGAGAGGGAAACCCAGACTGAGTTTCTGTGCTGATTCCAGCAAACTATCAAGCCACGGTGGATGAGAAGTCCTGAAAACAGCCCAGCAGACCCTGACTCCTGAGACACAAATGCATTTACGTAATTGAATGAGGTTAATTTTTGGTCTTGGACCTCTGATAGATTTGAATTTTCTTAAATCAAAGTTTTTCTATACACCCTGGTCTAGACCTCATATCAGAAACTTAAGAGGGTGGCCAGGCGTGGCAGCTCATGCCTGAAGTCCCAGCACTTTGGCAGGCCAAGGTGGACGGACAGTTTGAGCCCAGGAGTTTGAGACCAGCCTGTACAACATAGTGAGACCCCGTCTCTAAAAAAAAGAAAAAAAAAATTAGCTGGGCGTGGTGCCATGTACTAGTAGCCCCAGCTGCTCAGGAGGCTGAGACGAAAAAATTACTTGTGCTCAGGAGGCTGAGGCTGCAGTGAGCTGAGATCAGATGACTGACCACACCACTGCAGTCCAGCCTGGGCGACAGGTAGATCCCGTCTCGTATAAATAAATAAAAAAAACTAAAAAAAAGAAACTTAGAGGGCAAGTTTACGTCTCCCTGAGGTTCATCTTTTTTCAATACACAGACAAAATACTCTACCAAGTTTAGGCGTTTGGAATTTACCATGACTGTTTACAATTTTAATAGCTACAGGTTGTGTGGAAGTTAGCAACTGAAAAATCACCTTTCAACAGGCTCTCAAAGTGCATTGACAAACTAACTTAATATAATTGCTAAAGATAAACCTATTCCCCTCTCTTACTTTTCTCCCCAGACTAAGTGTTAGAACATTCCAAGTTTACCCCAGTAGAAACTCAACTGAAGGTGAAAACAAAAAAGTCAAGATAAAGTTTATAAAATGCATCTGTTACAGTTTTGACATAAATAAGTACTTCCAAGGACAAATGAGGTGAATTAATATTGCTGTTTTAGTCTTTAAAATTTTTCCTTGGGAAACAAAAAGTGTTTTAAGACTTTTGATGGATCCTACTCATCACCTTTAGTCAAGAGTGACAGCACAACTTTCACGAATACATTTATTCTTTAGATTTATATCACCAAAGCCTCTGGAGAAATGCACAGACAGAAAGTTCATGCACTGCCTTTCTGACCTTCTCAGTGACATTCCAGAAAGCACCGTGGTAAAACAGAGCCTTGTACACAGATTGGAGCATCAATGTTTAATTTACATCAAAACCATCCATTGTCACTTGGTTTCACCTAATACCATTTGCTAATCTTAGTATTGGATGAGAATATAGTGCTCTAAAAACTGTGGGAAACAATGTAGTTCCTAACAATGCAGAAAATCTAACATTTACTATTACACATATTTAAATACATGTATGTCAAATTGCAGAATCAACACAAAAACCTTCAATCCTACAGTTTTTAATCCAATAATTAAAAGATTTTGTATGTAGAAATATGTATGTTTTATACATATATTGGACAAAATCTAGCAAATATTTTTTACCATTCTCTTTGGCATGACTAAAATATTGATCTGTAATTTAAGGTATATAGTACAAAGCTTTGTATTTGTTGGAATTAACCAATCCTCTTACTTTAACTGGAAATTTTTAAATCAATCACCTTTGAATTATGATGTAAGCATCAAAGATGTGCCACGGAACAGATGTTTATAAAATGAAACTATCTTTTAAACATCAATAAAAAGTAAATTTAAGTTCTTACAATATATGTGATACCTCAAAAACATGGAATCATAAAATTTTAGAGCTAGAAGAGATATTCGAGATTCATAGTTCAATGTCATCATTTTAAAAATGAGGAATCTGAGAGCTGGAAAGGTTAATTGACTTTCTCATTCTCAAGGTCACGGAAGTTGTTAGTGGCAGAGTGGGAATTAAACATCCCCGACAATCCACATGGCCTTCCTTTCACAAGGGGTGTGGCATTTTAACTCTGCTGCAATGATATGCTTACAGATACACACACCTGGCTCCAATTCCGTGCTTCTACTGAAAGGAAAATAAATTGCACATAGGCCCTTTCATTATTCCAGGTCCATACTTCTGACATAACTTGGTGCCCCCATAAACCAGCAGGGCTAAGTCTGCCCCTGTAACGGACTAGAAGTCAATCTATGAACATTGACATAAAATCACTCTGAGTAAATATTGAAACATAGAAATCCTCCCGGGCAAGTGTCAAGGAGCTTCTAAGGTCGTCTAGTAGCAGAGTGTCTGTGGGAACATCTCAGAAGCTGGGTAAAGTTACAAAGTTATCCAGCAATCCAGTTAATAGGTAAATAATAATAATTAATAAACCAACACTTTTAAATAAAAAGAAATTCCTCAAAACCTCCCTCAGAACATCTCCGTATCTCTAGTATCTAAAAGAATGCCTGGCATGGGCCGGGCGCGGTGGCTCACGCCTGTAATCCCAGCACTTTGGGAGGCCGAGGCGGGCGGATCATGAGGTCAGGAGATCGAGACCAGCCTGGCTAACATGGTGAAACCCCATCTCTACTAAAAATACAAAAAATGAGCCGGGCATGGTGGCAGGCACCCGTAGTCCCAGCTACTCGGGAGGCTGAGGCAGGAGAATGGCGTGAACCCGGTAGGCGGAGCTTGCAGTGAGCTGAGATCGCAGCACTGCACTCCAGCCTGGGCGACAGAGCGAGACTCCGTCTCACAAAAAAAAAAAAAAAAAAAAAAGAATGCCTGGCATTTGGTAGATTTGTTATTATAAATGAAATACACATTGATGTTCATTAGCAGATTAATAAATCCAAAAATTAAAATAGGTCCACACACTAACCTACTGAAACCAGTGTGACTGGAGGCAAAGGCTGGCAGGCTTCTGGGATCTATAGCTTGGTTTATGCCTGGTAACTCAGCTGAAATAAGCCCAGATCCAGGCACCAGCAGGACTGGAAGGCTGCCTGGGATGTGTATATTGAGGAATCATCTAAAACGGAGCACCATTAATGAGCTAAACACAACTCAAAACCAGAGGAAAAGAAAAGAACTTTCAGCCAATTGTTACTGATGTATGAAAAAGGAACGGATGCTTGGAGATCTTGACCGGTAGGAAATAAAGACATTATTTTCAATGTTCTGCATTCACATGCGTTTAGAAATAGATGTGTGAAATGTTCTAGATGCTGCACTCACCCTTCTTTCCTGCCACTACTGAATACTACTATAGCTAAGTTGTAATTTGCACAGACCATTAAATTTCTTCTTGCTCTTATGCCATATCCAGATATGGCATAAGAACAAAAAACACAGACAAGAGTATGAGGTAAGAAGTGAAGCTCTAGATCAGGTCTCCAAGGTTTTCGGCCATGAATCCTTTTGGCAGTCTAACGGACTCATGGTTCATGGATTCATGATTTATGGACTCTTTGCAGAATAATGTTTATAAATATATAAAATATAAATTTAATATTAAAAATATGAAATATTTAATATAAAGATAATGCAAATAATAAAGACAAATATAATAGTAAATATAAAAATAAAACACTACAAAGGAAAACAATTATATTGAAACACATATCAATATATTTGAAATATGCATATCAATATATTAATGAGAATCTGCTATAATTTCTCAATAAGTGAATGATATTTTAATATATCTACCACAACTGTGTCATGATAAAATCCTAAGGCTTTTTGCAGGAGTACCATTTCTTTCATAGTTAAAAAAAAAAAATGTGGGGGGTAGTTAAAAAAAAAAAAAAAAGAAAAACTTTGTGATATTTACAGGTGATAAAGTCCATAGTTACTGCTGATGCTTCTGTGGTGGGTCCGCATTGATAATTAGAGAAAATGTTCCATTTTGGTAGGAAGTAAATGAAAACAAACATACACAATTTTTTTTCAAGTTCATGGAATCCCTTAATTCTTTCCACACACTCCCCAGGAGGTGTGGCTCCAGGTTAAGAACAACTAATTTGGAGTGAGACCGACCCCAAGATGGAAATTTAGCTCTGTCACAGGTGATCTGCAATGCTGGATAGGTTGCTTATCTTCCATGAGCTCTTCAGAATGGGGGAGAATTACATATGACATGGAATTGTTGAAAGGAATGATGTCAGCAGCATGGTTAGCACACTGTCTAGCACATATTAAACTCTCAATGTATTATGCTTTTGATATGCAGTGGGATAATTTTTCCTCCTTGACCGTCTTTCAGGATAATTTGTTTACTTCCAAGTAAGCAAGTAATATTTCTTCTCTTTGCTGAGGATTCAATTCCTCTTCATTTTAGCAACTTAATTCACAAAACAAAACAATATCACAGTGCTAATGGGATCAAGGTCACATGTGATTCTATCTGAGCCCTAATACAACATTTCTTACACTAAAATTAAAAAAAAACTTCATAAAATAAACAAAATATCAAAGCATTTTGATACACCCAAATGCATACTACTGGGGAGGAGTTGGGCATTGAATTTGAGAGCCTAAGTCCATGAGATCAATGAGGAAACACAGTGCCTTCAGCAATAGATACCAAATGTGATGTTGCCATTCAGAAGAACTGGATGTTTGCACTTAATTCATCTACAATTCTTAAGTCTCAGAAAAACTAAACAGAATAAAATCTCTGATGATATAAGTTCAGCACAACAAAGGTCAGGTCAGACATGCCCACCTCAGAAGCAGGTGAGAGGCTCTCTGTTACCTCTAGCAGGGTGCTTAGGTGGTTCATCTGTAACCCCATTTCAAAGCATTAATGAAATTTTCACTCAACCTTGCCCCCTGCCAAAAGAGATGAAATGGAAAAGGGGCATCATGTTGGTTGGGAGGAAAATCAGAGACTTAGAAAATAAGATTTGCTGCCTTTTTGCCTGTTTAGAATATTAGCAAATACCAAATTTCCCAGACTAACTGGTATTTTTCATCAGTATTTTCATTTAGCTATCGGCTTACCCTTCTCTACACGAAAGTGATTCAGTTCATTTAATCAAGCACATTTTGAAGACGATTATCTTCATTCATCTTCAACAATTGCTTAATGATGTCAGCAACAGCATGAGATTCTGGAGGCTACAACCATGAATAAAAACTCATCTCTATTTTAGGAGCTTGTAGTTTAACGTGCAAGATATGAAGCATATTCAGGATTCTAAAAATGAGCCCTAGTTTATCAACACCCAAATGTAGCCTTCTGGGACTGAGAGTACATGCTTCTGCTTAAAAAGATATCAGTAATGTTTATGTGAATGAATGAGTGAATGAATGAATACATGTAGAAAAAGTATTCCCAGAGATGTATGACTTGAATATATTTATGCTAAATAGATGTCTGATAAATGTATACAGAGATCTTTGCTCTGCACCAAAGAAGTGTTCCCAACATCAAGGACTCATCCAAGACCAGAGAAAGGTAATAAATTGATGAGTTGCCAGGAGAACACAAAAACAGTTTGAAAAGGAATGTTTATTTTTTATTTAGAAGACCCTCCAAAATTAAAATTACCAGAGGAACATTAACTTTATTTGGGAGAATTAAAGAAGAAAATTAATAGCTTTAAAAAAAAAAGATTTAAAATGAATTGCAGATACTAGCAAAGGAAGGAAATAAAGGGGAGAATGTTGGCAACCTATGAAGTGACCTATATCTCTGGAAACAAAATAGGAGATGGGAATAAAAAGTGCAAAAAAGGAAAGATGGCATATGGTTCCAGCATGTGGCTACCTTTTAACAGAAAGGTAAGGAAAAAAAAATAGAAGTCAGAACCTGGGAAGAGAAACTAGGAAAAGAATGGAGATATGTTACTACCCATAAAAAGAGAAGACTGCTTTATGAGGTAATAAATCCCCATCTTTGAAAGTATTGAAACAGGAGATGAGTAAACAAGGAAAAGGTAGAGGTGATTGATTTATCATGTGTGGAGTGGGTTAAGTGACATTGAGCACTTGAGGTGTATTCTAATGCCTAGAAAAGCCTATAATCCTATGAACACTTCAAAACAAAAGTAGTGTGAGGGCACACCTTGAAAGCAAAAGAGAGGAGGGAGACTCAGAAAAGTAAAAAGAAAGTGGGAGAGAGAGAGAGGGAGGGAGATAAGGACAAAGGAGAGAGGGTGGGAGGGAAAAAAAAAATGATGACGGAAGGAGCCATCCCAAGTCCCCAGTGCCAAAGTAAACCTAGTTCCCCTTTGAAAAGACACCTGTGTAAGGTCAAGAAAACTGCCAGCTGAAGTAGCACTACTAGGGCAATGGGAAATGGCCCATAAGTTGGTTTGGTGGAAGTTATTTCAGGGACAGAAAATAAGCGGAGGTTCTGATTATTACGCCACCAAAACTGCAGGAGAGCTCCAGGAACAAATTGCCCCCAGAGCCCCACCCTCAGGCTTCATAACACTAGTTTTCAACAAAGGGTTTATGGATCCCCCTGCAGCACCCTAGTAAATCACACCACACCACTAACTAGTCCAATAAATGCCTTTCTTTTGCTTGAGAAAATTCACTCCTGCTGTGATTTGAACCATAGACCCTTAGATGCAGAGGAACTAGAATCAAAATGGTGATGGCCAGCCCTAGAAATAGCCATTTAATCAGCTCCCTGTGTGTTTATAAGTTGCCAAGCGGGAAAAGTTCATGCTCACTGAATGCATCGGCTTGAACTAATGGAATCAACCATATTTGTGTGACTAAGAAGCTGACAGTGGAACCAAGTATTCTGGTTTTTCCCATTTTCCATTGTCCGATGACTTCATTCAGCAACGAAGGTGGATGCAGGGAGTTAACACTTTTATTTTTCTTTCATGGGGAATCCAAATTTAAAGTTTTGTTATCCTTCGAAACAATTTTTCTTTCTAGTAAGGTAATTTTTAAAAATAAAAACAGTATTTATTATAGAAACTCTTTGGAAAATGGTTCTTTAATGTTTTAGAACTTCATTCATTTTCATCAAGGATTCAAGTTCCTTTAAGAAAGATCAACACTTGCAAAATTAACATTATAAATTATACGAAAAGAGACAGGCTTGACACTCAACCAACTAACATAGAAAGCCCTATTTCCTTATAAACTTCCATCATTTATTTTCTTTTCTCTAATTTTATTACTCTAAAGTTCTCTTTAATGTAGCTGTTATTAGGACCAAGAAAATTAATATTAAACTACTGGAAGTGAAAATCAAGGTACCTCTGACTTAAGGACATTTTTTAAAAAAACTTTTTTGAATCGGTTTCCTGGCTGTTTATTATATATCTTAACAAGATGTAAACTTTCTTTCAACCATTTTTAGATAATTCAGAGGTTGAAACATACCAAATGAGAATGATAATATTCTTAGTTAATATAATTTATCCTATCTCCCCAGACCCACAATGTTTTAAAATATTTATTATTGCAATAGCAAAATAGTCGATGTAGAAGGCACTGAAGTGCACCATTGCCTTCAGTCACCAACACAGAAAGTGTGATCTCTCTCTCTCCAAATCTTTCTCTCACTGCTTTTTCCCCAAGGTCTGGTTTCTCTGCTAAGTTTAACACCAAAAACTACGTTTGTGACACTGTTTTGATTTTTAAGCAAGCTACAAGAACTCTACAATTTGCAACTTGGATAAGTTACTGATTTTAAAGTACCAGTTAGTATCCCTCAACTTCTTTGAGAATAAAAAGATTTCAAGAAAAAAATGACAGTTTTTAATTGTTTCCCTTATCTGTGAAAGTCCTTTGTTTGGAAGTACAATAAGAGGTTTCTAGGCATAAATGTACTATTTCTGCCAAGAAGGAGATCTAGGTAGATGTGGAAATAGCATCAACAAGCAAATTTTGTACATTATGCGCATTTTCCATTTGCCTGGTCTTCTACTAGATTTTTAGAAAAGAATTCTGCATTAAGGAGAGACTAGATGTTCACATACATTTATTAAGAATAGTAGTAAAAACTGTCAGAAGAGTCCAAAGAGATGGCACGGAAATTTGGAGAAATAAGCAGGAAAACTTTTCCTGGGGAGGTCACGTTCCTGGGTAAGGAAGGCCAATATCTCAGATGTGACACACATGGAGGATGAGAAGGGAGTTCACACTAATCTTGAGAATATAGTGAGACAATGTAAGGGATCAGCCACCAGTGAATGCTCAAGCAGATTCAGGAAAAATATAATAGGCTTCCCTAATAAAGAAAACAAGTAGTTATGATGGTACTTGGAATGTAAAATGTCATGGTGCTTGATAGAAAAAGGTTATTCAAAAGCACATGATCCCTACAGCCAGGTAGAGGTCAAAAGCAGTACCCAATAAAAGAAATGCCCCAGAAAAAAAGAAAAATCATTTTCTCTCTAAAAAAATTAAACTGGAAATTTCAAATGCCCAAAAAGTATCCCTGTGTAGAAGTCATTGTAAGATGCATGTTATCTCTTAAAGAAGCAAAAAAATCAGGGATTTCTGGTCATCTAAAGACAGATTTTTGAGTATAATCTATAGAAAGCAAAAATCTCACTAGTGGCAATAACTCAATAAAAAAACAATGTGTGAGCAGAAGAAATGTTATTTTATGTGACAGAGAAAAAGGGTTTTCTGAGATCCTGGCAGATTTCATCTTATACAGACCAAAGGATAGAGATGCTGAGCCTTTTGTCTAGGAGGGCAACATAGTCCTTAAGGGTAAAGATAATGTTTAAGTGTCCTGGCCAGAGGAGATAGGCTTGAGATTCTGCATCTCCCTAGGTCAAATTGTACCCCTGGTTAACTTCTTTAATTTAAATTGGCTTCCTTGGGAGAGGATATTTGAACTACAGATAACAGTATCAACTTGTAAAGCTTGCCACTGAAAAGTTATGAATTTGCATTCTCATGTATTCATTAGCTTCTCATAAATGGTATTGCTAGTCCCTAAAGGCTGATCAATACTTGGGACACCAAAAATTCAAACTGGGTCTCACTAAGGTACTTTTTCCATCATAAGGCTTGTCTAGGTCACCTGCCCACTCCAGTCTCTGCCATCTTTGTGATACCATTCTTTAACTTCAGCAAAGGCTTGGAGAGGCAAAGCCTATTAATGCTGCATGTGCATGTGGTAGGTAGAATGATGCTCTTATCCCCTGCAAGACCCTCACCTTCTAATCCCTGGAATCTGTGAATGTGTTAGATTACATTGCAATGGGAATTCGAACTTCAGATTGAATTAAGGTTGCTAATCAGATGACCTTAAGATAGTGAGCTTATCTTGCATTATCCAGGTGGCCCAAGGTAATCCCAAGGATCCTTAAAAGTGGAATAGAAAGGCAGATAAAGAGAGTCTGAAGATGTGGCAAGGGAAACAGAAATGTTATCTTGCTAACTTTGAAGATGGAGCAAAAAGCCATGAACCAAGAAATGTGGGTGACCTCCAAAAGCTGAAAAAAGCAAAGAAACAAATTCTCCCCAACTCCCCAGAGGGAATGCAGCCCTGCCCACACATTAGTTTTAGCTCAGTAAGATTCCTACTGGCCTTCTAGCCTGCTGGAAGATAATAAAGTTGTACTCTCTTGAGCTACCCTACTGTGTTTGTAGTAACTTGTTACTGCAGCAATATAAAACTAATACACCCTGTATCCAAGTAAAACTGCATTATGATTCCACTTAATATGAGATCTGAAGAGATTGCTCTAGCTACTGTTGGTGATTAAAACCATAAGCATTCAAAGTAGACAAACACTAATTCATATCCTAATGTGGGCCATTTAATGGTGTGAAGAGTAAATTATTTACTCTCCAACCCTCAACTTCATCATCCATTAAATAAAGTGAGAATCTACCTCATAGATTGTTGTGAGGATTTAAAAAATTAAGTTTTCCAGTCCAGTAAAAATGTGTTTCACACTCATACATGCCAAAATATTTGATAACGGGAAGTTACGCAACAATTTAAAATACTAGTTAGAGCTTCTATTACATGTTGGAGCTATAACAATGAACAAGGCAGACACCTAAAAATAACCATCTGGCAGTAATATCCTATGATAAGCCCTTGATGAGAGTACACAAAGCTCTGTTACCACATAGAGGGGACTTTGGCTGGATTTAGGGGTCAGATAACCCTTCTTAGTGGAAGTAAATTCTAAATGGAGGCCTAAACAATAAAGAGAAAGTAGACAAAAATGGGTGGAGGAATAGTGATAGCAACAGGAGACAGACAAATGCCTAGGCAGACAGGGACAGGTCTCTGGTCAAACCCGACCTTCAAGCCAAGGACAGTTTAAAGCCTGAAAACTGAGCTGCCAGTTCTCCATACAGTCCAAAACTGGAGTGAGAACTTCCATCCCTTCTTGCCCACTCTCTCTTGATTGGTTCCCTGTAATGATACCTTTTAACTAATCTAATGGTGCCTTTTCCAAGGCCACCCATGGACCAATCAGCACACACTCCTCCATTCTAAGCCCATAAAAACCCCAGACTCAGCCTCACAGATTGCTACCAGCTTTTGGGTCCCCTCTCAACACTGAGAACTTTCTTTCTGTTGCTTAATAAAATTCTCCTCTGACTTACTCACTCTCTGGTGTCCACATACCTTATTCCTCTTGGTCACAGCACAAGAACCTGGAACTAGCTGAACTATGAAATGAAACAGCTATAGTACTCCTGCTCACGAAGCTGCAGGTGGAGGGAATAAAAGAGCTGTAACACTCCCTCCTGCTCACTGAACAATGAGAGAAGCAGCCACTGGGTGCCACTCCCTCCCGCTTGCCCATCTACAGAGTGAAAAAGCTGCCACAATAGTGGAAGTGCATTTTAGATAGAGAAAGCAATATGATGAAGAGCATGGTAGCTTGGCACTCAAGGGAATTGAAAATAACAATAAAACAGGTGCATTTATGAAGAAAGCAAAGACCAAAACATGAAGTGTCTTTTATTATTATAGCCATGTGGGTTTATTGCAAAGTTTTAAGTGAAGAACAGATACTGATCATATTTGTATTCTAGAAAGAGCATTCTAGCCACAGGTTAAAAAACAAATTTGAAAACCTAGAAGGATGTAAAGGCAATAGAAACCAATTGGGAAACTGTTGTTACAATGCAAACAAACTACTTACTATTATTACTTTTGTCATCAAGCATATAAGAAACAGGAATGAATATGAAAGAATAAAATGAGATGAGCACATAAAAGCAAATCCACCTACATGTGTTTTATCTCAAAAAATCATTGTGCAGCTGCACAGAATAACAAGTGTAGAGAGACAAGAAGAGTCTATCTACCATTTACAGGCAAGGGAGCAGGGCAGGATGAAGGGCACGGTGTGGTACAGGGCAAGATCTCAGACCCGACAAAAGATGAGACCATCCTGGTTAATTGTAAACTCTAAGTCTTACATTACTGAGTTCTCCCAGGAGAATTCTAATGGAAAGTAGACAACTACTGGGTCTCAACAAGGTTACCTGTTCTTCCATAAGGCTCATCTAGGTCATCAGCTTACTCCAGTCTCTGTCATCTTTGTAATATCATTCAACTTAAGCCAAGGCTTGGAGAGGCAAAGCCTATTAATGCTGTATGTGTATGTGGTAGGTAGAATGATGCTCCTATCCCCTGCAAGATGCTCATCATCTAATCCCTGGAACCTGTGAATGTGTTAGATTACATGAATAAGGAATTAGGACTACAGATTGAATTACGGTTGCTAATCAGATGATTAGATGCAGGATGTGATTGATCACAAAAACATTCCTGGAGAAATTTTGGCCTCATAGGAGACAGAGCCATCTTAGGAAATATCACTCACTCAAACCCACAAATACCTCAAAACCCTGCCTTATTCTGAGCCAATGTGGAAGAGTGAAGGCTCTGTCTCACTGGGCCTCTCTTCACACACAGTAACCTAAGACCTAGTGGGAAAATGATTGTGATGGATGAAGGATCCAGGAGAGGCAATAGAAGCTATGCATGTCCAAGTGCCCAGAAGAATGGGAGCAGGAAGAGATAGGACCAGGGCATTGCACATGACGATGCAGGGTTTGCCAGACTGCCTATGCAGGAAATTTGGCAGAAAAAGTCCTCAGACTTCCAACAAGAAAACCTTGATGCATCAGTGCAACCTTTCTACATTTGTAGAAATGAAAAAGAACAAGTTATTTACACCAAACTGTGAACCAACACTATAGAATAAAAGTAATTTTCATTATAAGAGTAAAATTATGACTGTCAGATATAAAAATGAACACATTAAATATATTATTTATGAAGAAAGTGGTGAGGTGTTACCACCAATTCAAAGGAGAAACAAAAAAGCAAATGTATAGATTAGGAATATTAAAATGAATGTACAAATGGAGACAAATCTGTTCTCTTCCGGTCAGGGGAGGGAAGTCAATTGAAATGTCTCCACTGGACAGAATTTGTCTACAGACAGGAGTCAGGGTTTCGTGTTGTTTTAGCGGTTTTCTGTCAGTTACTGACATGCTACAGTGTTATAAAATAGCTCCCATGGAATATGCTTTAGGCAATGCATAGTTTTTCACTGGAGCTTAAATCTTCCTGAGTGCTTTGACTGCTATTTGTCTATAGTGACTTACCAAAAGCAAGCTTGTAGATGGTCCTAGAATTTAAAACTAAGAAGCCAATCTTCAGGCCATCTCCTGAGGGCGATTAGGATACTGAGGAGGTCCTAGGAGCTCAGTGATGGCACCCAGAGTACCTTGCTTGTGCATCTGACAGGGCGGCTCACTGCTGTAGCACTTCTCTGAAGATCTGCCCTTTAATATTTGACCCCACACCCTACCTATGCAAAGTTCCTTATTTCTAAGTTCACTGCCCATCTCCCACCTGCAAAGCAGGCTGTAGACCCTGAGGATGTCTCAACCTGGTCTCCAGTCCTGACACCACCCAGATACTACTAAGCCCAGGTCTAGAAGATTCCCAGACACTGAGATAAAATATGAAAAATCCCACGTTCTGCTTCTTTGTCCATAATACCTGGTGCTGGATCTATGTGGCATTTCCAGGGACAAAACTCAATCCACCCCAATCTTACTGAGGTTACAAATGTTAGCAGAATTCAAATTTAAAGAAGTCTGACTACAGTATAGCAGTGACTGGAGCTGCTTACAGACTGGAGAAGCTGGAGAGCCTGCAGCAGGATGTGGGGAGTTTGTCCCAAAGAAGAGAACAAGGAGCATGGTGGGGGAGAAGAATTAAAACAGTAACTTCCACATGAGGCTTATGAGAAAGCATATATTTTAAAACTCCAGGGAACTCCCCGAACCTCAGATAAGAACAAACAATCTGCCAATATGTTGTTTCAAAGGCAGAGGATTAAAAAAGAACTGCTAAGTCTAGATTGAGAGGGAAATGTTGCCTCTAGATGCCAAAAATAATTGTAACACAATATGGGATAAACATTAGGAAGCTCCCAGAAGCAATTTTACATATGCACGGTGGTCATTTCATATCATGTAGATAGAATGACAAAAAACTGCTGCAAGAAATGCGAATATAAAGTATCTAGACCAAGAGATTTTAGTATTTTCAGATGTTGATGGTTACACGTGATTTTTTTCCAAAATGGCTTTAACTACATGAAAATTGTCTTTCAGCTGAGGTCAAACAAAATAAAGACAAAAGTAATCTGTTTTATGAAATCTTACAACAAAGACATAGCTACTTGTCTTCCAGCTTGGAATCTGAATGCGCTATTTGTTAATGGAAAATCCATTATGGCATTTGGGGATAATGCATTTTGTTAAAACAAATGAGAACCCTTCCCATCTCACTGATATCACTCTCTCAAAGTTAGTCTAGACATTTTACAAATATCAACAGAGGCACATCGTAAGCTGACATGTCATTAAGTCATAGAGAGAAGGAAGACAAACAAATATTTGTCATCACTGTGTGTCAGCCACTGACTAAGTGTTCTGTCTCTTTTCTTATTAAATTGAGTCAACTACACTGTCAGATACAATCCTAGGTGCAAACAGAGGAAGAGGAAGAAAAAAAGAAACTCAGAACTAAATCTAAATAATTATACTTGCACCAAATAATAAAGCCATAGAGTGTGGATCCAAACCTGATTGTCTGAGACACTCACTCACTGGTTTAGATGATGGGAGGAATCCAATTGGGTTATTTTGTAGAATTTTTTTTAAAGTGATACTACCTTATGATTAAACCAAGATTATATTCTAAGACATTTTTTACTATACTTGTTCAAAAATATTTTTCAGCACCTACTATATGCTGGATATTGTTCTAAGTTCTCGGAAAACATCAACAAACTAAACAGAAAAAAAAAGAAAAAAGAATGTTGAGTCCTTCTAGATTCATATCTTATAAGAGAAAGCATTTTGCTCATCTTGTATTAAAGTTTTTTGAACCTCCCTATGGAAAGAAATTAGAGCTAGGAATATTATGGTTAAATTAGAAAACATAGTATCACCACACTTAGTAATACTGTTGCCCCAGCAAAACAGACCATTTTTTACGTGACTTTAGCTTGTGTGTATGTGTGTGTGTGTGTGTGTGTGTGCGCGCACTGCAGTTCTGCTGCCACATTCTAATGGAACATGCAAGAGGGTCCATGGCAGTCCTACGGGATGCATTCCAGCCCCAAATCCACCACTTAGCAGTCCTAGGCAAATCATTTTAGCTCTCTAGACCCTAGTTTCCTCCAGCTGCAAAATGAGATACTAATACCTCCTCCACAGGGTGGGTGAGGGAACTAAATGAGTTCACATAGGGAAAGCACTTGGCATAGTACAATACCCTTGTAAGTTTAATCAATACTGTCAGGATGTAAACAAGGACATGAGTTACTGCTACTGTCCATTTAGTCATCTTTTAAAAAGTCAATATTTGTGCAATACTGTTAACGTTTAATACTGATGTTACACAGAAGTCCAGTTAACTCCACAGGTCATGCTGGAAGATGGAAACAGAAGTAGAACTATATGATACATACCCATGAAAGCAAAAGAAAATAACATGCATGCTTCACATCTCTAATGTCTAATGTTCGTAATTACCTTGTTTGGCCTGCATTTCACAGAACAGGAAACAGAGTGATTGATAACTATAGCTGAAGTCACACAGCTCTTCAGCATGTAAATGTGACTCTCAATCCCTATCTTTTTGACACTGATACTTAGAAGCTTCCAGCAATGCCGTGCTTCTCTCCTATATAGCTAATAGTTTTGTAGTATCCTCCTATACTCACATTTGAAAATTGTTTCCCTTCTATTCTGAAACTTCTCAATGCCCCAATCTAAAAGTTTTAAGCCAATCTGTGAAAATTGTTTCTGTCTGCAGCAGACCTAAGGGTCCCCAAATCCTCACTCCACTTGGGGCATGTATAATACCATCTCTGGGGCTGACGCAAGTTCAGGATAAGTAGTGCTATCTTTGTTCTCTAAACAATTTTAACCTACTGTGTCTGTGTGACCCATCTGTGATTGTCTGAGACCAGTCTGTGGGTGAATAAATGAGCGAATCAATGGATGAATTGCATGTGATTAGTTTAGAAATTATTGATCAGCCATTATTCCAGATACTCCCATTCCTGATGTCCATTCTTGCTGCTCCCAGTCCCCACAGGTGGGTCAACATCTGGACTTTGCACCAGCAGAGCTTACTACTTAAAATATAGGAAGAAAAGAACGACGACTGTATGCACTTTCAAATATATTATTGTTTCAATGACTCTAATGTAATTTTGTAAAATATATGCAAGCATAGATTTTGTACATCAAATTGTAATTCAGGAAAAGTTAAAATACTGAGAATCACATGATTTGCTTTGAGAACCATCCTATCAACCTTCATGTGTGGTCATTTATGAAGCAACCCACATACTTCAGTTTGTATGCATGGGATTCACCCTGTGTACCTAGAGAAAGACACAAACATAATGAGCCTCACCTGGAGGACATTAGGTCTCCTCCAATGGACTTAACCATGTGACTACCAATCATGTGTAAGTCTTAAAAATCTTGTGGACTTTGTTATTTTACCCATTCTGTTTATAATCTGTTTCAGTTTTTAATTTGATTTTGAAGTTGTAGTTAATCAAAAGATGTTTTACTTTTAGTACTACATTTTCATTTCCTTCCAGCCAACACTGCAATAACTGAAGTTTCAGCAACTTATTCCTCATTAAATGCCCATTAGAAACACCTTCTCCTCTGTGTGTTTTGGATGATCGCTTGTATTTCGGATTGCCTTTTTAGAGTACTTATACTTTTTCACTGATAATCATACTTTGTTTCCTTTTCATATGGAAGTTGAATTTTTATTTTTCTTATTTTGTTTTCATTGTCAACATTCCAGATTGGGTTTTATGTAAATGCTTCTTAGAAAATATATAAATATTACATCAATATCCAAAAGAGCGAAAAATTTATTCCAATAAAACATTACTAATATATGTAACATTCCAATTCTCTTTTACTAGGCCTCTAGGTATGGTAGCGAAAAAAAATCCAGCTCCAGAGTTGGCATAATCTATATTAGCTTAAAATATTAATAATTTAGCCCAAAGGTCAACTTTTTAATAGAGAATACTTGGTCGTTCTTAATAAAATATTTAAAGAGTGAAAAATACCTGAAATAAAGCATTTTAAAAGAATTAGTGATAACTTTAAAGTAATCAGCATGCTCTTCTCCTTGGGGGCCAATATTCAGAAAAAGCAGTTCATTTTATTTTATTGACAATATAGTGATATTTGGCAGGTTGTGTATTTTTCCCCTATTTAATTTTTTAAAAATTTAATGTTGAACACCTGCCAGATTGGCAGCACTGGAAGTCTAAGTTACTGTGTGGAATTGGCTCTCCATCAAACTGTGTTCCTCAGGTTGGGGATGCAGGTTTTTGTGAGATTTTTTTTTCTCCTACCTTAATTACTTTCCCCCTACAGCACAGCCATTAATGAATCAGAGACACCACTAGAGAAGAGATTGATCCACTTCGTCCCTGGTGAGAAATAATACTGATTTCTTAGTATTATGGGAGAATAATTTGAACTGAGAAAGAAAAAAAAGAGTTAAAGTCAGGAAAAAAAAAAAAAGATTCTTCTCTCTAGGAAGGATAATAGATCATGTAGTCCTGGTTGTTAATATCATTTAATAGGCTGTCTGCATAGTTTCTAACCCCATCTGAGTAAATCACAGGAAATGCCTGAGCCTCACTGAAGATCCTGCTTATTCCCCTACAGAAATGTTGACTGCATAAAAGGGCCCTTGAGCTGCAATACAACTCACAGCTATGCTTGCATCACTTCTAACACACACTGCCCAGGTGATCAACTATTCTTCCAGGGAAAAGAAACTTTATATCCCCTAAGTGAGCTCATTGGAGAGATAAATATTCTTTTTATTGAGTCAAAATGTCGCTTCTTCCTAACTCAGACCCTAAATGGTGCTGTAGTCACTGGAGCTAGTTCCATCCCTTAGGCTGAGTTCCTGGGAAATTCTTGTGCTAGATTTTAGACCGTCTTCCTCTTTCCAATCAAATCAAAGTTAATACAAAAATAATCATTCTCATAAGTTATTGTTACTTATGTCTCTAGGCCTGTCTCCAAGTGACCCCAAACTAAATGACAGTAGTTCACATTGTGAAAGGGATGATATTGAATGATGCAAAATCCTGGATTTTGCAAGAAAAAGAAATTTTCAGTTTACAATTTTAAATATATAAAATCCCCCAAATAACTTTGCTCTAACAAGTGCTGACCATAACAAAACACAATAAAATCGTCAGTCCGGACAGAAAAGCTCCTTGTTCTAAGAACCAAATAGGCAATATCACATAAAAACCACCTCATATGACTTTTTCTTCTAGACATAGGTCAAACCAAAACAAGCATATATATTAGCCAAATAGAAATTAATAGAAACCATTGAAAATGGGCTTCTGTTTGTACTCAGGGGAGTTCACAGAAGGGGGGGTGCATGACCAATTAAGGGCTAATTTTCTGGTGTCTCAACTATCAACATTTACACTCTTTATAAAAAGTGTCATAGTCAGTAAACGATTGCAAAATGATATGCATGACAGTTGCACATTTTTGTCCTGTAATACATGTTGTTGGTGATTAAAAATTTCAGAGGAGTGACAAACGTTAATGAATTCTGCATGCCATAAATAGTGAATTACCCTAGAACAAATGCTGAAGAGAAAAGTGACAGAGAATATGAGATTAGAATGGCATATTTGGAGAATGTGCATAATAGTCTATCTGCGTCTACTGATTCAGGCACCAACTGAAATCAGTTGCTTTAATGCAAACATGCCTAGGTGTCTTCTATCCTTTGAAAGTCACTTTGTCTGCTACCAAGAAACTCATTGCAAATTCCATTTCTCTATGCCAGAGAATGACCGACCCTCTTGGAAAATAAAGCAAAAGTTGGTAGGGAGGCAGTCTGAGTGGAGGAAGCAGTTTCTGCAGCTTTCCCAGGTAAAAGCACTTCATCCTGGGTTTCACTCCACCTGAAGATAGCTGCAAATGTGTACGAGACTTGTTGTCATAAAGCAGCCGGACTCCTATTCCACCAGCCAGTGCTCCAAAGGTGGTTACGTCATTCAGGCTTTCCAACGGTGGTGTCAAGATAAACCTCTGCATTTGAGAGACCACATGCTTTCAGTGTTGGTCTGCATGCTCCTACATTTTGCAGAAGCACACAGTTTAGAATGAACTTACATACAACAGGGCTGTTTATAATAAAGCATGTCAAGTTCATTTAGTTGAAAATTACATTTGTGGCTAAATGCTATCATTTCATTTTCTTGAGTTTATAAAATCTTTTGATCTGGTTGATTCAAAAATGCTGAGCAATACAAATATACAACACTTTCCTGGATTCAATAGTTTCCCGTTTCTAACATTATAGGCAGGAAAAGTTGATGTGAAGGTAGCTATGTTTAATATGTTGTATAAAATGATGTATGTGGGAGATTTTTAAATAAAAATCATACAATCATTTTTCAGGGTAGTTTTCTTTTTGGAGTATTTAAAACCTCACTCATTGACAAAGGGATATCTTTTAAGGCTCAGTTTCATTTAGGTATAGAAACTCCTCTCTAAATAGGGACGAAGAAAAATGGTTTTAAAATGCTAAGTATGTATTTCTTTAAGAACATTTCCTTTTTTCTCAATGAGGAAGCTAATTCAGACTCAGAGACAAAGATAAGTAAAAATAAGTTCCCATCTACTGAAGACCTCTGTGAGAAAGCCACTTCATTTGCCCTCTCATTTATATGAGCAGTATTTTGACTAAAATAAACAGAACAGTTCTTGTGTCTCTTCCCTATACCCATATATCTTATGTCTCTAACTGGCAAGAAAAAAGTATCGTAAATATAAGTCACAGAGAAAAACAGCTCTGCTGGTGGCTGATGAGAAGGATTTTAATATGACCCTGCTACAGATGACTTCCTATGAGCTGATCAAAGTCGTGTCTGGAAAAGAGATAATAAAACAAAACAAATGCCTAGAAATTAAAGCAAGCAGGACAAAAGTAGACAATTGAGTTTCCACAAAAATCTAAGAAACCCCCACATGCACATAAACTACTCCTTTGCTTTGTCTGAATGTTCCCTGCCTGCTCTTAGAAGCTGCATAAGAAGTCAGGGATATTTACCATTACTCAATAAGCCAAGCACCTTTTTACCTAAATTGGATCTCCTAAGTTTCCATCCAAATGAAACAAGCACACTAAAAGAATTTGCTTCTGAAAGGAAGTTGAGTTTAATATTCCATTTTAGTGACTATGTAAATCATACAATGTCTTATAAACAAAGCAAGTTTATTCTCAAGAAAGAGATTATAAAATGTAACACCGTCTTTTGGGAAGCCATTTACCTGATTCAGACAACTTTAGCACAGTCTTTACATCATTGAACCTTAAATGTCTTCCCCTAAGTCTCTCAGTTTATGTTCAAACAGGCATCTGTTTTTCAAGTAACCAAGTAAACATAACCTGTTCATGTGGAAGCTATTGACTTCTGTAGCTAATAAGCATTACACAAACCAAGGAAAATGGTAAGGTTATGACAAATGGCATTCTGTTTCCTTTAAGATATGTTATGATATACCAAAATGATTGCCAATACCATACTTGACACACACAATTGAGGATTTTCCAAACATTTTTACTATATTTATTTATACCAAATGCATCATGTGGCATATTGATTTGATTGTATAGGCAATTTCCCCTACAAAAACTAGAGTCAAGGAAAAAACACTCCATCAAAATTACAGACTTAGGAAAGAGGAAAAACAAACATGGAAATACATTTGAAGTAGTAGTCTTTAAAAAATAAAATGTCCTGTATGAAACTCCAGGTTGGATATAGAAATTTGTTCTGGAAGAACTATATAGATGATGTCAGAGTGCCTGAACCATAACCAAAAAGTTCACAGCTAGGATCAATTATGAGTAATTGATTATCTCACTTGCATTGGTCAATGTGTGTGTGAGCTCATTATCAATGAAGTAAGTAGCGTGGTCTATGTCTCTAACAGACTAAAAGCAGCTCCTTAGGGCCACTTGAATGACTATGTGTGTGTGAACAAGTACAAGTGAAGGGTCTTATAAGATACCAAGCATTAACATGTCATGGTTTTGAGGGGGGTTGGTTTGGGGAGGTCTTTTGGGGGGTTATTCATGGAGGTTGGGCAACATGGCTGAGTTCTAGTCAGCGCTGGAGTGCTGACAAGACACTTTGGCCAAAGTGTCACATCCCATTCTCTTGGCCTTTCCCAAATTCATTTCTCTCTCCCAGAGAGATTCACTGAGCAGTTAAATATCATGCTTAATAGCCCTCTGACATAAGAAAGAGATTATATTTAATAGATTTGAATATCCTTTTTCCTATCACACTTAGCATTTCACAATTCGGGAACTTAATTTGTTTGCAAAGGTACAGAAAAAGAAAGTGATTTCTGGATTTCATATATAGTACTTTCTTGCCCCCTACTGGAAAATGTGAACCTGGCATACTAAGAATTCTAATTTTAAAGTGTTTTCCGATTGATCTTTCCTATAAGCCAGTTCACAAACCCACATATACTTCAAACAAGAATAAAATGTAGTAGGTGTAGAAGTTTAATACCATTAACTATGCATTTTATTAAAAAATAATGAACTTAAGAAATCCAATTTACTTTTAAAAATACCCTCAGGAGTACAAAAGTCAATTTTCCAATTGCATAGTGAAAGTAAATCCACCATATCAAGGTGAAAACTGGTACAATTCTTTGTAAATAGAGCTTAAGGGGAGCTTAACATTAAACTGGATTTGCAAAGATTATAAAGAAGTGTGTTTTCTGCTTTTTAAATATTATTCATGACTTCTTGAGCATCAAAAAAATAATTCCATTAGAAAGGGTATTTCAATATTAGCTTTATTTTTGAAGGTACACATGCAGTTTTTCTTGAGAAATATTTTTAACACAGAGAACCCGGGGCCCCTGGACCACTTTTTGATCATTTCTTCTGCAGCAGTGAGTTATGAACATGCTCTCACTGGAATGATGGCCACCACTATTTCTTGGATACACATTTTCGCTTTTGTGGTTCAAGGCCTCTACATTCTTTTATGCAAATCCAGCTAATCACGAATTGCAACCCATGCAATGATTAATGTTCTTTGACAACATTCTTTTGTCATCCGATTCCAGTGATTGTGAGGTCCATAGTCAGAATGACCAGCCCTCAAACAAAGAAGAGGCCATTCTTTGCGGGGCACACTGCTGGGATGTGCCTCTGGCTTCTCATGCCTCCTTCAGTCTCTGACACCCAGGAGGGAACTACTGCTGGACTGAAAGACTGAAAGAGCCTCTGAAAGAGGCTCTGTGGGGAACTTCTCCATCGTCAGCCACATGGAGCTTTTCACTCAGTGACCCGAATCATTCAAAGGACAGGCCACTTCCACGGTAAGGCAGGAACGCCTCACAAGGGCAGGCAGGCACACCCAATGAAGAGAAAGAGCTTCCCCTTTCTGGCATCTCTCCTCCAACACGGAAGGTCTTCAAAGGCCAGTTCTTGGACAAGAGCCAGATACCAAGATAAGTGCTGCTCACGAAAGGCACCGAGCAGATGTGACGATAACCAGACCTTTTTCGTTCCTCCTAGCCCTTGATTTCAGTCTACAGAGGGCTCCACCGTCTCCTCGGGGTGGGAATTACCTGGATTCCTTTCATGCTAAGTGCTAGTCCTCAGTTCCAATTCTTTTCATGCAAAGGCAGAGCCAGCCAGGTGAGACAGAGGGGATTATCTTTGACGACGGTCTTTAAAACCCATATTACAAACATCTGCTCTACTCTGGTGTATTAGGCCGTTCTCAAACAGCTATAAATACATACCTGGGACTCAGTAATTTATAAGGAAAAGAGGCTTAATTGCTCATGGTTCCGCTGGCTGTACAGGAAGCATGATGCTGGCTTCTGCTCAGCCTCTGGGGAGGCCTCAGAAAACTTACAACCATAGTGAAAGGTGAAGGGGAAGCAGATATCTCCCATGGCTGGAACAGCAGCAAGAGAGAGCGGAGAGATGCCACACACTTTTAAACAACCAGATCTCATGAGGACTCACTATCACAAGAAGAGCCCTACGTGGATGGTGCTAAACCACTCTTGAGAAAACCACCCCATGATCCAATCACCTTCCACCAGGCCCCACTTAGGCCCCACTTCTAACACTGGGGATTACGATACAATTCAACATGAGATTTGGTGGGGACACAGATCCAAACTGTATCATATGACAAATATCCTTTCCTGTTGTTATACTTTAAAATGGCAGCCTTCTGGGGGTCCGGGAAAGGGTAGAAATTCAGAGTGTTAGCATCTTAGAATGCCTAAAAAGGGTTTTGAACCTTTTAGGACTAAGACAGTCACTTCAGTTATAGGTACCAAAAATGCTTCCACAGAAAAATTAGCTGCGGTATAAAGAGCAAATGCCAAATCTCCTGGCTGACCTCTATGTGATCTGCTTAGAATGAGCATCTTCCAAATTTTTTAGCAAACAAAAATGTGTATTACCAAGCTCTAGTGAATAATTCCACCCCTTCCTTTACAGTAGTAAGGGTTAGAAACTGGGGACACCAAGAAGGAATGACCCAAGTTGAACTGAAGTGTGAATAAACTTAGTTCAGTGATGATCCTGCCCTATGTCCTGCTACAGAAGTAACGTTCAGTTGTATACCAATTTTGAAAGCATCGAGAAATCATCAGAAATGTATCCCCCAGTCTCACTCCACTCCATTGGGAGTTAACTGCCAGGACAACTTTTGAAGATAAAAATCAATAATGCAAGGTCGTTGGAGTTTTCCCAATCATTTTCCTCCTGATTTGCCTTCCTGGGTATCTCCTCAATGTTCACTAGTTCTATTTTAAGAAAAAGGAAACCAGCATGGTATGACGGTCATTAAATCAAGTCATTTACATACCCATGACTCTGGTTGAAATATATTTATTAGTGGATATGGAGTTAATTTTACAATATCTCTATATAGGTAAGCTGATTTCATTATCTGAAATCGGAGTCAAAGTTTGCAGTTCACTCTATCCTCAGGATCCTCTAGGCCTATTTTCGAAAATTTAAGATACAAAACTATTAAGTATTCAAACAAGCATTTTCTCAGACCTGAATCTGTTTCCTGAGAAAAATTTTAGCCTACCTTCAAATACAGGGAGGAAGAATCTACATGCAAAAAGAAAAGTCTTCGCTAATCTTCCCAAGTACAAATCAAGAGAACTATCCACATTCCCACTATCTAAATACATAGGACAGTGAGATTGCCTGGGACAGAGCCATGGCCATTTGCAGCCAGTTGTCAGTAGACAGGGAGCATTTCTGGGTGTCACCTCTCCATTGCTTTGGGATTCCTGATACAGAACACACAGAGGCTGCAAGAAGCCTTTCAGGAGATGGGGGTCCTCAGTGTCATCACCTCAACTTGTATGCATTGTCTTTACAATGAGCGACACAGAAACTTTCACTTCCCGTTATCTCAAAAGATTTTAATCTCAAATCTTCCGCTCTTCAACTCCTGTGGAAGCTAGGCTGAAGTGGTTGATTTTCCAAGAGCCTATGGTCTTTAGCCCTGTAGTATTCCCCCTTACAAGCCCAGTTCTGGTTCTCAAGAAAGGCACACTCGGGAACTAAATAATCAAACTTCATCAAACTCTCCATTTGCAGTTTTATAGACAAGCCCCTCACAGTTGCTCCACACAATAGTTAGGTGAGGGAACACAAGAAGTAGGTAGAAAAGGAACAAATTTAAATGGCCTCAAATTTATATGTTTTAGTTGATATGCGAGGCCTTTTCCACAAGCCTGGAACCTCTGCCCTTTGTCCATTCTGCTGTGTCTCTCAGTGTACCCTCTAGTACATAACGTAAGAAGAAACCAGTAACTACTTAATAGACAACCTGTTTATTCACTTACTAACTCTCAATTTCATCTTAAAGGCACTCTCTCATTATGGTTTTTTGATTCTTCCTCTTTGGAAGAATTGGTGTTGGAGTTAGGCCATTACTTTAAAAAATAAAGTAACTGTGGCTTACTTCAAAAATAAAATATGAATAACTAAAATGAATTTTGATTTCTTTTGACTGCACAAATTATTTTGAAAGCTAACAGCTCTGCACATTTTTAAAATAGATTCAATCATTCAAGCTCAATCACAAATTTTCTACCCCATAATAATTTCTAATCATTTCACAGTGCACACACACTGCATCTAAATGCCTTCTTCCACATGTCAAAATAAAATTCATATCTATTACCACACCTCTGAACCATCAAATCATTCAAAATGAAGATCATAAAATGAAGATACATGGAAATGATATGTAATGCCACAATAGAATGTATTCTGCAGGGGTGAGCTTGCCAAACTCCAGCATCACACTTTTAACTCAACAGTATTTTGCCTTTTAAATAATTTATTTTTCTCTTTCTAAATACATTGTAATATTTACAACTTAAACGAAACTTTGCTTGAAAGACAACAGCCATACTTGTACCGAAGATAATATCACTTTTGGGGATTATCTATACGGTTAACATTGTTAATATCATTATGAGAGTCCCTCCATCCCATTGATAAGGACACTGCAAAAATTCATGCAGAAGATCACATTGCAGAAAAAATTACTTATCTACCACAACCAGAAATAACTCATTAGTGAACTTAAAATCTTGAAGACTTGAAGACAGAATCATCCATGTACACTTTTCTTCTAAGAAATGAAAACTATGAAATGAATGAGTCCTGTCACACTTCCCCATTCATAACCTCAACCTTGTAAACACAAAACACACAGAGAAAACTCCCAAGCACACTCTAACATATAGAACACACACACCTACATTTACACACACCTAGACTCTCATGCACACACATGCACATGTACACACACGCCCCTACATACATACATGTAGGTCAGGAAAACCCAGATGGTTTAATCAGAATGCCAATGTCATAGGACTGTCTTGCAAAACACCTTTATTCTGGGCCCCACCTTAAGAGAACAGAAACATACCTCCTGAGACCTATACACACCTGTGAATGCCATGCTGGATAGTGAAAGGCCTCGTGTCCCAAATCACCTGGAGGCAGAAAGCACTTGCGGGGGAGGTGTGCTTGACCCATTGTGGTCATTGCTGGTTCTAAGTCAGCAATTGCTCTGATTGGTATTGAACCAGACTCTTCTACCAGAGGATAAACTTGGCCTGGAGAGAACAATTTCATTCCAAATTCATCTTGTCCCCATTTTCTTCCTTGAGTTGGGCTACCCCTTTCCAAATACCTCCTCCCCTTCTTCCTTTGACTAAACACACACTGAAAGATGCTGGGAGGCTAAAGCGGTTTTTCCACTGAAGCCTTCCATCAGGTTCTGGAGAGCAACACACAAGCAGAGCAGCCATTCCATCCATGGCATTGCTGACTCATTCCCATGACTGCTAGAGAGGATAAGACCTCACCGGGTGGATCTTTAGGGGGAACCCAGAACAAACACTTTCTTACTCTCTCCCTCTTCTGTTCCCCACTAGACTGCTCCTATCTATGTCTCCTCCCTTTGCATGAGCCACCCATCTCCCCACCATGATAGAGGCGCCCCCTTTCTAGTCTTTAGCTGTGTGTCCTGCAAATTCAGCCACCTCGGCGTGTCAGTAGGAGCACAGTGAACGTTCGCTGGCCTGGTCAACTTGGAGTGGCTCTACCAAAGAAGGTACTGTGAGTGCCTTTTACCAGAACAAGCCTTATTTAACTATTTGTAGCTTCGTCATTTTTCAAAGTTAGATTTTTTTCCATCCAGTCATTTCAAAATGCCTTTGAACTTCTGCACATTTCTGTTCACTTGTATTTCTTGAGTTAATATGCTTCCCAAAGCATTTAACTTGGGCACCACCGCAGAATCTTCTTTTACATCAATAGAGTATGATTTCAGGAACCATTTGCATTACTGGTTAAATGAAATATTGTTTCCTATTTGATTATTAAAATAACCTAATTCTCTTCTAGAATCTGCTCTTCCCCTTTTAAGCTATCCCAAATCCCCCAATCTCAATCCCAGATCCCCCAATCTCAATCCCAGACCCCCCAATCCCCACTTCCAATTCCAAATCCCAGAAAAGATGACAGGGCTCACATCATGCTGTTGGTTCATCTTCAGAATCATTAGACAGCCTCCATTCTGACAATAGCAATAAGAGGAGGAGGAGAATTTGAGGCTTTGAGGGGGATGCAGGAACACTGAGAAAGTTACAAAATCTACTTTTTTTTTTCTTTCTGAGCAAATCTTGGTGTCTTCATTTCTAATCAGGGAAGCCACTTTTTTGGTGAATTGGTTAAGTGGGCAAGCAAAAGCAAAAGAAAAGAGTATCAACCAAACATTCAGCCTTATGGAATTACAGTCAGAATGTATGCCTACTGGCCCAATCCCCTGAAATAATGTTTCCAAAATAATAAATCTTATAGTTTGCATTAATCTTCTGTATGACTCATCACACTATCATTTACCTTTCCAGAAGACATTTTAGAAAATAACTTCCTCTGAAATCAAACTATTTAAAAGTATGGTTCAGCTTGCCTTTCAGTTCCTTCAATCTACCTGAAATCTCCTGCAGTTTTATCTCTTTCATAGTCCTGTGAGGTGCTGAGCCCATCACATTCACAGAAAACTTCTGTCCATACGCAGTATAAATAGTAAACATTCCAGCACATATATTTGCAGGAATGGATATCCATTCTTTATTTCACCCACTTATTAAATTTAAATAATATTTATTATATTTATTATGCATTTTATCTTGTCAAAGCACTGTATTAGGAGCTAGGTAGATACAAAACCAAACAAAATATAGTCTTAACTTTAATGATATTTTGGTTATACATAAAACATGTATACAACAAAACAATAAGCTAAGAGAAGTATAAAGAAAATGACTTGGTGTTCAGAGGAGGTAGGATTAACTTTATCCTAGCTGTTAAGATGAGGGATGGCTTCGAAAAGGATGTGGCATTTGAACTAGAGAAGAATAGGTAGGATTTGATTATGTGTAAATGATAGAGGTAGTTGGAAGGAGAATATCATGGCAGAGGGAAGAGGACCAACAAATGTAAGAAAGTGAGAGGTATGGGAGTAGAGACCAGTATTTCCCTTAACTTTCCTGCAGCAATGGTTCACAAAGAAAAGTGATGGGAAACACACTACTTAGAGCATGTTGAAACTAGATCAGAGAGAGCCTAGCATGCCATCTGAGAAACTGCTCTTTAAGGGGAATGAAAAAAAAATAACTGAAGGATATGGAGCATGTGAGTAAATAATTAACGGTTGCATCAAGAAGATTGCCCGCTGTGTGTAAGTAGTAGAGGGGAGCACAGTTAGAGACAAGACTATTAGACTACTTCAATAGACCACAGAGAGACAAAGGAAAAAGGCCAGGGTATGAGAGCTACCTCAGAGACAGAAATATAGGACTTAGCAAATGGATATGAGGGAGAAGCAAAGGAGAGGGAATCATAAAAAGCCTTGAGTAACTGGGAGAATCATGATGACCTTCAGAGGCAACACAAGAGAAGGAAATAGAAGATAAGTTTATTTCCACACCTGCAAATTTGTCTAGTATGTCTGCGAATTTTAGGTACAACCCCAACCCAGCAAAGTGTGCCAAGTTATCTACAGAGACTTATGTTGAGTAAATACTACTCAAACCAATTCTAAAGCAATATTTGCCCTATTAGGACCTCAACGTAGTCTCTATCTAATCTGTTTCGTCTACTCCTTATTCTTTTTTACTTCCCAACAGCCAGCCTTTCCAACTGATGATCAGCTTACCACTGCTCCTGTTTACCCATGGCTCATGCCCTCCATCATGGCTGTCAACTAACTTCAGATGCTCCTAGGTGATGGACTTCTCAGTTCAGCCACACCAACCTCTCACCAAGACTCTCCTGGCAGAATCACCAACTGGCACAGCAGGCAAAGACCTGCCCCAACTCTTAGCCCTAGAAAGCTGGGCCCAGACAGAATCTAAGGTGCTAAAGGGATGGCCAAATGAAGATGCTTATAGTTAGTTGGAAATGCAATATTGCAAGATTGGAGTTGAGAATACAGAAAAGTTGAGAGATTTCATGACAATGGTCCTCAGTTGCCACCCCACTAAGTGTGACAGTAAAGTGTGTAAGCCCATCCAGCAGGACAGCTGGGTGTCTGTAAGACGACGGAGGCCTCTGAGAACAGGAGAGCAGGGAAGCTCGAACTCATGGTCTCTCATACACACTATGGACATATGTTTGTGTAATGAGGAGAACGAACGGGAGGAAAGGCTATTTTGTAACATGGATCCGGGAGCGTGCCCCTGGGCAGCTCACGGATACTGAAAAATAGTGGTTGTCTTCCACAAGTAGCAGAAACCTTGGGTGATCCACTCAAGCCACAGGCAGCAGGCTGGCCCTTCAAAGTGGAGCCCTGGGACGCTTGGAGGAGCTGAGGTGGAATAAACAAAGGTTAAATTCTCTTTCACTTACTTCTAAGTGACAGGTTTTAATTAAAGATAATTCACACTTGAATTGATCCTCTCAGTTCCTGCTGCTGACAGACTAGGAGACTGTCAAGGGAGGAACTGCGTGGCAAGAAGACCTGGATACGGATGGGGAGGGACGGAGGGGAGATGTACTTGCGCGCACTCACCAAAATTAAAAGGTGGGGGAAAGACACCAAAAGGTGGATACTATGGATAAATGTGGTCTACTATACCTAGGGATTTCAATGTTTTTCCTCCCTTAAAAAGTCACTAAATAACTTGTCTTTGTGGAGTAAAAGAACATGTATCCCAATGTCACTTTTTACTAGTTTCAAATATTACAGAAAGATATTTATTTCATGATACTAACAATAGGATAGATGCAAGTGTTCCTATTATATAATTCAAAAACTGACACTGAGAGAATGACATATGGGACAGGTCATATGGAATAGAGGGTCCAGGGTGATAAGAGAAACTCCAGTTCCTCCAGACAAGACTCCAACCTGGCTCTAAGCAAAAGAGAATCTGACAACATTAGTGGCTTTTGCAATTCAAGCCATTCCTGCCTTTGTTTGCCAAAGCTAAAAAAAATTTAAATATATAAAAAAATTATTCTTGCTAAAATTCTATTTCTGAGGTCACAGCTGCAGGAGCAAGATTAACATATGCTAAAGCTAGAACTACTGAAGGTTGATTGTACACATTTTTTCAAATGCAGCTTAATCGCCCAAGAATGCAGAATCAAATTTCAGATGTATTTAAAGTGTGAAAAATATTTATATAATTTTGTCTCTCCAGATAAATATTAAAATCCCAAACCACTCTACTTAAAGTCCCTGAATCTCTGTTGAATCCCACCTCCATACAAGGCAGGCTCTCAGAGCTCAGCAAAATTCTATCTATCCACAGAGGTCCCGCTCAAATTCCACATTCTCCATGAAGCCTCCTCCTCATGCCCTAACAGGAATTAACTCTCACCTCTGTGAAACCCCATAGCACTTTGTCTCCCTAATGTGGCACTTATGTGCCATGAATGGTAGTTACCTGGACATGCACACATCTTATTTCCCCTGCTTTCCTATTGAATTGTACAATCCCCAAGGGAAGGAACCATAACTTACACATCAGCATATCTCCTCTAACAGCCTAGTGAAATACATCCTGCTTAGGAGGTGTTAAGTATATTTTTTAAATGAATGATGACTGCATGAAAATTCTCCTGGGTACGCAGGCTTTCCTTTTAAAGTTTTGTCTTAGAATATGGAAAGCAAGATTCTGCCGTTTGCACCTAGCCTGCGGCTACTTCTTCACCACAAAATCACAAATGAATACCATCTGCTATTTCTCTCTGCTAGGTCCCTCTGGAGATTCCCTTTAGGTTAATTGGCCACTCTCTGTTCTAGCCCCGACTCTCTCTCAGTTCTTACTCCTGGGAAAACCTCAGCTGGGCCAGAGGTCTAGGACACTGCTAAGTTATATGTTCAAAACCATATGTTCTTCCTCTTTAAGTTCCTAATTATTACTTTCTTTTAGGTTATCTTCATTTCCTCCCTCCTGAAATGTTCCCTTTTCAGGTCTCTCCTGAAACTATCTCCTTCGAGTCATCTACAGAACATAAGGCGAGCAGATGGTGCTGCGATTGCACTGGTAATTACCCCCTGAGAAAAGCAACCTTCTTCCCAAAGCAGGTAATTTGGACTAAAATAGAACTTTTGCCAGAATAACCCAGGTAAGTAGGGTGTTGAGCTTTATACGTACACAATCATATTTTATGCAATAGAAACCATCACCATTTGTTTTGGACAAAACCAGGCTGTTTCTTGCCCCCTACAACGAAGGGGGCCAACTTTAAAGGCTAAAATTAACTTGTTTCTACTCTAAGCCTCCAACTCCAATTCCAATGGTGTGTTTTGAGGCACCTGATCACAGTACAGGAACTTGGGGATCTCCTCTTACTAGCAATCATGTGCACTACTTCTCATATCTAGTTTTTAAGCATCATGACTTATTTAATATTTATTTTAAAGGAAATTCCTGAAGTGCAGATACCATCAGTATGTAAATTTTTCGACTTTTTGTGGAAACCAATATCATATCCTTAAACCCAGGCTTAGGACACAATGGGGAAAAAAACAAAACTACCTCTTCGCTTGAAAGGAAACAAATTTTGCCTGCACTTTCACTGGTTTCTTATTGTAGCTGCAAGCCATGATCTGCTGAAATACTTCTCTGACAGCAAGAGTAACTAGAGTGCTTTCAGCCCAAGAACAGGCCACTCTATGTCATTGGGCAAAAATGGCAAAAGGTCGTCCAAATGAACTTCACATAAGAGGAAGAGAAGCAGTGAGAAATGATAATTGCCCTTTCCGATCCAGACCAGGTCCAATTACCATCAATTGGACCACCACATCGTGGTGGTGTTTTTCCTCTTTTATCTGGTGTAAGAGTTTGATAACCCAAAGGCTGTAATTGTGTTGTAGGGCTAATTAAAAAGGAGGCCAGGATTTTCATATGTATCGCCAACACAAAAGCAAGATATTTATTGCACTTGGCACATAACAGAGGTTAAAATTTCATTGAAAAGAGGTTTCAGAAATTAACATAACTATATGTCTCTGCTTTTTTCTTCTTCTCTTCTAGTAATGCAAAGCAGAACAGGAAAAAAATACTTAAGGATAAAAAAGCTCATTCTAAACATGTCAGCCTCATCAATGTTATGGATAGGTAACAACCAATTTTATAATAAAGAACCTGTGTTTTCCAGTTTGGTGTTTCAGTTCTTAACTTACAAAGCTCTTTTGTAATGTTTGGTCATCTCTTCCTCCACTTTTTCTGACATTACAAATATGTTCAGACTCCTTTCTGCATCAGCCTTCTAAACTATCTACTCCATAATGAACTTGCTGGGGAAAAGTGAAAGTGGAAAAAGTGAGATGTTTTCTATTAGTCAACATTAGGAAATCTCTTAAGGAATTACTTTGCTGTTTAAAAGTTGCTCACCTGTATTCATGGGAGAGAAAATGCATGTCACAATGTAGCATTAAGCAGCATCAGAACTTCACAAGTATTAGCATTTCAAATAAGTCACAATTCTCTAAGGCTGGTGACTAGGAAAAATAACTCTTAGTCATTCTTAAGAGTAAACTTAAACCAAGTAATTGTGGTTAATATCAGACTAGCTGATTTGTGTAGTCATGAAAATATCAGCAGAGTTCCTTTACAAAAGGAAACAGATTAATAAAAAGTATTTATTATTATAACTAATATCCAATAATTGATTAATATTCATTACAGACTCTGCCAATATAAATAGTTCTCTTTGAACCCAACTATAAGTAATAATTGCTCTTCACATATAATTAGTACCTCAAAAC
Source organism: Homo sapiens (assembly GCF_000001405.40). Taxonomy (NCBI): domain Eukaryota; kingdom Metazoa; phylum Chordata; class Mammalia; order Primates; family Hominidae; genus Homo; species Homo sapiens. The sequence goes on along the minus strand of NC_000013.11, from coordinate 103,177,450 downwards.
ATTACTTAGGTCTCATGAGACCACAAACTGCACCTCCTGTTAAAGGTAATGTGACATTATGGATCTAGAACCAGAAATACCATTTGACATAGCAATCCCATTACTGGGTATGTACCCAAAGGACTGTAAATCATTCTGCTGTAAAGACACATGCACACATGTTTACTGCAGCACTATTTACAATAGCAAAGACTTGGAATCAACCCAAATGCCCATCAATGATAGACTAGATAAAGCAAACGTGGCACATATGCACCATGGAATACTACGCAGCCATAAAAAAGAATGAGTTCATGTCCTTTGCAGGAACATGGATGAAGCCTGAAGCCATCATTCTCAGCAAACTAACACAGTAACAGAAAACCAAACACTGCATATTCTTACTCATAAGTGGGAGTTGAACAATGAGAACACATGGACACAGGGATGGCAACATCACATACTGAGACCTGTCAGGGGTCGGGGGAAAGGAGAGGAAAAGGGGAGGAAGAGCATTAGGACAAACACCTAATGCATTTGGGGCTTAAAATCTAGAAGTGGATAGGTGCAGCAAACCACCATGGCACATGTATACATATGTAGCAAACCTGCATGTTCTGCACATGTATCCCAGAACTTAAAGTAAAATGTAAAAAAAAAAAAAAAAAGTTAAAATCAGTTTTAGATAGGCTATGTCAACATGGGAACGGCCTCTGCATTGGAGCCTTATACACAGCCTCTAAAACCTGGGCCTTGAAAATTAGCACTTTCTTTAATGAAGGTCCAGAAGTTCCACTGTGAACAATAATAGTTTATTACCTAAAAAGGAGTCTGTGTCTTGTATAAATTTTCCTTCAAGAAGCTACGAACTGAGACATGCCTCCTCATACACCTCAGAACAAGGAGCATAACATTTGGTATTTGTCAAAGTCTGACTCTTAACCAGCTGGTGGCCACAATGGGAATACCCAAGAGCAACGGTTCTCAAAGTGGGGTTCCCAAAGAACGGCATCAACATCACCTGGGAACTTGTTACATAAAGTAAGTTATCAGACTCTGCCCAGCCCTGCTGAATCAGAAGCTTTGAGGGTGGGGACCTGCAGTTTGTGTTTAACAAGTCCCAGGTGCTCCTGATGCTCCCTCATGTTTGAGAGCCACTGCCCTGGAAGCAGATTTCTCAAGATGTGGTGTGAGGACCATCGGCTGTTGATCACACGGGTGCTAATCCCTGGAACTCACCCTGACCTATTGAATTACACTGTCTAGAAACAGACATTTTTCATAAGCTTCCTAGGATGCTCTATTCATCCAACAGTTTGGGAACCACCCAGGCAAATTTAAGCCAATAGAGGATTCTCCCACTGAAACACAAGGGAAGATATGAACCCAACTAATGAACTTGCTGAAAATGTTTCATATTTGAAGACATCAGCCTATGTTTCTTCAAGCTTCGGTAGAGCGAGGAAGTCCTTATGTGTTGGTTACTATGAGAACTAAATATTTTCTCTCACTGTCACTTTTTAAAAGCCTTTAGTCAACAAAAAGAGACATTTTCTAATTGAAAAAAAAATAAAGCTGAAATAGAACATCTTCATGTCCCCAGATCATTATGTAATTAATATTAGGCTGCAAATAACCCAAGGCCTAGGCATTTTTTTTATAAATCAGGTTTTTGTGTTTTTTTTAATGTGGTCTAGAAATGTTGCTGGTGACAGCACAGACATTCCTATACGGCCCATCAAGTGGCCACGTCATCCATCAGTAGTGATATTAAAGACTCCTCCTCTCCATCAAAACACAGCCAGAATCAGTTTAAAACATACCTGCCAAAAATAACAAAATAATTTCATGTATGAGAAGAGGTAGCAGATGCTGACATGGGGAAGGGAGGAAAAGAAAAAAGCAAAGTGGAAAATGGAAAAGAGTGAGGTTAAAAGACGGAAGCCAGCCTCCATATTAACCTTAATAAAAGTCAATCACCTCCCCCTTTATCTCGCTGAGTGAAAATAAAAATATCTACAAGAACATAAACATTACTGTAACAGCAATTACAATCACGCAAGCAGCCTCAAAATCCCAACCTCTTCCTCTGAGGTCTCTGAAAATCAAAGTCCACAGAAACGAAACACTACATAATTTTAAATCTGCACAGTGTAGCTGGTGGACATATCAGATTTTCTCAGCATCCTCATACATCATACAGCCTTTATCAAGGTAACACTTGTATTGTGCCAAATTAATCCTTTTTAGCCTTATCATTGTAAATAGATGTGTCTACTTTCCGACGTTACAAACAACAAGAAACGGATTAATCTTTTAGATATTGTAGGAAGCTGCTTTCTCACAAAGGCAATGATGTGCTATTTTGGACAAAGCCAAGACTTTTGCAATAAGAGGGCCTGGGTTCAAATATCTGTTCTCCTATTTAATTGCTACATTAAGGGGGGCAAGTCGGTAAAACCAATCTGAGTTTCAATTTTCGCACTTAAAAAGGATCCCCCAGAGAGTGGTATATCAGATAATACTCATGAAAATTCTGTATGTGTAATGGGTTTTCATACATTACTCTAGACTCTAAGTTTCCTAATGTTAGGGGTTGTGTCTTTTCATTCTCTCAGATGCACATAATAATATATAACTTAATAGATTAATTGGATGTTTTCTATCTTGTCATGGGAATTAGAATTAGCACCAGAGGAGGCCAAAAAAGCAGACCCAAGCTAGGCATGTGTCCCATGCTCTAGAGTCAAACTAAACATGGCGTCTTTCTGAAATGGAGCTACTAGATGGCATGCACCTATGTCAGAGGGTGACTAAGAAGGTCCAAGGGCAGATACTAAATCTGTCATCTAGCCCAAGGAGCCAGTGCAAGACCTGAAAAGCAAGGCCATATCTAAATATCTAGGACGAAGAAAGCTCAGGAATGGAGCGGGAGGGAAAAACAAGTTAAAGAAGCCAAAAGCATCACAAAGAGCAGGATGGGGACCCCCAGCGTCTTATTATGCTAGGTGGTGGGCATCCCAAGACTCGCACGCTTCAGCATGAGTTAAAGTCCTAGAATCATGGCAAATAGCTTGAATGCTGTTTAATTTTTATTTAGCACTTTTTGAAGGAGTTAACATAGTATGTTTGAATGAATGTAGAGGGGATTTAAGCCAGACAGAACCAAGTTCAAATCCCATTCTACAGTTTACTAGCTGTGTGAACTCACTTGTGTTACCTAACACTCCAATTTCCCCATCTTCCTCAATGTGCTTTTGTGGGAATTAAATGAAATCAGGAGTCATGAAGGGCCTGAAATAATGTCTGGCCCTAAAAAGTGCTCAACAAATGTCAACTTCCTTCTCCTGCTATGATTTCTAGCCTTTTCCCTTGGCTACATTCCTTTTCTTATTAACAATTTATTATCTCTATTATAGTCAGTAAGTGCTTATTGAAAAGAAAGTTATCCCTTAATTTTCCTTCAGCTTTGCTTCCATATATGATTCTAACTTTAACTGTAGCTCCCACAACCCAGAATCTCTTGATTCTATTTGTAGAGCAAAGCTGGGAACCCATTAACCAGAACCCTCCGCAGTAGACCTTTCCATAAAGAAAGCTATTTGCCCTGTGCTCACTAAAAATATGCCTTATTAACTAGTTCACAAAATAGAAGCTTTCCCATGAACTGTTATTTATAAAAACATTTTTCAGAATGTGAAAACGTGAGATTGGCTTTCACAGGTGAAATACGAAGAGATCATGAGAGTTGGCAACTATTCATGTGTTTAGCATGTCTTTATTGAGGTCATACTATGCACGGGCCATAGGATGAAATGCTAAGGACACAGCATTGGAACAGATCAACATTGTCCCTGCCCCCAGGGAGCACAGAGACTATTTGTCAGGAGAGTCTGGTCAAGGCTACATAATAAATAAACCTTTAAAATCTCATTCAACAAAAGGAGGAGGTATTTCTCCCCTACATCTCTGTCTAATGGGCATCTGGCAGCTGTCCTAGGCAGCTTTTCTTTTGGTGCTAACAAGTAAATCCAGGTTCCTTCCGTCTTTTCATGCCACCGTCTCAAACGTGTGGCCTCCAGGGTCTGAACGGAAAGAGAAGTGAGTAGGTGGTCTATTACCCAGCCTGGAGCTAGTTTACAATCCTTCATCCACATTTCACTACCCAGAACCCAATCACATGGCCCCAACCTTACCACAGGGGAGGTTGAAAAGGTAATCTTCCCCTCGGGCCCCAGAAGAAAACATTACAATGAGAATCAGTGAACATCTAAAATCACACCTTTGACACATCTACTTTTTGCAAACTGCATTCCCATTTTCTAGCCCCTTCCAGGAAGCTTTCAGTCTAGTGAGTGGAGGCAAATATGCGGATAAATAACTGATTACAGATAGATTTGCTATGTGCTAGTACAGAGGGTCTGAGCTCTGGAAGTGCTGAGCTACTGAAGCATAATGAAGAAAAAATTCAATATGGAAATACTTTGGAGAATACAGTATTTACCCTGAGGCTTGAAGAAAGGGATGAGCTTTCACAAGTAAATGTGAGGGAAATGGCTTTCCAAGCAAAGGAAAGAGTTTGAGAAATGGAGGTGTTCAAGAAATGTCAGGGAGCCCAGTGTGTCCAGCAAGGAACCCACATGACCCATAATAAGCTTTGAAAGGAAGGGCAGAGGTCAAATTGTGAATGCCTTTGAATGCCTCACCTGAAATTATCCATACCTAGCACAGGTAGGAGTAGCAAACACTTATTACAAGAATGCAGGCAAAAGGCAATGAGGTTCTAAACCAGGGAAAGTTCCATGCCACGTCCTGATTTCATGCCCCTTGAAAGCAAGCAGTGTCTTTATCAACTTCATTTGTTGTTGCTGTTTTGCTTTTAGTTTCCTTCAATACCTGCCTATGGCATACAGCACTCATCTGGCAGATACTGATGGACAAAATGGCTGCCTGAATAAATGTAGAAACAGCATCTTTTTGACAGATGTAAACACCCTAAGTACATGACTAACTGCCCAATATGTAGAGATTCATTTAAAAATATAGATTGTTTTCAGGGAGGCACAAGTAGCAGATGACCCAGAGCAGGTACTTATGTAGGGGTAGGAGGATGCCTTACATGGTCAGTAATGAAAGAATACAGTGTAGGGAAAGGAGGATGCATCCTGTGGTAATGAAAGAATACAGGCAATAGGCCCAAGGCTCAGAAAACAAGAGCAGAACTAGAGCTCCTCATTTTTAAAAATTTATTTCTGTTTGCACCTCCCCTGTGGTGGCAAGAGCCTTCTAGCTGGTTTCTGGGAGAGCTGAACTCTAATGCTGCCTCTACTATTTTTGAGCTGATCAGTCTTAGTCATGTCAGGTGCCCTTTTCATTTTCTTTATCTAAACACATTGATGTTGACAATTATCTCACCCAGATCTGACAGAGGTAAACGAAGATGGTTGGAAAAACACTTTGAAAAGACTAAAGTCCTCAGTAATATGAAGTACCCACTTTAATGAAAAGTATAGACTTCAAGGAGTGAGGGTAAGGAGACTGAGGCAGAGCACGGGTTAAAAGAGGGATAAAATCTAATTATTTTCAGCAGCCTAAGAAATGCATCAAGATGTTTGGCCAGATCGTGGTGCAGGCTTTCAATTCCAGCTGATTCCGTTAGGTCGCATTCACATCAGCAATAGAATCAATTCTATACCAAAGTAGCTTCTACCTTGAGCTTTGCAGTTGTGATTAGTTTCTCTTATTAGTGCCCAGAGGGACTGGCTTTAACCACACTGTAGGGTGACTTAATTAAAGAATTAGATAAACAAAGAAATATCTCCCACTCTGAATCAAACCAAAGTGTCATGAAAAATAAAACAAGCAGAAACAAAGGCACCGATAAAGTATTCAAGTAGAACAAGTTTATATAAAAACATAATGAGGGTTCATTATTACAAATCAAAAGGCCGAGAGGCAACACACAGAGCTCTCCATGGCCACCTTTATCAGATTCACCTAGGACAGAACAGTGCTGAAAGGAATGCGGAAAACCATGCAGAAATAATGATATGCCACATATGTGTCATCCATGAGATTTACAGGTGCTTTGATAGGCAACATCTCATGTAATTTACAGCAAGCTTTCTGAGATGGGTATTAGCTTCATTTTACAGATAATGAAACGAAGACTCAGTTTACATGACTTGCCCATTTTCACATAATTATGAAGTAAAAGAACCAGAACTCCAACCCAGACGGCTCACCTGGAGACCCGGGTGTCTTCCATTATGTGACAATTAAATTTCGAAGCAACCTGCACTTGTTTGATGGGTCTTATGAAAGGAACGCATATTTTCTCATTGAACTGCAAACAACAGATATTCACTGAGCATCAACTATTTCCAAAACACTGTGCCAGGTGATGGGAGGACAAGCATAGTCCTTGATCTTACAGAGCACACATTTCTTCTTAGAAAAAAATGCAAAAAATAAATAAATAACATGTTCTCTCTAGTATTTTTTTAAAATTATACCTAGAAATAGTCAATCTAAATACAATTGCAATGCTCCCTACCCCCACATACACACACAAGATTTTCTAGAATTTTCAGATCAGCATTACTTGCCTATGTAATAAAATGTCCATTCAAACACCAAAATAGAGTACCATGAAGATCATCAATGGGTTCTGACCAAAAAGGCCTCCACAGCATTCCCCTCATCTTGACTAAGCTTTAGAGAGGCTTCTTCCTGACTAGAGATTTCTGATCTCTCTTAGAACACTTACTATAGAAAACTTGCAGTTGTAAATTCTTTGAGATGTGAATCTTCTACAACCCAAAAATGTCTTTCTCTAGGACCTATGAGTCATCCCTTTTAAACATCATCATCAAGAAAGATAGGATCCTTGTCTGCAAGTCTCTATGGAGGGGTAGGAGCCTAACTTCCATCAGCACTAATTAGCAAACAGATGGCCTAATCACATTGACCAAGCTCCTCCTAATATCTTCCAGGATTTCAGTATTTTCCCACTACCTCCCCCCAGAGCATAAAAACTCTCCCACTTTTGTTTTATTAGCATTTATTTCAATCTTCCCTATCGCAATAGTCTTGAATAAAATCATCCTTGCAGACTTGTAGCTACAGTAACCAAAACAGTCCGTTTTTTACTCGTGCAAAAACAGACATGGCCGGGCATGGTGGCTCACACCTGTAATCCCAGCACTTTGGGAAGCTGAGGCGGGTGGATCACCTGAGGTCAGGAGTTCAAGACCAACCTGACCAACATGGTGAAACCCTATCTCTACTAAAAATACAAAAAATTAGCCAGGCATGGTGGCAGGTGCCTGTAATCCCAGCTACTCTGGAGGCTGAGGCAGGAGAATCACTTGAACCCAGGAGGCAGAGGTTGCAGTGAGCCAAGATCAGGCCATCGCACTCCAGCCTATGTGACAAGAGCAAAACTCCACCTCAAAAAAACAAAACAAAACAAAACAACGTAAATCAATAAAACAGGATAGAGAACCCAGAAATTAAGTCACACACCTACAACCATCTACTCTTCAACAGAGTCAACAATTACAAGCAATGGGGAAAGGACCACCTATTCAATAAATGGTACTGGGATAGCTAGCTAGCCATATACAGAAGAATGATACCGGACCTCTACATTTCAACATATTCAAAAATTAACTCAAGGTGGATTAATTAAATGTAAGACCTAAAATTATAAAACTCCTAGAAGAAAACATAGGAAATACGATTCTGGACATCAGCCTTGGCAAACAATTTACAACTAAGTCCCCAGAAACAATTGCAACAGAAACAAAAATTGACAATGGGACCTAATTAAACAAAGGCTTCTGCACATCAGAAACAAACAAAAAACTATCAACAAAGTAAACAACCTACAGAATGGGAGAAAATATTTACCGACTATACATCCAAAAAAAGGTCTAATATCCAGAATTTATAAGGAACTCAAATTAACAAGCAAAAAAAAAAAGCCCATTTTAAAAATGGGTTAAAAAAAAAGCCCGTTTTAAAAATGGGTAAAAAAAAAACCCATTTTAAAAACGGGTAAAAAACATGAACAGAAACTCCCCAAAAGAAGACATACATGAGGCAACAAATACATGAAAAAACGCTCATCACTAATTATCAGAGAAATGCAAATCAAAACCACAATGAGATACCGTATTAGTCTGTTTTCACACCGATATAAAGAACTGCCCGAAACTGGGTAATTTATAAAGGAAAGAGGTTAAATTGACTCACAGTTCAGCATGGCAGGAAGGGCTTCAGGAAACTTACAATCACGACACAAGGTGAGGAGAAAGCAAAGCACCTTCTTCACAAGATGGGAGGAAGGAAAATGAACGCAGGAGGAACTACCGAACACTTACGAAACCATCAGATCTCGCGATAACTCACTGTCACGAGAACAGCAGGGGCGAGACCGCTTCCATGATTCAATGACCTCCACCTGGTCTCTCCCTTAACACCTGAAGATAATGGGGATTACAATTCTAGATGAGATTTTGGATGAGGACACAGCCAAACCGTATCAGATACCATCTCACACCAGTCAGAATGGTCATTATTAAAACGTCAAAAAATAGAAGATATTGGCAAGGTTGTGGAGAAAAGGGAATGCTTAAACACTGTAGGAGTGTAAATTAGTTCAGCCACTGTGGAAGCAGTTTGGAGATTTCTGAAAGAACTACCATTTCAGCCATCAATCCCATTACTGGGTATATACCCAAGGGAAAAGAAACCTACCAAAAAGACACGTGTACTCAGCAAAGACATGGAATCAATACAGGTGCCCATCAACAGTGGACTAGAGAAGGAAAAGGTGGCACATATACATCATGGAAAACTATGCAGCCATAAAAAATGATGAAATTATGTCCTTTGCAGCAACATGGATGGAACAGGAGGCCATTACCTTAAGCAAATCAATGCAGAAACAGAAAACCAAATACTGTATGTTCCCATTTATAAATAGGAGTTAAACACTGAGTACCCATTGACATAAACATGGGAATAATAGACAATGAGTCTAGTTGTGGAGGGTGGGAATGGGGCAAGGATTGAAAAACTACCCATTGGGTACTATGCTCACTACCTGGGTGACAAGGTCATTTCTACAACAAACTTCAGTGACATGCAATATACTCATGTAACAAACCTCCTTGTGCACCCCTGAACTCAAAGTTGGGAAAGAAAGAGACTTCCTTGCTTGTTTAACTGACCTGGTGCAATTTTTCTTTTACAGTTCGTATGCATCAAGTACTATGCAAGCTACTAGTCATGTGAATATGAATAGAAGAGGGCTCTGCTCCAAACAGCTCAAGGTACAGACCCTGCAGAAGCAGCACATCAAGATCTGCAAAGCTTAATATCTATCTAACATAGCCCTGAGCTTGAGAAATATTATCTTATAAAGCTGACAACTTCCAGAACAGAACCTAGAGATAGAAATGGTTTAGGGGAAGAAGAGGTAAAAGGCAAGGAAAAACAACAACCAAAACACCAACATCGTTATCTCTCTTGCTTTTAAGAGATTAAGCTTACAGAGCTTTTTTCTTGTACTATTATACCAAGAACAAGGTGACAAGCAGGAGCGGATTTTCTTCCAGCCCTGTGTCCTGGTTGTAGGTCTACCTCCCGCCCTTCTCCTCCCTGCTGTGTCTACACTGGAACCCACATCACTCCTGTGATGGGTTCCATTTCTATGGCTCATCCTTGAAGGCTGAATTTTTTTTTTTTTTTTTTTTTTTTTTTTTTTTTTTTTTTTTTTGAGGCGGAGTCTCGCTCTGTCGCCCAGGCTGGAGTGCAGTGGCGCGATCTCGGCTCACTGCAAGCTCCGACTCCCGGGTTCACGCCATTCTCCTGCCTCAGCCTCCCGAGTAGCTGGGACTACAGGCGCCCGCCACGGCACCGGGCCAGAGGCTAACGTTTTGATGTGAAAGATAAAAGGAGGGCGGGGGTGGTAGCTCACACCTGTAATCCCAGCACGTTGGGAGGCGGAGGCGGGCAGATCACCAGAGGTCAGGAGTTCGAGACCAACCTGGCCAATATGGCGAATCCCCGTTTCTACTAAAAATACAAAAATTAGCCCAGCATGGTGGGCAGCACCTGTAATTCCAGCTACTCGGGAGGCTAAAGCAGGGAGAATCACTTGAACCTGGGAATCGGAGGTTGCGGTGAGCTGAGATTATGCCATTGCACTCCAGCCTGGGTGACAGAGTGAGACACCATCTCAAAATAAATAAATAAATAAATAAATAATAAATAAATGGAAATGTGGCCTATCAGAAGGCAGGGCCACATGCTTTGTAATTAAAACCATTAGTGATTCCTGATTCTTACAGAGGAAGCTTCAGGACTGCTAGCAGAAGCAATTAGGAAATATTTCCAGGCAAATGAGGTTTTTACATGTGCTACAGGATGGGCTCCCCATTCCTCCCACTGAACCCCACCAACTTTGCATCTTACCCGGAGGCTGCTTTCTTTATATGAATATTGCTTAATTGAGAGTTTGGGTGGGGCTTGTTCAATGATAATAGATATGCATGAGGGTCAAAATTAGTAAACACCAACCTCAAAGGTAGTATAATTTGTAAGCCTAGAAAATGCTCTGGGCTGCTAGGTCACTTTTTTGCATTAGAAGAAATGGAAAAAAGATATCCAATATTCTGAATTGAAATAAAAGGTAGAACAGGAAGATGGGAGATGGGTTGGGGGTAGAAAAGAAAATCCTGTAAATGCGTGCAGTGATGTCAGTCAGGAGGCAAGCCTCATAACCAGGAGCACAAGGGGATTGATGGCAATCATGGGAACACTGGAGTGTATTTACGGCTTACATCGGGGGAGCTCCAACGTCTGGACATCTGTAAATATGAGAGTCTTGAGATGTCACTAGTAACTGACATAATAGAGAAAGTAAAAGCAGAGTCAGAAAAATAAGAAAGAACTAAATTAAGACTCGGGGAGAACATTGATGATCCTATGGGCAAGGAGAAAAAAGCCAATGAAGGGTAGCAGAATAAAACAATGAGACAAGGGAAGAAACAAACAAAACCAGGACTCTAGAGATCCTAAAACCTATTGTATATTTCAAAACAGCTAGAAGAGAATAATTTGAATGTTTCTGACACAAAGAAAAGACATATATTTAAAGTGACAGATGTCCTAATTACATTGATTCAATCTTTACAAATTATACGAATGTATTAAATTATCACATGCACCCACCAAAATGTGTACATATGTTACATATGAATTAAGGAAATAAAATTTTAAAATGGAAGGGGAAGAAATGTGAATAAATAATTCACTGAAAAAAAAAAAGGAGATACTGAAACCAGTAGCCTTCAGAATCCCAGCAGAAGCCAAGGATACCCTCATACCAGGATAATCAAGGAAGGCTGAGAGAGCTCTTATCAGTATGAAGGCAGAGTATTGGAAAACCATACCAGAGAGTGCGAATCCTGGGGCCTGTAGGAGGGGAGGAGCTGTGCCCACCCCAGGGTCGGAAGGGATGTGAGGAGAGAATAATGAGCAGATCCTGAAAGGTGAGATTTACAAAGAAGACCGTCTTAAGTGGACCCATGACCTTTGTTTAACAAACACAGCCAGCTTAACATTACCCTGCAGGGAGTCCTGCCATACTCCCTTCTCCCTCTCTGATCTCTCCCTGGGGCTCCACATTGGCCAAATCAAACCAGAAGCAAGACAGGGAGAGATGAGGATGCCGTGGATAGGATTCATGCGAGTCAGACTCCCCCAACCAAAGCCAAGAGGAGCAGGGTGGAAAAACACAAATGGAAGGTGTCCTGCAGAGTGGCCAAGGGAGCAAGAATGGACACCTCCAACCCTGGGTCCAGGCTCACTTCAGAAGCCAAACAACCTCCAGCTGTGACATCTGAGTGGCAAGAAGGATACGGAAGTTCGCAGAACATTTCAAAGCTCTCTATGGAAGAAAACAAGACTGATTTCATCTATAAGTCATCTACTTGTCAAAGAATAAATATATACACGTGTGTGTGTATGTGTGTATATATATACATATGCACTTTTCACTTTTGGCATTTGTGATAAGGAATGTTAACATCAAGAATAGTATTTACTTTAACGAGTCTGTTGGGAAAAGCCGAACCCTATCACCAGGCAGAAAGCCTTTTACTTAATAAGTAGTCACAAAAATGGCCCTAATTTGAGATCAGGAGTTTGAGTCTAGCCTGGCCAACATGGCGAAACCCTGTCTCCACTAAAAATACAAAATTTAGCCAGGTGTGGTGGGTGCCTGTAATCCCAGCTACTTGGGAGGCTGAGGCAGTAGAATTGCTTGAACCTGGGAGGCAGATGTTGCAGTGAGCCAAGATTGCGCCATTGCACTCCAGCCTGGGCAACAAGAGCAAAATTCTGTCTCAAAAAAAAAAAGGAAAATGTTTCTGCCCCATGAATTCCAGAGACATATTCAACCTACACAAAGGAAAAAGTCCAATTCTCGGCGGCCAGGCCTCCCTGCTCAGGGGCTCGGCCTCTCTTTGGGCAGCCTGCCTGAGTCCACTGCACTAACTCATTAGTAGTCTCTCTTTCTCTACAGAGAACTTCCCCAGTCCATCTCTTTCAGTCAATTGAGATTTCTCTTTGGAACATGGCATGCTGAGGTTTAGAAAATAAACACTTATTTTTTTTTAATGTGCTGAAAAATTATGGACTGCTATCCCACGTGGCCACCATTGGTTTCCGATGATCCTGCACCTCTCATCTATTAAAAGCTATTTGATTTAGAATGTAATAATAAAAAAATGTTTTTCCACCTATGGCATCAATTATGCAGATTGGCTTTTCTGGGGGGAAAAGTAATGAGACATCATCAGTATTCTTTGAATTTCTAACTTAATTCAAACAGTTACCATGATAGTATAACTTATTATTTGGTACCTGAGGTTGATGAATTCTCCACAGGCTGTCAGTAATTATTCTCAAGTATCTATTATGAGGACATAGAGAATTGCTATTATGTGCTGACTCAGTAGAGTGTGTGAAGCGCCCCCTCCCTGTCCTTCTCCAGGCTCTCAGATTTCACTGTGATATATCTTAGCTGATTCACACAGGAAAGTTCTATTAAATTTCAAATTATCTAATCACATGACTGAGGTCATATTAAGATATAAATAAAAGGAAATACAGACATGATTTATTTGTGCATGTCACCCTGTAGGAAGAAAATCCAAAATGAAACCTCAGGATGTCATCAGTAAGAACCACCACACACACAAAAAAATGTTTCAGGGGATCTCTGCGACTGCTTTTTCTCAAGTGTCAATGGAACATAGGAGACCAAGCCGAGGACAACCCTCCCTGTGACCCCATCAAAGTCTAGATGCTTTGGTTGCAAGTGGTCATGATTGCAACCCAACCAGGAGGTACTTAGTAAAGCAGAAAGGGAAGTCATCGCATGCCACAGCTGAGAAGTCTGAGGCTTAAGGATGGCAGAAATTCAACTGACATCATCTGATTGCTCTCCCACCATCCTTAAGATGTCGTTTTTCCATGTGTATTGGTCTTCTTCTCACTGGTTAGACTCAAGTGTCTCCTTTAGGCATGGGGAGGAAGCCCTGGATAAGCTCTAGGTGTGGTCATGTGAGTTTGGGGGCTGGGAATATAAGCAAGGCCAGGTGCTCACTTCAGTGGCCTGCGGTGGGGAGCAGGGGAGGATGCACCTTGTGTCAGTGACATGAGGCACCTGTTAGGATCCTGTAAAGTGGGAAATAGGCAGTTCCTCAAAAGAAGGGAAAGTAATTCCCAGGAGGTGAGCAGGAAGGAACATGGAAGCACAGGATCCAGAATGTCCAGTGTGGATTCTAAGACCTCTGAAGCATCCACCCTTGTCAGAGGCATTGGATTTCTCTGGGAGTTCAGAGAAATAAAACGAGACCCTGAGCAAATACCTAGAACGTTATGAGGTCTTGAACAGTGGTCTTCCAGACAAAGCATTTACTCATGATTTCGCTCCTTCCTCTTCAATCCCAGATGAGAAAACGAAAAAATTGGGTAGGTTTTGGGATTAGTAGAAGGGGAAATGCAGCCTCATGGAATGCTGGAAATCTACACACCACTAGCATAGAAGTCTTTCAGGAAGTTTGTCTTCTGCTCTCTGGGCATTGATTAAGCAAAGAACAAACAAAACACACAAACAAGTCTAATTTATATATTTATTTATTTATTTATTTATTTATTTATTTATTTGAGACGGAATCTTGCTCTGTCCCCAGGCTGGAGTGCAGTGGCGGGATCTCTGCTCACTGCAAGCTCCGCCCCCCCCGGGTTCATGCCATTCTCCTGCCTCAGCCTCCCGAGTAGCTGGGACTACAGGCACCCGCCATCATGGCTGGCTAATTTTTTTTTTGTATTTTTAGTAGAGACGGGGTTTCACCGTGTTCGCCAGGAGGTCTTGATCTCCTGACCTCGTGATCTGCCCGCCTCGGCCTCACAAAGTGCTGGGATTACACACGTGAGCCACCGCGCCCGGCCGTAATTTTTTTTGCTGTTGCTCAAATTAAGGCTTTTTAATAAAAACTCAAAATATGCTGAGAGCCTGTACATCACCTTCTAATTCTTTTGCAAACTAGGTAGAAGGGCATAGGACATTTACATTGAGGTAGTTTATAACTGATCACTCTATGCCGGTTTCTGGGGCTTTTCTTAAATGATTAACACTCTTGTTGTTGAGATGCTGATTGTGCATTTAAGAAGCGATATCTAATAAGGCATCTCCCTTTCTCTCCCTTCTTCTCATTGTCAGACAAGGTAAGTCTGATGTGATCAAAAAGGCACTGTAGCTTCTCTGTACTAGAAAGTGGAGAAAAGTAAAATACAACTATGGCCCCCTCCAGCTTCGTTCATTGACCAAATGTTACCTGAGTGCCCTCTGGGGAGGCAGGGCCACTCTTCTCGATTCAAATTAGACAAGACCCTGTGATATGGTTTGGCCGTGTCCCTACCCAAGTCTCATCTTGCACTGTAGCTCCCATAATCTCCACATACCCGGTGGGAGGTAATTGAATCATGGGGGCAGGTTTTTCCCATGCTGTTCTCGTGATAGTGAGTAAATCTCATGAGATCTGGTGGTTTTATAAACGGAAGTTCCCCTGCACAGGCTCCCTTGCCTACCCCTATGTAAGACATGCCTTTGCTCCTCCTTTGCCTTTTACCGTGATTGTGAGGCCTCCCCAGCCATGTAGTACTGTTAATCCATTAAACCTCTTTTCTTTTATAAGTTAAGCAGTTTCAGGTATTTATTCATAGCAGATGAAAATGGACAAATACACCCTACCCTCCAGAATCTAGGGAAAGAGAGTCACCTCAACCAGTACATCCTAATACAAGGGGAAATGTGTACACAGGTGACCATATCACAGAGGAGCCCAGAGGACGGGCCAACACATTTTGCCTGGGAGGCTGGCAGAGGGCTCTACAGGATGTGATATTTACAATGTGCCTAGAAGGACAAATAGGACTATACTATGCAGGCCTGGTGGACAGGACTGAGGTGCTCCTGGCTGATAAATCCGGATGGAAAAGAGCATGGAAGTGAAAGAGGTCACAGTTGAAAATTAAGATTTGAGTACCACGTGCTGACAGAAAGTGCTAGAAGGTGAAACTGCCATGGGAGTCAGGGCTGGCCAGTGAAAGCCTCTGTATCCCAAGTGGGTTAGTTTCCCAGGGACACCATGACAAAACACCCAGGGCTGGGTGACTTCAAACAACAAAAATGTATTCTGTCACGTTCCTGGAAGCCAGAAGGCTGAAAGCACGATGTTGGTTCATGTCAGGCTCTGAGAAAAATCATTTCTTGGTTTCTGGGAGCCCCAGGCATTGCTTGGCTTCCAAGCTGCAGATGTCTGTCTCTGTGTCTCTTCTCCTCTTCTTACAAAGACATATAAGTCATATTGGATTAAGGACTCACCCTGCCCCAGTATGGTCTCATCTTAATTCCCATCTTAATGATATTTACAAAGCCCTATTTCCAAATAAAGTCCCCTTCACGGGTACCAGGAGTTCTAGGACTTCAACACACCATTTTGGGAGACAACTGAACCCGCAGCATCAAGGTAGATGTTCAAAGAAAAATTGTACAGGATAAGTTAAACAGCTAAGGAAGCCTTCATTCAAGATTATTGCAATAGGAGTCAAGACTATTATAATACAATAGAAAAGAGAGATTGAACTCAACTGCATGGAAGCAAAAGGTGAGAGAGTTTTTAAGCACTGGAATGAGCCAGTGGAAAAGTACTGGAGGACATTGAGGGAGGCTGGTCAATGTGATTAGGCCATTTGTGTTTGCTAATTGGTGCCCTCCCATATAGACTGGCAGATAGGGACCTTTTCTTTCTGGGTAATTACATTTCAAAGTGATGGCTCTAGGTTCTTGAAAAAGACATTCCTCGGTTTTAGAAGATTTACATTTCAAATTGGCAAAGGAAGAATTTGCAATTGTAAGTTTTCTAAAATACATATTCTAAGGAAAGTAAGTTCAGGGGCCTAAATGTCTAATGTTTAATCAAGCTGAGAGGAATATTAAAGCTGTCTGGGTCACTGGTAAGTCCCAAGCCAGAGCTTCTCGGTGGTCTAGACACATCTGTGTGTCTAGATGTGGCTTCTCCTCTCCAACCTGAAACCATCAGCAGCCTATTCCATTTATTTCAGTGCGCCCTGACACAAAAATGTTTAGGTAGCTGCTGGAATTTACTTTTATGGAAGAAATTCTAAAGACAATATGAAGGATCATCTATAAGGAGATGGGAATGAAGGCAGAGAAACTAATTATGAGTAGCTGAAATATCCCGAAGCAGTGTTGGAGGAGATGAGAGAAGAGACCAGAGGCAGTTCTCAAATGTCTAAAATCATCTCAGAAATTGAGATTGATTCAATGTAGTGGCTTGTGGGTTCAAACTGCTCTGTAGACAAAAGGCCTGAATTCTCCAGTTTTTTGAGGTTTTTGGAAAGATGCCCTGAAAATTATCCATCCAACTCTTATAAACCACAGTATGTCATCTGGTGCCTTCATGCAATCACTTTTCCCTCACTGGCCATGTGTAGAACAAGAGACAGAGGAAGAGTAGGTGGGAGAATGAGAGTAAAGGCTATTGTCAAGAGCCCAATGACAATCTGAGTAGTTGTGGTTCCAAGTGAAAACACAGCACTCAAAAACATCTTAGCAGTTCTTAATAAACTCAAGATCCCCCAAGGACCACGGGTCGGTGGACCACATGTTATCCTTGGTCCACAGATTTTAATGTTCCTCAATTAAAAAAAAATAGATGATACAGTAAGCCTTGCAAACAAGTCCCCTGGGACCTGATTAAGATAGCAATAGTCTTGTCCTTTTCTGCTTGAGAAGAACTGTACTAGTAAGCATCTTAGATCTACAGATGCCAAACTGGTCAATGTTAAATTGTAACAAGTATATTTACGGGGAGGACTCAAGTTGTAAATCAGGGATTGGCAAACTTTTGCTGTAAAGAGCCAGATAGAAAATATTTTTGACTCTGTGGGCCATGCAGTCTTCATCACAGTACGCAACTCTGTCATTGTAGCACAAAGTAGCCATACACAATATGAAAATGAATGGACACGGAATGAAAATAAATGGACACGGAATGAAAATAAATGGACATGACTGTGCTCCAATAAAACTTTACCTATACGCACTGAAATTTGACTTTTACACATAATATTACCTTTCTTTTGAGCCATTCTGAGCTGAAAAGCTATATAAAGAGGAACCAGATTTGGCCTGAAGGCTGCAGATTGCCCATCCCTGGTCTAAATGAAAAAAGAATTCTAAGTTTCATATATTCCCAATGCATCTCATTGTCTTGCCTCTCACCAAGACATGCGCCAGTCACACAGGGAAATATCCCCAGCACCTTTGTTGACAAAAAGAGAAGAAGAGTCACATCTTAAGTTGTTTCGCAAGTATCCCAACCTCATAAGTGCCTGATACCACACAAAAGCAATCATGAATTAACATACTCAGTATAAGTTTATTGAAGGACTACTCTGTACCAGGACTGCACTGTGTAAGACACTAAGAATTATAGATGGCAGAGACCAAAATCCTTGGCCTCATAGGAGTTTATCTCGTGCAGTTCTTCCCTATCCTAAGTGCACATTAGAATCATCTACGTTGATTTCAAAAACTACAGGTAGTGGATATTTTTCAAAATACTCCCCAGACCAATTAAATCAGAATCTCTAAGGGAAGGACCTAGCCACCTTCAGAAAAATTGGCTTTTGAAAACGTCTACTGCCCACATTGCAGCCTCAGAAGTTGATTTAATTGCTTTGGGGTGGGCCTGGGCACAGGTAGTTTTTACGACTCTCCAGGTGATGCTAAAGTGCAGCCAAGACTATGCACACTGGCCTAGTGCTTTCAGGTAGGCAGGCTGGATGCATGAGCCTCAGGGGACCCATTAATTACACCTGCACCTAAAGGCAATTTGGGGAGGAGCCCACCTCCAGCTGGCCCGTAACTTCACTTTCATGGGGCCAGAGTGTTTAAACCTTGGCTAGACTCTCAGATCCCCAGACTCTCCATGGGCAGCTTTAAGTCTTCACAGCTCTCACCTTAAGATCTACTTTCTCAATTACCTCCCTTGTCCCACATGTTTATATCTCCATTTCCCCTTTCCCATCTTAGATAACCTTTACAACATAGCCTTCTTCCTATCAAGATCTGTGTAGAACAGATCTTCTCAAAGTGCAGCCCTGGACCAGTGCACCAGGGTCACCTGGGAACTTGTTAGAAATGCATGTTCTGTGGCCCACCCCAGATCTGTGAATCAGAAGCTCAAAGTAAGTCCTGGAACTCTGTGTTTCAACAACTTTTCCAGGTGATTCTGAAGCATACTCAAGTTTTGAGAACCAAGGACATAAAGAAATAAAGGGTGGAGTGGATTTTGATGATATCACTAAATAAAGCAGCAATTTCTCAAAAAAAACTGAAGCAATGGACTAAAATTTGGAGAGCTAAGATTTTTAGAATTTTAGCTCATTCAATTTCAGTCAAAAACTGCCACTCTTGGGGATTGCAATCTCCGGAATTAGAATTCTCTCTTAAACTAGATTTTATCACACATATCAAAGGACATTCCTGTCACTTGTAGGTCACTGACATAGAAACTAATTTGAAAATAAAAGGCAATAGTCATTGGTTTTATTGGCTTACTTTTTATTAACCTAGAAACAGTAAAGTTTTAAACGTCCCTAGTTCTCAAGGATCCAACATTACCCAAGATTAAGGGCTTAAAATAATTTCCAGGAAGAAGAAATGGACATGTGTATGTTAAAAGAGATCTTGATTGCTTCTCAGCCTTTTGGCTAAGACCAAGCAAAAGAGATCCTGTGTGATTCTAATTTCCCAGGATCTCTCCTCATACCCCCAATAGCCACTAATTTTCTCCTCTCTCTGTTGTTTTACTGAAACTGTGAGGGTTTGGGGTTTTTAGCCAATTAGAAAAAAATCTATTTAGTAACAGACATCTGTTCCAACAGCAAGAGGTTCCAGCATTTGGGTACCTGACTCAACAGAATAAAGTATTTTAGTCTGGCTTTGACATGTCAGGATATGGGCCAATAGGAAGAATTGCAAATATTATTCTGATTCTGACAAATTGCAGGTGCTGTGATTTATGTGGTGGCATCCTCTGTTTATTAGTGGGACCGTATTGAACTCCATGGTTTTCCTGTTTATATAATACACACAACTTTGCAGTAGTGAGCTGGTAAATGTTTCACAACCAGCTCTAGGTAGAGAGAATCGCATGGGGAAGCCTGAGTTGTTCTGCCAATTTCCATGAAATAAATACTCCCACCATGGCCAAGTTCAAGCTAGCAGTGAGATATCACTGCTTGTGGAGCTGGGGAGAGAGATGCACAGTAGCATGGCATTATGTAGTATTTCTACCATAAAGACACAAGAGATATCAGTAACCTCAAAAACATGGATAACAGTAAAATGTAGTTGAATACTTAGAAAGCGATGCATTTTGAGTATTTATTATTTTTGTTTTGATATCATTTATTTAATCTTATGATTATGTAATTTAATGTTTCATAATGTCCCTGTTTGACAACCAGCTCAAAAAATTCCTGAACGTTTTGCAACAGATCCTTCCAAGCAGGTAAAAGCTGGCTCTGACACAGCACTGTGAGTGAGTAGCCTTCTTGAACTGATCATCATTTCCTCTTTGCATTGTTTGTCAGGGAGTTCCATACAGAGGTTACAACACTAACCAGAGTGGTGAACGCTCACATCCATCCCTTCACCATACTGGACAGCGTAGAGAGGGATGGAGACAGAGCTCAGCAGAGCTGCATCACAGCCTTCAAAGTTACCTGCTTTATATATGTGTCTCTCTCCCCCAAAGAGCTGGTGAGTGCCTTAAAAATTGAGACTTATTGTTTACCTATGTATCGCAGTATTTGGCATCAAAATGGTTTTAATAAATGTGTACATTACAGCTTAATCACTCCACCACTGGAAAACAACATAAAACACGTATTCTGACAGCCTCTGGTCAGCACTGTCCTACTCTGAATTATGACTTCATGGCTCAACCATCTGACTCTTTAGTGGGTCACAGCAGTAGCAGATAGTGCAGGCAAAGCTGGGGCAGGGTGGACTGAGCCACCAGAAGACGCAGCACCTGGCTTTGGAGGAAGAGAGCCTTTAGAACAGATGATCCTCAAAAATGAGGTCACCTGATGGTGCATTTGGGAGCATGCCATTCCTATGTCATCCTCTGTGTGTAAAGAACAGTGCTAAAATCTCTCAAGCCAACCAAAGAAATGGTATCAGGGGAGAATGAGCAGAAGAGAATTAAGAAGTCTCTCAAAGACATTTTTATCTCCGAGAAAGTGGGGCACCACCCACGGCTGTCTCTACCCAGGAGAAAACCTGTTTAGAAAATGCTGATACACCATGAACCTTAAAAGGAAGGTTCACAGAGATATTTTCTTTTTAACTTCAGCAAGAAAAACACAACACTAAATATTCCAAACTGCTGCTCTAAATTTGTCAGAGACAAAAGAAACAGCAAGAGAGTTAAAGGCACGGTCATCTAAACACAACAGACTGTAAGAAGACTGTCTCCTGGGGGAAAAAATCTTGAAAAATAATCAGTGCACAACAAATATTATTAAGTGACAAAAGCAAACACAGTAAAATACAGGTGGAAAATATATTTTGGGCTGTAACCAGGCTAGAAAAACAAGACAAATAGGGAACTATAAAGGACTTCAGAATATAATTAGAAGGGCAATAAGAAATAACTGCCAACTAACAGAGAAGGGAAAGAGTGAAAATGCACCCAGGGTGTGTAATGAATGAGGTGCAAGGAGAGGGCGAATATATTTCACAGATTTCGATCCTCGTTCTCTTATTCCTATTAGATTTCAATCGAAATCAAAGCTATGCATGTAGAAGAACAGCAGGCTTAAGAAGATTTAACAATGAATACATATACAAAATGTATTCCTTTACCCAAGAAACTAAATTGAATCAAAATTCTCTCTGGCCTTCTCCCCCAACCCCTTGCGTTCTATCCAGTGTTATATTTGATCACACCCTGCGCTCAGAGAAACCTAGGTGCAAGTAAGGACGTGAAGCATGATAATTGCTCAGTGCACCACCTGTGAGACTCAAGGATGCAATAAGTTAAAGCCAGGGGGCCCCAGGCAGCAAAAACTTTCCATGGATTCTGTGGTTAGCAGGAGCAAAAGGTGGCTTCACAGTTAGAGCCTTGAAGTTTTTCCTGACTCAGGTAAGGGGAGTTCCCAGAGAGCTAGCTGATAGACCAGAAGGAGAGATATGGAGGCTAATCGAATTACAGCTCTGAAAAGCAGTAAATGAAGATCTCCACAGAGTTCTGGAGGGAAGTTCTCAAGTAGCTGTGATTCTGTCCTTCAGAAGACATTTGGCCATATCTGGAGACCCTTCTGATTGCCATGCTGGGGGAGGATGCTGCTGACCATCTGGTGGTTCCAGGCCAGGGATGCTGGTAAGCATCTGACGATGACCCCACCACAGAGAGTGGTCCAGCCCCTAATGTCACTCATGCTGAGATGGAGAAACTGGTGTCGATCAAGAAATGAAAACACTGCTGAAAAGTAACAAGGACTCTGCTTGTGGTGGAAAGGTTGGGGTATTAAGTATTGGGGAATGAGGGAGAAATGGCAAACCAAAGCATGACCAGGGTATGTGAATGTTATTACACGCAGTCATGGCTTAAGAGACAAATGCATGGGAGCAGGATGCATAAGAAGCACTGTGTCATATCACGTCCTCTACGCAATACTTAGTTGGACAAGGTTGTATGGGATGTGTGAGATTTCTTATGAGCTAACATATGCAAATGGTGTAGAGTGAGGGGTTGTTCCTAACACCTGTGTAAATCACATGAGATAAGCCACAAGGAAGATGAGAGAGGCTATTTGAATGGAAAACACCTGATTTGATGCCTAGCTGCAAAAAAGGAAGGTTTACAGTCCCTCTGTCCCTCAGGGAGAAGGCATAGGATCCTTAGATTGCTGGTTTATAGGTACCCAAAATAAACCTATTTTCATGGTTGGAAGAAGCAGTTTTTTCTACAGGAGAAGGCTGAAAGGAGAAAGGTTTCAAAAAGGTAGTACTTAATCTGAATATATTGATTTACTCAGAAAACTGGACATTATAATCTGAACAGGATATGTGCACAATTTATATAAAAAAATTTAATGATGAAAGAAGACAAAGTGGAAAGCTTCTTATGTTTTTTAAGAGTTAAATAAAATGCAATTCCAATTAAATTACTGATAGGATTTTATCTGGAATAAGATACATTGATATCTGAAAAAATTAAAAATTTAAAAAGCATCCAGACAACATTTGAGAAATAATAGCAATGAGAGGTAACTGACATTTATAGACATTAAACTTCTGAAGGTTCAATAATTTAAAAGTATGATACTAGTGCATCAGTAAAGTGATCAATGAAATGCAATAGGAAATTCCAAAATAGACATAAGCACATACAGGAATTTGTTATATTTTAAAGATGTCATTTTAAGTTAGCAAGAGATTTCTGCCAAGAAAGAAAAACAGTTGAATTCCTACCTAATGCTTTGCATCAAAATAAAATAAAATGGATGAACTATTGAAATAATAAAAACGAAACAATGAAAAATACCAAGAGAAATCAAAACAGAAAGCAAGAAAACCAGAAATTACAGTGTTGGTATTCTATAAGCATCACATCAAGAGCTTCTTCCTAGATTTTTATTTAAATATGGCACCTTTTGGCATCCCCCATAACTCTCTGGGAACCTGGGACAGAAAGTTCAAACAAACTTTAACAATGACATATGGAACAACTGACCACATCAGATTAAAGTGATTCTTATGCCTTGGTTTCACTCCACATCATGCTGACATGCCCTTACAGAGCCAAACCCAACAGCAAATTAAATAAATCCCATGACTGTGGTACTTAGTCCAATTCTAGTGAGTTCCACTAGTGGATTTTGTTTTTATCACGCTTCAGACAGTCTCTCTGGAACTCTCTGAAAAAAATCTTGCTTTTTTTTTTTTCTTAACAAATTTGTGTTCACTGATCCCTAAATGTGATACCATCATAAATCCCTACAATACCAGGCATGCTTTGAAAGATTTTATTTTTGGTTTTTCGTTATATTCTCATCTACTTTAATGTGAAGCAAAGCCTTTACACAAATTTCAAAGGGCTACAACATTAAAAAGATTTCAGTGGCAAAATGTCAACAATTGTATACAATGAGCTGAGAAATGTTTCTGAAAACTGCTTTTTATCAAGAGTGTGTATACATCTAGTTATTCTGAGTCTGTGTTGATATTCTTGCAATGCTGACTTTAAGGTTCAGGTTGTTTTTTTTTTCCCATTACTATAGCTAGAACGACTAAAAATGTAGTTGAAAATGACACCTCTTTAAATGAATTAATAATGAAAGGGGGAGAGGCTTAATAAGGTCAGGGTGACTGTATCGTGTCCTCTTTAAAAATCTGCTTGCCTGAGAGTTTATTTAGATTAAACTACCAGAAAATGGTAAATACCCTAAAAATGCCCAGACACCCTAAAAATGCCCTATGATACCTGAAAAATTTACACTGTAAAAATGTATTGCTTGGTAAAAGTTAATATATGTCATTTTTATTTTTGCCATATAGTCTTTTTCAATAACTGTGAAATAGTTACTTGTTTTGGAGAATTCTTTAGTTTTCATCAAATGTTCATGAATGTCACTTCTTATCATCATTGGCCTCAATTTTTCCTTAAAAAATAGGTTCTAAAACACACATAAGCATGCCTTGGGAACCCAGTTTTCACTTCAGATGACCAGACAAAACCTATGAATACTTTAAAAGCTCTCTGCAATCTAAAGTAGCTTGATTTTGAACAAGAGGAAAATTATCTCTGACTTAGAGTAACCTACAACATACATTAAATAAATTGAAATATTATCTACTTAATATTCTATTTTAATTTGCGTATGATCCAAGTAATTAACATTAAGACACATAATAATCATCCTAAAACACTTCAAATCTACCATTCACTTTTATATAGTCCTATTACCATATCATTTAAATATTAGCATTCACATAAATAAATTCATATAAAAACACCTTACAGGAAATAAACAGAAGCATTTATACTAATCAAGTTTATGATAGGAAAGGATTCAAATATTTTCTACTTAAATAATGCTAATAAATTCTTTGGAAAGAGCCTCAGACTAATGAATGAAAAGTCAGTATTATAAAATATTAATTTTTATTTAGTACTGGTTTGAAGTTCTTGATTTTCTGAAGAGTAAAAGGAGAAAACATAAAGGGAAAAAACCAACATTCTAAAAGTGCCCACCATATTCCAGATATTATGCTTGGTGCTTTATACAGTACCTACGATCTTGTTTCATAGCAAGTGGAGCACAGGATAGCAGCTCACACGTGAGACTAAGCACACTGCATTAACTCACCCAGTTTCTGACAGCTAAACTGGTGGATACAGCATGGTTCCCTCAGTGTCATCTCTTTTTTATGATCCCAGAATTTTCAAAGGCCTATAGGAAAAACGCTATTTGATTTAATTTATTCCATTATTTCCCAAATTAATTTGACCACAGAAACCTTTCCTTTTCTTACGCGTAGCTGTTTAAGGATCATCGCACTTCACAAGTCTTTCTGGTGTAGGTAAATTGAACATATTACTAGAAAATACAAACTCCACAATTTGTCAAAGACTCAAAACAAGCTCATAAGACTGGAGCTTGATCTGGGTGTAAAGCTACATTTCACCTTTTCTCTTTAACATTCCAAAGCCCCAAACAATTCATAATACATTATGGCTTACTAGGCCACTCCCCCCAGAAATATTTGCACATTAAAGAAGGGAATGAAGAGAATCCCTCCTTTAATGCAAAGGTAGAATCTTCTGGAGTAGTTACAGGGGTCCATTGGGGCAGCTAAGCTTTTCTTGGGCACCTCAAATCCTAGCATACCCAGGATTACCTGCTCAGCATATCTAGAAACCTGGGCACCCACTTGAACCAAATGCTCTTTTTTTTTTTTTTTTTGAGATAGTGTCTCACTCTGTCCCCAGGCTGGGTGCTGTGGCATGATCTCAGCTCACTGCAGCCTCCACCTCCTGGGTTAAAGCAATTCTCCTGCCTCAGCCTCCCATGTAGCTGGGATTACAGACACCAGCCAGCACGCCCGGCTAATTTTTGTAATTTTTAGTACAGATGGGGTTTCACCATGTTGGCCAGGCTAGTCTCGAGCTCCGGACCTCAAGAAATCCACCCTCCTCAGCCTCCCAAAGTGCTGGGATTACAGGCGTGAGCCACCGCGCCCAGCTGACCCAGTTGCTCTTAGTTCCCTTCCTAGTAAATGTGAGTAACAAGATGTCACTTTCCACAAACATACAGAAATACTTAATAAATTGTGAACCGAGCTGCTCATACAAAAAAATGTAGAAGAGAAGGAGGTTTAATAAGACGTAAGACGCTCCAATCTGGGAAAGTCATTGATTTTAGGTAAAGTATAGGTTTCCATTAAACAAAATTAGCATGAACAGTAGAATGTGAAACTAAACAAATCCAAAATATATTATAGGAAAATGACATTTTTGTTCAATTAGGAAGAAACTAAAAATGTTTTTGACTATGAGTTAGCTAAAGTAGGACATTGTTACCATAATTTTCATATTTAAACATGCAATAAACTCCAATTTTGGTTTGTCAAAGTGAATATCAGGAAGCCATAGGCAGTTTAAATTGAGATCATCTCCTATTCTCACAACTGCATTATCACAAAAAGGTCAGCAGAATACGCAAGAATATGTTACGGAATTTCAACCTTAATATCATCACAGATTCCTCTACTTTCAGGGTGTTTTTCTTTGCATTATTCTGTGTTAAATACGTGTTATAAATCTAACTGAAAAATTCAAATAAAATTTTAGAAACTACAGGCATTCACAGCTCTTCAAATATTTACTTAGTTTGGAAGAATTAAAAACATATTTCTCTAAAACTTAATTCAGTTACTCTTATACTTCTATTCATAGATACTTCTCAAATGTCAATTATGGGCCCAATCTGTGCTGAAGACACTGTAGGAGCACACACGCACACACACACACACACACACACACACACACACACACAATACCCAACATGGTTCGTGCTCCTCACAAAATATACAACTCAGTTATGAATTACAGTAACAAGGATAAAAGTGGATGAACAGGTCACACAACATAGATCCTTGATATTCATGGGGAAGGCATCCAGAAAGCTTCATAGACCCCAAAACATCAAGTTCTATCTATAGTCCTGTCTATTCCTCAGATGGGTTGCTGGGCACTGAGCCCAGCTCCCACACCAGCTAAGTGACTTTCAGAAGTGAAGTAGGAAGAGAAGAAATGATTAGTGGTACCTTCATGAATGCCAAAGTCTACTTACAATCAATTGTAAAATTATATAATAGTGATAGTAACATTCATATAATTCTGAAAGGAAATATGTACAATCATATACTCCCAACAAATAGTAGCAGGCACACCTACTATGTTCCTGAAAACTATTTTTGCACTGGGGATATAGCAGTGAATCAAAGAGACAGAGACTGAGACTATTCCCTCAGCCAATGTTTTATTGAGAGAAGACAGAAAGTAAATTAATAAATATTTATCAGGTTATGCTATCAGTGGACAGGGCATAGATGATGCTGGGAATGGGTATTGGTTGCTTTTCATGTGGAAAAGTCAGGAAAGACTTCTCTGATACTTTGAATAGAGAACTAAAGATGTCAAGGAGAAGAACACATCAAGCAAAGAAAGAATGTGCAAAGGCCCCAAGGTGGCGGTGACATTAGCAAATTTGAGGAACAGCAATGAGGCTAGTGTGGCAGGACTGAGGTGCAAAGTGAGAAATGGGAAAAGAAAAAAACGTGTAAATGGGGTGTCAGTGGTGGCAGCCATCTGTGCTGGGCCTGAAGCAACTGCAGGCTGGAGTCGACTCAGGAAGTGTCATGATGTAGGACATGAGGAACAAAGATGTATCTAACCTCAAGGCAAGAAACTAAACTTGAGATCCATAAGTGTATCTGTTAGTTTTCTGATTTTTCGCCATTGCGGGTACTCCTGAGAACACTAAAAAGACCAAAGCTTCCACTCTTCAAAAGGAATCTTTCATTCCTGGCTATCTTCTTCCATCAGAGCACCTTCTTGGAGCCCACTGAATTTATCTGTCCAGTACACTATCTAGCTAACCTTCTTCACCTTATTCTGGAAATCTCTTAAAAATTAGAAAGTGTAATCAAACTAGTCACATATGGCTCCATGTGAGAGGAAAACTTCTGAAAAACTATTTAAATGTCTGATTAAAAAAATTTAATCCATGGTGGCCTTAGTACCAGTGTAAAGTAGCAGAAAGTTTAAGAATGTAAGAAGGTGAATTTTCAGACGTCTGTCTGATGAAGGTGTTCAAGCATGGTTTGGAAAACAGGCAAGAACTAATCAAGCAAGCTGATCTCATCCTAAATACACATTAATTTATGAGGTGTTAACAGCACAGGGATTAACCTATGAAATAGCTGCTCATTTTATTAAGCAAAAATGATCAAAATGTGCTACTCTCATTATAACAGAAATACGAACTACATCATGCCAAAAGACAACTAAATAATGACTGCAATGGGTTTTATAAGGACAATATGCCTACTAAGTGAGCCAGCCTCTTTGAAATTCAAGATGCTGAATCAGGAACTAAACTTCCAAACTAGTTTCTTCAGCCTTATTAGGAAAACATGGGCAGTTGATGTCTGTTTCTGTTCTATTTCTTCAGCCATTCAATAAGGAAAATTCTATTACACTACTTCTCAAGGGGTATCTTTTGGAGTTGTCCATGTCTTTGAACTGCTAAATATTATGGCTTTCTCTGCTGTGTGTCTATAGCCCTCAGAACAATCACTTGCAAATTCCAAGGCACAAAACACAATGAATGCACCCTAGTTTCACTTGCTGGAAATCTCCTAAAAGGTCAGTGGAGTGCATTGTCCAATATTCTAGTATCATTTTCTGAGGACTGGAATTAATTGTACAATTTTCTGTTAAACTTAAATAAATGAAAACAAAAAAAAACTGAACATTTAATTTGAGTTGAGAGTTTAGAAATTCTGCCACCTTCATAAAACCTTTCCTGATCAGTTTCATAAAAGCTGTGTCTCCCTCCTTTGAAATATTCTAGCAATGACTTGTATTATTCATTTGTCAATTTATTTTATACTGCTTCTTGTGACTCTTCAACTTTTCATTCTTAAGTATTATTTTAATATTTAATCATTACATTTCCCCATACTTATGGCTTATTTGGCCAGATTATTAAGCCTCATAAGATTAAAGACTAAGAATTAAATATCTATACAACCTCTCACCCACACCCAGACACCCAGAGCAGAGTTTGGAATATTTCAGTCCCTCCTGATGATTTGTTGATTTGATTTTCCTGATTTCAGCCAAGTTGAAGAACAGTGAATAGCTGCCCCTTATTAGGCACAGGGACTGATCCCCAAGCAACTAGGTCTTACAGAAAATATTCGTGGAGGCCTGAATAAGTCAGCTTATAAAGATAGTCACAATCTTCACACAACTGAATATACAAAAGCCATGCATTGAAAAGTGGAATTGTGTAGAAAGCAAAGCGTGCACTTTGACCGCAGAGAAACGTGCTTTCGATTCTCTGGTCCACAGTTAATTATGTCTGCGACTTTGCATGAATTACAAAAGCTCTCTGGCTCCATTTCCTAATCTGTGTACAGGAGATGATAATATCTCCTTCAAAAATTATCGTGAGAATGGAAAGAACACATTTAAAACACCTAGTGTGGGACAGAAGCTCGGGAAGCTGTCCGTAGGTAACAGGTTCCTCACAGGACACTAGCAGGCACTGTCTGCCATTAGCCAAATGGCCTTAGGGACAGGGAAAATCTTGTAACTGAGAGTGTTTTCTTGTTTGATTTTTATTTTTAAAGAAACTCAGAGCTTTTAGCTCAACTTTATTAAGAAAGCAAGCTCTGCTGCCCACATTTTGTGGACTAACTTTCTTCATAAACTCATCTGACTCTTCCTCCTTTGGCTCTTACTCAGAATAATTTTTCAATATATGTTTTGTGTTATTACATCATATGTGTTTACAAAGCTACAAAATGTTTAAGAAGTTGTCTAAATACTTGAGCAAGGTAAATTAGCTAAATGTTTGACATTGACTAATTTCTCAAAGGACTGCCCAATTCCACTGTTTTTAAGTCAATAAGCAAGAGAAGAAAAGAAGTTAAAAGTAAAAAGTCAGTTGGCCATGGTTTTCACTTTTCAGTGGACTGTGGTGCCATTAAATGGAAAACCTATAGTTCTGACAGTGGTTTATGAAGGAAAATACTTTTATGTATTAAACAGGATCTTACAAGAGTGTTGCTGTGGTATATGGAAAAAGAACTGCAGAAAATTTGGAAAAGGCTCTAAAGACTTTCACTAGCACTCTCTCTTATCCTTCATTAATGTCATGATTTTCTGATTTCACTAAGTTTAACAGGAAACCAACAATTCCTGAAAAAGCTGAGATTTTCATCTTAGCTCTATCACTTTATGAATTTGCTTAACAGCATGAACCGTGCAATTTTGTACACATGGGACTATGCCCCAAGTTACAGAGGGTGAAATTTTGACCTAAGCTCATTACTTCAGAGGAGATATCCCACTGCACCTGGTCTACAAATTGATGTTTTTAAAGCCCCTGCCCCCCAAACACATTAACTTTTAAAATTGTAAAGGAGTCATTTCTCTGAGACTTTTTCAGAGAAAAATGCTGATTCTAACAGAGTTGCTTTCAAAAATCTGGATATGATTTCCATAACATTTCAAGGGCAAAATGCCAAATGCTCAGAACTATTAAAGATAGTGTAAATGACCAAGCAGACATACAGAAAATGCTATCGGCTATAAAAGTCATCAACTGGAAAAGTTTCACAATTAACTCTTGTGTTTCCAGAACTACAAACTTACCTGAATCAGCTTCTTCAATAAATCTGACATTTTTATTTAAAAGGTAATCACAGGGAGAGAGGGGGATAAATGGGCAGAGCACGGAGGATTTTTAGGGTGTGAAACTACTCTCCACGATACTGTCATGGTGGATACCTGTCATTGTACATTTGTCCAAACCCATAGGATGTACAATATCTACATGGAGCCCTAATGTAAACTATGGACTTTGGGTGATGACCATGTGCCCATTTCGGTTCATCAATCATAAAAAATGTGCCTTTGAGGTGAGGGAATGCGATGGTGGGGGAGGTTGTGCATGTATGGGGGCAGGAGGTGCATAGGAAATCTCTGTACCTTCCTCTCAATTTTGCTGTGAACCTAAAACTACTCTTTTAAAAAGCCATTTAAAAAAACCACAGTATAATTTTAAAAAAGAGGAGATTGATGATACCCTTGACTTGAAAGATATCCTGTGATCACTTCGGGTAAGGCATCACCATCTAATAGCCTTCCTCATAGGGTTTCTATTTCCTCATCTATGTGGTGGGCATACTGTGTGAGTATTTATCAAGCTTCATATATATGCTTTGTATACTTTCTGATACTCAGATTTTTAAATAACTGGTATTGATATCAAGCTCAGCATTACTTTATTTCTACAACACATTTAGTTTTACCAAGACATGCAGTATCTTCAAGGTTTATTCATCCATTTCATTCATTAGAGGTTAAAACAGGCCAGAGCTATAAATGTTTTATGTACATATCAATCTGAAAGATGTACCAAATCCTGTATGCTTTGAAATACATATTACATTCATCCAAGGCAGTAATGATCTAGCTATGGTTAATTTAAGCATCTTGTTTTTCTTCCTCTAACTTTTCCATCTTGAAACTACCCACTAGTAGTGTATCTACCCACTAGTATATACTATAGTATATCCTCTTCTAGATAGTGAGCAAGAGAAAAATGAGATCAAAGTAATCTAATATTTTGATAGTATAATGGGTATGCCAAAAGCCTCTCATTACAAAGGAGGTAAAATTACATTTCCCAAAGGGATATTTGGTGAGTATAAATAGGATTCCATGACACATTCTAATGCTCACACATTTGCATCACCCTTGATGTTATGAAATGAATGTTTGTGTCCTCACAGCTCCAGACTTGAACTTCTAACCCCCAATGAGATGATATTGGGAGGTGGGGCCTTTGAGAGGTGATTAGTCACAATAGGAACCTCATAAATGGGATGAGTGTCCTTATCAAAAAGGCCCCAGAGAGCTCTCTAGCTCTCTTTCTACCTTGGGAGGGTGTGACAAAAGTTAGCCATCTACAAACCAGGAGTGGGCCCTCATTAGACACCAGATTACTGTGCATTAACCTTAGACTTCTCGGCCTCTAGTGCCATATGAAATACATTTCTGTTGTTTATGGGCTGTCAAGTCTATGCTACTTTGTTATAGAAGTCCAAATGAACTAACACACTTGAGAAGTAGTCATAAATAAAATGATGACACCTGCGTAGGATCTATTAATAATGGTTTCATATTTGAACATCTAGTCAATTACTCCTAATCTTCCCTTTTTCCTACCCTGTGTGATGTACCAAAGACCTCTCCTCCTTGCTTTGTTCTTTTTGTTTTACTCTAGAGAGAGTATGGCAGGGCTCATCAATCTTTACCATGGTATTCATTTACTTGCTTTTAGTTTAATTTCTCAGGTTTCATCTACTGGGTACCTGTTATATCATCCCACATGCTTTTCTTGATTCTTATGGGTTAAGAAATCCACCAGGTATCAGTCTGAATGAATATTTTTTCTACCCAAGGAATTTGGACTATAAGATTTAGGTCTAATTATAGTAAGTATACATTAAAATGGCAAGTCAGTTGAAATACGTGGGTGTGGATGTGTGAACATGAGAGACAGAGACAGAAAGGGAGAAGGATAGAAAAAGACTCATGACCAGCCTGGGCAACATGGTGAAACACTGTCTCTACAAAAAACACAAAAATTAGCCAGGTATGATGGTGCACATCTGTAGTCCCAGCTACTTGGGAGGCAGAGGTAGGAGGATTGCTTGAGCCCAGGAGACAGAGGTTGCAGTGAGCTGAGATTGCGCCACTGCACTTCAGCCTGGACAACAGAGCAAGATCCCGTCTCAACAAAAAAAAAAAAAAAGAAGAAGAAGGAAAAAAAAAAAAGAATGGAGAGACAGAGAGAAAGCCAGCCCCAGAACACTGACCATTCCACACATCTATTACAACCCACCCAATTCCCATTCAGAAGCTATCAACTTTACAGACCATTTTTACTGATATCCAACAAAAACAAATTATATACATATAAAGCTTTTTATGGCTATAAAGCACTTTTACATATATTACCTTATTTGATCATTACAACCACCATCTCATAATGTAGGAGGACACTTGTTAACCTATCAATTCCTTGGGAAAGAAACTTTTCAGTAAGTGATTAAAAAGAAAAAATAACAGGTATCATGGGAAGCATTGCTAGCACCACAGCTAAGAACAATGGATATGTCAAAAACCTCGTTTAGCTGAAAATGTAAAAAGGTACTCAGAATCCTATTTAAACAATTCCACTTTATGTTTTATCTGGTTTTTTAACCTAGCAGATAAAATTGATCAAAATGTTCAAATCAAACTGTTAGTAGGAGTTTCAGAAGATATTTCACAATTTAAAATGTTTTTCTCTTGCTCATGATGTATAACTATGAACCTATGTGAATGGAGACATAATAAGATTGCTCTGAATTATCTAGACTGATTTCATTCCCACCATATTAACAGCTAATGGATTCCTCCATTGTAAATTATTTTTCAAAGCAATAGCAAAAAATTTACTAAATTTTGTGCAAGCAGTTTTTCAATATCTATAAAACTTCTATTTTAAAACATGATCTAAGTTTTTCAGTCTTATGTAATATATTTATTACAAAATGTCATATACTGCATGAAAATTTAAATTGTGATGAATTACTTAAGAGATTAGCAGATTTCAAGTATTAATGGACTAAATTAAAGGTCATAACTTTGTCAACACAAAGTGCTTTCCATACATGTGATTAATAACAAAAGAGACTATTTGGGACTAAATACTTTTACTACCTTCCCTGTGTTAGATTGTGATATCCATATCACAAACATGATGGATTTTCCTAATCAGTGGTACTAGAGTTCTCATTAAGTACTCATTAAACTTCTGCACCTTAGGATAACCTTGAGAGGTGCATTAGACACTAATGAGTAAATGCTTTCATTGTATGAGCATAACTCCTATTAATGATAATGGAATTTATATGCATGCAGCAGGCAAAGATAGTAGAGATAAACTATAAAAATAATACCAATTTGAATTTCATATCCCAGTACTCAAATAAAGGATATATTTGTTAATTTGTTCTAATAAAACTGTCTTCAAAAATGCCACATATGGATAGAAATTAGCTGGGGGAAAAAACCTTTAAGACATTTAAAAATACTTAAATGCTTGGCAATCATGAGTAAAGGTAAAATAATAAATATCTGGATTAGAACAGGAACAATTTTTTTAGAAAAAAACAATAGTTTTAGGTTCTGTAAGGTCTTACAGTCAAATTCCTTAATGTATTTTGTTAGCAATACAGTTGATGAATTGATAAAACATTTATCTGTCCTCTGTGCTTTCTGTTTTATTTATTGTTATTGTTGGTTTTTTCTTAATTAAATTATTTCCATGCTCAAAAATGCTTTACTGTACAATTTACTGTACTATTACTATAAGGAAAACAGATATTATATAGGTCAAATAAAACCTTGATTCAGGGATAATAACACCCTGCCTATTTACTTCCTCTTCATTCTGAACACGAGTAGTTAAATTATTTTAACTAGTGACTATCCAAACTAATTTTCAAGTTATTCTGCAGTTGAGACCTCCGAAAACTTCTGACAGACCTACTCATGAGTATAATTGTATTCCAAGACTTTCTTCTTGTTGACTAAATTGTCCTGATGTACTTAAATTTCATTTCTTCTTAAATCTTTTTTGGAGATGAGGAAAATAAGGTCACCATCTTGGAATAGTAGAATCTTTGATCTCAGGAGATTATCTAGCAAATAGTAATTGTCTTCTTGCACTCTGCTGGCATTGAGAAACTCAGTAATATGAAAGGCAGGCCATTTCAATTGTTAAAACATTCTTACTTATAATTAGCTAAAATCTATTCTGTAGATAATTCTAGGCCCAAAAATCCTCGCTCTTAAAGTCAAATGGAATAGCCTTAATTCCTCTCCCAAATAACAGGCCTCAAATTCATGAAGACGTGTTTCTGTGCTGATGTCTCTTTTCTCCATTGAACATTCACTGTACCTTCAACCATTGCTTATATAAGATAAGGTTCATTACCCACTGACCTCTGGACCTCTCTGGATAGATGTCAGAGAGGTGCTCTCCTGCTTCAATAAGGCAGCTAGAATTAATCGCAATCTTCCTGCAGTGAGTTCAGCAGTGCTGAGTGCAGAAAGCTTATTATCTTCTGTGAACTGGACACACTTCTTTCCTCTATTAACACAGCCTAGGATTGCATTAGATCATTTGTCAGTCTCCTCACCTTGGATAACCCTCCATATCTATGGATATATTAACAGGAGGGAATTGAGAGGATCTTTTATCAGACCATCTAGTCTGACCTCCTGAACCTTTAATCAAATAGCAGTGCTTTTATAGCAGGTTATCTGGAAACCTATATAAATGGATCGTTAAAAACACTGTTGTGTTGCTTTGGAACCACTAAAAATTGGGAGAGGTGGCTGGTATTCAAACATCCTTTCATTTGTTCCTGTGTTGGTGAATTGAGTATTAATAAGCCACAACCATGTGTCTGGCTGGGACAGAGACATGAAGAACAGACCCCTGAATCTCAGTTCCCAGATGTCTCAGATAAGCTGACCGATAATGACACACTGTGTGCCAGGTACTCTGATGAAGGTGTGTAACAGTGATGTGAGGACAGAGAGGAGGAATGCCCAACCCAGCCTAGGTCAGATGAGGGGTCGTGGAGGCATCGCAGAGAATCCCATTCTGAGTCGGATCTTAAAGGAAAAGCGAGGGTCCTCCTGGCTCCCCTTCTTCAGTGACTACAACAATGGCTTTGTGCTAAGAAATAAATGAATCAAAATTTAAAATAAGACAAAGTTAACAGTTGGATAGTTAATGAATAGATGGATCAGTTAATTAATGAGTTAATTAGATATAAAGAGTACTTCAGTCATGTGCCAGCCACGGAGATGAAAGATTAATGTATTCATAGAGAGATAAGCAGTTTGGTTAAGCTACAACTATGCTTTTAGAGGAGGAACAAGAAATGGGACGAGAGAAGTAGGTAAGAAGAAAATAATGTGAAGGAACAGGGACTAGATACAGAAGAAACACATGGTGTTGCTCTTGGAAAAGTCCAGCAAAAAAGAGAAAAGAGGAAGGAAGGCGGGAACATGTTTGAGAGACACCAAGGACTAAGGATACCAGAGGTAGTGACGGAAACATAATTCCTTGGTTTCTCACCTGGGCCACTGTAAGAAAGAAGATTGAATTGACCAACCTTCAGACCAGAGGTAGGGCAGATTTTGAAAGTGAGGGGAGTGACAAATCCAGTTTGCTTTGAATTAAATGTAAGACATAAGGTGGAGCATTGATAAGAGAAATCCGTAAGGAATGGACCACCCATTCCCAGTCTTCAATGAGGAGATGGGACTAAATACGGATCTCTGGGTTACCAGAGGACATACATGATAGTTCACGTCTTTGGGGTGAATGAGATTGCCCGGGGAAAGAGGGAAAGTACCCAGCGTGGAGAGAAAAATGCTAAACATCAAGGCCTGGGCAACTACAAGTATCTAAGAGGCTGCCTAAGGAAGAG
Organism: Homo sapiens; assembly: GCF_000001405.40. Classification (NCBI taxonomy): domain Eukaryota; kingdom Metazoa; phylum Chordata; class Mammalia; order Primates; family Hominidae; genus Homo; species Homo sapiens. The sequence continues at coordinate 103,140,924 of NC_000013.11, read as the reverse complement.
AAATCCACAAACCAGACTTCGAAAGCATCTCTGAGAAGGGAGGAATTGGATATATTGGTATGTTGAGTAACAAAGGCCAGCTGAGCAGAAGTCAAAAGCAGGAAGGTCGGAATGATTAATGGATCAAAAGTTCTACTATCTCACAGACTTTAATTATAAAACATAAACTTCATTTTCAAAGAATACATCTTTCTAAGAAATCAGCTAAAAGGGCACTTTCTTAATAACGAATCACTTTTTCTTTGCCATCTTTCTCATTTTAAGGGTCTCCTTTCAGCTACTCCAGTGCTAAAATGTATTTCTAAAACCTTCCAGAAAAGCTGAGGCAGGAGCAGAGGCTGGGTTCAGATATGGGGCCTTGAGATAGAGTTTGGATGTTATTCTCTGTGAAATGGGAAGCTTCGAACCATTCACATTCAGCAGCCCTGGACTGCAATACCCACATTTTATCAGTAGGTGCTGATATCTAATAAGACATGGTTGCTCAAGACCTCAGTTACAAAGAAACCCGAGGACATGGATGGGTCTGGATAGCTGATGGTTCACCACTGTAAGCTACGGATCTGTTCCCCGCACCCCTTTACATTTTTAATGGATTGTTCCCCTAAATCTGTCTATACTTATAGTATAGCATATTCTATGTTTAGATCATTTTATTGTTATATTGAGAAAATGGAAGCCATAAGAGGAGTTTCCTCATTTTGACACCACCAAGTTCACCAGCCTCTGCATATCTTTGTCTGTCCTCTGCCTTTCCTCTTCAGACACATCAAGTGCCCCAGAGGGAATCAAAACCCACCCTTCACTTAGTGCTCTGTGCCTATCCTCACTCACCTTTGCGAATGCTTTACTTGGTTACTCTCAGGAGTTATCTCATCTCCTATCTCATCTGCATTTTTAATTTAAATTGTATTTGTATAAATGTATGGGGTCTAAGTGTAATTTTGTCACATGTCTGTATTGATAGTGGTGAAGTTGGGGATTTTAGGGCATCCATGATCCAAATAATGTATATTGCACTCATTAAGTAATTTCTCATTATCTACCCATGTCCACCCTGAAAGTGCTTTGAGTCTTCATCATCTACCATTCCCACTCTATGTCCATGTGTATGTTATTTTGCTCCGACATGTAAGTGAGAACATGCGGTATTTGTCTTTCTGTGTCTGAGTTGTTTTACTTAAAATAATAGTCTTCCATTCCATCCATATTGAGGCAAAAGACTTGATTTCATTTTTTATGGCTGAATAGTATTCTACTGTGTATATATGCTACATTTTCTTTATTCATTCATCCATTGATGAACATGGGTTGATTCCGTAGTTTTCCCATAGTGACTAGTGCTGCAATAAACAGATGAATGCAGGTATCCTTTTAATAGAATGATTTCTTTTCTTTTGGGTATCCAGATATCCAGATTGCCAGATCCTGTGGTCCTCCTAGTTTTAGTTCTTTGAGAAGTCTCCATGCTGTTCTCCATAAAGGTTGTACTAATTTATATTCCCACCAACAGTGTACAAACACTCTCTTTTCTCTGCATTCTCACCAACATCTGTTATTTTTTTCCTGCCTTTTTAGTAATAGCCATTCTGACTGGTATAAGATGATAGCCTCCCGCAGTACCAGAACTCTCCCTTTAAAATACAAATGTATGATACACCTTCCACCTTAACAATATTTAATGTACAAGTGTCCTAACTACCATGCAATGCCCCCTTCACAGCGTAACCTCAAGTAAAGGCTGTTTCCACTGTCTCTACTTTCTCGCTTCCCAATTTCATCACTGATTCCAAACAGATTTCTATTTCTTCCATCAACTGACCAAATCAAGACTGCCAATGAGCCCCCACTGGACCCTCTTCCACAGCTGTGGTATTCGACTTTCCACATGTACCTAATTCAGTTGACCACTCCTTCCTTCTTGGAGCTCTTTCTTCTATTGGTTTCTGCAACACTCTCATTATTCCACTTACCTAAGGCTCCTTCTCAGCTTCCCTTGGTTGATTTCTCCTTCCCTCTTCCTCTGATCTCACATTGATATTTAATATGAATTTCACACTCAAATCGCAAATCAGAGTTTGTCATTTCACCTCAAATCCTCACTGGGTCTTCCCCATTTCAGTAAATGGCACCACCATCCGTTCACACAGTTAAAGTCAAAAGCCTGGGAATCTTCCTTACCACCCCCTCCGTTTTCTTCACTCCCTGCCTGCAATCCATCAGCAAATCCCATCAGTGCTACTTCTGAAATATACACGGACCTCACCCACTTCTCCCATTTCCACTGTTTCCTGTCTGGTCTAAGGGCCATCCTAGTAGTCTGGACATCCCCAGCCACCTGCCAAGCCTCTCTGCCACTGCTTTTACATCCTGTGATCCAGAGTAATCTTTTACTCTTTTCCAAGTGATGTCAGTACCCTGAATAAAACTCTCCAATGGCTTCCCACCTCACACAGAATAAAATCCAGCTCCACGTCAGGGTCCCATACCCAGCCTCCTCTCCTCCTCCAGGTTTTCCAGAATTCCCTGGACTCACCATGCTTCACTTTTCACATAAGCCCTTCTGTTCTTGAAGTCACAAGGCACATTCCAGCCTCAGGACCCTTGCACATGCAACCCCTCTTGCTGGAACACCAGTCTTCACAGGCTTGGCTTCTCTTTCCATTCAGGTCTCTACTTAAAGGTCACCATTAATTAACAGCTTTCCTAACCACTTTGCCTCAGGTAGAACCGGTCGCCCTCAGCTGTAAGTTGGGTCTCTATCACACCATCCCATTTTCTTCGTATCCCTTTTTGCTATCTGAAATTAACCTTTTTAAAATTTATGTTTTATATTGTTGTGTGTTTTCCTAAACTAAAATATAAACTCAATGAAACCAGGTACCTGGTCTCTTTTAGTCACTTCTGGGTGCCCCCCAGTGCCTGGTATAATGAAGTGTTTAATAAATAATAAATCAATGATAAACCAGGGATAAATGCTGTCTGACTATGATTTGGGGATTCTTGATACATTGAAACAACATTTATAGAGGTAAGAGATTTTGCCCTTAAATTCTGAAACCCTCGTAACCTGGCTAAGGCATATAAAGACCTCTGATTTAAAATTTTAGTTGATCCAGTCTATCATTGTTGGACATTTGGATTAAGCAAATGTGGCACATATACACCATGGAATACTATGCAGCCATAAAAAATGATGAGTTCATGTCCTTTGTAGGGACATGGATGAAATTGGAAATCATCATTCTCAGTAAACTATCGCAAGAACAAAAAACCAAACACCGCATATTCTCACTCACAGGTGGGTATTGAACAATGAGAACACATGGACACAGGAAGGGGAACATCACACTCTGGGGACTGTTGTGGGGTGGGGGGACGGGGGAGGGATAGCTTCAGGAGATATACCTAATGCTAAATGACGAGTTAATGGGTGCAGCACACCAGCATGGCACATGTATACACATGTAACTAACCTGCACATTGTGCACATGTACCCTAAAACTTAAAGTATAATAATAATAAAAGAAAAAAAAAGAAAAATATCCCAATAAAAAAAAATAAATAAAATTGTAGTTGAACTTGCAGGCTGAAGAATTTGGTTTGACATGAAATCTATACAAGGGTGTGTAAACACATTTACATATGATCTCTCCCAGTGACGTTAAATCATTCTTACAAATTTTAAGCACTATTGGCTATTGTTTTGTCATGGAGGGGGTTCATAAAGAACATTAAAAATAGAGTCTAATTTCTCTTTTAAACTAGAAAAAACAAATTTGTGGAAATCACCCAAATATAATACTTCAGCGGGAGACAAGAACACAGGAAAGTTTTAAAACTTGCAATTGCCCACAAGTAAGCACCTAAGAGGCTATTAGCTGCCACCTGGTATCACAACCTCAGTAAGTTTCCAGGCCCACACACTGAGAAACAAAAGGCATTCCGGAGATGTGGCCTCGATCAGAAGAGGTGAGAACAGTTCTTAGTCTTAGCAAGGTGGTCATGGTCATTAGACCAGTATCCTGACCACACCAAGGCTTCCTAAATTCCGGAGATCCCCGGGTTGGTTTGCAAGACCCTCCCTGCCTATGTTTCCATGGAGATTAGGGCTCTTAGGTTAGAATAAGAGGGACTGAGCACTTGCCCCAGGGGAACAAGTTGCAGATACCAGGTGGGGTGGTGACAAGGCTTGCGGGGATGCTATGAGCTTTACAGAGGAAAGAGACTGGCGGCCATCACTCAGGCCTCCAGCAAGAAAGAAAGGGGAGCGTGGGGAGCCAATCTGGGGCTAACAAGCAGTATAAACTCCATTTGCCGTAAAAAGGAGTGTGTGGTTTGTCCACGCTGCTGCACCAGGGTCAAGGCTGTGTTGAGCAGGAGCACAGAAGCACAGTTAGGAGTGTGGGCGGCTAAGCGCTCAGTGCCTGGACAGATGGCTTTAGGGCTCCACGCTGCTGCCCCTCCCTCATGGCTGCAGATTTCAGGGAGTTGTGTGACCTTTCACCGCTCAGCTTTCTCCTCTGTAAATACACGTGCACACCTGTGGTCACTATTTTCTCTTAGGGTTGCTGGAAAAATTAATATTAATAATCCCATTGTAAAAAAGTAATAGAAGACAGCTGTTATTAACAAAAGAGATTAAATTGTAGCTTGTGTGTCTGCTTTCTAGAGTTCTTCTACCCCCATCGTTGCTGTTCAGCCATCATCTCTCAGCCAGTTTGCTTTGAGCACCTCTTTTCTTCCCATCAAACTCAACACTGTTTATCGTGATGAGACATGGTACTTCTCAAAATTGGAAACAAGACTGTAGTTTATTATTTATATCGGTCTATCCATTGTGCTGTAACCTCCATGAAGGCAGGTGTCCCATTCACCGCCCTATATCCTCACAGCCTCGTTTCGGGTTTGAGCATATTTCTATTTGACTCTTAACTCAATCAATATTTGTTGAATGTTGTTCTGAAATCTGCCTGTCATGTCCATCGTCATAGTGACAAAAGAATATAGAGTGACAGTCAGGGACTCCTTGGTGAGGAACATGCATAAGCATTAGTGTATGAATATTTAAGTCCCTTCTCTCAGAGGCATCTTTCCTTGCTTCTAAGTGAGACTGTGGAGAAATGCTGAGCGGGAGGCCACTTACCCACCTGTTATCCTGCACCAGATGACTACCCAGGACCCCAATTCTTTCATCTATTAAATGGAAATCAGGGTAGCAAACCCACAGGAATGTTGTGAAGACTAAGCGTTATACAGAAACCATTTTTAAATTTATTTTTAAGCAAGAGTAACCATCTTTAAAACAAATGTGACAGGTAATCCCAAAATATAAAACGGACCAAGTGGAACTTCAGGAGGACAGACTCTCTGCTTGGCTCTTAGCACATCCCCAGGAAACCTCATCAGAAGTTAGAGCTCATGGGACCATAGTGTCAAAACCACTGAGGCTCAGGCTGTCACGCGCTGAACAGGGAACATAACAGACTTGGAATAGACATGTACTCTCTCTCTTCTGGCTTATCTTCTTTGCATTTAGCTGAGGTTGCTTCATAAACAAGTTCTAGCTCTAAGGGCAGGGAGGGGAGTGGTAGGTGACTTTCCCCCAATATGAAATTGAAGTTCTCATCTTAGAGCTATACAAAGTAAACTAGCATCTGTGTTGGCAGTTCTCTGAGTTTTAAGTTGTGGATATTGTGTTAAAACAGAGATCCAAGTCATTAAACACGAACAGCAGGCATGAAAGAAAATAACTCTTGCACAGTACCGTTTCATATTGTTGTAACCAGAATTATAAAGGTAAAAATGAGTCCCATCTAGGGATAAAGGAAGAATTTTTACTTGACATCAAGAGCATGTGATTGATGCAGGGCCATTTCCCAACAAAAAAGCATCCAGCACAAAATATTATTTCATTATCTTTTCCAGCTTTTTTGAGGTATAATTTACAAATAAAAGTTGTATATATTTAAGATGTACAACATGTTTTGATACACATTGTGAAAGGATTACCAGCTTCAAACTAATTAACATATTCATCACCTCACAGAGTTAATATTTGTTGTATATTATGACAATACCTAAGATCAATATCTTAGCAAATTTCAAGTATTCAATATAGTATTGTTAACAATAGTCACCATGCTGTACATTAGATCTCCAGAACTCATTCAAAAAAATATTATCTATATAAAAATATTATAACAGCTACAAATGCACTATAAAAGGTATGGGTGAGAGTCTATTGTTTGTTTGTTTTTAATTTTCCTTCCATTGTAAGGAGATGGGGAGAGAAAACTGGTTCATTGCACTTTTTGGCAGCTGAACTCTGTTCTCTGATTGGCATGTCTTTGCTTCTCTCCTCCCCAGGCAGAGACCACTCAGCTCTGCCTGAGGCTCATGTCTCTGGCTAAGCTTCCTGGCTTCTGCTTGTCACTCTCAGCCTGAGCATCTCCTCCAGCCCCTTGGCTTCACCACTTCCCCTCAAGGGACCTTGTCCACTATGACTCCCTCGACCTCTAGATAAAACGGTTCAGTTCCACATGCACCAGGGCACTAGATACCCTTTGCATGTCTTTATCTTTCAATTTAGCTGATGGCCCTTGGCTCACATTTAATGGAAACTTTCATTCTGCCAGAGGGGATTGCTTTATCTAGCTTTTTTATACAAAAGTTCAGCCATTGAATCGGCTTGGTAGGTGACCTGTGTGGCCCAGCAAGAGTGTCAGGAAGCCATTTTTTCCTTCTCAGTTCATCAGAAGTGTTCCTTGCACCCCCATATAGAATTGCCCCACAGCACACTGGCAGCTCAACATTTGAAGGTGTTTTCTAGGAATGCAGCAAAATGCCCTAAAATGTCCTCATATGAGGCCAAAACGTCCAACCTGAATAAAAACTCATAAATTTACCTGGAACTATATTGCTGTCTCTGGTCCAGTCTCCATGGGAAGACATCCAATACTTACAACCAACAAATTTATGTAATCTTTTGAGTTTCCAAGTCTAAGAAAAAAAGTGGCACAAAGCCAGGTTTAGGTGAAGTCTAACAATGGGGATCACCCACAAGTTGAATGTTAAGCTGGGGAAAATAACAAGTGCTCATCAATTATTTTCTAAAGTTACTCTGGACAAGACCCAAGAGAATACCATTACTCCAGTCCCTGCAATGCCTTTTATGCCAGCCAAGTGCAAACCTGAACAAACAACCCTTCTCTTGGCAAGGCAGGCAGGTCTTTAAAGGAATCCGACTGCTGCTGACTGCGCCCCAGTCTGCTTTTATCAGAAGATCGAAGGAGCTGGATGGGCAGCCTCGTTCCCAACAGGCTGTTTCCACTGTCTGCTGCAGAGAGCAATGCCCCCTGGGGTTAATACACTGCATAAGAGACAGAGTGAAAACTGACCAGTGACCACCAAGGGGGAAGCTGGGGCCTCCATCAGCCACACCATCTGAGGAGCCCCACATCACATCAGAGAGACTGAGAGACAGAGCCTGGCCAGCGCCTTCAATCGTGTTCCTGGTGCCTGGGAGTCCATTGAGAAGCATCAAGCTGGCCTGAGCTTCTTTTAACCTCAAGAACAAAGACCAGTGTGAGTGGGGATCAGAAAAAGAGTGAAAGGAGAAAGGGACAAATTAGAACAAAATGCCAGGGTGATAAAGGGAACAGAAGCAACATGCACCCAACTGTTTGAAGTCAAGGGCTCCCGAGGAGAAGGCAGGTTCTCCTTCCCTTTGCAAGGTCACTAGTCACAAGCATGCGACCACAGGGTAGCCTCAGGCAGCCCTGAGATCTCCTTTTCCCTCGCAGTTAGGTGAGCATAGGATGTGGCAGCTGACTCAAGCAGAAGCAAGGAGTCTCTGCCAGGGGTTTGGGATTTGAAAGCAAAACAGAGAAATCTACACTCCCTTTGGATGCCAGGATCTATGGCATGTGGTATAATGAGAGATAAAGGTCGCAGTTCTAAGCACTCTGAGTGCAGGACCTGTTGGGTTAGAGTGGCAGGGCACCTTCCACCCACCCATCAGGAAAGCAGAGAGAACTGCCGTGCAGATAAAAATGAGGCAGGTGCAGCCAGGCACGGTGGCGCAGCTGGGCACGGTGGCTCACGCCTGTAATCCCAACACTTTAGGAGCCTGAGGCGGGCAGATCACGAGGTCAGGAGATCGAGACTATCCTGGCTAACACGGTGAAACCCCATCTCTACTAAAAATACAAAAATTAGCCAGGCATGGTGGTGGACGTCTGTAATCCCAGCCACTTGGGAGGCTGAGGCAGGAGAATCGCTTGAACCTGGGAGGTGGAGTTTGCAGTGAGCCGAGATCAGGCCACTGCACTCCAGCCTGGTGACAGAGTGAGGGTCCATCTCAAAAAAAAAAAAAAAAGGCAGGTGCACAGGGCTCAGGTGCCCAGACCAAATGTCTTCATGGGCAACCTTGCCAGAGAATAGTCCCACTCTCCTAGATCATTTAATTTTTCTTCTTCTATTTCATAACCAACTGGAAGTCTGCCCCATCATTGAACTTTAAGCAGAAACTACCATTCATTCATTCATTCATCCAACAATATTTACCCAACAAAACACTGTTCCAGCTCTTAGACAAAACTGAACAACAACAAAAATTTAGCCTTTGTGAAACTAACATTCTAGTGGGGACTGATTAGGAATAATCAAGACAATATAGAAAGTAACTTACATAGCTTTCTACAATGATAGAAGAAAACCAGGCTGCTCTGCCTATGGGATAGCCCAGCTCTATCTATAGAGCAGCCGAAAAAAAAATTATTCAGGATAAAAGGAATCCTAGAGAGAGAGTGCTGCAATTTTAAATGAGTAGTCAAAGTAGGCCTTTCTCAAATGAGGAAAGATTGTAAGGAAGTAAGGGAAGAGCCATGTGGATATGTAGAGAAAAGGATTCCCATCAGCTAAAACAGCCAGTGCAAAGGCCCTGAGGCAGAAATGTGCACAACCTGTTTGAGAAACAGTGAGGAGGCCAGTTTGGCCAAGGCAATGTGAGGGAGAGGGAGGGTGATGGATGGAAGTTCTGATCAGAGATGAATGGTTGTGATCAGAGATGAATGGGGCACTCATTGTTTCTAAAGGAGTAACGCAGGTATGCCAGTGCAACATGCATCTTGCATTTTTGCAGTTTCTGACTATGTGTATTCTCCACGAAAGTCAGTTCACCATGTCCAACCACAGAAATGAAAGACCCCATGTCTTCCTGTCTACCCCATCATACGTAGAGGACAAGACACCTTCCCTGACTCAGTCCCAAGGCATTAAAGTAAGATGAATAGCAGAATGGATTTCTTTCATTGCAGGGATACCAACAATGATGTCCTGCAGTCCGGGGGATGGGGGTGGCGGGGGGAGGCCTTCCCAGGCTCTTTCTTGGAAAATACTGATTATGCTCCCTGACTTCCAAAACCAGGGTCAGGTATTTTTTGGCCACTATCATAATAATTTATTCAGGCAAAAACCATTTATGAATCTTTAAACTATTGGGTAAAGGTTGAAGAAGAATAAGGTATTTGCAATGTCTCTAAATAGCTCCCAACAAATTATTTACTAATCACAAAAAGGGAAATAGTAACTTTACAGTGGCGAAACCTGGCAAAAATCCACAATAAGCAGGTGATCAAAGTTAACATCGTAGATAATGGGACACTAGTCTGTCCCCCTTATCAGACCGAAATTGTTGAGAATAAAGTCAAAGTCTTTTTCCAGATTCTTTAGTGACACTTGTCATAGCAAAGGTTGAAGAAACCTGGCATCTGTTGGATGCCAGATATGTACTCATAGTTCTCTGCCACATGGTCTTTTTTTATACTTTACACAGGAAGAAAACAATGGTCAAAGAGAGAAAGAAACTTTTCAGTGGTTATACGTGAATAATTTACAGGGTCTAAATTTGAACCTAGAGTTTCCTGACTCCAAAGTCCAAGTTCTTTTCCCTTTCTTACACAGCTTTCAGTCTGAAATCTAATCATGCAACACTGGAATTGATTAATCATGTGACAGAGATTTCTTTTTCACAAGATTAAAGAACAGAAAATTTTGCATAGGCAGGAATCACAAACTTGACTGCTAATCATTGTTCCGTTAATACACAAAATAAGCCAATTCAGGGAGCTGCAAGAAAATGGTGCGTGGTCAGGGCTAGTCAGACTTGAAGAATGAATGACACATCTCAACAGGGCAGCTGCCTTCAGGTCCAATCCATTGTTGGCATTAGCAGTGAGAACCCAAGATTGCCAGATCGTCTGATGTTTCCTAAGAAGAAGGAAATCTGAATGTGTGTGAATTTTTAAACATTGGCAGCTAATTTTTAAAAAGTGAAACACTCAGCTGGCTTAACTAAACACAGCTATATGCCTGAAGTCACCATGCTTGGCCCGAAGTCACCAGTTTACAATCTCCGGCACAGACTACTGTTCTTACTAGCCTTCACACTGCCCGCGCTGGTCCTGTCTTCTCAAATGGTGTTGGTGTGAGTGATTCGCTATAGGTACCCACCCAGGATTGCTGCCATCTTTAGAAACTCAGCAGACTAAGTTGAGCTGAAATGAAGTTAAAGTGTAATAAGTTATTGCTGGTATTTCACAACTGATTATCTGGGAATGAGAAGGAGGAATGAATTTGGAACTGAACTCCTTAGTCTTAATTTTCAGTCCTCCTGATTGCCACCACCTACTAGGAGTCATGTGATTTTGATGTAGCCACTCCCCATGTGGGCCCTTGAAGTGAAAATACTGCTGAGAAATAACAATATATGCCTCAGAAATATGCATTCCAGGTATTGTAATGCAGTGAGCGTATTTTAAAGTGGCAAGTAAAGTAAAAATGACTATAATTTTCTAAAATTTATTTGCACTGAGAAGAAAGAACATGATGTTTTCTTCACTCATTTATTAAGGAAATACAGCATGGACTCTCACCAGGCTGCAAAGTTCATGCCCAGGTGCTGTCACTTAGCATCTATGACTGACCTTCAGCAAGTTATTGAACCTGCACCTCACTTCCCTCCTCTCTAATATGTGCAGAGTAATAGTATCTACCTCTTTAGTCAGAGTTCTCCTCAGAGACGTTATTAATAGCATATATAGAGAGAGATATAAGAAGATCTTTATTAGGAGAATTGGCTCACTAGATTATGGAGACTAAGTCCCCCGATACACCATCTGCAAGCTGGAGAACCAGGGAAAATGGTGTGGCTCACTGCAAGTCTGAGGGCCTCAGAACCAAGGAAGCATATGGCGTAACTCTCAGTCCAAGAGCCCAGGGGGCCACTGATGCAGATCCCGAAGTCTGAAGGCAGAGAGCCTGGGGTTCCTACATTGAAGGACAGGAGAAGAAGGGTTTCCCGTCTCTTGAAGTGAGAGAAAGAATTCACCCTTCTCCCACCCTTTTGTGCCATCGGGACTCTAGCCTTTTAGTCCAATATATTTCAGTTGGATGGTGCCTGCCCACACTGAGGGCCGGGCTTCTCACTCACTCACCAACTCAAATGCCAGTACCCTCCAGAAACACCTTCACAGACACATTTGGAGCAACCCAATTATTCTAACCAATTGACAAACCACCTGGGGTTTCTCTTTCAGCAGAAGAGGGACAGGCTTAGTGCTTACTATAGCACCGAGAATAATTAATATATATATTAACAATTAATATTTTACCAGCTATCTGGGTATCCCTTAATCCAATCAAGTTGACAATCAAAGTCAATCATCACACTACTTGAGAGTGTTGGAAGTTTTAGGCAAAGAGTTAATGGCACAAAAGAATTATGTTTTATGTGTTATCTATTAAGTTTATAAGAAATAAATTATTAAAAATAATGTAAGAAAATAACTACAATTATGGCCATAAAATTAACAAGTCTTAATTTGATAGGGCAGCAATCAGCTTTCTACACGTTTCTCTTAAATATAATAATTTGTCAAGAATCTCTTCAGCAGCAATTGATTGACGATAGCTACCAAAGTCATTATGATTCTGCATAATTTTATAGCAGCTATTTTTTATAGACACTCAGAATGAAATAATAAAAAATAGAAGGTGATGGAAATAGTTATAGATACTTAAATTGAGCATTTTTCTGAGCATAAAAAGTTGATGTAATCATGACTGTACAAAGGTGACATAAAATATCAATTCAGGAAAAGGATGATAAAAACTTTTTTTAAAGCATTTTGTCATACACCTTACAGAACTGCTAAATTGCCTTTCCATTCTCAATAACATGAGTCAAAGGCCTCAAGCCGGTATAAAAAATGTGAAACAATCCATTGCAGGAGCAGCCCCTGATAGGAGAAAACAGGATTTCCAAATCAATTTGTCATGATCCAATATGGATTAAGCAGTTTATTTGTTTTGACATTTCTCATTTGCTAAGTGCCAGCATGCCAAAGTAATATTTCTGTGATACAGACACCAACCAGAACATTTATTATTATTTGTTTAGGGGATTTATAGCCCCTTTCCCTCCAGAGAAGTCATTTGAAAGCAGAAATATTTGGAAATTGGAACTGCATGTGGTTTCACCTGATAATAGTTTAATCTCATCACGTCCCCACTGCAATGGAAAACCATACTCTACAACCTTGGAAAAGGGGTGAAAGACCTTCCAGATTTATGTAGCAAACACAACCACCCCACCTTAGACTTGAACATCTACCCCTCACAGAAAGTAACAGTAATGTGTATTCCGGAATCTTTTTAGTCCAATATATTTCAATTGCTTTTCATTTGTGTTACTGCGAAAGTAGGGTTGGGTGGAGACTTACAAACTCTTAATAGAGACTATTAAATAGAGACTATTAAAAACGCAAGAGATACGATAAGGTAGTGGAATTATTCTTGATTTGGAGTCAGACCAACTTGAGTTTGAATCCTAGTACTTCATTTATTAACGATTAGTTTACATTAAGCAAGTTACATAACCTC